>NC_000004.12:102046381-102671381 GCF_000001405.40 Homo sapiens
TAACAAAGGCATGAAATAACCTTATCAGAATGTTTGTGATAGTGTTGTCGATGTTATCATGAGGGTTCCAGGAAGGTCAAGTAAGAAAAATTATCTAAGATGCATCAGAGGCTGTGTTTTCATAGACCTATAAGGGAAGCCTCTGGAACCTAACTTGGTAGGAGTGGCAAATGATTTGATTCCTCCAAAGAAAGGGGCTAGCATGAGTTTTCTATGGTTTGCACTAAATGCCAATCAAAGACTGCATCCTTTTTAACTGTTCTCTTGCCTTCAGCACTTGATCTAACATTTCTTGAACAATTATTTGTTATGCAGAGAAGAGCTGAAAACTGTAGCCACAGAAACATCTTCCACAGACAGAATATTTTCTGCCTCCAGTTTTCCCTAAAATGTTTGTCTTCTGCTGAAAAGAAAGACTGTAGCAGATCATGTATTATGATTTTTTGTCTGACAATAAGGCCTTATTCAATGTTCAAAAATGAAAAACATTAAAGGTGGCAGAGGTAGGGGGTAACATTAGCTGCCCATGATAATGAATGTGTACATACAGGCCCATCTTTGAAATAACTTCAGTCCAAACTAATATTTCCTTGAAAATGGTGCCGGTAAATTGTTGAAAGAGACACTGGAATAAAACCAGGAAATTGTTTCACAGCAACTACTAACCACTCCCAGTCAGGCTCCTTTTTTGCCATTGTGAAGATGGCTGGGAATGGATTGCACCAAATTCTAACACCCACTGAACTATTAAATACAGACCTTCAATGGACCTGCTCCTAGGACATTATGAATCATCCTTCAAACAAGGGTGCATTCTTAAATGAGTGATCCTCACCCATCACTTCAAGTGGCATTTTTTCACAACAGCAAGGTGGTACTTAGATCATCTTCCAGTTAATACACGGTGTTTGAATGCAACACATGATGAAGCTGAACTTTTATTCTCTCATGAAACACTTTAATACACTGCTTGTAAATTTACATGCAAAAAACTCTTTATTTGACAGTTTTCCATTTTTAGTGATTTCATATTTAAGGAGAAAGATAGATCTTTTTTAAGTCTACTATTATCCTCCCACTGTGCCTTTAGCTCTCTCAAGAAATAAATGCAAAGCTACATGTAAGATCATTGTACAATTAGGATCAGAACAGCTACGAAAGAATTAAACAAAGTAGATAAGATTATTTCTACCTGGCCTCCCATACATACCTCACAGAGCTTTGGAAAGAATGAAGAGAGGAGATTTTTGGGAGAAAAATCCCTGAAGTGTTTTTCTTATAAATTATTCAATTACCATGTTTTTAATTAAATTATGTTAGAATTAAAGGGAAAATGCAAAGAAGGCCACAGGAGATGAAGAGAAATGACGAGTATCAAGTGTAATGAAGAGATCCTTGGAATGTTTGATCTTATCAGTTATCCTGGCTGTCCCACAGAGAGCAATGCAAGGAAGGGCTGCTAGTATCTGTTAAGCTTAGAAGAGCCCTGTCATTATTCTACCATGTATAGACAATTAGTACCCATCTGCCCACAGAAAAAGGGGAGGAGAGGGTGGTAAAGGGAAACGAGGACCTAATTATGCAATATTGTATTGATTACTATCTGTCCATATCTTGTTACCTAATTTGCATAATCAAGGTCAATTACCTCTAGATTTTTAAAAATTCTGTAGGGACTCAGATACTAACATTTTAATCATATTTTGTCTGTAATATTTTTTCTGTGTACATACTTAAATACAACTTATTGATGATATTTTTGATTAGTCATCTTAGAGCAGTTTCTTTAGATTCCTTTATTCCTGAACATCAGTAATGTACCAGAAGGGAACAGCATATTGTTTTATTTGTAAGGACTAAGGAAACATCAATCCTTATCAAATGTTTCTTTAAAAACCTCCCTGATGACTATAGTGTGCAGGGAAATCAGCAGTTAGCATGAAAACAAGATAATTTGGAATACTTAGTAATAAAAGAATTAAGTACCTAAATAGCTAACAAGGTTGATTTCATCCAACCATATTTCTCTAAACTGTTGCAGATATTATGATCATTCAGTCCATGTAACATACTATGCAATGAAAACTGCTTATTACCTAATTAATGAATATTCTTCAAATATCCTGGGATTTCATGGTGTACTAGGAAAAGCAGTACATACTTCACCAGTGATACTCTCTTTATTTGGTAGAACAATAAAAAGGGCCTTTTATATAATGTTTGTCAGAGGCAAGATTTTCTAAAGGGACTAGACAAGTTCTCTAAAGAAGGTAAAAAGGAATTATTATTTAACTCTTCCTCTATATGCTGGAGGGAAAAGGGATGATGAGAGCCAACTGTTTTCCCATTGAAAGTATAAGCATTTCAAGTGCACTAAGTTTAAGACTGGCAAGGGATTGCCAGGAAGTTACATTATTGCTAAGTCAAGGAATTTTCCTAAGGAAGAAAAAAATAATTAATTGGCACCATTTCCATGGAAACTCAACAGATTCTTCAACTCAGTTTCCACATTTTGAAAAAATGTAAGGAAAAATGCTGAGGACTTTGGATCACAGATAAAATTTTCCATCAAAACAGTTTTAAAGTCAATTTTCCCAATTTGGATTTGAAATTAGAAAATACTAGTGCTAGAAATTAGAAATTTCTAGTCAGAAAACTGCATTTGCCAGTGTGTTTGGAATTGATCAGGATTTTGAAGTCTGGCTTATGTTATCGAAGCTCACAGAGGACTGATTCATACCCCCAATTCCAATCATTAAACCTATAATAAGGGAAGATGGCTTTCCAGTGACTGGATTGCTTGCATTATTTGGTCTCTGCCAGATAATAAAGTTTCTATAAAATATACTTAGTCATTAGAAGATTTCTAAGTGAACATGATCAAGTCAAAAATGTTGAAAGAATTTAAGGGCTCCTTATTCAAAGATGGAAATATCTGGCTAATTTTCCTTGTTTTACAAAATCATATATAGTCTAGGGTCAAGTTTGTTCACATCTTGGACTGTACAGAAGGGCCTTTTCTATCTATATCAAGATCATCCCCATCTTACCGTGGATATGACACGTGGCAACTGATGAGGTTCAAGCATTCTTAACAAGCTGCCTCCCTGTAATCATAGATTACATCCACAGATCTCCTCAGCCATATAGTCAAATGAACCTTATCAAGGGTGTGTTGTTGCTCTCACTCTTAGAGGGCAAAAGGGTAGTGTAGGCAGCTAGGCAGACACGAGCAGGGCAGGAGAGGGCCACCCACCCAGGAATGTCAGACGACCACCAGGTGATGGTTAGGTAGTTGTTAAACTGTCTCTTTAAAACCGTAATTGGTCACAGCCAGTGCCAGTGAAAGGCAGTCTCTTAATAGACAGAAAACACCTGAAGCTGGTCATCAGCAGCTTCCCAGTAAGATCGCAGGAGTTGGGCAAGTGGGCGCAAGCATGTGCACTAAGAGGCAAAATGGTAGGGTTTAACTGGTATGTGACTTTTCTCTAGGAATGCTCAACTGGTAAGGGAAAAACACCTAAATGAGCATATGCACAACTTCAGTAAACATACTGCACATGGGCTCCTCCCAAGTGCTGGCAGGGCTCTGCGTTTGCAGATAGCCCACCCCAAGGAAAAACCAAGGGAGGAGAGACACTAACCCCATAACCATACCAATGTTTAAAACCTCATGTCAAGTGTTGAACAGTGCACTTGGATCTCTCAAGTTGCCCACTTGGCCCTCTTCCAAGTGTACCTTAGTTCCTTTCATTCCTGCTCTAAAACCTTTTAATAAACTTTCAATACTACTCTATCTAAAACTTGCCTTGCTCTCTCCTGTGCCTTATGCCCCTCAGCTGAATTCTTGCCTCCAAAGAGGCAAGAATCAAGTTGCTGCAGATCTGTACGGATTGGCTGTTGCTAACAAAACCATGTCTTTGAAGGGTAAGTTTCTGTGGGTAGGAGGAGCACATCCACCCTAACCAACTGCCTATACCAGTCACTTCCAACTCTAGATGAGCATAAGAATTATTTGCAGAGCTTTTAAACTTTGGTTGCCTAAGCCCTATCTTAGATATGGACTAAAAGTCGAATAGATGAGATAGTAATCAGCAATAATCTCAAAATCAACATGTGAAAAAATCCCACCAAAAGAAACTATGTTTCAGAGACCACATGTGGTCAAATTTAGCCCCTAAGTAAATTATATTTTAGCAATAATCCACACAATACAATTTAAAACTTTTGCCAGCATTTAAGACCATGCTTCCTGAAATATTCAAATTTCCAACCACTCCCTATTATATAAATGTATAACTTGCAACAAATGACTATTACCATTTGTTATCATGCTTTCTGTGTTGTTTTCTTATATTTGGAACACATTTCTCTAAAGTCATAATTCTATCAAAAGTGAGTAAAGGGATATAGAGTCAGGTTATGAAAAAAATGAAAGAACATTTATTTTTGCTAATGAAAACTATTCAAATGTATTTAATAAGCAGGTACTAAATATTATTTGCTCAGTAATTTTATCTGCATGGCCCCTATAGTTTATGAGCTTGTAACCCCTAGTATAGTCCCTGCCCACCAATTCCTCACTCGAGACTACAAAATCATTATTGGCTGGTCTTTTGTAGGGCAGGAGTGTGCCTACTCATGGGAAAGAGGTAGTCAGGCAACATATCCTTTCTGTGTTCTATAAGTGTGCATTGCTGTAGCACTTTGATAAATGTTAAATAATAAAATTGTCTAGAAGCAGGAGACCTGGAGAAATGGGGAAGATATTACCCTTACATGGGGAAAAGAGAATGCTGATCTCTGAGGTATTTTCATCAGGCTGTTTTTGCCAGTACTGGATATATTAAACAGAAAAGAGGGAAAATTGTCAAAATGTGGTCATTTGTACTCCATAAAAGAATAATGGCCTCAGTTCCCTTTTCCAGTATACTTACATTTCCATTTGTCATATTGCTCACAAAAGTTTTTTGTTGTTGTTAAAGTCATACCTTGAAAATTTTGTGTAATAGCTCAGTTTTTGTCTAAGATAGCAATATGTTCGCAACCCACAGTGTTGTCTCTCAGAAATGAAATCAAAGCACACACAAAAAAGATGAAATTCTTAATAATAGGGAGAACAAAGACTGGAAAATAAGCTTACTGGAATCTAGAACTAATTCTAATTAATTCTAAGGTTGAGAAAAGTTAATTGAGACAAATTAAAAAATCAGTAGTCTACCCCTACTGTCTATGAAACAAATCAGTCCTTTGCTCATAATAGGAGGTAGAAAGATATTTAATCCCTCCCTTACCTCCTGACCCCAGCTACCTCTCTGCTACATAAATGTTAATTTTTACAAGTGCTCTGTGTCCCAGCTCTGATCTTTCCATATACATGCAGAAAATATTCCTTCCAGTTGAAAGTGGGGGTAGGAGGGTAATGCTACACTTGGCTGGTCCTGGGACTCTAAAGTAAAGCTCTAAAATGGAGGGATGGGAAGGTCAAGAAGTCTGTTAGAAATTTATGCATGGACTTAGATACATAGTGCCAGGGAATCATGTCCCGCCTCTATCGTGGCAGCTGCATTAGACAAAACCTGCTAAATCCTGGGATCTTGAGTTGCGAACTGCACCTATTAAAGTTTTCTGCAGTCCCAGGAATTTGACCTGAACACAAGGAAAGAGCCAAAGGACACATAAACACCAAAAGCCTTGGTGAACAATGATTCCATAGATGTGTTCTTTTTTTCTTTTTTTTTTTTTTTTTTTTTTTGAGACAGAGTCTCGCTCTGTTGCCAGGCTGGAATAGAGTGACACGATCTTGGCTCACTGCAGCCTCCGCCTCCCGTGTTCATCCGATTCTCCTGCCTCAGCCTCCTGAGTAGCTGGGACTACAGGCGTGTGCTACCACGACCAGCTAATTTTTGTATTTTTAGTAGAGATAGGGTTTCACCATGTTGGCCAGGATGGTCTGGATCTCTTGACCTCATGATCCACCCACCTCGGCCTCCCAAAGTGCTGGGATTACAGGCATGAGCCACCACGCCAGAAGGATTAAAGATGAGAACAAACAAGTAATATGAAAAGTTCATAAACTAAAACTACTCCAGAAGAAGGGAAGGAGAGTTTTTTTTGTAAAGACTCAGAATAATTATACTTCTGTTAATGATTTATTTATTTAATGAGTAAGGTTGCCAGATATCATATCAAAAGCACCAAGCTATCAACATGGAAATAATGGGAAATACACACACACACACTAAGCACTGAGCATTTTTCAGCTAACAATTCATAACTGCTTAAATATGAAGCTTTTTATAAATATTTTAACTTTTTCAGAAGTTCTAAGGCGGTATGTGTTAATTTGAACTTAAGTGTCCCACTTTCAGGTTCAGTACTAGGCAGTTGGCAACAAAATGCAGGGGCCAAAAAAGAAAATGTCAGAAAAGTTTGAACTCATAAACAAATGGAAAATATGGAGAGGAAATAGCAGCAGAAATTTGA
The DNA here is from genome assembly GCF_000001405.40 of Homo sapiens. Classification (NCBI taxonomy): domain Eukaryota; kingdom Metazoa; phylum Chordata; class Mammalia; order Primates; family Hominidae; genus Homo; species Homo sapiens. Next base: position 102,052,868 of record NC_000004.12, read on the forward strand.
GGTTAGGCTGAGATGAAAGCAAAATATGTGAAAGACATTTTAGATGAGATACCAGAATGAGATTAAACATGCGACATGAAGAAAAGGTATTGACAAGAGGAAGTATGATAAAAATAAAATAAACTAAGAAGCTAAAGTTTCAACAGCAAATTAAAATCCACATTGGTCACAACAAAAGGGACTCACACTAGGTGAAAATAAATCAGTGACGTAGAGAACATATTGAAGAAGGGTTTGTTCTCAGTACATGGAAAGACCGAAAACAGTAATAAGATGTGGAGAACAGAGATACAACTCAAGTATGACAGGTTTTTAAAAACTAGAATAGAAAATACGATCAATGACTTTATTAAGCTAATCTTTGGAGAAGTGGGAAGCTGGAGGATGAATAATGCAGATTGAGTGGGCTCACTATGAGACAGGAAAAAGTAAGGAGAGTTGCTCATGTTTAAAAGCACCCTAGCAAATCTTTTTGATTATAAGGAAAAAGAAACAATCTTAAAAGTATTGAGCAAGTACTTTAACTTACATTTTCTACTAAAATAAATCAGAATCCATTAAAAAATTAGAGAATCTGTGTGACAGAAACTTGAGATAATGGACTACCAAGTTTATTTGAGAAAAAACTTCAACTTAAGAAGTTTATATTTAGTCAGGTATTTTGCTCATGTAAGAAGAAAATAAATATAAGAATTTTTGGATATCCAAAATTTTAGAGAAGATAGCCATTCTGTCATTATGAAAGTATTAACCAAAACATATTCTAACCAATGAGGAATTAAACAAAATAAAAAGCTTAAAAAGAAATTACATTATTAAAATTACTGAAGTAAACTTAAATAATTATTGTAAATTTATTTATAAGACATGAATGTAAAATATTGGTAATAAAGAAAAATACGTAATGTAACATAATTATTGCTAATTTAGTAGCAATAATCTGGTTACAATGACCAAATAATATAAAAATACTTAGGAACTAGAAAAAAATGTTTTTTCATTCATTACTTTATTAATAAAAAAAGATAAAAAATCTGAAATTTTAAAAAGTAACCACTACTTTCAAATTCCTTCATATATATGTATATATGTATATACAAATACATATATATGTCTTTATAACCACATACAAAACAAGATTATGTATAACAGCAGTCATCACAATAAATTCATATCAGTTAAAACATTCTCACAGAGCAGTAACAGTCATTGAGGACAAATGGTGCTGTGTTAATCATCTGCATAACGATAGTTCATTAAAACCTCAAAGATATCTTATGAGATATTATTTTCCTTTTTAAAATGGATTGATTATTTGTAACCAAGGACACAGAGCTAAGAAATGGTAGAGGTGAAATTTGAACTCAATTCTGTTATACTCTGAAGGCCAAACTTGTAATCACCTTCTGTACTATTCACGTAATCGTATTAACAACTCTCACTACAACTTTCCTGAGCTTTAACAGAAGCCTGAAACACGACAAAGCACATTACATATATTAGCTCCTTTAACTCTTGCAACAACTCTGTTAGAAGGGGATTATTTACCTTCATTTTATAGACAAAGAAACTGGAGTTTACAAAAATGGAATGAGAAAGAGCTTTGAGCCCTCATCTACCTGGCTCCAAATACCATGTTATACAATCTCCCTCATAAAAAGATACAGACTGAAATGTGGACAAAAGACTGTAGCGGCAGAAAAACTCCACCTCTATCTTCTTAGGATACCAGCCAGGACTGAGAATTAAATTGATGTAAAATAGATTAACAAGAGAAAAGCATAATAGTTTCACATGGCACTGGAGTCCTCAAAGAAAATGAAGACTCAAAGAAGCAGTTAGTCGGTTACTTACCTACTGAATTAGACAAGAATAGTAAACTGTGAAAATGGGGAGGCTTAAAAGATAAGAGTTATTCTACCAAGGTCTGTACAGAATTCTTTTAGTCTCAACTTCTCCTCTGTGAAGATAAGGATATTGCTTTTCCTTCTTGTATAGAGTGAGTGTCTTTACCGTGGGAATTTAGTCTTCTGCTTTTGGGAAACAACTGAAAGGTCAGAATCATCTTTCTTGCACCTGCTTTTTTTCAATTTAAATAGTTGATGTGCCAGAGTGGTATATTTTTAACTTCTTCAAGCCAAAATAAAACTATGTTCTGCTTTAAAAAGATACATCCCCGAAAATACCAAGGAAATACTCATTAATAAAATTATGTCAAGTGATAAATAAAAAGTAAAAATATCACTAGACTAATGACCAAGGAATGTTTGTATACATTTTTAACTCAATAGTTAACCAGGATAAGTTTTGCCAGTGAGTTATTTCAAATTCAAATAAGAGAATTTTTATATTATATGAACCATCTCATGGAGTAGAACTATTAATGTACTAGTTATTTTATTTTAAAAAACATGATGATTTCAGTTGATGAAAAAGACAAAATTATAGTTCAACTATTCATAATTTTTAAAAAATCTTATAAAATAGAAAGAGAATAATTTCTCAACATTATCAGAAATTTCTTATTAGTTCAGAAGTAGAGGTATTCGTGTTAGGGATAGAAACAAGATAAGGATGCCTACTATTAATATTTTTACTTACCATTATCCTGGAAGTTTCTAGCAACTGCAATAACATGCATCTAAAATAAAACGTGTAATTATTGGGAAGGAGATACTTTCTCCATTATTTTTAGATGATATACGTACATGCCAGAAAACCTGAAAACATCAACTATAAGACTCTTAAAAATTATTTTAACTAGCTGGATATAATTAATACATAATTCACTTTTTTATATACCAGAAATATTAGTTTGGCGACATCATGAAAGAAAAGAAATTATTCACTGTAAATTCAAAACATACACAAAAAGTACCTATTAAAAAGATAGAATAATGCTATTTTCCTAACGGGAAATTAAATCCTCTCAACTCTTTCTATAATAACTTATACATGTAAGGGAATCCCAGTCATTTTGATAATTTACTTTTCCTTTAGGGAGAGAGATGACAGTTTGAAAGAATGTTTCTAAATTGATAGAGAAGATAATTAAGAAGAATTGAAAGGTAATCACTTGGGAAAAAAAAAGATTAGGGCAGGACTAGTGGCCATATGTGATATTAAAGTCTGTTACTTACTCAATGCTCTAAGCTACAGGACTCAGTGTTATAATGACACAAGAATCACTGGCAATGAGAGAAAGGTTTAGATTATAAAATTATTATAAAGCTTGTGTACTTATTTGAATTGAATAATGCAAAATGCTATCAAAAGTGAAACAGTACAAACACTCCCTCATCCTACTGGTGAGACTGTACATGACAACACATTCCAGGAAAGGAGATTGACACTAAGTATACATCAATAGCTTTAAAAGTGATCATACTCAAAAATTATATTTTTATGAGTCTATGCCAACCAAATAAATAATGCAGCCAGTGATTCACATAAAAGACTTAGAAGCTCCAACAACATATAATTGTGGAGAAAAGTGGAAACAATAAAAAATCCCTTAGTAAGAGAATGATTAAATACTTTATTGAATATACAAACTTTGGAATATAATGCTCCCATTAAAAACCATTTTTCAAAGAATATTTAATGTTATGGAAAGATTCTTAGGCTACATGACTAAGAGAAAAGAGCAGGAACTATGTCAGTATAACCCTAATTCAGAAAAAAGGAAAGAAATGGATACTTAAAAAGGACCACCAAGACGTTTACGATACCTGTTTCTGAAGAGTATAATAATGAGTGGCAGTTATTTCAGTTTTCAGTACTCTTCTGTATTTTCTAAGTGGTGGAGAAAAAAAATCATGTTCTAAAATCACAATCATTAAAATAAAACATCAAATACCAGGTGTGGTGGCTCACACCTGTAATCCCAGCACTTTGGGAGGCCAAGGCAGGCAGATCACTTGAGGCCAGGAGTTCGAGACCAGCCTGGCCAATATTGCGAGACCCCATCTTTACTAAAAATACAAAAACTAGCCAGTTATGGTGGCGCACGCCTGTAATCCCTCTACTCAAGAGGCTGAGACAGGAGAATCACTTGAACTCAGGAGGCGGAGATTGCAGTGAGCCGAGATCACGCCACTGCACTCCAGCCAGGGAGATGGAGACTGCCTCAAAACAAAAACAAAAACAAAATGAAACAAAACAAAACAAACAAACAAATCTCAAAGAATATATGCAACCCTAAAGTTAAGGGGATGCAGAGGCCTTACTTGGAACTTACAAATAAATCGATAGACCAAGCATCTCCTAATGGACCTGAGCTTATATACCTACCAAGTCCCAAATTAAATAACAAAAAATAACTTAAGCTTTAAATCTTTGTCACTAGTTCTCGCTCTCTCTCTCTCTCTCTTGCTCTCTCTCTCTTTCTCTTTCTCTCTCTCTCTCCTGCTCTCTCTCTCTTTCTCTCTTTCTCTCTCCCTGTTTCTCTATTTCTCTCTCTCTCTCTCTTTCTCTCTCTCTCGCTTTCTCTCTCTCTCTCTTTTTTTTTCTTAAGCAAGGTCTGCTCTGTCACCTAGGCTGGAATTCAGTGGCGATCTCAGCTCACTGCAGCCTTGATCTTCCAGGCTCAAGCAATCCTCCCACCTCAGCCTCCCGAGTAGCTGGGACTACAGGCTAATTTTTGTAGAGATGGGATCTCTCCATGTTACCCAGGCTGGTCTGGAACTCCTTGGCTCAACCAATCCACCTGCATCGGCCTCCCAAAGTGCCGGGGTTACAGGTGTCAGCCACTGCACCTGGACCCTAGTTATTTAAGTCCTATTACTGAAAAGTTCTTTCCAAGTGCCATAAACTAATTTGGTATGATGGTACAGTATGGTGTGACATCACATTGATACTTATAGTATGACATAGTACTTACAGCATGGTATATCTGGCATGGATTGAAATGGTATGCATTCCATGGGAAAGCCTAATTATAAAGTGGCAGAAATTTTTTATATTGTAAAAGCAATATAGTATTATTATAGAAAGTTAGAGATCATAAGAAAATAATTACATATGTAATATGGCATCACAATAGAATAACACATATTTTAAAATTTCTTTTCATGCTTTATTATATATACAACTTTGATACTGCTAAAATTTTAACGTGTATATAATTTTGTATCCTGCTTTTGTACTTGTTATAATATAATAAGCACTTTCTATGTTGCCACAATCTTTATTTTTTAAATGACTACGTGATTTTTATTAAGTAAATATTTTCTATTTTAATTACTTTTTGTTGGGCAATCAAGTTGTTTTCTTTCAAATTTTCAATAAAGTCCTTCCAGCCAGTCTCCTAGTAAATAATTTTAATGAAAAGCCCAATTTACATTCTTACCTACTCTGTAGATTTATATACTCACTACAATGGGTTGGTTGATGTTTATATGACCAATATTTGATCAAATGTAAATACTTGTAAAGAGAAATTTTTTAAAAGGAATTAATTTTAAAAACTGTAGTTTACCTTAAAGCTTTTACACTAAAAGACAAGAGTCTACCATACATACAGTTAGCTGTCTGACAAATGCTTTTTAATGAAAATTATATTAAATTCATACTAACTCTTCTGAAGGTAAACTAAAAAAAATACAAAATTAGGAAGACAGAAAACCTTTCATTACTTCTTTTTACCCATCAAATTCTTATCTAAATGCAATAAAGAAATCTTGTAAACCCTACCAAAAATTACAGGTTGCATGTTTTGGTTTGACTTGTATACCCTTAGAATAAAAGGTAGTAAAGTGCCTAAATCATTTTTCTTTGCAGCTTCTCATGCTAATCCTAATTTATCAAGACAAATGCTTTAATCTCTTTACTCTTAAAAAAAAAAAAGGTAAAAGCAGATTTATGTAAAAATAGATTCTGAAGAGAAAAGACAAGTCAAGAAAGCCTCTCTGTTGAATGGAAATGGTGAGAAGGGAAAAAGTAAAAAAAAAATAATAATAATAAAAATAAAGAAGAAAGAAAGAAAGCCCCCGTGGGAATCAGAATTATTGGCCACAGAGAAATTTTCTGTGCACGTGAATCTTTTTGGAAAGAAACCCTCTCCATGTCCCTGTTCCAAGATTCACTGTTACAGTCCTTCTCAAAACTGAGAGGAACACTACAGGCCATTCCAGAACAATCCCAAGGCTCAAGTCCTCTTCAGACATATAACATTTGCTATCAAATACTTGAAACCTCTTTTCCAGAACAATCAATCCTAGTTATATCAACAAATTCTTATTACTGTAGAATTTGAATGCCCTCCCCATTTCCCAAATCCTTGTTAATATCGTCTGGATAGTCAAATTCATCTGTTTCTTTCTTGAAGAGGCAGTCCCAGAAATGGGCATATCCCTCCAGGGATAGCTCACTGGTATACAGTTAGGTAGGACTGGCTATTCTCTCCTTTCAGACTCTGTGGGCATATTTAGATTTGATAGTATATTAAGATGTGTTACCTACCCCTCCTGAAATAATACAAAAAGTATGTTGCACTTAATGGAAATATGTAAATGAGAAGGTACAAACTCAAATGAGTTCCAGCAGCCAGGCAGGTAGCAGACATGTGTTGTCATCCAGGAACTCTAACGTGTGGCAAGGATTGCAGTAACCTAGAGAGTACATAGCATCCTTAAAGTCATGCAGGCCTATTTATGTCTTTAAACACCATGGCAGACAAGGGAAACACTGAGTTCACCCATGGTCTGCCAGTTTGCTACCACTGTGCCTCAAGCCAGGCCACAAATTCCTTTTGTGCTGAGCAAATAATACATAGCATGCTCCAAAATAAACTCTTTTGAAAAGGAAGCATTTCACTACAAAATGACCAATTATTTATTTAAAATCTTTCAGAAATAAATTTTCAAATGATCCTAAGCCTTTTGTGACATTTGGATGTTGGTTAACGTCTCCTTTCCCAAAGATAGAAAGACTGTTTATTCTAAAGATATTTATTGTTAGTATTAATGTTAACATTTATCTAGCTTACTGTGTGGCAGGCACTATGCTAAGTATTTTGTGCACGTGATCTCTGATAAACCTCAGAAACAGAAGACAAAATTGGCACTGCCATCAACTAGCGAAGTATATAACCTTTGCTACTGCCCTTTCTCTCCTTGTCCTTTTCTGTCTTAGTAATGAGACACTTTTTTTTCACCCATAAGACTAGTTTCCAGGCACCTCCATCCTTAGAAAGAAACTCATTAAAAGTGTGCTGGTTTATTCTTTAACTGCTCATAGAGAGTTAAGAAGAAGCTACTCCAATGGCTTATTTGTAGAGTGCTTTTGTTCCCAGTTGTCTACACCTGGACTTTCTGTTAATGCACCCTCCCCTTGTATTTTAGACAGAGCTCGGATAGAGAGTCCAGCCTTTTCTACTCTCAGGGGCTGTCTAACTGATGGTCAGGAAGAACTCATCCTCCTGCAGGAGAAAGTAAAGAATGGGAAAATGTCTATGGATGAAGCTCTGGAGAAATTTAAACACTGGCAGATGGGAAAAAGTGGCCTGGAAATGATTCAGCAGGTAATATTGGCCCAGTGTTTTCTGGGACATTCCCTCACTTGTGGAGCCCCTAGTTTGTTAATGTTTAATTTTCATGAGGAATACAGGTAACTGTTCTTTCATTTTTAACTAGCCACTAAGGAAGATACTTCAAGAAATCAAATAATGTTTGAAAATATCCAGATATTATGTTCACCAGCCATTGGTGAAGTCAATCCTCTAACCCAGTATACCAAAGCTAATACCTAATCAGCTTATAATACCTGTCTTTAGTAGAGTGAGTGTTTTTTGAATCTTGTTGCTGAAATTAAGGTAAAGCATCTTTACACTGAAGGGTGTATTATGTATGCCAGGCTTAAAAGGAAAGGGGAGTGAGACAATGATTAAAATCACACTAAGCAACAGTCCTAAATAAAATGCAATAAGTATTTATCTTCTTTCTCCTTAAACATTTATTTTTATATACGTACACATACACACATTTACATATATATGTTCAAATATTAAGTTAAAATAAGCTCATCTTCTGTAAATATAACTTACCTCCTGAGATGGGATTGGAGGACATGGTTCTGAGATGAGAATGAAAACAAAATATACCACACACACCCCTTGATATTCCTTAGTGAGAGATAACACGGTCATATTCCCATATTCCATCTTTCACTCCAAAAATATTTTAACAATTTTTTTCTTCTTATCACAGAAATCCCATTGCTTCAGAACCCAGTTCTAGATAGCTGTTTGATTAAACACATTTAATAAGCAAATTTAGGCCAAAGTATAAATAATTGATAATAGCTTAATATTGTAACTTTCCCAAGAGATAATTTTTGTTTAAAAGACGATGCTTAGGAAAACATTTTTAAACAATAAAAAAGAATCAAAATAGAGAAATTTCACACAATATAGTAGATGGGCCAGGGGACTTTCCCAGTACATCTGAGATCATGCCTTGTTAGAAACCACCTGTCTCTAAGGGCAGTTATGGTTGTGGGTTGGTGGCTGAACCTCATCCAGATTTTGTGACACTAAGCAAAGGCAGTTGTTATGTTGCCAAATAAATGCTAAAGAATACTGATTGTAGAGTTCTGCAACTCTTCATTGTTCATGATCAGAATTACAATATTGCTTCTCAATCATGTCAATGTCATCACCAATACACATGTGTTTAGGTGCAGACCTACAAATCACTTTCCTAGCAATGTTAGATTTTATAGATTTTGTTGAAGTAAGTCAATTGTATTTCATCCTCCTAAGACCCTTAAATAATAACGTTTTCCATTTAGAGTTATCCAACCTAAATATCATTTTGGAAATTATTTCACTAGTTGTTTCATCAAACCCTGGTTGTTTCTATTTTGTTTGTATATTTAAATTTAATCTTGTTTTTAGGAAGAATTTAAGGTGCTTCATACTCACTACTTAGAGACTGATCTGACTCACCTAATAATAAGGTTATAATGGGATAATGAATATTGTTCATGCTTATTTTAAAAAATTATTTTTTTAAATAAAGGCCAACAGATACTAAGATTACTTTCCATAAGCAACAAAGTTTAATGACTTGGTCTGAATTCTGTCAGAGGAATCAGTCAGTCCTTAACATAAGGGACTGGGCCAAAATCCAAACAACAAAAAGATGAATATTCCTCCTGTTTCCTCAACACACACACGTGCAAACAAAGATGCATTCCTATGTACTTTTCAATATTTTTCTTGCAGCTTGGAAAAGTATTTGTTTGTATCCTATGAATATAAATGAAGTTATCAGAGGTAACTGAAGTCATATTATTATTGATGAAGGAATTAATCTAGGAAACTAAGAAAAAAATGGCACAAACATGGAGTTAATAGGGGAAGCTGGTTTCCAGAATAACTAAGAATCATGTAGAATCCCTGGCGTTGAAGATGAAATGGTGGAGAAGGGAAAACCTTGCCCTTCACTGTCCTCACCCCTACTCACAGTCACAGAGTAAGAAGAAGAGTTTGGCACCACTGGTAGGAGAGATCTGTAAGGCAATGGAAACAATTAAATAGGAAAAGTGGTTTCTAGGTTTCCAGGAAAATCCTGAGGAAAGAGTGCTATTCTTAAGTTCTGTTCTAAAACAAGATTATTAAATGTTAGCTTGTTTTACATTTTGCTTAAAAAGATAATGTTCAATATTTGGAAATCAAAGAAAGATCACAGATGTGCTAAGAAGAGGAATCCTGTTATGTTCATCTGCTTTTAAGTCTCTGATTTTTAGAATTAGAACACTGGGAAGGAATGTGCCATACAGAGGCTGAGATGGGCTCAGGCAGCAGCAAACCATCACTATGTAGCCCTTCTGCTTTTGGACACCAAATAGCCAATACAGACCCCACAAGAATTGGGTTGGCAAAACAACTTCCCAAAGAATTGCACTCTAGGATCCAATCTTGACTCTACCACTTATAACTATGAATTGGGAAAGTTACTGTACCTCTCTGTACCTCAGTTTCCATATCTACAACATGGAATGACGACATTTTACATCCACTTCATTAAGCTGTGAGAATTAAGTAAGATAACGTGGAAAGTATCAAGGATGGCAATTGAGACATCATAAGTAGCAAATTAATATCAAGTAGCAGCATTGGTATTGCTAATAGTAGTTGATGTTTTCATCTTGATCCATAAAAATTTGAAAATCATAACTATGTCCTGGTTGTTTCCACATTAAGGAGAAATTACGACAACTACGAGACTGCATTATTGGGAAAAGGCCAGAAGAAGAAAATGTCTATAGTAAGTAAGATTCGCCTGCTATTCAAAAATAATAGAGTGATTACGTTGAAAATTCAAGGACTGTGGAGATGATTGGGCCTGAGTTCAAATCTAAACCTCAACAATTCCCAGCTGTCTAACCTGGAGAGGGTCTTAATCTCTGGTAGTCAAATTCCTTGTCTGCAAAATATGCATCTATAATTATATATGCATCTGAGGGTGCTTGTGTAAGTTAACATATAAAATACTTATCATATTCTCTGGTTCATAATGAAAGTTCATAATGAACCAGAGAATATGATAAGTATTTTATATGTTATAAATATAATAAATGCTTGTTACTCTCTTTCTTTTGATGTCTATGTAAGTTGCAAATAGGACAACTCTGCTCAATTTTTTAATGATCCATTATATAAGAAATCAAGGCCAGGCATGATGGCCCCCACCTGTAATCCCAGCACTTTGGGAGGCCGAGGCGGATGGATCACTTGAGGATAGGAGTTCAAGACCAGCCTGCCAAATGGTGAAACCCCATCTCTACTAAAAATATAAAAATTAGCCGGCCATGATGGTGCATGCCTGTAATCCCAGCTACTCGGGATGCTGAGGCAGGAGAACCCCCCCGGAAGGCACAGAGATTGCAGTGAGCCAAGATCACAGCATTACACGCCAGCCTGGGTGACAGAGCAAGACTCTATCTCAAAAAAAAAAAAAAAAAGAAATGAAATGATTAAAGAGACATGCTTTTTAATAAGTTAAAATATTAATACAGTGAATTCTCACAATTGTCAACATGTGTATCATTTTAAAATTTCTAATAATTGAAAGTTGCTTTGGCAGTGGAGGTTAGGGGAGGGGATACTAAGCCAATCAAACATTATTAAGAAGGTAAAACTTTTGCTAAAATAAACAACACATTCCAAAATTAAAAATAAATTACGTTATCACTATCTGACCACTGTTTCCCCAAGACTCTCCCCCTGCACAGATAATTAAAAACTAGCAGCCACTAAAAGAGTGTGAAAGCTTCCATCTCTTCCATTTTCATTAATATTGCATAGCTTTTAGCTAGTCCTTCGTGTTGAAATTCATTTCTCTTCATATTATACAGTTATCTTTTTTTCTAGAGAGAATTCTTAAGCACTTTAAAATGTTTTCTAAAACACAAATATACTTTCTAAAATAATTAAGGTCATAAAGACAGGGCCATCTTACAGACACCTCCATTCTAATATGAGTAAGATTAAAATTTTAATGATTTATAAAATTACAAGTTATATAAATAATTTTACCAAGGAGCATTAAAAAGCTAACATTTATTATCACCTATACATTATTGTTTCTTACAATAACTCTATGAGGTGGGCAATATTTCCAGTTTATAAATAAGGAAACTGAGGCCCTGAGAAACTGAAAAATTAAAGGACACATATTAAGTGAGAAGCCATTCTGTTTAATTCAAAATCAATGCTCTTAATTATCAGTGCCTTAATTATGAATCAATTAGTTCTCCTTTCAGCCGCACTGGAATAAATAATACTACACAAATCTTTCTATTGCACAGGACACTATTACCAGGCAAATATATGAAGCAAGTGATATTAGGAGGCAGACAGTAGGTAGCCAAAGACTATGAATAATTCTAGAGACAAGCAGTACTCCTGAGGTGGGTCTCATTATGGCCCTGGTCTCTGCCAGAGGAATATTTCCTGACTACACTCTGAGCAAAACAAAGAAGTTCTGTTGAACTGAGAAGACAGAGATCTTAGTTCAGGGCAGCTGAAGCTGCTAGAATATGTGTGGTGGGTCTCTGAGAGCAGGTGGCTGTGTAGAGAGGTAGCCTAAGAGGTCCATGGGAAGGATTCCACAAGTCTGTGGCTGAGAGATGAGCTGTACATGTGTAAAGCAAAACAGTCAAAGCATGCAAGACAGCAACTTCTAGGGTATTGAAAGCAAAAGAGAGACACTAGAGGTTGAGCAGAGTTGAGGAAAAAGCCAGCCTGGGAGTGTTTAAGTTCTGGCCCTGTCAAATTAGGGAGATCTTAACACCTCCATAAAATACCTGACATTCTGCTGTGACACCCAAAAGATGTAATGAGTAAGAACTATGATTTAGAGTAAGATCTACTCTAGACATGCCCTAACAAAATCTCAAACCAAGCCCCAACAAGATCTATCTGGGAGACAGAGTTTGTAGGCTGACTGAATCTACAAACTCAGGGCCTTAAAAAGAAAACACCTTGGGCTTTCTATCACAAAAAGCCCATGGTGAAAAAGAATAAAATTAAGTCTATACAAGTTCTTGACAGTAATTGAGTTGCCTACTAAAACGAGAACTACCGTCATCAGAAGAATATTCTAGAATCCAGAATATACAACACATTATCTATAATGTCCAGTGTTCAATTAAAAAAAGAAGACATACAAAGATACAGGAAACTGTAATCTTAATGAAGAAAAAGAAACTATAGACGGAACCTGAGATGTTGGATGTTGTTGATCTTAGCAAACAGACTTTAAAGCACCTTAAACACTGAATTAGTGAAAAATGTGGTTTAAAGGAGAGAATAAATAGGGAATCTCAGCAGAAAAAAAAATGAAACTATATAAAAGAACCAAGTAGAAAGTATAGAAAGTAAAAGTACAATAAAATATATAAAAATTAATCAGATGAACTTATTATCAAATTGGAGATGACAAATTAAGAGTTAGTAAACAAAATTAAGACAGACCAATAGAAATTATCCAATTTGATTTTCAGAGAGATAAAAAGACTTTGAAAATGAACAGAGTCCCAGCGACATTTAGGACAATATAATGCATTCTAAAATGCATGTAATTAGAACCCAAAAGGAGAAAAGAGTGAAAAGAGCCAAAATATTTTTTAAAAAATGATGACCAAAAACTTGCCAAATTTAATGCAAACCACTTGCATATTGCTGAAAAAACTTTTAAAAACCAAACTTAGCATAACTGTTAAAAGAAGGACTTCTAGGCAATTTATTTTCAAGCTACTTTAAGCCAAGGTAAAAAGAAATTCTTGAAAGCAGCCAGAGAAAACACACGTTACATATAAAGGAAAAAAAAATTCAATAATTTATTATCAGAAACAATGGAGGATTAAAAATACAATAACATCTTTTTTTTTTTTTTTCTCAAGACAGAGTCTCGCTCTGTCGCCCAGGCTGGAGTGCAGTGGCACGATCTCGGCTCACTGCAAGCTCCGCCTCCTGGGATCACGCTATTCTCCTGCCTCAGCCTCCCGAGTAGCTGAGACTACAGGCACCCGCCACTACGCCCGGCTAATTTTTTCTATTTTTTAGTAGAGACGGGGTTTCACCATGTTAGCCAGGATGGTCTCGATCTCCTGACCTCGTGATCCGCCCGCCTCGGCCTCCCAAAGTGCTGGGATTACAGGCGTGAGCCAATGCGACCAGCCAATAACATCTTTAAAGTCCTAAAAAATTTAGAATTCTAAATCCAGAGGAAATATACCTCAAAAATGTGATAAAATAAAGACATTTAAGATAAATGAAATGAGATAATTCATAGCAAAATTACAGTAGAATAAATGCTTAAAAATATCATACAAGGTGAAGGGATATTAACAAACTCAGATTCTCACTGAGGGAATCTGTGGGAAAAAGAATACTGAAATTATACAAAGCAGGTAGATATAAAATATTATGTTTTCCTTTTTCTCATAAATTACTTCAAAGACAATTGTTTAAAGCAAAAATAATGAAACTTAAGTTAGAAGTTATATAATATGAAGAAGGAAATATGAAAGCAATCATGCAAAGGACAGTGGAGGCAGATAAATAGAATTATATGTTTCCAAAATTGTTACGTGGTAAAGTTTAAAGATTCAGTTACAAAGTAGGAAGAGGAGAGAGAGGGTAAAGTAAGCAGTCTGATGTGTCAACTATAAGGCATGAAGTACTAAGGGGTATACTACTGTCTCAAAATCTAAGTTAAAGATTCATGTTTTATTTTAAAAATAGAAAGAAATCAGTTAAAAAATAGATAAAAAGAACTATATTTAGGAAACCTATAGAGGAAATAAAATAGATTATTAAAAAACTATTTGATTCGCCAAAAATAAAGCAGGAAAGTAGAAAAAGAGGAACATAAAAAAATGGAAAAGTGAGGAACCAAGAACAAGATGGTAGTATTTAACTAAGCCATGTCATAATTATATTAAAGGTGACTGAATTAAATGCTTCTTTTAAAAAGCAGACATTTTCAGACTGGAAACAAAAGCAATATCCAACCTTATGCTGTCTAAAAGACATATATTTTAGATATAAAACACAGATAGATAGTTTGAAAGTAAAGTATGGTAAAAGGTTCCTATGACAATAGTAAACATAAGCATAAGAAAGCTGGCATGGCTATATCAATGTAAGACAAGATAAATTTCAAAATAGAGAGTATTACAAAAGATAAACAAGGATATTACATACAGATAAAAAGGCAGTTCACTAGAAAGATAGAGCGATTCTAAATATCTGCGTTATATAAAATAATTTTATATTATATATATGAATTTTACTAAAACTCCTGAAGCAAAATCTGACAGCACTCAGAGATGTTTTCACTTCTTTCTTAGTAATTAATAGAACAAATAGACAAAAATCATTAAAGATACAGAAGACCTAAACAACACTATCAGCTAACTTGACCCAATTGACATTTACATAAATAATTTTTTAAGTCAGAATACATATTTATTAAAGGTATACATGGAGGTTCACCAAGATGAAACATAGGCTAGATGATCAAAAAAGTTTCAGTAAATTTCTAAAGACTGAAACCTTCAGAGTATATTCTCTAAAAGATTTCAGTCTTTTAGAATCTTATATTCTCTTACCACAACAGAAGTAATTTAGAAATCAATTAAGAATTATATATCTAGAACATCTCCCAATATATTTAGGAATTAAACACAACATTCAAAATAACATGAGGGTCAAATAAGAAATCATAAGAAAGTATTTCAACCTGAATAATAATGAAAAAATATCAAAATTTGTGAAATGCAGGTGAAACAAGTATGTAGTTAACAGTTCTAACTAAAGGGAAATGTATTACTATAAATATTATACTAGAAAATAACAAAAAGCTTTAAGTCAATGATTTAAGTTTCCACTTTAGAAAAATAGAAAATGAAAAGCAAACCTTCAAAAAGAGGTAAGAGGAGAGAAATAATTAAGATCAGAAATCAGTAAAAAAGGAAAGAGATAAACAAGAAAATAAAATCAAAAGTAAGTTGTTTGAAAACATAAATAAATTTGATAAGCCCATGGGAAGAATGATCAAGGAAAAAAAAAGACAACAAGATACCTAAATTAGGAATTAAATTGGGTTACTACAACAGATCCTACAGACATTAAAAACATACTAAGGGCCAGGCACAGTGGCTCTGGCCGGGTATGGTGGCTCACGCCTGTGATCCCAGCACTTTGGGAGGCTGAGGCAGGTGGATCACCTGAGGTCAAGAGTTCAAGACCAGCCTGGCCAACATGGTGAAACCCTGTCTCTTATAAAAATACAAAAAATTAGCGAGGCGTGGTGGCATGCACCTGTAATCCCAACTATTCTGGAGGCTGAGGCTGGAGAATTGCTTGAACCTAGGAGGTGGAGGTTGCAGTGAGCCAAGATTTCTCCACTGCACTCCAGCCTGGGCAACACAGCAAGACTCCATCTCAAAAAAAAAAAAAAGATACTAAGAAAATATGTAGTTAACTTTCTGCCAATACATTTAACAACTTAGACCAAAAAGGACAAATTACTTGAAAAACAAAACTTGCCAAAATTGACTCAAAAAATAAAATTCCACACTCCTCTGAGTATACCTCTTTGTACAATTCTCACTTTTAGAACTTTGTTAATATTTTACTTATTCAGTAAATGAGGACAAGGCAGATACAGGAGGCAAAATGGAATATAAGCAAAAAAAATGTATTATGGATAATGAGAGCCAGGTTTTTTATTGTCTGAGAAATCAGTTATAATTAAGGAAAGAAGAAGGGCTAGAATGAATGTTATGGTATTGCACTGGAATTGGAAGTAAAAGTATAACAAATAATTACAGAGAGATAAATATGGAAATATAGTTGTATGTACAAGTATGTATATTTCTTTAACTCTTTCAGCTGAGAGGACCTAGAGGCAGTGACGGCCCAGCATCAAGGAGCACATCTAGTACCCACGTCTTAGTTTATGAAAGCAAATGGCCCAGAAGCATGTGAAAAGATGCTCAATATCATTAACCATTAGCAAAAGGCAAATTCAACTACACTGATATACCAATACATAAAAAGTATAATGAATTACCATTTGAGAAGACTGTTGGTTAGGATGTGGAACTGGATATGCATTGTATGCATTGCTTATGGGAATATAAAGTGGAGTGATAACTGTGGAGAAGTCAAATATGCACTTACCATATGACCTAGTCATTCCATTCCAGGTTTTTTTCCAAGACAGATAAATGCTTGTGTTCACACAAAGACTTGTTCACAAAAGTTCGTGGCAGTTTCATTCATAATATCCAAACTGGAAACAATTAAACTGGGTTATTACAACAAATGCAAATGTCCAATGGAAGAATACATGCTTATACTGTGATATATTTATACTATGGAATACTATTTAGCAATAAAAAGGAATACTTACTATTATAACAACAATATAAATGAATCTCACAAACATTACACATACTGAGTGAAAGATAACAGATAAAAAGGATGGATCAGACACAAGGGAATCAGACACAAAGGAATACTACATGCTGTAGTATTCCATCTATCTGGAATTCTAGATAAAACTAATCTAGACAAAATTGTAGAAGTAGAAATTCTTAGGGGTGGCAAATATCCAGGTTACCAGCAGCAAATCCATACAGGCCTGCAGCAACCCCAATTCTTGTCTCCTCAGAAGAAAGAATTTGACAGAGGGGCATAAGGCAGCAAAAGAGACTGAGGCAAGTTTCAGAGCAGGAGTGGAAATTTATTAAAAAGCTTTAGAGCAGGAAGGAAAGAAAAGCATATTTGAAAGAGACCCAAGCAGGCACTGTGGAGGTCAAGCTCCCTGTTTAACCTTGATCCTAAGACTTTATATGCTGGCCAACTTCCAGCATCTTGCACCCCTTTCCCTTCATTCTTCCCTAAGGGTGAACTGCCCACATGCACGGTGTCCGCCTTACACTTGGGAAGTGAGCATGCGCAGTGTGTTCAGAAAGTTGTATGCATGCCCACATAAGGCTTTCTTTTCTTTTCCAGTGGAATGCCCCTGGAAGGTCATACTCCACCATTTTATCTCTTAATGTGCATGCTGGAGCTCACTCACCTAATTACTGAGAATTTATTGGAAGTTGATTACCAATTTCAAGTGTTTTTATCTGATTGGGAAATTGCCTCTGCCTGGCACCTGTGATCAATTATCACTTTAGTGAGGCAACTCTGGACCATCAGCAAATTCCCTCTCCCCGGCACAGGCTGCCAATTATCATTTTTAGAAAGGCAGTGTGATAACTGCTGAACCATCACCTAATGGTCGCCTGACATTCCTGGTGGGTGGTGTGGAGCCCTCTCCCACCTCGCTCATGCCTGGCTAGCTACCTACCTGCAACAAAATCAGATCGGGGGTGCCATGAGTAATGTTTGAGTGAAGGTTGACATAAGGGAGAATTAGGGAATATTCTACGGAGATAAAATGGTCTCTATCCTAATTAAGTTGGTGGGTACATGGCCATATGTATTTCTCAAAAATCATCAACCTCTTTCCTTATAAATAATTGAATTGTATGTAATTATTCCTGAATAAAGTTGATTTTTAAAAAGAATGAAGTAGCTCAAGCTAGCGGAATATCAAGGCAGGGCAGCAAGCTTGTGTTAATGTCAAACATATCTAAAATCATAATACCTTGAGACAAAGGTTGGGAGAGGAAAGGACAAAAGTAATAAAAGGCATGGTTTCACTCACAGTGGCTGGAGGTAGAGAAATTTGGGGTTGATATTTTTAGATCAGAATGTGAGATTTCATAGCAACCTCAAAGACAAGAAGTAGTCCAACAATTAAAAAAATAAGAGAGAGAATTTAAGATAAATATTGAACAAAACTCAGTAGAACATGCTTTTTTTTGTCTTCCAGATAAACTCACCATTGTGCACCATCCAGGTGGTAAGTGCTTGGTATTTATTGAAGGATCTAAGACTAAAACAAAGTACAGAGTAAATCAATTTCAATATTAATGTAAACCTAATGTGATTAAGCAAGTCAGTGTAAACATTCACATAGATTTTATATTTATATGCAAAACAACTTGACATCCAAAATAAACGTGAAGCGACTATAAAATAGAAACACTGAAGGCACCATAACGTAATAAAAGGACCGTGAGTTTGGAATTCTTGATTGATCCTGCTGTTCTCAACTTACTAATTGTGACCTGTGGCAAGTCACTTACGCTCTGTGGGCCTCGGTTTTCTCATATGCAAAACGTAGATAAGCATTGTACCATGGGGAATTGCTATAAAGACTGATAATGATATATGTAAATGGAAGCTCGTGCTTGATACTTGGGAGTTACTGATAAAGCAAATGAAATTTGAGAAACATTTGAGAGGGTAACTCATTTCCATGTGATGGGGGGATTGTGTGCTGATGGGATAGTAAGGAGGAGCTAGACGTCAGCTAGGGAGCTGTTGAATATTCTAGAAGCAACTCTCCATAGCCTGGACCAAACCACTGACTGTGAGAATGAAGAAGCCATAGAACTGAGCCCTGTGGCTGGGATGAGAAATGGAATGCCAGTGATAAAGGCAGGAGGAGCAGTAGTCTAGGAGAGCAGGGAGTAGAAGGCGCAGGTTTTTGTGGAAAAGTGTGTTTTGTAATTGGCCAATCCTGGTGAATGTGGAAAAGAAAAGGAAGAAGGAGTAATCAAGTGGAGGTTGTTACTCAGAGGTGTTGGAAAGATTGTTTCTAAACTCAAGTGACTCCTGTAGGTCCTCAGTATCCTACCCAAGTCAATCCACATGGGCAGGAGAAATTAACAGCACATGCCAAGGGTGCCTTTTCGGTATCCCCCTTTTATCTTCCTAATAATTTTTCTTTTCACCCATATCTTACCTTTGTAGAAATCATTTTTAAGAAGTACTGAATAAATAAATCATCAAATTTGTGAATGAATAAAGAGGTAATAACTGAGTTTGTATTTCTAGGTAAGGAAACTGCCCACAATGAAAATAAGTTTTATAATGTACACTTCAGCAATAAGGTAGGTTGTATTTATTTTGATTTCTATAAAATGCAAAGAAATAACTTCGTTAAAAAAGAACATGAGAGCCTTCTATCCTGTCTATGCTTTTAGACATTCTAACAGATATGAACAAAATAGGTTAGGTGTGCCTTTGTGTGCAAAATCTATGAGCATTTATTTAAGGAAATTATTTGGAAAAAAAACAAAGAGGGAACTCAAAGGAAAAAGCCACTGAGGCCAAAGTGTGGCTAAATTCAACATGTACAGACCAAAAAAATCTTAGAGGAATTATCAATACATGTGTTTTAACAATAGAAATATGATAAGTCTACTGTGTTTGAATCACAATGTATACAGTCCTTAAACTCTAGGACATTAGTAGGGAAAGTATAGCCCCAAAATATTATTGATTTAAATATGCATTACTTCACATCATAGAGTTAACTGAAAATAAATTGCTAACGAGAAGCTAATGATAACACTAAGCAAAGACAACAGCAATGGAAAACCAAGACCAATCCAAGACAACACTGATAATGTCCTGACTACAATTTTTCTTCATAAAAATAATGTTATTCCAACTATCTGCATATATAATGTAACACACTTGCGCTGCTACCAAGAGTCATGTAGCAGCTGGATTTCTTGCTAAAATCCTGAATTAGAGTCTTTGCTAACTTCTTATAATGAACGAATTTTAATTTTCCAAAGTTTAATAACCCTTTAAGTTCCTTGTATATTTCAAATAAGTCATAAGTAATCATAAAAATCATTCACCCTTAAAAACGAATTGAAGCAGTTGCATTTTTTATTCTTCTGTAGCCCACCACCAAGCTGTGTGTATGTGCATATATGTATATATATATATACACTATATAATATATAGATATATATTATAGACTCATTAGACTCATTCAAATGTAGCAAAAGTGGGTGCATTATGGCCTTAGGGCTTATGAAAATATCAACCAAAGATTCTTCTATAAGAGCTGAAGGATTGCACAAACAGGGCATATATTTTGGAGAGGAGATTTTGAATAAGAGGAAAAGAATACAAATTCCCAATGCTTAAAATGTTCTGCAAAATGGAAAGAAAATTTGAATTCAAGGACTCGGATGCAGTTGAACTTTACAATGATTCTGTTTCCTTTTAAAATGGAAGATTGTCTTGCCAGTTTTCTCTGCAAAGCTGTTTTTCCATGGCTGTGAAAGGCAACTATAACTTTGTCATATTTCTTTGTTCAACCTTAAAATAGGGACAAATCGAGAAATACTAGCTCTATATCTTTATTTTTTTTCAGCTTCCTGCTCGACCCCAAGTTGAAAAGGAATTTGGTTTCTGTTGCAAGAAAGATCATTAAAGAAGGTAAAATATTAGCTGTGTATATTTTTTAGAAAATCTAAAGCAGCCTTGTTAGGGACTTGAAGGTATCATTTGTCTAAAAAACAGAATTTTTTAAAGATTTCATTGTCTTCTCCTGAAAGGATTAACATGTATTTTTCAAGCTAAAGGTGATTGCTCTGTAGAAAGATTTATGTACAGGGGTGATTTAATGCCAATTAATCAATTTAAATTGATGAGCTATTATTCACTAATACATTTCCTATTTTCTCATTTCCAGGTTATTATAATGAAACTCACGAATCTACGGACATTTTGCTTTCAGGGTGAAGCAAGCTTGAATTTGGATTGCCTGCTCTCTTTAAAGCGAATTCATACTATGACAGCAGAAACAAAACTTCAGATTTCAGAATTTGTTATTGGCAAAATTTATTCTCATTATACCTGCTTCATATGGGTATATTACTATTAAAACAGAATACCATAGAGTAATTGCATTATTTGAAAATTCTCTCATTTTACAATGCACTTCACCAATGAAACAGCTAATTTCCATTTTGAAAATTAAAAGAAAACAGCACAGAGAAGTTAAATGCGGTGTAGCAAAGTTATGGGGTCTGCTTGAGGGCACTAACCTCAACAGATTATTCCTCCTCTCCTTAGAATAACCATGAAAATACAAATTTACTTAGCACATTTTTGCTTTTTAAGTAGCTGGTTCATTTTCTGAATTTCTCACATTCAGAGTTCCAGTCATTATTGTTACATCATGTTTGCAGAAACCTTGTCTTATTTAGTGTCTATTTGCATATAACCCTGAAAACATTATTATTTGAAAACTTTTCTATATCTCAAATTAATATACATTTTCATAACCTACCTTTGTATTAAGACTTGCAATTTTATCAATCTATTATTTCTTAGAAACAATTTACTAGCTTAGAATAGAAAGCAATGTTATCGTCATATAATTTTCATGTACAAATGCCACAAATAAATTGAATGTTTAAAGCTATGTCTGAGTTTTTAAAGTAAATTTATAAGAATTAGCCAATAAAATTGCTTCTCGGCCTTTTGGCTAAGATCAAGTGGAGTATTGGCCAATAAATTTTTCTGCTTACCGGTTTAAAGGGAGAAGTCTACCAAAAATTGTTTAAAATAAATAAACTTGATTAATATTACTATATAGGGCTCATATAAACACAATTTTTTTTCTAGCTTCTAAACAGTGACAAGAATATACATTTAAAGCCATGCTACAAAACACTTATCATGGGTTTCTTATAACTGTTAACACTCTCAAAATAAGCTCAAGTTTTAAAAAATAATACAGTAGCTTGATTAATCCCTAACAAAAAGTGCTTTTGATTATGATATTTGGAAATTCAGTCCACAGTTTTACATCCAACATTTCAAGAACTGACATGTCCTTTTACACACTAAGCCTCCATTTCTGTGGGTTGTCCCATCCAAAGATAAGAAAAAGAAATAAGACATTTCCTTGGAGATTTGGAGCATTTCTAAAAGAGCCATAGCCACTGCCAGAAAGGAAAGGCCCAAATGTAAAATCTTCTGAAGACTTTGAATTGAATTTTCAGAGTTCGTGTATCTTATCTTTTTCATCATCCCTTCTTCAAATTAAATATATTCCCAAGCCATTACTCCTAACTTAAGCCAAGAGCTATCCCCTTCCTTAGGTTATTAATTTACCAGCACTCTGAGTTCTAGAGAAGTTTGAACTGGTATTGAATGTTATCAAAAGAGTTTTATTTTGAATATTAACTTGCTTATTTTCTACCTAGTCAATTTTCTAGGATAACAAAGAGGAAGCATTTAAACTGGTAGATTCTTAAGTGAGATAATTATGCTGCTCTGGACATTTGGCAATATCTGGAGACATTTATTATTTTCATGACTGGGGAAGAGGTGCTCCTGGAATCTAGTATGTATAGACCAGGGATGCTGATGAACATCCTATAATATGCAAGACAAAGAATTATCCAGCCCAAACTGTCAAGAGTTTTGAGACTGGGAAACCTTGATTTACACTATAAAGTAAAATGGGACTCATACTTAAAGCTATGTTGTTAAAATAAAATCAGTTAACTTTATACAGAATTTTCTGAAGGTAGAAAGTGCTATGTTAGGATAAGTGAATGTCATTATTTTGAAGTGCATATGGCTTAAGTTTAAATGGATCATTAAAAACAGTATTCAAAAAATGGATGAGTCTAATACATTTTCATAAATCAACATTAGAAGTATTCTGCCAATGGAACCTCTAATTTTTAGAACATGAGACTATTCTCAGTATTTTCTAATGAGAATGACCTTGTAATCTGAGTCATTATATTCTATTTGTGCACTAAGTATTTGCTCATCTGAGTTCCTTCTTGTTTTCTCTAATGCTCAGGGTGTCTGATTTTAATAACTTGGACTTACCTGAATTTTTTCTTCATACTGCTTTTCTAAAGGATAAATATTTAGCGGAGAGCTCTGCATCATAAGCCTAATTTAGTGAATCCCAGCTGATTAGCACAGAGCTGATATGAGCCCCTATTCATAGCCCTCTCTGTAGCTATACCTGCCAGCTACACTTTTTGGCCTGCCTTATTTTGTGGAGTTCACCTTTAAAAGTAGGGCAACCACATAAAAGAACGCAAAGGGTAAGATTCTCAATACCTTAGACTTCAAATTTATAAATGATAGTGTATCATTTCCTCAATATTCTCATCTTCACAATGCAGATGATAATGTTCCTTACATAATTTTGTGGGTATTTAGTGACATTATGTATTTAAATGAGCAGTTACTACATTCAAGAGCATGAACTTTGAAATAAGACCAAACTAGTTTGAATCTTGTCTCAGCTATGCACTAGCTGTGTGAACAAAGAGTTTTTCCATATCCTGAGCCCTATTTTATCTTTGGTAAAATGGGAGTAATAATACCAACATTAGCATAAATCGTTTGAGAATTAAAGGTAGGGAGGTCACTTAATTAATTTACCATCCAAGGAGGACACTTTGGATCATAAAAGGGAGTACTGTTAATGATTACAATGAAAAACCAGGCATAAACTGGAACTGCCTCAGGCATAAACAGAGATGTCTCATCACTCTACTGAAATGTGATGTAAGTTCTTAGAACACTTTGGCTCAGTGTAAATGGTCAAGGAAGATAGTTTGCAAAAAATAATCATCTTTGAAATGTTAGTACTGTGTGACATTTTAGGCTGGCTTTTTTTCTGAGTGGCTCTTATACACAGCCTTACAGCATTTAATTCAAATCTATACCATTACAAAAAAAATAATGATTACAAAATATTGAATGACCACCTGGATCACCAATAAACATCAGAAGCAGCAAGTAGAAAACTCCAGGACTGGTAAGGTACTCTAGCAATATCTCCCAAGTTATTTTCCAAGGAATTAATGGGCATGGTGGGTGACAGGTATTGCATTAAAATGGGATTCTGTGATCATGTGGGTTATTGCAGTACTAAGTATTTTATTTCATTATAAATAGCATATTATATGTGTATCAAAGTATTGAAAACTAATCCTGAAATAAAGAAACCCATTAAGTTTGAGAAACACTGGCTTACATTTTACATATATGTAAGTTGGCCTCATTTTCCACTGAGTGAGAAAAGAAAGACTGGCTGAGGAGTGACTGGAGTGATGTGTTGAAATGGAGTGGGTTCAGTGGGAACCTGTGTCATGATCAACTAGTGATGTCTGCCATGGATAACAGTGTGGAGGGTGGGAGGAGTGGTGGCATGCATGACATTTATTTGGCATTCAAGATTTGCACCTGGTTAACATAAAGTGAAAGATTAAGTTCTGAATTTTGCAAATATTAAAGTTAGGTTCTCTCAGAATAAAATTAAGCTGATAGGTATCTTTTATCTTCAGACAAATGAATTAGTAAACATGTTCCTAGATAAAACACTATAATTTCTGCTATATGATCCTTTTTATTACGTCTTCAAGTCAATGTCAAGCTTGGTTCCACTCAGACTTGGTGTGAGACCATTAAGAAATGCTCTACATTGAAATGTAGAACACAATGTTCTTCAGTGTTCATCAAACACTGAAGCAATTTCCCACTCCATGGAATCTGGTGTCATAGTTGCTTTGTTCAGATTGCCTTTTTGCCCTGTATAGCAATAGGTGACCCTCAGAGAGAGGTATTCTCCATCGTCAAATCAACCAACAATTTCTGAAAGATTGTCTCTTTCATTTCTTTTTTTTTTTTTTTTTTTTGAGACGGAGTCTCGCTCTGTCGCCCAGGCTGGAGTGCAGTGGCGGGATCTCGGCTCACTGCAAGCTCCGCCTCCCGGGTTCACGCCATTCTCCTGCCTCAGCCTCCCAAGTAGCTGGGACTACAGGCGCCCGCCACTACGCCCGGCTAATTTTTTTTGTATTTTTAGTAGAGACGGGGTTTCACCGTTTTTAGCCGGGATGGTCTCGATCTCCTGACCTCGTGATCCGCCCGCCTCGGCCTCCCAAAGTGCTGGGATTACAGGCGTGAGCCACCGCGCCCGGCCTGTCTCTTTCATTTCTTAAGATGGAGATGGACATGTCATATGAAAGGTGATAAAGGTGCCTCAGTTTTGCCCCTAATGTTTTCTCTTGTCTTCGTTCAAGCAAAAGAAAGACAAGGGATTCAGGGAAGTGTGAACTGATGTCTTGGCATTCAGCCTGGCACTAAAATGAAAGCGTTTGCTAAGGACCCCTGAGCTCTCTTGCAAGACATTGGCATTTGTCATAATGTAAAATGAGGTGTTCAGTAATTCAGACATGGCAAGTCATTCCCCGTACCTCCCAGGTCTTCTGCATCAGCTGACTAGGGGAATCCTGGCAGATGACCTGCCATTAACAGTGACATGGAAAGGCATAAGAAACTTACTTATGATCTCCATTTGTGCTCCTCCCTCTAGCTTCTATAAACTGTGTTACTTTCACAGAGATATTTGTACACCTTCACATTTGAATATTGGTCATGATTGATCTCTTTGTATTTAACATAAAGAACCATGCCAAAAAATGGCAAACAATCCATCTATGACTATAAAACTATCTGCTTCCTCACCTTTTTGAAAATATGCAAGCATTATGCTTTCCTGAAAACAAGCCATTTCTGCAGCCAGAAAAGAAAACATTTGTGAAATTTTAGCCTCTAAAATGAGATTGGAAGAAAGAGCAACCTTCTTTGGAATATGGCAGAACATTTATTTGAAAAACAGTTAAAACCATGAAAAATGATGGAAGTAGCACCATTGGTCCTAGAAAAAGAGAGATATAGATAATACTCTATAGGATACATATAGAATAATATATACAGAATATGTTTATTTCTAGGAACAATGGTGCTACTTCTATTATTTACATTTATGGTAAACATATATAAAAGTAAACTTCCAATAAATATATATAAATATATTAATATAAACTATATATCTACATATAATACATTCTTCCACTCAACAGGAAGGTAACATCCACATGTCTCAGGCAGCTGTGCTCATCAGGCTGCCATGCAAGTAAACAGACAACAAATGCCCTCCAGGAACACACCATGCATTCATTTCCACTTAATATGTATGTATGGATCACCTTCCATAGGAGGAAGCATGCGGTACTGCTAAATCCTCAGTTAGGATATTTAAGTAATGATGTGAGCTGCAAATGCCTGGACTCAAATCCCAACTCTAATACTGGTTGTGTGACCTTAGAAAATTGACTTATTCTCTTTCTATTTCAGTTTCTAATCTGCAAATATTAATAGTATATTAATCTATACCTTCCTTATATATTTTATATTATTAAAGTGGGTTGATATGGTTTTCAATGAATGCTATTTATTACTATAATTATTTGAATATTTTATTAATCTTTGCAGGGCAAAACACTAGGTGCAAGGGGTATAGGAATAAAATGGTAAACCAAAACAGAAACAGTTGCTTGCTTTCATGGGAATATGAAAAACAATAAGCACAATAATGAATGTAAAATTTTAGTTGTATGAATAGCCATGAAGAAGAGTATATGGTGCTGTGAGAGTTATGGAAGTGGGTATTGACCTAATTAGGAAATTCAGGGTAATAATCTCCTAAGGAAAAGACAGTGGAGATATGAAGAAAGGATGAGAAGAATAAATGATAATTAAGTGAGGGAAGGCGTAGAAAAGAATGTTGCAGGCAGAGAGAACAGCAAGTGCCAAGGCCTTGTGGCAGAAGAAAATTAAAGGGCATCTGAGAACCTAAAATAAGGCCAATATGACTAGAGCACAGACAACAAAGGGAAACATGGAGTGTAAGGACAAACCTTGCAGGGCAATATTGACAATTCCATTTTCTCTGGAAATCATAAATGAGTTTTAAGGAAAGCAGATGTCATATTTGCATTTTTAAAAAATGAACACTCCAGCTGCACTAGGCAAAACAAAGTGGAGAGGATGTAGCAAACCAGATAGGAATCAATTGTCCAAATACAAGGCCTCTTAATTTTGAAGCTATGCGTATTAGTTTTCTATGCTGCATAAAAATTTGTCATAAAGTTAGTTAGCAGCTTAAAGTTACACATTTATTATCTGAAAGTACCGTGGGTCATGTGTCTAGGCATAGCTTATGCAGATCCTCTGCCCAGGGTTTCACAGGCTGCAATCAGGGTGTTGACCAGGCTGGATTTTCATATGGAGGCTCAACTGGGGAATAACTGTCTTTCAAGCTTATTCAGGTTATTGACAGAATTCATTTTTTTGTGTGTGTGGCCTTAGGACTGAGGGTTCCAGGTTTTTCCTGGCTTGAAACCATCCTCAGGTCCTAGGGACCTTGTGGAATTACCTCCCACCCATGTAGGCTCCTCAATATGGCTGCTTACTTCATGAAACTCATAGGAAGAGGCCCAGGCCCGCCCACAGTTATATGCCTTTTTATTATTCTAGAATCAACTAATTTGTAACCTTAATTACATCTGAAAAATCCCTAGATACTCTGTCATCTAGAAGCAAGTCAAAGGTCACACCCACACCCAAGGAGGGGAGTTTACAAGGGGATAAATACCGGGGGCAGAAATCATGAGTGCCACCTCAGAATTTTGCCTATTTTACTATAAAACACTTAAATTTTACATTACAAACTTTTGAAAATAAGTTCTGGGTACCAGTAGGACCTTCCTACACAGACATTTTTTTTTTTTTTTTTTTTTGAGACGGAGTCTCCCTCTGTTGCCCATGCTGGAGTTCAATGGCAGGATCTCGGCTCACTGCAATCTCAAAATCCCAGGTTCAACCAATTCTCCTGCCTCAGCCTCCCGAGTAGCTGGGACTACAGGTGTCTGCCACCATGCCCGGCTATTTTTTGTATATTAGTAGAGATGGGGTTTCACCGTATTAGCCAGGATGGTCTCGATCTTCTGACCTTGTGATCTTCCCACCTCGTCCTCCCAAAGTGTTGGGATTACAGGCGTGAGCTACCGCGCCTGGCCACAGATCTTATTTTTACATGTGAATGAGAACATTGCTAAGAGAAGATACCTTTCTTTGAGATCTTCATAATGCCCTCTCCATACTACCAATCAGCTTAGTTTCTTATAGTGCTTACCAAGAAATGTGAATACTCTTTAATCCTTCACTATTTTTCAGTACTGTAAATTGGAATATCTCCTCCAGTATTTTCTGGTTGTATTTCCACCTCCATCTGCTTTTATATCAGGGTGTTGAGCTAAGTGGTTTTCTTCGACACCACAACTTGCTCAGCATAGATCTCTTTTTGGCAAGCAAGAAGAAGAAAGGAAGAAAGAAGAAATGAAGAGAAGAAAGAAAAAGAGAAAGAAAGAAAGAGAGACAGAGGGAAGGAAGGAAGGAAGGAAGGGGAAGGGAAGGAAAGGGAGGAAGGAAGGAGAGGAGGGAAGGGAAGGGAGAAAAGGAAGGAAGGAGAGAGAGAAGAAAAGAAAAAAGAGAAAGAAAGAAAGAGGGAGGGAGGAGGGAGGGAGGAAGGAAGGAAGGAAGAGAGGAAGGGAGGGAGGGAGGAAGGGAAAAGAAGAAACAAAAAATAAATGGCTTTAGGCCAGGTATGGTGGCTCATGCCTATAATCCCAGCACTTTATGAGGCTGAGGCAGAATTGCTTGAGGCCAGGAGTTCAAGACCAGTCTGGCCAACATAGCTAGACCCTGTCTCTATAATCTTTTTTTAAAATTAGCCAGGTGTGGTGGCAAATGCCTGTAGTTTCAGCTACTTGAGAGGCTGAGGCTGGAAGATCCCTTGAGCCCAGGAGTTTGAGACCACAGTGAGCTATGATTGTGCCACTGCACTCCAGCCTGAGCTACAGAGCAAGACTCTGTCTCTGAAAACACAAACAAACTCTATTAGGGTTCTCTAGAGGGACAGAACTAACAGGATAAATATATATATAAAAGGAGTTTATTAAGGAGTATTGACTCACATGATCACAAGGTGAGGTCCCACATTAGGCCACCTACAAGCTGAGGAGCAAAGAAGTCAGTCCGTCAGTCCAAGTCCCAAAGCTCAAGAACCTGGAGTCCGATGTTTGAGGGCAGGTAGCAGGCAGCATGGGAAAAGATGAGGGCCGGAAGACTAAACCAGCCTAATCTTTCCACATTTTTCTGCCTGCTTTTATTCTGGCCATGCTGGCAGCTGACTAGATTGTGCCCACCCAGACTGAGGTTAGGTCTGCCTTTCCCAGTCCACTGACACAAATGTTAATCTCCTCTGGCAACACCCTCACAGACACACCCAGGAACAATACTTTACATCCTTCAATCCAATCAAGTTGACTCCCAATGTTAACCATCACACAAGCCAACCCTAAAATAAATGGCTTAAATAATAAGCTCTTTGTATGACTTTCTTGAACTTAGCAGGTTGCATTACATTTACCAAGTTGGGGATTCTTCTCAAAATTATGAAGACTCATCATGGAATCTAACACTACTAGCAATGATACCCAGAAACCAACCAAAAACTCCAGAAAATCAAATTTTATCTTCTGAACTTTAAATCACTGATTATGTCCCTGATAAAGTGATACTTTAAATTCTATTTAATACTTGGAGCACATTTTTTATTTTTATTTTGGCAGAAGCCCACTGGTGAAAATGTAGGAGTGAGGTAGATCTAGATTTGAATGTCTCCTCTCTCCCACCCTCCCTCCCTCCATCTCCTCCTCTCTCTATGTCATTAATTATCTCATTTTACTTCCCCTGTGCCAGGTCAGGCACTGTTTTAGGTGCTGGGAAAAAAAACAGTGAACAAGATAGTCAAGGTATCTGCCCTCATATAGCTTACATTCTAGTAAGGTTCAGGAAGAATAGATAATAAGCAACATACAAAGGAACAAATAGAAAATATCAGAAAATGATAAGTGCTGCTCAAAAATATAAAATTGATTGATGAGAAAGAAAGTAATTCAGTGGCTACTTCAGTTTAGGTGACCAGGGAAGATCTCTTTAAGAGGAGACATCTGACTGGGTGCAGTGGCTCATGCTTATAATCCCAGCACTTTGGGAGGCCAAGGCAGGCAGATCGCTTGAGGTCAGGAGTTCAGGACCAGCCTGGCCAACATTGGCCAATGCTTGTCTCCACAAAAATGCAAAAATTAGCCAGGCATGTGATGCGAATCTGTAATCCCAGCACTTTGGGAGGCAGAGGCGAGTGGATCACAAGATCAGGAGTTCAAGACCAGGCTGGCCAAGATGGTGAAACCCCATCTCTACTAAAAATACAAGTTAGCTGGGCGTGGTGGTGGGTGCCTGTAATCCCAGCTACTTGGGAGGCTGAGGCAGAGAATTGCTTGAACCCAGGAAGTGGAGGTTGCAGGGAGCCAAGATCACTCCACTGTACTCCAGCCTGGATGACAGAGTGAGACTCCATCTAAAAAAAAAAAAGAAGAAGAAGAGACATCTGAGACACCAGCAACCATGAGAAGTGAGAATAGCATTAAAGTTAGAGGATACAGCTAGTGCAAAGGCCACAAGGTGGGAAATGAGCTGAACATTTTCTGCAAACTGAAAAATCAATTTTATGGTCTGAATTGTGTCTCCCGAAAAATTCATGTTGACGTCCTAACCCACAGTACCTCAGAATGTGGCCATATTTGGAGATACAGCCTTTAAAGTGGGATGTAAGTCAACGTGGCATCATTCAGGAGAATCCTAACATAATATGACTGGTGTTTTTATAAGAAAAGGAAATTTGGACATGGGCACATACCAAGAATAGGTGATGTGAAAACACAGGCAGATCATGGCCATCTACAAGCCAAGAAGAAAGGTCTCAAACACATATTTTCCTCAAGGCCCTCAGAGGAAACTAACACTGCTGACATCTTGATATCCAATTTCTAGTCTTCGGAACTGTGAGAAAATTAATTTCTGTTGTTTAAGGCACCCAGTTTGCATGACTCTTATTGTTATGGCTTCCCTAGCAAATCACTACAACCAATGTGACTGGAATGTAGTGGATTAGGATGACAGAGATGAAATGAGTTTACAGTGGTGAGTAACAGCCACGTTTTTTAAGAAGTTTGGATATTTTTCTAGGTCTAGTGAGAAGCCATTGACTGGTTTTAACCAGAAAAAGTCAAACTTATCGCAGAATGGAGAATGGACTGTAGAGTCAAGAGTAGAGGAAAGTGACCAGTAAGGAACACATGTGGTATTCAAGAGATAATGGCAGGTTAGGCTAAAGTGATACAAGAAATGATAGAGGAAGTATATTTTAAACATATTTTGGTAATATAGTCAACAGGACTTGCTGACAGTGGAAAATTTAAATGCTAGTACTGTATTACCACAGGTAGAACTAAAATTTTATTCATTGACTACCTAGTTGTGGAACCTAGATTCTGTTTAAGTAATTTTTCTAAGGATATTTCATCAAATCAAATGACCTTCATTAAACACATCTTTCATCAAAATCTAAAAGTAGCAAATCACAAGTTCAGGAAGAATTTCACTTACATCTGTAATCAAGGCATCATTATTAAATTATTCATTGATTGGTTCTTTTTTGTTTGCTCTGTTCTTGACATAAAAATTTTAGACTGTGATCAATATGATTATTTCTTTTTAAAATATGTTTAGACCCTCATTGTTAATAACCTTATGAGATCATATCCTTTTTATGACTCACCTAAAATTTTGACAGAAGCAAGTAAACAAGTTATTAACCGTACCAGAGTCTCCTTTCAATTGTTATAGGCTTGCTGATGTTCTATGCTAATGTTGTGAATTCAGAAAGGAGTTTAGCTGCTAGAATCTTAGGATAGTTTACTGACCTTAACATGTTTTCCTACATTATGAGACGAGCTGTGTTGTTATAAGCCTAACTCAGCACTAGACACCAAGTTTTTCTTAAGACCAGGGGGCCATTGCAGGTTTGGTGAAGAAACCACAGACAGCTGGAATTAATCTTTTTTTTTTTTTTTTTTTTTAATTTTTGAGACAAAGTCTCACTCTGTTGCCCAGGCTGGAGTACCGTGGCATGATCTCGGCTCACTGCAACCCTCGCCTCCCAGGCTCAAGTGATTCTCGTGCCTCAGCCTCCAGAGTAGCTAGGATTACAGGCGTCCGCCACCACATCCAGCTAATTTTTGTATTTCTAGTAGAGACGAGGTTTCACCATGTTGGTCAGGCTGGTCTTAAACTCCTGACCTCAGGTGATCCACCCACCTTGGCCTCCCAAAGCGCTGGGATTAAGGCACGAGCTACCATGCCCAGCCATTAAGCTCTTCTTGAAATGAGACTAGTTACTTGACTGTCACTGAGTACCATGGGCTGATGTCTGTAGGGAGAAGGGCATGATTTTGCTGATCATGCTGGTAGTCAGCTGGCTGTGCTGATCTAGGATGGCCTGGGCCAGGACTTTACAACCTGGCTCTGCACAATGTGTCTCCCTTCTACCAGCAGTGGAGCCCAGGCACAGTCTCTTGGCAACTACAGGGAACAAGAGAGACATAGCAATTGCACAAGTAATTTCCCAGCCTCTATAGTTGTCATATTGATTTTGGACATGTCACCACCCAAAATAAGTCACATGGCTGACCCACAGTCAGTGTGGGAGAGAATAAAAAAGTACATGGCAAAGGATGTGGATACAGGGAAGGGTGAAATTCAGATCTCAATGCAATCAAACACAGACATTTCTTGATGTTAGTTCATCCACTAAATCGCATACAAAACCACAAAGAAAAGCTATATAATAAAAAGTGGCAAACCCAAAATTAAAATAATGGCACATTGAGAGACATATTTGCATTTCTAATATATAAGGATCACATTCAAATTTATAAGAAAAAAAAAAGATTCCAGTGGTAAATTCCCAAAGGACAGGAAACAATGTTCCTTTAAGAAGAAATATAAGAAGTGAACAAGTACATGAAACAAATGTCTATCTTCATTTGTGATACAACAATTAAAGCTAACCTAAGATAGAATTTGCACTTAATAAATTAGCAGAAAAATGAAAGTTTTAAACAAGTGCAAATAAAATGGATGAGTTACAATTCCATTGGAACATAATATGGCAATATACAGAAAATATTTATTGCAACATAATTTTGCTCTTGCTGTTCTGTCTACTTCATCTATTCATATGCCTCAACTCCTTATTTCATTTAAAAATTCTCTCCAAAGTTACCTTCTCCAAAAGGCCTCCCCTGAGATCCCTGTCTAAAATAGTGTAACTTTCTGTCACCTTTTAGGTTTTCTCCATAGCACCTATTACTATCTGATCATCTATTATAAATTTAATTGTGATGATGGGCTTTTTTTCATATGTTTCTTGGCCGCATAAATGTCTTCTTTTGAGAAGTGTCTTTTCATATCCTTTGCAAACCACCATGGCATGTGTATACCTATGTAGCAAGCCTGCACATTCTGCACACATATCCCAAAACTTAAAGTATAATAAAAAAAATGGCTAGATATGTTGTTTTAGATTAAAAAAAATTTTTAATTGTTTATTTCTTGTAGGTCTCCCTCACTAGAATAAAAACTCAATAAAGACAAGAACTTCGTTCACCGTTTTCACAGCTTTGTCTCCAGACATAAAACAATGGCCAACACAGACGCTTAAATACTTGGTAAATCAATGAATAAATGAGTAAATAGATGGCTAAATAAAAAGAGCGAACAAATATATATATTCTTTTTATCAGTATAATCATAAAGAAAAAATTCAAAAGAAACAAAAGCTACATTCTATAAGATGTTCGTAAGTGCATTAACTGTAATAGCAGAAGAGCAAACCCCATCTAAACATCTAATGACAGGGCTTTAGCCATTTATTAATCCATTTATTCAAGAAATGTTTTTTGAGTGCTCACTAGATGCTAGGAACTCTATTTGCCTTTCTACACTGAATTTATTCTAGTGAGAGAAATAGCCATTAAAGACATCAGTATGTACTACGATGCCAGGCAATGATAAATGCTGGGAAAAGAAAAATCAGGAAAGTTTAAAGAGTGAGGGAATAGGGTATTCAATGTTACCTTATTATTAGGAGATTTATGTAGAAAAGTGTTTATAATTCAATGTGTGAAATACAACACAACATTATATAGTGAACATTTTAATAGCTATGTAGAAATATATAGTCATGGTAACATGAATTGGAAAATCAAAGAAATAATAATTAGGTAATAAAACTATGGAAATTTTTAATTTTTAAATTCTTTATTATTGCACTTCTCCATTAAAAAAAAAGCAACATGGAAAAAAAGAAAAGCAACTTGAACAAGAAAACCTAAAGTTTAGAACTTCTGGAACATACTGTTCACGCTGTCTTTTGGACAAGCCCCTTAATCTGTATACAAAATAGTTGGGAGGTAGGCTGAAACTTTGGCGTTTTGGACCTCCTTTTCTAGAAAATCAACAATATCATTTGCTCCACTTCTTGTTTCAATGAATCATCTGAGTTATCTAGATTTTCTGTTGGGCACAAAAACATTCATTCCTATCGAAAATAAAACATTCTACAGAAATAATCTACCACCATTTACAATTGAGGTAATTTATTATAATGCCTGAATTCTATATTTTAAAGCCAAATTTTCTCTGTCATTCATTTTGGAAAGCTTCAATTATTTTTTCAAGAACTACACAAATTAAAATTCTCTGTGTAAAAGTGAAATACCATCCTTCTTTGAAACAACTAATAACTATCACTTGGAGGTTGTCTTCTTTTTTCACAGTCATTGTAAAAGCTACTTTATATATCTTATCTTCACAATAATCTTAGATGGATGGCTTCATTGACATAGAAACAGGTTCAAAATGCTAAATGTTTGTTACTGGTATGCCTTCTAGTACTGGTGACCAATGGGTAACTAAGAAGATGGCAAAGCCCAATCTAACTTATTTATGAACTTGAGGATATTCTTAAACCCAGAGAAATTTGTCATTTTAGTTTGCTGCCATAGAGATTATCTTCCTGCAGCAGACATTTGTCATATTTGGCCACCCACTGTCTGAATCCCTCTTGCCTTTCCTATTGGCATTGCCATCATGATTTTGGTAAATTTGTCATTGATTAATAGTTTTGACAAGAAAGGAATTTCAGCTGCCTGACTCTCACTGTATAAGCCAAGGGTGGCAGATTCTTCTTCCACCCACCCTTCGCACATCCAGAATCCTAAACTCAATCAATGAGACACTTATTCCTGGGATGCTGATTCAATAGTTGAGACCAGATTAATCATGGGGCAGAAGCAGAATGGAGGTCAGAATGGGGGTCAATTTTGCCTACCCACCCCCCAGAGGATCCCTTGTTCTTATCTAATCTCCTAATTCCATCCTCCAGAATCCCATCTATTATGTAAATCCCAAATATCCTCATGACAAATTTCCTTTGGCTAAGATAGCCAGGGTTGTTTCTGTTCTTATAGCCAACACCCTGGACTGGAGAAATCAAAACATATATGTTATGAGTTGAATTGTGTCCTCTATAAAAGACAACTGAAGTCCTAATCCCCAGTACCTGTGAATGTAACCTTATTTTTGGAAATAAAGTCTCTGCAGACATAACCAGCATAAGATAAGGTCACACTGGAGTAGAGTGGGCCCTTAATCCAATATGACTGGGGTCCTTATAGGAAGAAGACGGGGAGGAATACAGGGAGGAGAATGCCATGTGGAGCCCAAACATAGAGAAAAGAGTGTCATCTAAGTGCTGCATAAGTCAAAAGCCAAGGTGATATGGTTTTCTGTGTCCTCATCCAAAGTTTGTCTTGAATTATAGCTCTCACAGTTCCCACGTCATAGGAGGGACCCAGTGGAAGGTAATTGAATCATGGGGATGGGTTTTTCTCATGCTGTTCTCATGATAGTGAATAAGTCTCACAAGATGCAGTGGTTTTATAAAGGGGAGTTTCCCTGCACAAGTTCTCTTCTCTTGTCTGCCACCATATGAGACATGCCTTCTATCACGATTGTGAGGACTCCCCAGCCACATGGAACTGTGAGTCCATTAAACTTCTTTCTTTTGTAAATTGCCCAGTCTCGGGTGTGACTTTATCAGTAGCATGAAAATGGACTAATACACAAGGATTGCTAACAAAACACAGAAGGTAGAAACCAGGAAAGTATCCCCCCAACAGGGTCCAGAAATGGCATGGCCCTGGAAACACCTCAGACTTCTGGCTCCCAGAACCATGAAAGATGAAGTTCTGTTGTTTTAAGGCACTTTGTTATGGCAGCCCTAGGAAATATCTAAACTATTGCTAAAGACACTTATAAACCATTAGTCATATTATTTGCTTAAGAAATTCATTATGTATCTGTAACATGGAAATCCTTTCCTAGATAACTGGTCATAAGATTTTTTTCACCCACCCAAACCAAGTTTTGCATATAGTAGGCATAAAAATAAGAACTCAGTACATTTAAGCATGCAAATGAACAGAAAGCATAGTTCAAGGTGGGATTACACTAAGAAGTTATTTATTTTCCAATTAATTCTCATCTCCTCAATACTTCGCTTATTTTGTTATCTACTCATGAACCCAATGTCCCTTCTATCATCAACCAGGTCACTTTCTGAATATTCTATAAATGTTTACCAAAATAAATCTAGTCCTTGACAAACCAAGAATTAGGTATCATATAGTAGCATGAGATTTTTGGGAGTTTCACCACGACAACATTATTAGAACCCTGAAATGTACATAAATAAGGAAAGCAGATTATGACATTTCTTTTATATTTATGTTCAATGTACTGTGAATGATTATGACAGGTAAAGTGGAAGAGAATTAAAACAGAAAGGACATTGAGATACACATCAAAAGGATACTATCCAGAAAGTGCTTAAATACTGCATGCAACTGCCTTATCAGTTGACCAGACAGAAATCAGTGCGGTTAACGTGGGCTGTGATTAGATATTTTAACTGCTTTAATGTTCTGTTATATTTTATTCAACAAAGTCATATTTGACTGCAGAATAGTGGGCAAACCAAAATGTGTGTTACAGGTATTATGTTGGCATTTTTATTTTCTACTGGAACTTTCATTATATATTAGCTTTTCAGTCATTTCAAAAGTCCTCAAATTTCTTTCTGGTACTGCCTTTTGATTTAGCAACTGGATAGAAACAGCTGAAAGCATTTCTTGGTCTTAAATTAGAGTTGGCCATGACAAATGTTTCTGCAAGAATATAGGATGAATCCCACACATTTATCACGGCATCTGGGCCATGTTTGTTTCTGTAGGACAGAGGAGAGGGTAGGAAGTATTCTTATGTTGGTAAACTGGAAGTCTAAGAATTACACTTGCCATCTGGGATTGTTTTGACGAGAATACTGGCCTGTTCTTCCCACTTAATTACCAAAATCAAATATCATGATGCAAAGACAATGGTTTTGGTGATCTAGACTTAAGTAAAACCAGTAAGAATAAACACTTTCACTTAAATATGGTTGTATTTATTTACTATGATATTCAACAAGCTTTTAGAGTTTATAGAAAAATTTCATGCATACATTTAGCCTATACAAATACGAAGAAGTTACATAAACCCAACATAATTAAAGCAATTTATATAGGGCATAAACTTCATGACATTTACAGTCAACTTGCAAGGAAAGAAGGCAACTAACAGAAATAACTTCTCCCAGCAAAAACACTTTTGTGGTTTGCACAGTTCCAAAATACCAGTCTTTAAATATGTACTATTCCACCGAAGTGCCAAAAGGAGAATAGCAAACTAAATAAAAAAAAATATGGCCCCAGTTTAGAAATTTGGTAAGAAAGTAACAAGAAGACCTACTTTTATACATGCAAGAGCAAAGAATCAACTTAATTTCTCAAACATTATAATTTCTTTAACTTTATTAGGGAATATAATTTCAAATAAATCCCAGATTCACCTAGCTGTATCGAAAATTAATACAATTGAAATACTTCTGGTGTCAAAGCTACTGAGTGCCAAAAATATTCAAACTTTTCCACTAAAGAATCTCCCCAGCCCGGCCCGGTAGCTCACGCTTGTAATCCCCGCACTATGGGAGGCAGAGGCAGGTGGATCACAAGGTCAGGAGTTCAAGACCAGGCTGGGAAGATAGTGAAACCCCATCTCTACTAAAAATACAAAAATTAGCTGTGGGAGGTGGCGGGTGCCTATAATCCCAGCTACTCCAGAGGCTAAGGCAGAGAATTGCTTGAACCTGGGAGGTGGAGGTTGCAGTGAGCCGAGATCGCACTGCTGCACTCCAGCCTGGGCGACAGAGCGAGACTCCGTCTCAAAATTAATTAATTAATTAATTAATTAAATTTAAAAAAATTTTTTAAAAATCTCCCTTGTTAAATAGCAGAAGTACTGTGTTTTCAATGCCAAACGGGCAACTAAGAAGCAGGCTAAGTGGCTGCCTGGGATCATAATCAGAACATGAACTCTCAAGCGCTGCCGCTGATGAAAATAGCACTACATCAAGTTTCTTCCTATTAGCCGGATGTCCGAGTAAATCTTAGCACACAGACCCATACTCACAGCCCAGTATCAAGCACCAACAATTTTTCAGTGAATGTGCTGTCCAGCCCCAAATTTGCTCTTGACAGAATTGTTACAACAGTAAACATTTGCCCTGGGCACCAACCTGACACAATTCTTTGACAAGTAGTTTTCCTGCTGCAGTGGAGAGAACAGATGGTTTGATTCCTGCCTAATAGACTTAGTGGTTGCCTAATTTAAGGAATAATATGGATAAAAACTAGTAGTGGCAGCAACTGATTTTCTGATTCTGCATTCTGAAACAGTATTTTGGAATCAGTGTTTTTTATTAGCGGTACTCCTTCCAATACCACTTGTAAGGACACTAGTCATCCTGAGGCTCACAGTAATTTATTTTAACCCAAGCATTTTCATCTTTGGAAAGCATCCTTATCTCTGCAGAAGGGAATGGTGAAGTCATTTGTTGAAAACCCTTAGCAAAAGGTCCACACAAATAAGCACAATCAGATTTGATTCTGGGATGAGGGATGGAAGGGATATGAGACTAAATTCTGAACGTTGGGCTGGGGTGAGCTCCTTAAAAGCAGTCACGCCAAAGTCAGTTTCTCTAATTCCCTTTCCTCAAACTACCCACAATATATATCTTTTTATTTTTAATCCAGAAACGTGTCACGTCAATGTTAACAATGCCTTCCTAAAGCTTCTTCACAGTTCTTCCCCCTCAGAGTGAAAATATCCTGTTCTGATGAGTCCTTGGAGGAAGAAGTAAGCAAAGCCCCAGAGTTACTCCAGGGAAACTTGTTTCTGCCTTGCTGTCTGGGTTGACTGATTGATTGTATTTTAGAAGCTGGTGAAATGCTGTAGGTGTCTGCAGGCTGAGCATCCCCCTCAGACACGCAAGCCCGATGGGTGCTTGGATTTAGAGCTGTGTTTGTAAGGTTTTGGACACTTCCTCTCTATGGGATTATCTTAGAATTTTAATGCTGCTATCATTATCTTGGGGAGGTGACTGGGCTTGTAAATAGAAAAACCATCAATCTTCCTTCCATTCACAGCCAACATTGCTTCCTTGCCCCAACACACATCCTCCCAAATAGGCTCAAGGTAGAGGGTGCACCTCCTAACAACTTGCTTTTATCTTAGGGAAAAGGATAAACTTTAAACAGTGTGTGACACACTTTGAGGAAGATGTTTAAGAAATACACTAGCAAAAAGTGTCAGAAATAGTACATATTTTGCACAAGCTCAGCCATAGAACAGAGATCAGTCACGACTCTCAGACAAATTTCTTTAAGTCCCACATCTCATGGAAACAGGCAGCCCAAATGAGCAGAGTCATCTGAGTATAGACGTCAGTTACAGAGCAATAAATGGATGCAGTTTAAGAAATATTTTCTAAAACTGCCAGGCCTTGATATAGGAACATAGAGACGACTTCAAAAATGCTTAAGAAAGGGACAAAGTTGCCAGAATTCAAATAGTGATTGCTATGGTCTGAATATTTGTGTCCTCCCCAAATGTTATATGTTAGAATCCTAACCCCAAAGTGATGGTTTAGGAGGTTAGGTTTGGGGAAGGTGATTAGGTCATGCGGGGAGAGCCTTCATGAATGGGATCAGTGCCCTTATAAAAGCAGCCCAAGAGACATCCCTTGCTCCTTCCATCAGCAGAGGACACAGCAAGCAGGCATTGTCTAAGAGCCAGAAAGCAGGCCCTCACCAGACACTGAATCAGCCTTGATCTTGCACTTCTCAGCCTATACGGCTATAAGAAATAGACTTCTGTTGTTTATAAACTACCCAGTTTTTGTTATAGCAGCTTACAGTGGCCAACATACAATAACAGTGTGGTAGCCACAGACGTGCACCGCTCAGTTTGGCCAAGACAGGACCTGCTACAGAGTGTGGTGAGCCAACAGTTCCAGAT
This sequence comes from Homo sapiens, assembly GCF_000001405.40. Classification (NCBI taxonomy): domain Eukaryota; kingdom Metazoa; phylum Chordata; class Mammalia; order Primates; family Hominidae; genus Homo; species Homo sapiens. The sequence continues at coordinate 102,093,624 of NC_000004.12, forward strand.
CCACCATCTTCAAGATCCACTTCAGCACTGTTCCTGGACTTCTCCCAGCCAATACCTGGGCACAGAGTGGGTACTGGAGCCAGGCCATGTCTGCTCAATCAGGATTCCTTCAATGGACAACCTTTGCTTTGAGCATCCCATTAGCTTCACCAAGTCTTTCTCAAGGAACACTGCAGTCTTCAGTTCTTCCAACCGAATCAGTTGTCTGTCTCCCTCTCTTTCTGCAGGAATGAGACATGTACTGCCATGTAAAGCCTCTCCTTAACTGCCCCTGCTCCCCATACCCATTGTCATTCATAGGTGTTTCCTCCAATAAGTCTCTTTCACTTCTAATTCCATCATGGTGTTCACTTCCTGGAGGACCTAAACTGCTACCAACAAATATATAAATCAATGCAGTTCTGGCTCATCTCCCTGGGAGATAAAATAATGCTGAAAGTCTAAGTGAATATTAACTATGGAGAGAAAAAACTAATAATCAAAAGCCCACTCCTGCTATAGCTAACCCAGTCCCTCCATAATAACATTAATACATTCATGAGGGTGGATCCCTCATGACCTAATCAGCTCTAAAAGTCTCCAGTTCTCAACAATGTTACAATGGCAATTAAATTTCAATGTGAGTTTTGAAGGGGACATTCAAACCATAGAAACAACTCTCAAATAAAGTCTGCATTAGAAAACATCCAGGATTGTGAATTTGCTCTTTGGAAGGCCTTTCGGAGGCAATTCCATTCTTCTTTACCAATGATTTCTCAAGCTTCAATTCACTCCAGGTTTGTGTACTTCATCAAGCTTCCTTTCCTGCATGGTTCATGACTCTAAATTATTTACTTGCATCACCTCCATATAAATGTTTATTTTCTTTGTAAAGGGAGAGAATGGAGGCATAGTATAATTAACCTTCCCATGATGTTGTAGATACTGAGAATGAATTTTTATTAGAGGGTAGGGTGGGAGGCAAGAGAAAAAGCAAGTGCCTGCTTCATCCCCTGAGTGCCACCTGCATTTAAGGGCACAGACAGTGCCTACCCGAGAGCATCTTGCCCACAGATCAGCCCACACACAGTGCCACTGACAGCTGTGAGGAGAGAACACAAAGGCTGAGATAAATGTGGCACACACTTTAAGACTGCACATATTGGTCATCAAAAGATGCAGAATAAGCCCCAAAGGAACAGAAATATGAGGCTTATTTTAAGTTTTGAAATCAGCTTTTAAACTCCCCTAGCAAAAATGAGAGATCTTTTTTCCTTTTTAAAGCCTACAGAACCTCTAATTCTCAATCTGTTGAGAGTTTTACCTCCTTTTACAAACTAACAAAAATAGGCATGCAACCAAGCTCTGAAACTCAGTATAAGAAATTGAAATTGTTTTTTCAGAGTTTCTTTGTGGATCAGCATCTTAAATCAGATATTAGGGAACAGGTCACCTTCTCTATCCTTTAAGAAAGGAGAAAAGATGCTGTTGGAGTTGGTATAAGAAATCCCATTCTTCCTGATTCTAAAGCAGGAAAGATAGCACTAGCAGATACAGGAAAAGCCTGAAAAAATTTATAGAAGAAGTCGGGAGAAGAGGAAAAGCAAGAAAGAGAGAGAAAGGAATAGGAAACAAACACTTATGGTGCACATTGTTTATATTTTATATAACATCTCACTTAGTTCTTGCAATTGTCCTAAGACATGGATGGTGCTGCTTCCATGAGGAAAACAAGACTGAAAGAGAAAAAATCACTTTCCCAAACAAACACATAGATCATGGCAGAACTGAAAGATTTGAAAGAATAGAAAAAGCATCCATTGTTCATTTAGAAAGCAGTAATTTTGAAAGGTGTGAATATTGAAAAATTTCTTATAAGTTTAGCAAGAAATAAGAAATGGGCATGTTCTAATAGTAATTCATAGAATCCATTGTATTGACAGATTTGGATTAATAAACAGCTCATTTCTGAAAAAATATATTTCCCTCATCTCAAAAGGCCTTTCAAAAAGCTTCTCAAATGAAATGGCCTTGACATTTGCCCAGGTGAGGTAAACTTCACTAAACTTAGTAAATGAGTCAGTACCAACTGGGACGCCACGTTAATCTCATTTTCTTGATCCAGAAGAGCTCTCCGCAATGACTAGGTAGTTGGAGGATGGGATGATACTCAAAATATTAAATGTCATTTTATTTCCAGGAATTGTGCTAGTAGGCAAACTGTCTTCACATATCAGTGAGGAATTTTTCTGGTATCAAAGTTGATGTGAAGCAGTTTAGCAAATTCTTTGCATACTGACTTCTCCCACTTGGAGCCCAGCTGCTGCCCAGTTTGGATATGGTTTGTTTGATCCCTCCAAATCTCGTTTTAAAATGTGATTCTCAGTGTTGAAGGTTGGGCCTAATGGGAGATATTTGGGTCATGGGGGTCTTGGATCTCTCATGAATGGCATCCTGCCACCCTTGCAGTAATGAGTAAGTTCTCGCTCTATTAGCTCCTGTGAGAGATGGTTGTTAAAAACAGCCTGGCACCTCACCCACCCTCTCTGCTGCTTCTCTCCCAATGTGATCTCCACACACTGGCCCCCTTTGCCTTCTACCATGAGTGGAAGTAGCTTGAGACCCTCATCAGAAGCAGATGGTGGTGCCATGCTTCCTGTACAGCCTGCAGAACCATGAGCCAATTAAGCTCTTTTCTTTATAAGTTACTCAGCCTTAGGTACTCCTTTACAGCCACACAGACTAAGACACCAGCTAAATCTCTTTTGAAGACAGTGTAATATGTAAGCTTATAGTGCAAAAGTTGGTAAGTTAAAAGCTGCATTTCCCAGACTGCCCTGAGATAGGGTTCTGGGAGTGGTTTAAGTTATGACACTCAGTAATCCTCGCACAAGTCATGAATTGAAAACTGAGTTAACCAGCGGAAAAGGCCATGGCAGACTTCTGATGTTTTGTTGGTGCAAATCTAGCAGGCACAGTATGTTCCCAGAGTTCAAAATTATAGCACAAATTTTCTGACATTCAGATTAAGCTAAGGTGGAGTAATCTTGAAAACAGAGCCAGCAGTGGGGCCAGTGGCTTATCTAATTCCTGCTGTAGCATAGGAGAGTTCAAAGGAGTTCAAAAGAGTCAATCCCCAAAGTTTAGCCTGGAGCCCACAAGCACCCACTTCCCCATTTCAAATCAGTTCATGCTTTAAAATAGCTAGAAAAGTTTATCTGTAACAACAGCCTGACTGACATTTAAAAGGCATCCATCTCAGTAAAACAGTTTCAACAATTGAACAGTTCCTTAGGACAAAATATTTATTCTTTGCTAATTTACAGACCCTATCCATCACAAAATCTTACCAGCACTATTTTCAACATGTCTTCTACATCATGGCTTTTCTTATCACCATCCCCTGCCCATAGGGATACTAACTCCTTTCCATGGACCCCCCAAAAAGATCACAATATTTAGAAGAATCAGAAAAACAGTTTTTTCTTTGGAAAATATTGACTGTTAAGTGGAGAGTAATATTAGATAAGTATTCGAATGAGAACAAGATAATACAGCCTTTAAGAAACCGCCATAGAATACTAAAAACTATAAAATAAACTGAAAAAAGTTAAGAAATACCTAAAATAATGGAGATATAATCATGTTTATGGTCAAGAGATTTAATATTGTTAATATGTCAATTCTCCAAAATTTATCTACAGATTCAAAGTAATCCTCATCAAGAAAGTAGCAGCTTCTGAATAAATAAAATTTGAAAAGCTAAATCTAAAATCAATTTAGAAAAGCAAACAACCTGGAATAGCCAAAATGATATGATATTTTAAAAGGAAAACAAAGATATCAGGCCTTATACTACCTAATTTTATTTACTATAAAGTTTCAGATATCAAAATAAATCTAAAATCAATTTAGAAAAGCAAACAACCTGGAATAGCCAAAATGATATGATATTTTAAAAGAAAAACAAAGATATCAGGCCTTATACTACCTGATTTTATTTACTATAAAGTTTCAGATATCAAAATAATGGGGTGTTGGCTTAAAAATAATTATATAGCTCAAGAGAACAAAATAAGTATTCCAAAAAGTAGGCTTAGAAATATCAGGTAAATTGGTGTGATGTTTAATATTAAGTGTCAACTTGATTGGACTGAGGGATGCCTAGATGGTTAGTAATGTGTTGTTTCTGGGTGTGTTTGTGAGGCCATTGCCAGAGAATATTGACATTTGAGGTGGTGGACTGGGAGAAGAAGACCCACCCTCAATGTGGGTGGGCACTATCCAATGGGTCGCCAGCCAGCTAGAACAGAGCAGGTGGAAGAAGATGGGGTAGCATTGCTTGCTGAGTCTCCTGGCTTCCTTCCTTTTCCCATGCTGGATGCTTGCTTCCGCTTCTCCTGCCCTTGGACGTTAGACTCCAGGTTCTTCAGCCTTTGGACTCTGGGACTTGCACCAATGACTTCCCCAGGCTCTTGGGCCTTCAGCAGCAGACTAAAGGTTATGCTGTTGGCTTCCCTGATTTTGAGGCATTTGGACTTGGAGTGAGCCATTCTTTTCTTTCCCCAGCTTGCAGACAGTCTAACATGGGATTTCGCCTTGTAATTGCATGAGGTAATTCTCCCTAATAAACTCCCTTTTATATATACATATATCCCATTGATTCTGTCCCTGTGGAGAACCATGACTAGTGCAATCAGTATTTGACAATGATGCCAAGCATTTAGTAAAGAAGACATTCTCTTTAATAATTATGCAGGAAAATCTAAATACCCGTATGAAAAGGAAATGCATTTCAATCCTACTTCATAATACAAACAAATATTAATGTGAAATAAAACATAGTGCTAATTATAAAAGCTAAATCGACAAAACTTCTTGAAGAAACTATAAAACGTCTTTGGTTTCTTGGGTTAATCATAAACTTCTTAGAGCACAATAAGCAAAAAACATAAAAGAGAGACATCGATGAATTGGAGTTCATCAGAACTTCTTCTCTGCAAAAGACACTGTCTTAGACAATGAAAAGATGAGCGTCAAACTGAGGGGGAGGAAGTATTTACAAAATACATAGCAATAGTATTAACAAAAAAAAATAATAAAAATGGGTAAAAAAAAATAATAAAAATGAACAGTCTTCACCAAAACAGATATACAGATGACCAATTCCCACATCAAAGAGTGCTCATTATCATTAGTCATCAGACTAATGCAAATAGAAATCACCATGAGACACCACTTCATACCCACTAGAGCAATTAAAAATCTCATATATTGTTGATAAGAATGCAAAATGATAAACCATTTTAAAAAACACATTTTTACAATTACCTATAAAGCTAAACATACACTTAAAATACGACCCAGCAATTTTGTTCTTAGATATTTACCTAAGAAAAATGAGAACAAATGTCCACACAAAGATTGCTATATGAATGTTCAGAGCAGTTTAATTCCTAATGGTCAAAATTCAAAACAACCCAAATGTTCATCACCGATGAAGGGATAAACTAAGTGTTTGTTTCATGCAATGGAATGCTATTCAGCAGTTTAAAGGAACAAACTGCTGATACATGTAACAACATGGATGCTTTGCAAAATGCTAAATGATGAAAGACAAACAAAAATTGGTACTATCATATTGGGGTTATATGACCTTCTAGAAAAAGCAAAGCTAAAGGAACAGAAAGCATATCAATAGTTGCCATTGACTAAGGGTAGGCAGAAAAGATTGACTGCATAGGTGCATTAGATAACTTTTTTAGAAGACAGAATTTTCTATACCTTGATTGTGGCAGTTATGTGATTGTATACATTCAATAGTCATCATCAAAGTGTACACTTAAAAGGATAAATCTTATATGTGCATTATACCTCAATGCTTCATATGAAAAATAAAAGAACAAAAAGCTTGCTGGGAAGCCACTGTGAAACTCATAGGAGTACTTGCATTGGGTCATATTTGCATCCAAAAATAATGGCTTCTATTATTCATTTTGTCTCAAAGACTTAGGCATAAGAAGATACTGTTTTACTTTGGACTCTGATAAATACAGGAATAAAGGTTGAAAACATAAAGTTAACTTCTAGTCTAGGCATCATCAATTTAAATACCTCCACCGGCCAGGACAATAACCCAAATGGGTGAACTAAGCTAAGAAAAGGAAGAGTCCAGGTGTGATGGTACATGGCAATTGACTTAACCCCAGTGACAATGAAGAGTTGTTAAAACCTTGACAATGTGGAAAGTGTATATGCTCAGGGCATGTGATCAGCTCCTGTGGATTGCTGGTGTGCAGGATGCAGGCCCAGTTGTATTATTTTTCCAATTTTTTGAGAATTAATAAGTTTAGATTTTGGATGTTAAGGCTCTTAAGCTAACCATGAATTAAAGTTTTCTGCAAGTCAGTATGTGGAATCCAAACCAAATGTGTTTGCATAACAGATTGAGCGATGTGCCATCAGTCTGGCACATAAGCAGCATCAGTCTGCACCAATGGAATTAAAAATAGGGAATACACATCCAAACACCAAAGAAGAAAAAGTACAGAGAAAATATATTAATATAAATATATAGAATTTAAAAAATGGTGACAGCTAACCTCCCCAAAACAGAAAGCGTATAACAACATAAAAATGGTAAGACTAAATAGTTATAAAAATTAGTATTAACTTGTCAGATAGCTTTATTAATCTCAAAGATGTTAAGTTGGCTCAAAATAAACATGAAAATAAAGACCTTATACCAGGAAGTTCATTTTAAACAAACCCTAGAAGTAATTACAAGAATGAGTAAAAAATAAAAAAGAAGTTTGTCAAAGAAAAAAACCAAAATCCTTGGTGTTATATCAATATAAGAAAAAAATAAAATATAATATTAATATCAGAAAAGTTAATATATGGAAAATGACTTATTTTACATACACAGAGTTTAAAATAATAATATGATTGCTAACCCCAAATAAAAATATTTCAATGTTTAAAAAAGAATAAAAAAGAAATTTAAGCTTTTAAAAAATATAGTGAGATGGGAAACACTTTTAAAAATCATATTGTCAAACCCTAAATTTATAAAGAAGAAAGAAAATGAGAGTAAATTTAACTACATAAAGATTAAAGGCAAAAACTTTTGTAAACAATTAAAACTGAAAGTGTATTTACAAAGTGACACAGAGTTGTTAACATCTTTAAAATACAAGCAACTGCTCCCAAATCTAATAGGAAATGGGCAAATGTACCAATAAAATAGATTTAAAATATTGGCAGGAATTTAATATTTCTTAAAAGAAGAGGGTTTAGTAAATAAATGTGCATCCAATTGATAGATTATTATTCACATTGAAAATTATGGTTGAAAGAATGATGAAAAACATTGGAATATTAATTATAATAAAAAACTTTTTTAAACTAATATTATAAAACTTTTACTGTCATCAATCACTGTTTTAGGGGCTGTCCCAGTTGAACATCTTGATATAATACATTACAGATCTTCCACATCATCATCTTCCACTGTTAAAATTCTACAAACTATGGAACAAGTACAATAGAATTGGATTATGATTTCTAAACATAGCACTGCTAACACATCAATTTGATGTTAAGGATACTTAATATCCCACACTAGTGTATGTAAAAATCCATGTTTGTTTTCTACTCCTAAAATGACATAAAAACACATCTAGATCATGTCAACTAACTACATTATTTATAAAAGGATTTTCCAATTCTCTGTAACAATATATGACTTAAATTTATCTGTGAATTTAAATTTTTAAACAAATAACCCTTGTTTTGATCATTATGCTACTTAATTTTTATTTCTTCAGAAGAAGGCTAAAATATACCAAAAAGATATTATCTTTATCTTGAGGAGGAAGAAGCAAGAAGAAGTTCAGAAATAAAATCAACGTCCAAGTACATATTCTGAATCAGCAGAAGATATGAATCAAGAACCCAGAACTAACTCTGTTGGACTTAGACACAGCCATAGGAAGACTGAACAAGGAGACAAACATTAATGACAATCATATGCTACTTCACTAATAGAGTAATTTTGCCCTATGTGTAAACTTATTCTAGTAGCTGCCCTTTCTATTCATTAGCTCCATCTGGACATCAGTAGTGGATACAATTACTCCCCAGCTAAGATGCTTGAGACTTAAGACAGTACAGAGATGAATATTGATGCAAAGCTAAAAGCTCTTATAAAAATTATCACGGCCATTGTTCAACTTTTCCCCTGAATATTGATGAAACAAAACTGAAGGCTACCCTCTTACCTAAACTTGATTCTATGCCAGACAATAATAAATTGATTTCCTTTCTGGGAAAAGAATGCATGGTAACACAGTAAATGATCATTTTCCATTTGAAAGAAGTAGAAATGTTATTTGGTCTGTCACGTGGCGTCTTCCCACCGGTTTCATAAGTCCTAATTCTGCCCAATATCTATGACCTGACCAAAGCCTCCTTAGGTGTATGTTATGATTACATCCTTACTACGACTGGATAGCTAATGCCACAATAGTCACTATTAATCACTCAGTAAGTACTTCTGAGTACCAGTAATGCCAGAGACAGACCACCAGCAGAACTAGATTGCAGACTTTAAGTCCTGTCTCATCAGTACATTAGTTCAGCAGCAAAAAAATGGTTTATCAAAGGAAATATTAATCATCTGAATTATCTGAACAAATTCCTATGAGTTAATAATTATCTGAATTATTTTAGAATGTTATTAATGTTAGTACTTGTATTTTATTATTATAAGTTCTCTAGATTATAAAGAATGAAGTTCCAGCAAAAGGAAATATCAAAAGAGGTGGGTATGGGAGTGATGTGGCAGCTGTAAACATTGAGAAATAAACCATCAGCAACGTGGTGTCTTATGCATGGGAAAAACCTAAATATAGGAAAAGTCATAAAGACAATCATGCCTACTTCACATTTCTCACTAATTTTTCTTCTATAGCAAATCATTCACACTCATTATCTGTTTTAAATTCAAGTGCTTAAAGTACAATTTTCTGAGAGCTGCTTATATAGAACTACTTTGTGTTCTCTTTCATTTTTAAGGGGACTCTAAATTGAAAGTAAAATGTCTTTATCATTGGTTTCAAATAAAATTACAAATTTGCATGTGAGAACAGAATGCACTTTGTCCCCTCCTTTTTTGTTTACTTAATTAGTGACCTGAAAACAAAATAAAAATTGTGATACATTCATAGAACAAGGTGATATATTGAGTTTGGAATCCTTGCTACAATCCAAAGTGAAGAATTGCAGAAAATAATATTGGCAGATTTTGCAAATAGACATCTAATGAAGGACAACATTAAGTTAATCTACTCATTAAGTAATTCAATTGAAATGCAGAAAAACAACCAGAGGAAGAGAATAGAAATGACAGGGCTGCCATTTTATATATAGTGGTCATGGGAGGATGGTAAAAAGCTGAACAGAATGAGGGTCCAAGCCTTCCAATTACCTAAAGAACATTCTAGGCCAGGAAATAGTAAGTCCACTGGCCCTAGTTGGGAATGTACTTGAGATGTTTGATGAACACGCTTGAAGTGAGGTGAGTGAGGGGGAGAGTATAAAAATGTTGTCAGAAAAGTACCAAAACGGCAAATCCCCTAATCCTTGAAAGCCATAATGTACGACATAGGGTAATAACTAAGGCTATATATTTCAGAAGAAAGCCACACAAAGTAAATTTCTGTGAGGATCTCCAGCTGCTACTGTGATCAAAAGTCCTCACACTTTAAAAGTTGACCTTTTAACATTTGTGATAAGCTATAGCAAGGAAGACAGAGAAGTAGAAGGGAAAATTCAGGAGAGGAAACATGCTTGGATTCGTGGTAGAACACACTTTCCTCACTGCTCTCGTTGTTAGGAAAGGTATTTCCAACAAGGGAAGGTATTTCTTATAAGATGTATTTGCTTTACACTCTAGAATCTGGTCTTACTGACGTCAGGCCTTCCAGGGCTTTTCAACTAAGCCAACAACCTGGTTCTCTCCCTCAACAGAATTATGTAATCCAGTCAGCATAGGTTGAAACCATTAGCTCTGTGTTCCTATTTAATATCCATTTCTATACATCATAGAGAACCATATCATAATGGTGGTAGCAGGAATTACAATGCTGGTTCAAGCTGAAAGTGCACTAAAATATCCTACTTACATGATAAATTAATATGATGATTTAGAATCTAGTCTTTGAATAAGAGAGAAGAAAATGTGGTTCCTTACAATACCTCTCAAGCTCTGATCTTTTCTTCTGTAGGGGTGACATCTCTTCAATCCAATTTGAATCACCAAGTCTCTTTCCTCATTTATATGCTCTAGAGTGCTTCAGTAACAACACTAAATGAACATGAACTACAACAACACATTTTGCCAGTGATTGCAGAACCTCATTGAAAAATTGCATAAAATATAGGCTTTTGCTTATGGAAAATAAAACTCGTTCCATACATCGTGCACTCTGTGTATTAAATTTGAAAGAGAAGCCTAAGGCCACTAATTTTCCTATCTGATTCAGAAAGCAAGCACATCAGTTAAAAACAACTTTCATCTGCTAACAACGAGTGTTTGCCAATTACCCAGTATAAATATCAAACCTCTTTAATAATGTGATTTTTTTTTTTTTTGGAGAATGCTCTCTCCAAACTAAGTCCCTAGTGCACAAGTGATAGTAAGAGCTAATGAAAACAGCTACTGTACTGTAGGCATACTAAATCAGGATGTATTAATGTCAGGCTAAGTGAGCCCTAGTTACATTCACAAGGCAGCAATGTCAGCTTTCCACAAATATCAGGTACTCCTCCTTGCCACATATTTATCCTGAGAATGTTGCTCTCCCACAGACTGTGGTTGCTTAGGTTATGCATGTTTGTACTGTATGACCCTGCCCCACTGCTGGTCATATCTTACTGGACCAAGTTATAACCTAACCAAAGAGAGATAACTTATTGGCTTGTCAGAAGCCAGTGGGAATCTGTTTAGATCTTTAAAGTGAGACACAAACAGAGTTGGGAGATGAGCCCAGCATTAGAATGAAAATCCAAGAGCATCCTTGGACTAATGAAATATTCCTGCAGCCTTATATTTCAATATTTCCTTATATTCCATAAGCTACTATAAGAGTGTTGCTTTTATTTAATTTGTATTTAAGTTATTCTGAAATGCATTTCTGTGATTCAAAGCAACAAAGTTTTGATAGAGAATGCCACCACAAAAAAAAAACACAGAAATCATGTTCTAACTAACAACATCACTCATTGAGTAACTGACAAATTGCTGGATGCTCAGGGCTGACAAATGTGAGAAATTTTCAAGATTTTTTCAAAACTTTCAGTAAACTAGGAATATAGAGAACTTCTCCAATTTGATAAAGAGCATCTACAAAAAATCCTACAGCTAACACCATACTTAATAGTGAGAAACATGAAGTGTTTCCACTAAGATGAGGAACATAGCAAAAATATTCCCTTTCATCACTGTTTTTCAACATTGTACTAGAAGTCCTAGCCAATGCAATAAGACAGGAAAGGAAAGAAAAGGTAAACAGATCAGGAAAAAAAGAAATAAAACTTTCTTGAAATATTCAACAAAAATCTCCTGGAACTGATAAGTGATTGTAGCAAGGTTGCAGCATACAAAGTTAACATACAAAAGTAAATCACTTTCTTATATACCAGCAATGAACAAGTGGACTTTGAAGTTAAAAATACAATACTGATATACTGACTTCCACTTCCAAAATGGCACTGTAGAAACAAGCTGGCTTCACTCCCCCTCACAGAAAACAAACAAATATACAGCACTGAGATTATCACCGGCAATACCTCCACAACTCAAATGTGATGAGTCAGTTCCCAGGGCCACAGAGAAGAAAAAAGAAAAAAAAAAATCTCTAAGCAGATGATAAGAGAATTGGATTTTCATATTTGTGATGCCCCTCTCTCCAATCCCCCTGGCACCAAGCATGCAGAAAATTTCCTCCAACTCAGCTTCTACACTGCAAAAAGTGAGATCAAGGTGGACAACCAGTTTTCCCACCATCTTGGGTTCTTTGGCAGAAGGTCTGTGAATGCTTATACCCACAGGAAATATTATGAGTGCCTAAAGGAAAACATAACCCTGAGGACAGCCAGAAACAAAGAGCGAAGGTGGGACTATCATCCCCAGCCCTGGAAACTCTGATCTGTAACTCAACCAAAGGAGACACCAAATCAGAGTGGCTGTTGAGAAGCACCACATCTTAGGAGGTACATTCCACAGATCACCTGGGCATTAACCCCTAGTCAGTCATTCCACACTGCCAGGATATCCTCTTTGGGACCTCCCCCATTCTGGATAGTCAGCACTCTGTTTGCTACAGGTGAGGCAAATCTGGATGTTAGGCTCAATGCAGTGCTGAAAAGCAGACAGTGACCTAGTGGAAAAAAATATAAGAAGTTCAACAGGAAATTATGCAGACTCTCTAAACAAACATAACCAATACAAAACAAAACAAGCCAGACAGAGAAGAATGGAATAAATAATCTTTCAGTGCTGAGACGTAGATGTACAACCACAAGAAACAACAACAAACAGGGAGCCATGACCTCCTCAAACAGACAAAACAAATAACCAGTGACTAACCCTAATAATACAGTGATAAGTGGGCTCTCTGACCAAGAATTCAAAAGAGCACTTAAAAGGAAACTCAGTAATCTCCAGGATAACACAGAAAAGCAATTCAGAAATTTATCAGAGAAATTTAACAAAGAGATTGAAACAAATTTAAAAACTAAAACAGAAACCTTGAAATTGAGAAATACATTCAGTGAACTGAAAAATCTACTGGAGGTTCTCAACAGCAGAATGAATCAAGCAGAGGACAGAATTGGTGAGGTCAAAGACAGGTTATTTAAAATTACACAGTGAGGCTAGGTGCAGTGGCTTATGCCTGTAATCCCAGCATTTTGTGGGGGCCAAGGCAGGCAGATCATGAGGTCAGGAGTTCGAGACCAGCCTGACCAACATGGTGAAACCCCGTTTCTACTAAAAAACACACACACAAAAAAAAAAGTTAGCCAGCTGTGGTGGCAGGCACCTGTAATCTCAGCTACTCGGGAAGGTGAGGCAGGAGAATTGCTTGAACTTGGGAGGTAGAGGTTGAAGTGAGTTGAGATCACACCATTGCACTCCAGCCTGGGTGACAGTGTGAGACTCCCTCTCAAAAAAAAAAAAAAAAAAAATTACACAATGAGAGGGAGAAGAAAAGAAAAAACTAGGAAAAGGAATGAAGATTGCCTATAAGATACAGACAACTATAAAGATCAAATTTAAGAATTACTGGTGTTCAAGAGGGAGTTGAGTAAGGGAGATAAAGCATATACAAAGAAATAATAACAAGATTTTAATAACAAAATTCAAGAAAGGTACACATATCCACATATAGGAAGGTCAGAGAGAACCAATCAAATTCAACCCAAATTGGCCTAATGCAAGGCTTATAATAGTCAAACTCTCAAAGTCAAGGACAAAGAGAAGACCTTAAAAACAGCAAGAAGAAAGAAGCGAGTAACAGTATGTTTATTGCAGCACTGTTCACAATAGCAAAGACTTGGAACCAACCCAAATGCCCATCAATGATAGACTGGATAAAGAAAATGTGGCACATATACACCATGGAATACTATGCAGCCATACAAAAGGATGATTCATGTCTTTTGCAGGGACATGGATGAATCTGGAAACCAAACACCACATGTTCTCACTCATAAGTGGGAGTTGAACATTGAGAACACATCGACACAGGGAGGGGAACATCACACACTGGGGCCTGTCAGAGGGTGGGAGGCTATGGGAAGGATAGCCTTAGGAGAAATACCTACTGTAGATGACAGGTTGATGGGTGCAGCAAACCACCATGGCATGTGTATACCTATGTAACAAATCTGCATGTTCTGCACATGTATCTCAGAACTTAAAGTAAAATAATAATAACAATAATAATAACAATAATGGAGCCCCAGTTCATCTGGCAACAGACTTCTTAATGGAAACCATACAGGCCAAAAGGGAAAGTGAATTTTCAAAATGCTAAATGAAAAAAACACTGTTATCCAAGAATACTTTATCCTGCAAAGCTATCCTTCAAATATGAAGAAGAGATAAAGTCTTTCTCAGACAAACAAAAGATAAGACAATTCACCACCACCAGACCCATCTTACAAGAAATGCTAAAGGGAGTTCTTCAAAGTGACAAGAGAAAACACTAATGTCCAAAAAGGAAATTTTTTTTCCAATTTTACAGTTTATTATATGTCAATTATATTTCTTTTTTATCTTTTAGGTTCAGTGGGATATGTGCAGGTTTGTTATGTAGGTAAACTTGTGTTATGGGGTTTTTGTACAGATTATTTCATCACCCAGGTGTTAAGCCTACTACCCATTAGTTGGTTTTCTTGATCCTCTCCCTCATCCCATCCTCCACCCTCCAATAGAACCCAATATCTATTGTTCCCCTCTATGTGTCCACATATTCTTATCATTGAGCCTCCACTTATAAGTAAGAATGCTCAGTATTTGGTTTCCCATTTCTGCATTAGTTTGCTAGGGATAATGGCCTCCCCCTCCATCCATGTTCCTGCAAAGGACATGACCTCATTCTTTTTTATGGCTGCATAATATTCCATGGTGTATATGTATCACATTTTCTTTATCCAGTCTACCATTGATGGGCATTTAGGTTGATTCTACATCCTTGCTAAGAAACATTTAAAGGTATAAAATCAACTTGTACAATTAGGTACAAAGATAAACCAAGAATACACCAATAGTGTAATTGTGGTGTATAATCTACTTATAACTCTAGTATGAAACCTAATGACAAGTCTATCAAAAATAATAGCTACAGCAACTTGTTAAGAGATAGGCAGTATAAAAATATGCAAACTGAGATAACCAATAGTCAAAATCTGAGGGGATGAAGTTAAAATGTAGAGGGTTTTTTAGTTAGTTCTTTGTTTTTATTCCTTTTTTGGTGATCTAAGATAAGTTTCCATCTCTTTAAAATAATTTTTATAACTTTAAGATATTTTTCTTAAGCCTCATGGTAACCACAATACAAAAACCTGTAACAGATACACTGAAAATGACAAAACAATGTTAAAACATACTACTAGAGGAAATTATTTAGCCATAAAGGATGACAGTAAGAAAGGAAGAAAAATGAGAGGGTTTATAAAACAAGAGAACAAGCAAAAAATTGTAGAAATAAGTGCTTACATATCAATAATAACACTGAATGTATATGGACTCAATTCTCCAACTAAAATACATAAAGTGACTGAATGGATGAAAAAACAAGATCCAACTCTATGCCATCTACAAGAAACTAACCTCACCTCTAAAGATACACACAGGCTGAAAGTGAAAGGGTGGAAAAAAGATATCCCATGCAAGTGAAAAGCAAAAAAGGAAAGAGTAGCTATATTTATATCACATAAAATAGACTACAAGTCAAAAGCTATGAAAAGAGATGACGAAGTTCACTATATAATGACAAAGGGATCAACAAAGCAGGAGAATATAAAAATTACAAATATCTATATACCCAACACCAGAGCTCCCGTGTAGATAAAGCAAACATTAATAGATATAAAGAGGGAGACAGACTGCAATATAATAATAGTAGGTGACTTTAACATCCCACTGTCAGTAATGGACAAATCATTTAGACAGAAAATAAACAAAGAATCATTGAAATTAAACTACACACATGGCCAAATAGCTTTAACTGACATTTATGAAACATTTCACCCAACTGCAGCAGATTATATATGTTTTTTTTCATTAGCACATGGAACATTCTCCAGAATAGACCATACATTAGGCCACAAAACAAGTCTCAATAAATTTAAAAAGTAGAAATCATATCAAGTATATTTTCTGCTCACAATGAAATAAAACTGGAAATCAATAATAAGAGAAGGCTTGGAAAATACACAAACACATGGAAATTAAACAATGTGCTCTTGAACTACCAATGGGTCAATAAAGAAACTAAGAAGGAAATTTAAAAATTTATCAAAAAAACGAAAATGGAAATACAAAATATCAAAATCTATGGAACACAGCAAAAGCAATACTAAGAGTGAAGTTCA
The DNA here is from genome assembly GCF_000001405.40 of Homo sapiens. Classification (NCBI taxonomy): domain Eukaryota; kingdom Metazoa; phylum Chordata; class Mammalia; order Primates; family Hominidae; genus Homo; species Homo sapiens. The sequence goes on from NC_000004.12 coordinate 102,109,767, forward strand.
TAGCAATAAATGTCTACATCAAAGTAATTTGAAACAACTCCAAATAAACAACCTAATGATGCACCTCAAGAACTATAAAAGCAAGAACAAACCAAACATTAGAAAAATGAAAGAAATATTAAAAATGAGAGCAAAAGTAAATGAAATGGAAACTTTAAAAATGCAAAATTTCGATGAAATAAAATATTGTATTTTTGAAAAGTTATAAAAATCTACAAATCTTTAGCTAGACTAAGAAAAAAAGACAGAATACCCCCCCCCAAAAAAAAACAGAAACAAAAAAGGGGCTATAACAATTGAAACCACAGAAAGAAAAAGAATCATTAGAAACTATTACAAACAACTATATGCCAACAAATTGGGAAACCTATAAAAATTGATAAACTCCTAGACACATACAACCTACTAAGATTGAACCATGAAGAAATTTTAAAACCTCAAGAAATCAATAAAAAGTAACAATATCAAAACCATAATAAAGTCTCCCATCAAACAAAAGCCCAGGACTGGATGACTTCACTGCTGAGTTCTACCAAACATTTAAAGAAGAACTAATAGCAACTCTACTCAAACTATTCCAAAAAATAGAGGAGGGAATACGTCCAAACTCATTCTACCAGGCCAGCAATTACCCAGATACAAAAAAAACAGACAAGAACACACAAAAAAAGAAAACTTCAGGCCAATATCACCGATGAACACAGGTGCAAAAATCCTCAACAAAAACCAGCAAACAGAATTCAACAACACAATAAACAGATAATTGACCATGATCAAGTTGGATTTATCCCAGTGATGCAAAGAGGGTTCAACATACACAGATCGCTAAATGTGATACATACATCACATTGACAGAACCAAGAACAAAAAACATATGATCATTTTGAGCAATGCAGAAAAATGATTTGATTAGAGTCAACATTCTTTTCTGATCAAAACCCTAAACAAACTGGGTGTTGAAAGAACACGCTTCAAAATACTGAAGGTCATATATGACAAAACCAAAGTCAACAACAAATGGCACAGGGTAAAATTGCCAAGGATGCCCACTTTCACCATTTTATTCAACATAATACTGGAAGGCCTGGCGAGAGGAAGTCAAATTATCCTTGTTTGCAGATGATAGATCTTATATTTAGAAAAACCTAAAGAATTCACATTAAAAAAACTGTTAAAACTGTTAAGTTCAGTAAACTTGCAGGATACAAAATCAGCATACAAAAGCAGTAGCATTTATATATCCCAACCACAAACAATCTGAAAAAGAAATTTTTAAAAATCTCATTTACAATAGCTACAAAGAATATAAAATACCTAGGAATCAACTAAATCAAAGATGTGAAAGATCTAAAAGGGAAAACTATAACATTCTCACTAAAGAAATTGAAGAGTACATTGAAATAAATAGAAAGTTATTCCATGCTCATGGATTAAAAGAATTAATATTGTTGAAATGACAATGCTACCCAAAGCAATTAACAGATTCAATGCAATTCCTGTCAAAATATCAATGAAATGTTCCATGTAAATAGAAAAAAAAATCCTGAAGATTGTATGGCACCACCCAGAATAGCCAAAGCAATCCTGAGGAAAAAGATTAAAGCTGGAAACATCACACTTCTCAACTTCAAAATATACTACCAAACTATAGCAATCAAATCAGCATGGTATCAGCATAAAAACAGACACATGGACCAATGTAATAGAGTACAGGACTCATATAAACCTACACATTTACAGACTACTCATTTTTGACAAAGATACCAAGAACATTCAATAGGGGAAAGACAGTGTCTTCAATAAATTGTGCTGGAAAAACTGAATGACCATATGCAGAAGAATAAAACAGACCCCTATCTCTCATCATATAAAAAAATTAAATCAAAATTGATTAAAGACTTAAATATAAGACCTGAAACTATGAAAGTGCTAGCAGAAAACATTGGGTGAATACTCCAGGACATTGGTATGGATAAAGACTTTTGGTGGTGGGGGGGTAAAACCTCAAAAGCACAAGCAACAAAAGCAAAAATATACAAATAAGATTACATCAAGTTAAAAAGCTTCTACATTGCAAAGAAAACAATGAACAAAATGAAGACCCAAACCACAGAACTGGAGAAAATATTTGCAAACTATTCACCTGATAGGAATTAATAACCAAAATATATAAGGAACTCAAGAGATACAATAACAAAAAAAAATCAGATTTTTTAATGGGCAAAAGTTCTGAATGGACACTTGTCAAAAGAAGACATACAAAATGGCAAACAGGTATATTGAAACATGCTCAGCATCACGGATCACCAAAGAAATGCAAATCAAAACTACAATGAGGCATCATCTCACTCCAGTTAGGATGGCTTTTATCAAAAAGACAGGGAATAACAGATGCTGGCAAGGATGTGGAGAAAGAGGATCCCTTGTACAATGTTGGTAAGAATGTAAAATAGTATCACCACTACGAAAAACAGTGTGGAGGTTCCCCAACAAACGGAAAATAGAACTATCATATGATCCAGCAATCTCATTACTGGGTATATATCCAAAAGAAAGTAAATCAATGTACCGAGGAGATATCTGCACTCCCATATTTATTGTAGCACTATTCACAATAGCCAAGATATGGAACAACCTAAGTGTACATTGATGGATGAATGAATAAGGAAATTTGATATATAGACATAATGGAATATTGTTTGCCCATTAAAAAGTATGAAATCCTGTCATTTACAGCAACTTGGATGGAACTGAAGATCATTGTGTTAAGTGAAATAAGCCAAGCCCAGAAAGACAATATCACATGTTCTCACTCATATGTGGGAACTAAAAAAGTGGATCTCATGAAGATAGAGAGTTGAGTGGCAGTTACTGGAGGCTACACAGGGGAGAAGGAAGGATAAAGGAAGATTGATTAATGCTTACAAAATATACACTTAGAAGAAACAAAACCTGGTGTTCAATGGATCAGTAGGGTGAGTATAGTTAACTGTAATCAATTGTACATTTCAAAATAGCTGAAAGAGAATAATTTTAATGTTCCTAGTGTAAACAAAAGATAAATATTTATGGTAATGGATATCCCAGTTACCCTGATGTGATTATATAAATGTATCAAAGTATCACATATACCCCCAAAATATGTATATCTAATATATATTAATTTTTTAAAATAAAATCATTAAAAACTAAAAATTAAATAAAAATACAGTTTACATTATCAAACAATTAGGTATAAGTCTAACAAACTGTGTACAAGATCTGTATAAGGAAAACTACAAAACCCTCATGAACAAAATCAAATAACTAAATTAATGGAGAGATATTCCACATACATGGGTAGGCAGACTCAATATTGTCAAGATGTTAGTTCTTCCCAACTTGACCTAAAGATTTAATGCTAACCCAACCAAAATTTTAGCAAGTTCTTTTGCAGATATCAACAAATTTATTCTAAAGTTCATATGGAGAGGCAAAAGACCCAGAATAGCCAACATAAATTTGTTTTGTTTTGTTTTTTTAGATGGAGTCTCGCTCTGTCGCCCAGGCTGGAGTGCAGTGGCACAATCTCGGCCCCCTGCAACCTCTACCTCCCCGGTTCAAGCGATTCTCCTGCCTCAGCCTCCCGAGTAGCTGGGACTACAGGTGCGGGCCACCATGCCTGGCTAATTTTTTGTATTTTTAGTAGAGACAGGGTTTCACCGTGTTAGCCAGGATGGTCTTGATCTCCTGACCTCGTGATCCGCCAGCCTCGGCCTCCCAAAGTGCTAGGATTACAGGCGTGAGCCATCGTGCCCGGCCAGGTAACATAATTTTTAACATACCTATGCGGACAACTGCCAAGACTAAAGAGAAGGGCTCAAAGTGAATGGATTCCTAAATGTACTTAGCAGAAATTGCTCGGAACTGAATAAAGGAAACCTCTCAGCTATGACATTCCTCTAAGAGTATTTCACCAAAGGGACAAATCTTTTTTTTTTCTTTTAAATCGCATTTTAAAAAAAATCAGTTTTACCACTCATGCAGAACACCAAACCTATCAAGGTACCTGAAAAATCCTTTTGGTGATTAAGACGTGATTGGCTTTACCCAAAGAGCCTCACAGCAGCCCCCAATGTTGACTGTAGAATTAGAATGGTTTCTGTAGAATTCTTTAGAATGGTTCTGTAGAATGGTTGACTGTAGAATTAGAATGGACTGTAGAATTAGAATTAACAGCTTAGAGACTGGCACTCTCAAGTAACTGATCTTGTACCTCAGAGCTGGTGTCATTAACCTGTTAGGTTCAGGCTTCTTTGCACATACACCTTGAACTCTTTCACTATCAAAATGTATGGATTTAAATATATTAGAGCACAGTAATCACAAAATTGAATTAAAATGAGTCCATAAATGGCTCCCTGGTTTAAAGTGGGATGTTAGTGCCATTCTGAGAGTGGCCGGTACCACTTCACACCTGTCAGGAGAATTGAATTATCCGATCTAGAAAGGCATCTACCTGAGTGTGACTGTTAAGGTTTTAAATAGTCACTCCTCCCAGATCTCCTCATCTATGATGGAGTTTAACATTCCAGCCGTGTTACAAATGCTTTAAGGTCCTTTCTGAATGAGAGCATTCTGGCTAAGTTTTCTAGGGCTGCCTGCCAGAGTCAATCTCAGCTAACATCCTCAGGATACACTTGGATCTCTTAATAATGCTGCCCCCATAAGAAGAGAATGTCTTGTGCATTGCCAAGTTCAGGAGAGGAACTGTTCTCTTGTCCATCTCTGTCACATTAGATCAGGCTAGTGGCCAAAGCTTTCTTAAATTGGTTTCAGAAATCCACAATTATTCCTTAGATTAGTTCCTTCCAACTCACAGATTACTACTGTTTTCTATTAAAACAAAGGGAAAATGTATATTTTATTTTGTCTAAGCTCCCAACATTATTAACACAGAAGATTTCCTACTATGTGTAGGATGGCAGGACATGCCATATTCCAGCCTTTATTTGACTTAACTGCCATAGAGCTACATTTGATGTAAAGTCTTATTTCATATAACTGACAGGTGGGGTCAGATGTAAGAAAAAGCCTTATTTATTTTAGTAAAGAAAAGGAAAAAAGCATATGAAGGAATAGGAAGAATAAAATTATACAATAAATGCTGCATTACTAATCTAACCTGTCTAATCCTGAGTAGTCAAGCACTTGCTTCTCATCAGTGTGACATTAAACCATGTTCCTATAGTATAAGTAGATTTACTTTCTTTAAATTCCATAAAGCTATGAATTACTTAGATAGAAAAATAGGCTATTTAGATGAGTAAAACAGTACAATCATAAACCATTTTTTTAAATTGCTCTTGGTAGATTAATTACCTTGGAGTTTTCTCTCTCTCTTTCTTCTGAAGTGCCATTTTGAGGAACTGCCTGTAATTTAAGGAAACCTGAAGCCAATGCCTTCCCAGTCTCGATATCTATCTTCAGGATTGCTGGAGACCATACCAACAAACTACCACTTATGTTCTCATCCCAGGCTACTCCCAGGCTTCACTCACAGGCAAAGTTTACATCATCAAAACCTAAGGATATGACTTCACCTATTCCTCTCATGTCTCAAGTGTCGAGGGCATCGAGTTAATGAAATCAAGATTAGAAATCAAGTCTAATCTATGTTGGGACCAGATGTCCTCCCTCTGTTCTATAGCTATAGCTCGCTAAATAAAAAATGCTTTCCCAGAAAAAAATGATGACCAGATGAGAGGGTATGAGTGGATGCATAAAAACTCTCCACTCAGTAGAAAAACAACTCCAGGGTATGCCACAGGCATGGAGCATGCATCAGCAGCAGTTGCAGTAGTTGGCAAAGAGGAAAGTGGGTTGTAACAACCATGGAATGACTTAACCACTGAGAACACAATCCATAGAATAACAACAACAAAAGTCACCTGTCTTTTATGTTAATTACACAATCCGAATTTTAGATATCTTTTTTTCCAAGTGACCATATGAAAAATTGCCTGCAAAGTAATATGTGGTAAATCATAAGTGAGAGAAATGTCAACCTAAATCCTAAGTTCAGCTCTCTTCTACTTTCCCAGAAGGAATCTTGTGATTCCATAGCTCATTATCTTTGACAGCCACACACACACACACACAAACACACACACACACTCATTTGCTTTGCTATTGCAAACACTAATGTAACTAATTCTCTATTTATATATAAAATGCTTACTAAAAGTATAAAGTGTAAAAAGACATATCGGTACCATATTGTATTTTGCTGTAACCTAAATCATTGCTTTATTTTTCATAGTCATAAATGATTCCCTTATGGCTTTGTCATAACCCAAAAGATGAAAATTTCTTTAGATGAATTTCCAATCGCTCTCTAATTTTATTGCTGACTTTTGTCTAGAAGAGAAAATAAATTAAAATACCTTGAAAAAAAAGATATTTTCTTTTCAAAGACTCATTCAACCAGAAACAAAGTGTTTCACCATGACTTGACAGCCACCCATTTCAAATCAGAATCAACTGAACTTGACATTGCCATTAAGCTCTGGCTCCTTCTTATTTCCTAGTGACAGGTGGCTTTAGGGCTTGGAGTCTGGACAACTGTCATCTCTTATATATTGAAACACTGAACTATTGTTCCATAAGAAAATGACTATTTTATTTATACTGCCCAAATATTCACTATATTCTATCGTCCGCAAGAATTCTATATTCATCTTATTTTCTTGATTCTTGTTCATGCAACATTACACAAATATTTATTGAGCCCCTGGGTGTCAGTCACTGTGCTATGTGATACTCTAGCAATAAAAAAATCCTCTTCTCCCCATAAATACCTAGGGAGACAGGTAGAGAAGGAATTACAATGCAGCACAATCCATTACATTATACAACTCGGGAGACTGATCAGCAGTTAATTATTTTTTAACTTTTTAAAATTTTTCATTTATGTGGGTACATAGTAGGTGTACATATTTATGGTGTACATGAGATATTCTGATACAGGCATACAATGCATAATAATCACATCAGAGTAAATGGACTATCCATCACCTCGGGTATTTATCCTGTGTGTTATAAATAATCCAGTTATACTCTTTTAGTTATTTTTAAATGTATAATAAATTATTGTTGATGTTGACTATAGTCATGCTGTTGCACTGTCAAATAATAGATCTTATTCTTTCTATTTTTTTATATCCACTAACCATCCTCACTCCCCACCCCCCACCCACTACCCTTCCCAGCCTCTGATAGCCATCATTCTATCTCTATCTTCATGAGTTTGTTTTAATTTTTACCACAAATAAGTGAGAACATGAGAAGTTTTTCTTTCTGTGCTTAGCTTATTTCACTTAGCATAATGACCTCCAGTCCTATCCATGTTGTTGCAAATGACTGGATCTCATTATTTTTTTATGGCTGAATAGGGTGTATGTACCACATTTCCTTTATCCATTCATCTGACTATGGACACTTAGTTTGCTTCCAGATCTTTGAAGCTATTGGCTATTATGAATACTGCTGCAATAAACATGAGACTTCAGATATGTATTTGATGTACTGATTTCCTTTCTTTGGGGCATATACCCAGTAGCAGGATTACTGGATCATATTGTAGTTCTATTTTTAGTATTTTGAGGAACTTTCAAAAAGTTACCCATAGTGATTGTACTAATTTACATTCCCACCAATAGTGTATGAGTGTTCCATTTTCTCCACATCCTTGCCAGCATTTGTTATTGCCTGTCTTTTGGAGTAACACCATTTTAACTAGGGTGAGATGATATCTCATTGTGGTTTTGATTTGCATGTCTGTGATAATTAATGATGTTGACCATCTTTTCACATACCTGTTACCATTTGTACATCTTCTTTGGAGACATGCCTATTCAGATCTTTTGCCCATAATTAAATCATACTGTTAGATTTTTTTTTCCTGTTGAATTGTTTGAAACCCTTCTATATTCTGCTCATTAATCCCTTGTCAGATGTGTACTTTGCAAATATTTTCTCCCATTATATGGGTTGCCTCTTCACTTTGTTGATTGCTTCCTTTGTTGTGCAGAAGGTTTTCAACTTTAAATGATCCCATTTGTCCATTTTTTGCTTTGATTGCCTGTGCTTCTGGGATATTACTCAAGAAATTTTTGGCCAGAATAATGTCCTCGAGATTTTCCCCAATGTTGTCTTTTAGTCGTTTCATAGCCTGAGCTCTTCTATTTAAGACTTTAATCCATTTTGATTTGATTTTTATATATGGCAAGAGATAAAGATCTAGTTTCATTCTTCTGCATATGGATATCCAGTTTTCCCAGTACCATTTATTGAAGAGACTGTCTTTTCCTCAATGTATGGTCTTGGCACCTTTCTCAAAATGAGTTCACTGAGGATGTATGGATTTGTTTCTTGGTTCTCTATTCTGTTTCATTAGTCTGTGTCTGTCCATGCTGTTTTAGTTAATAAAGCTCTGTAGTATAATTTGAATTTAGGTAATATGATTCATCCATTATTTTTATTTTTGCTCAAGATAGTTTTGGCTATTCTGGGTCTTTTGTGGTTCCATATAAATTTGTGGTTTTTTTCTATTTCTGTGAGGAATGTCATTGATATTTTGATAGGGATTGCATTGAATCTGTAGATTTATTTGGGTAGCATGGACATTTTAACAATATTAATTCTTCCAGTCCACAAGGTGGAACATATTTCCAGTTTTTTGGTGTCCTCTTCAATTTCTTGCATCAATGTTTTATAGTTTTCATTGCAGAGATCTTTCTCTTCTTTGGTTAATTCCTAGGAATTTTATTTTATTTGTAGCTATTGTGAATGGGATTACATTATTTATTTCTTTTTCAGATTGTTCACTGTTGGCATATAAAAGTGCTACTGTTTTTTGTATGTTGATTTTGTATACTGCAACTTTACTGAATTTGTTTATGAATTCTAGTAGTTTTTCAGCGGTCTTTAGATTTTTCCAAATATAAAATTATATGCAAATGAAGATAATTTGGCTTCTTCCTTTCCAATTTGGATGCCCTTTACTTCTTTCTTCTATCTGTTCTAGCTAGGACTTCCAGTATTGTGCTGAGTAAGAGTGGTGAAAGCTGGCAACCTTGTCATGTTCCAGATCATAGAGGAAGGGATTTTAGTTTTTCCCTATTCAGTGTGATACCAGCTATTGGATCTGTCATATATGGCTTTAATTGTGTTAAGGTATGCTCCTTCAATACCCAGTTTTTTAGGGTTTTTATCATGAAGGGATGTTGAATATTCTCAATTTTTTTGCATCAAATGAAATGATCATATGGTTTTTGCCCTTCATTCTATTGATATGATGCATTACATTGATTGATTTGCATATGTTAAACCTTCCTTGCATCCCAAGGATAAATCCCACTTGGTCACGATAAATGTTCTTTTAAATATGTTGTTGAATTCCATTTGCTAGTATTTTGATGAGAATTTTTGCATCAATATTTATCAGGGATACTGCCTGTAGTTTTCTTTCTTTGATGTGTTTTTGTCTGGTTTTGGTATCAGGGTAATACCAGCCCCATAGAATGAGTTTGAAAGTATTCCCTCCTCCTCTATTTTTTGGAATAGTTTGAGTAGAATTAGAATTGTTCTTCTTTAAATGTTTGGTAAAATTCAGCAGTGAATCCATCAAATCCTAGCCTTTTCTTTGCCAGGAAATTTTTATAATAGCATTGATCTCATTATTTGTTATTGGTCTGTTCAGGTTTTGGATTTCTATAGGGGTAAGTTGCATGTGTCTGGAATTTGTTCATTTCTTCTAGGTTTTTCAAATTATTGGCATATAGTTACTCATAGTAGCCTCTAATGATCCTTTGCATTTCTGTGGTATTGGTTGTAATATTCCCGTTTTTATCTCTGATTGTATTTATTTGGGTCTTCCTTTCTTAGTTATTCTGACTAAAGGTTTGTTTTTGTTCCTTTGATCTTTTGTATTGTTTTCTTCTTTTCGATGTCATTTATTTCTGCTTTGATATTTATTATTTATTTTATTTTACTAATTTTAGATGTGGTTTGCTCTTGTTTTTCCAGTTCTTTAAGATGTATTGTTAAGTTGTTTATTTGAAGTTTTAAAAATTTTTATGTAAGTGCTTATAGTCATAAATTTCCCTCTTAGTACTGCTTTCACTGTATCCTATAGATTTTAGTATGTTGTGTTCCCATTACCATTCATTTCAAAAAATTTTAAATTATTCTTCTAAATTTCTTCATTGAAATTCAATTGCTCGTTCAGGATCATATTGTTTAATTTCCATATATTTGGGTGGTTTCTAAAATTCCTTTTGTTACTGATTTCTAGTTTTACTCATTATGTTCAGAGAAAATACTTGATATAATTTAAATTTTTTAAACTTTTTTCTAAGACTTGTTTTGTGGCCTAACATATGGTATCTCCTTGAGAATGATTCATGTGCTTAGGAAAAAAATATGTATTCTGCAGCCATTGGATGAAATACTCTGTAAATATCTATTAGATCCATTTAGTCTATGGTGCAGATTAAGTCCCATGTTTGTTTCTTTGTTGATTTTCTGTCTGGACAATCTGTCCAAGGCTGAAAGTAGGGTATTGAAGTCTCCAGCTATTACTGTATTAGGTTCTCCCTTTCTCATTAGTTCTAATAATATCTGTTTTATATATTTAGATGCCTAAGTGTTGGTTGCGGTGCATATATATTTACAACTGTTACATCTTCTTACTAAATTGACCCCTTTATAATTATACAATGACCTTCTTTGTCTTTTTTTATTTTATTTTATTTTTTGTGAGACGGAGTCTCTCTCTGTCGCCCCAGCTGGAGTGCAGTGGCGCGATCTCAGCTCACTGCAAGCTCTGCCTCCCGGGTTCATGCCATTTTCCTGCCTCAGCCTCCCGAGTAGCTGGGACTACAGGCGCCCGCCACCACGCCTGGCTAATTTTTTGTATTTTTAGTAGAGACAGGGTTTCACCGTGTTAGCCAGGATGGTCTCAAACTCCTGACCTCGTGATCTGCCAGCCTCAGCCTCCCAAAGTGCTGGGATTACAGGCATGAGCCACTGCGCCTGGCCTTCTTTGTCTCTTTTTATAGTTTTTGTCTTGAAACCAATTTTGTCTGATTGAAGTGCAGCTACTCCTGCTCTTTTTTGGTTTACATTGGCATGGAATATCTTTTTCTATCCTTTTATTTTCAGTCTATGTGCATCTTCACAGGTGAAGTGTGTTTCTTTACAAGCAACAGATCAATGGGTCTTGTTTTTTCATGCATTCAGCCACTCTATGTCTTTTGATTGGAGAGTTTAGTCCATTTACATTTAGTGTTATTATGAATAAGTAAGGACTTACTTCTGCCATTTTGTCATTTGTTTTCTGGTTGTATTGTGCTCTTTTCTTCCTTCTTTTCTTCCTTCCTGTCTTCCTTTAAGTGAAGATGATTTCCTGTGGTTGCAAATTTTAATTTCTTGCTTTTTATTTTTTGTGTATCTGTTGTATGTTTTTCAGTTTGAGCTTACTATGAGGCTTGCAATTAATATCTTATAACCTATTATTTTAAACAGATAATGATTGATTGCATAATAAACAAACAACAAACAAGCAAAAAGAAAACAAAATGTCTGTTCTTTAACTTCATCCCCTCCCCACTTTTTAACTTTTTGTTGTTTCTGTTTAGATCTTATTGTACTATGTCTTGAAAAATTGTTGTAGTTATTATTTTTGATCAGTTCATCTTTTAGTCTTTCTATTTAAGATACAAATAGTTTACACAACACAATTACAATGTTATAATATTTTGTGTTTTTCTAGGTACTTACTATTACCAGTGAGTTTTGCACCTTCATTTCTGATTTCTGATTGCTCATTAATGTCCTGTTCTTTCAGATTGGTGATCTCCCTTTAGCATTTCTTATGGGACAGGTCTTTAAAACTCTATGGAAGGATGAAATCCCTCAGCTTTTCTTTGTCTGGGAAAGTGTTTATTTCTCCTTCATGTATGAAATATATTTTTGTCAGATATACTATTCTAGGATAATAGTTGTTTTCCTTCAGCACTTTATATATGTCATGCCATTCTCTCCTGGCCTGTAAGGTTTCCACGGAAAAGTCTGCTGCCAGATGTATTGGAGCTCCATTGTGTGTTATTTGTTTCTTTTCTCTGGCTGCTTTTAGAATCCTTTCTTTATCTTTGACCATTGGGCATTTGAATGTTAAATGTCTTGTGGTAGTCTTCTTTGGATTAAATCTGCTTAGTGTTCTATAACCTTTTTGTACTTGAATATTGATATCGTTCTCTAGATCTGGGAAGTTCTCTGATATTATCTCTTTGAATAAACTTTCTACTCCTATCTCTTTCTCTATCTCCTCTTTAAGGCCAATGACTCTTAGATTTACCCTTTTGAGGCTATTTTCTAGATCTTGTAGGCATACTTCATTTTTCTTTTTTTTTTATTATACTTTAAGTTTTAGGGTACATGTGCACAATGTGCAGGTTAGTTACATATGTATACATGTGACATGCTGGTGCACTGCACCCACTAACTCATCATCTAGCATTAGGTATATCTCCCAATGCTATCCCTCCCCCTTCCCCCCACCCCACAACATTCCCCAGAGTGTGATGTTTCCCTTCCTGTGTCCATGTGTTCTCATTGTTCAATTCCCACCTATGAGAGAGAACATGCAGTGTTTGGTTTTTCTTCTTGCGATAGTTTACCGAGAATGATGATTTCCAATTTCATCCATGTCCCTACAAAGGACATGAACTCATCATTTTTTATGGCTGCATAGTATTCCATGGTGTATATGTGCCACATTTTCTTAATCCAGTCTATCATTGTTGGACATTTGGGTTGTGTCCTCTGACTTGTATTTTCAAATAGCCTACCTTGAGCTTACTAATTCTTTCTTCTGCTTGATTAGTTCTGCTGACAAGAGACTCTGATGCACTCTTTCATATGTCAATTGCATTTTCCACTCCAATATTTCTGCTTGATTCTTTTTAACTATTTCAATCTTTTTGTTTAATTTATCTGACAGGATTCTGTATTCCTTCTCTGTGTTATCTTGAATTTATTTGATTTTACTCAGAACACCTATTTTGAATTCACTGTCTGAATGGTTACATGTCTGTCTCTCCGGGATTGGTCACTAGTGCCTTACTTAGTTCATTTGGCAAGGTCCTATTTTCCTGGATGGTCTTGATGCTTGTGGATGTTCATCAGTGTCTGGACATTGAAGAGTTAGATATTGTAGTCTTTTTAGTCTGATCTTACTTGTACCCATCCTTCTTGGGAAGGCTTTCCAGGTATTTGAAGGGACTTGGGTATTGTAATCCAAGTTTTTGGTCACTGCAGCCATATCCACATTAGGGGCACCATAAGTCCAGTAATGCTGTGGTTCTTGCAAACTCGTAGAGGTACAACCTTGGTGGTATTGGATCAGATTTGGAAGAATTCTCTAAATTACAGGCAGAGACTCTTCCTCTCTTCCCTTACTTCCTCCCAAACTAAAGGAGTCTCTCTCTATGCTAAGCTGCCTGGAGCTGGGGGAAAGGTGATGCATGCACCCATGTGGCCACCTCCACTGGGACTCTGCTGCACCCAGGCCTGCAGTAACCACTGCCTGGAGACTGCTTATGTTCACTCAAGGCCCTAGGGCTCTACAATCAGCAGGTGGCAAAGCCAGCCAGGCTTGTGTCCTTCCCTTTAGGGTAGTAAGTTGTACCTGGTCCTGGGCAGGTCCAGAGATTTCATCTGGAAGCCAGGGCCTAGAGTTGGAAATCTTAGAAATCTACTTGGTGCTCTGTTCTACTGCAGTTGAGCTGATACCCAAGCCACAAGACAAAGTCCTTCCAATTCTTTCCTCCCCTTTCCACAAGGAGAGGAGTCTCTCCCTATGGCCACTACTGCCCTGGGCCAACAGCAAGTTCTGTCTCACAACCACCAACGTTCATTCAAAGCCCAAGGACTCTTCAGTCAGCTTTTGATGAGTGCTGCCAGGCCTGGGATTCTCCCTTCAGGGTAGTGGGCTCCCCTCTGGCCTAGGGCAAGTCCAGAAATGCTGTCCACGAGCCAAGCCCTAGAATCAAAGACCCCAAGAGCCTACTTGGTGCTGTACCCTACTGTGGCTGAGCAGGTGGTATGCTGATTTTTGGTTCTTATAGAGGTGCTCTTTTGTGTGGACAGTTGTTCAATATAGTGTTCCTACAGGAAGGATGATCAGTGAAGGCTTCTATTCAGTGAAGGCTGCTCTGCCTCCTCTCCTAGAAGACTTCATTTCTTCATAACTTCATTTCTGTCTTCTTTATGGTTCAGCACTGTCCAATCGAAATTTCTGTGATCATGGAAATATTCTAGGCTTCACTGTTGAATACAGTAGCCACTAGCCATATGTGACTATTGAGCACTTAAAATGGGGTTAGTGTGACAGAGTACTTAATTTTTAATTTTATTTAATTTTAATCTATTGATTAAAATTTTAATTTAAATATCCTATTGTAGCAAGTGACTACTGTGTTGGACAATGTATGGAAAGGCAGACATCCTTGGCACTATAAGCCACATTACTTGACTTTCAATTATAGAAATCCCAGGGAAATAATTATTATAGGAACTATGTAACACTAGGAGATAAAGTACATCTGATAGTTCAGCTAGATTGAAGGCAGTGTTCTATCTGAACAAAATCTATAGATGTCTTCTGGTAGTAATCCATCCATGGACTGTATACTGTTGAAGGCATAATTCTTTTTGCCAGATTTAGCTATGTCAAGGAAAAATTATCTAAAACATGCAAATGTAAACTAATAGTCTTTATGTTTATCAATAATTTCTGTCAACTCACCTCAAATCCAATAGTCAATTGGTACAACTCTGAATTCACTCAGTTATTGAGCAAAGAACTATTTTATTTAGATAACTGTTAAATGTTAAATGTGTTCTGAAAATGGGAGCATAGGTTTTTGGCCCAGGATTTCAACATTTAAACTACTCATAACCAAAGCAATGATAACATGGAACCAAGGGGAAACTATCACCAGGACTTCAATAAAGGCTGTGAGTCAGCACAGGATAAATAAAGATGCATTATTTTGAGGGGGAGGTGGTGAAGAGAGTGATATGAGAGGAACATGGGCACTGAAGGCAGGCCTTGATGTGACTCCTAGCTGTGACTTGGATAGCTGAGTGACCTTGGGAAATTTGCTTTAGTTTTCTCATCTGTAAAATGATAATAATATCTACCTTGCACATTGCTGAAAGGGCTATAAATAATGTGTTGCAAATGCCTGGTGCATCTCAATGAATGGTAGTTAATATTATTGTGACAGAGTTACAACCATAGCAGCCAGTACTAGCTGCATCCCATCAAGCCATCCTTTAAATTTATAACAGAACAACTTCTTTTTTATAAGGAATCATCTACAAATAAAGTTCTGACCCAAGCCAATAGGAGATTCACAAATGGAAACATTAAGTGAACTACAGAAGACAGACCTCCTTTGTCCACAAGCTTTACCTGTTAAGGTCAAGATTCCTTTCCTCTCCATTAATATTCTCCCAAATTCAATCCAGAATTAGGAAGAAATTAAAGAGCAAAATGTAAAAGGTGACTGACAATTCAAAGAACTGAAACCGCATCCGTTTGTATTGGAAACCCAAATCACATGTAATCTTTGGAGAATGGAATTTGACCTCAAAACCTCAAAGAAAGGATCCACGAAAAGGATGAATTAGAATCAACATTTGAACTCTTCCCTCCACTGCCCCAGCATCTCCACCCATTTTTATCCATTTGATTCCGATACTACAGACTGCCATTTTAGCTTATCAGAACCAGACATTGAGGAGCAACATAAGACAAATAGTTCAGAATGCTCTGATTTGAATGTGTCCCCCCAAAATTGATGGTTAGAAACTTAATCCACAATACAACAGTGTTGGGAAGTTGGGCCTAATAAAAGGTATTTGGGTCTTGAAGGCAGAACCCTCATGAATGGATTAATGTCATTATTGTAGAAGCAGGTTAGTTATAATGAATGTGGGTTGTTATAAAGTGAGCCTGGCCCCTGGTGCCTTTCTGTTTTGCATGCACTCACTTGACCTTCCACCTTTCTGTCATAAAAAGACCCTTGCCAGATGCCAGCACCATGCTCTTGGACTTCCCAGCCTCCAGGAGTGTAAGAAATACATTTCTTTTCTTTACAAATTATCCAACCTGTAATATTCTGTTATAGCACCAGAAAGTGGACTAAGACATAGGACATATGGAAGGCAAATGCACACTCCTATTGACAAAGACAGAGAGGTTTATAAACCTGCCCACAGCTCTTAGCAATATTTCCTCTTTCAAATGGGAATCTTACATTTGTTTCACTAATAATGAAGTTATTTCAGCAGTAACCATGGGATGACAGTTTGCAGGGACAAGAATAATGAGCAAATAGTGCTTCTTACCCATTTCATTTGATAGCCGTTCTTCTCTCTAAAAGGCATTGTAGTTAATGCTACCATTGTACCAAATAATTAAATTATTCTCCAAGTAATTCACATTAAAATTCTCTCTCACTCTCTCCTCAAATTTAAATACAGGTAATTATGTAATATTTTTAGTTACAGG
Organism: Homo sapiens; assembly: GCF_000001405.40. Lineage (NCBI taxonomy): Eukaryota > Metazoa > Chordata > Mammalia > Primates > Hominidae > Homo > Homo sapiens. The sequence continues at coordinate 102,126,391 of NC_000004.12, forward strand.
CAAATAAAAATTCCTACCTACCCAAAAAATTACTAAACTCAAGCATACATGCTGCTCATCAATTAAGTGGAACAAATTTGTCAGGATACAAATATATCTAGAGATACAGGGTAATGAGGTGATTATAAAAAACATATTGAGTTAAACAACCTGGGATTGATGATGCCTCAGGTCCACCTTTTACTAGCTAAATGACCTTGGGCAAGTTATGCAAGCGCTTTAAACTTCAAGTCCTTCATCTCCTAAAAATGGAAATAACAATAACACTTATTTCATAAAGTACTTCTGGTTAAAGAAATAATATACATAAAACTTCTTGCATAGAGCCTAACATGCCTGGAATCAATAAATTACAAATGATATTGTTAAATATATGTAATTTTTATTTTGTGCGTGGTAAAAAGACAAATGAAAATTATTTATGCAGGTTAATATATTTGGCATTATGTTCATGCAGCCAAACCACATCGTTTTGTATTTTTCCCATATTCAAAATAAAGAGTGCCAACCAGAATCAACAGGAAAAAAATTCACATCTAAACATATTACTATAAATTACAAGAACAACAAAAGAAAAGGGAAAATTCTGTAAGCTATCCATTAGAGAAAAAAAAAGACCTTTAAAAAAACATAATTAAATTGGCATCACATGTTTCAACAGGGACACTGTAAGGAAGAAGACACTAAAGTGATATTTTTTTCACACTATGAAAGAATGAAAAACTTGAACTTAGAATATATCCTGCTATAGTGAGCCAAGATCATGCCACTGCACTCCAGTCTGGGTGACACAGTGAGACTCCGTCTCAAAAAAAAAAACAAAAAAAAGAATATATCCTGCTATAATGGTAATTTTAAAATGAAATTGAAATAAAGATATATTCAGACATAGAAAGCCTCAGAAAATTTACTATACAGGAATTCACTTTTAAAACATTCTTGAAAGAAGCACTCCTGAAAAAAGAGAAACCAATCTAAAAATTCTTCATAAGCTCCAAGAAGTATGCATGAAAACAAGTTAAAATCTTTTGGGTTTGTGATATGAATAAGCAGTTACCAAACTAGGAACAGAAGACCAAAACATAGGCACAAATGAAAAGGAAGAAAATCTAGAAAATCAAAGTCTAAATGATGCCAAAATCAAAAAAACGTATCTGAAGATGAAAACATAACAAAGGCATTAAGAACATGCCAAGGACAGGGCCTTCTTTAGGAAAAAAATAAGCATGTGTATTATTTTTAATACCTCAGGAAGAACCACTAAAAAATAAACAGAATACACAACTTTCAATGAGTATAAGAAAAATTCACCTATTCAACGAATGCAGAAAAAATACAGAAAATTGTTATACAATTATAAAATAAGACATGAGAAATAAAAAGTAAAGTAGTAACTCATTTAATGTAAGTGAAGTAAGTTGACGAATTAAACTAGAGACCCTCAGATTAGACTAAAGGAGCAGCCATATGCTATCTATATGTCATGCATTTTAAAACAAAAGGATACAAACATGTTTAAGATAAAGGGATGAAGATATTTCAGGCAAATCTGAACTATAAGACAGCAGTGGTAGTGATATTAAAAACAGATAAGAGATATGAAAAACACACAACACCAGAAGGACTCTTATATACCTGAATACGTAAGAATAAATTTAAAACATACATAAATAGATAGATATAGATTGTTATGGTTTAGATGTTTGCCCCTTCCAAATTTCATGTTGAAATATGATTCCCAATGTTGGAGGTGGGGCTTGGTAGGAGGTGATTGGATCATGGGGTCAGACCCCTCATGAATGGTTTAGCACCATCCCCTTGGTGATAAGCGAGTTCTTAGTTCATGCAAGTTCCGGTTGTTTACAAGTCTGACTCTTGGCTCTTTTGCTCCCATTCTCACTATGCCTGCTCCCCCTTCACCTTCCACTATGATAATAAGCGTCCTCTGGTCCTCATCAGAACCAGATGCTGGCCCCATGCTTCCTGTACACTCTGCAGATCTTTGAGCCAATTAAGTCTCTTTTCTTTACAAATTACAAACTCTCAGATATTCCTTTATAGTAACCCAAATGACCTAATACAGAAAATTGGTACTGAGGAGTGGAGTACTACTATAAAAATATCTGAAAATGTGGAAGTGGCTTTGGAACTGGATAACAGGCAGAGATCAGAAGAGTTTGGAGGACTCAGTATCCTGACAACAGGAAGATGAGGAAAAGTTTGGCACTTCTTATAGAGTGGTTAAATGGTTGTGACCAAAATGCTGATAGTGATATGGACAATGAAGTCCAGGCTGATGAGATCTCAGATGGAAATTAGGAACTTATTGGGAACTGAAACAAAATCACTCTTGTTATGCCTTAGCAAAGAACTTGGCTGCATTGTGCTCCTGCCGTAGGGATCTGTGGAAGTTTGAACTTAAGAGTGAAGACTTAGGGTATCTGTCATTGAAATTTCTAAGCAGCAAAGCATTCCAAACGTAGCTTGGCTGCTTCTAACAGTCTATGCTTAGATGTGAGAGAAAATAAATGACTTAAATTTGGAACTTATATTTAAAAGGGAAGAAGAGCATAAAAGTTTGCAAATTTTGCAGCTAGCCATGTGGTAGAAAAGAAAAACCCTTTTTCTGGGGAAGAATCCAAGAGGGCTACAGAGCAACCACTTGTTACAGAGATTTCCACAACTAAATGGGAGCCAGGTACTGATATCCAAGACAATGGGGAAAAGGCCTTGAAGGCATTTCAGAGATCTATGTGGCAGCTCCTCTCAGCACAGGCCTGGAGACCTAGGAGAAAAGAATGGTTTAGGGGGCCAGGCCCAGAAATCCCTGACTTGTGCCACCCCAGGAAACTGTTCCTCACATCCTTGCTTCTCCAGTTACAGCCTCAGATCAAAGGGGCCCAAGAACAGCTCACACCACCACTCCAGAGAGCACATACCATAAGCCTCGGCAGCTTCCATGTGGCATTAAGTCTGCATATGCTCAGAATGCAAGATTTAAGGAGGTATGGCAGCTCCCACCTAGATTCCAAAGGATGTATGAGAAAGACTGAGTGCCCAGGCAGAAGACTACCATGGGGGCAGAGCCCCCACAGAGAAACTCTCCTAGGGCAATGCCAAGGGGAAATGTAGCATTGGAACGTCCACACAAAGTTCCCACAGCAGCACTGCTTAATGGAGCTGTGAGAATGCATCTGCCACCCTCCAGACCTGGGAAAGATAGAGTTATCAGCAGCTTGCACCCTTTTCCTGGAAAAGCTGCAAACAGTCAGCTCCAACCCATGAGAGTAGCCATGGGGCCTGGATCCTTCAAAGGCAGAAGGATGGAGCTGCCAAGGCCTTGGGAGCCCACCCCTTGCACCAGTGTGCCCTGGATGCATGACATGGAGTTGAAGGAGATTATTTTGGAGCTTCAAGATTTAATAACTGCCCTGATGTGTTTCAGACATTCATAGGGCCTATTGCCTCTTCCTTCTGGCCAATTTCTCCCTTTTGGAATGGTAATGTTTACCTAATGCCTGTACTACCATTGTATCTTGGAAGTAAATAACTTGTTTTGATTCTACAGGCTCATAGGTGAAAGGAGATAGGTCTCAGATGAGAGTTAGGACTTTAGACTTGATGCTGATGTAAGTTAAAATTTTGCAGACTATTGGCAGGTGATTGTTGTATTTTGCTATGTAAGAAGGACCTGAGATTTAAGGGGCCAGGGGCAGAACGATATAGTTTGAATGTTTGTCCCCTCCAAATCTCATGTTGAAATATGATTCCAGTGTTGGAAGTGGGGCCTTCTGGGAGGTGGAAGACCCCTCATGAATGGCATAGCACCATCCTATTGGTGATAAGTGAGTTCTCACTCAAGTTAGTTCACACAAGATTTGGTTGCTCAGAAGTCTGGGACCTCTCCCAACCCTGCTCTCTTGCTCCCACTCTCACCATGTGATGTGCCTGCTTCTCCTTCACCTTCCACCATGATTGTAAGCTTCTGTAGGCCCTCACCAGAAGCAGAGGCTGACAGTACACTTCCTTTATACCCTGTAGAACTGTAAGCCAATTAAATCTCTTCTTTACAAATTATCCAGGCTCATGTATTCCTTTATAGTAACATAAGCAGCCTAATATATAGAGAGAAAAGTATAAAATGGTTATAGACATGTGTGTATGCATGTATGAAATAGGTAGAGAAACAGCAGACAGAATTATGAGAAAAAAACAGATAAATCAACATCACTCCTTCATTCCTCTTTCTAACTTTACTGGCCGGGCATGGTGGCTCACGCCTGTAATCCCAGCACTTTGGGAGGCCAAGGCAGGCAGATTACTTCAGGACAGGAGTTCAAGACCTGCTCGGCCAACATAAAGAAATCCATCTCTATTAAAAATACAAAAATTAGCCAGGCATGGTGGCAAGCGCCTGTAATCCAGCTACTCCGGAGGCTGAGGAATGAGAGTCACTTGAACCCAGGAGGCGGAGGCTGCAGTGAGCCGAGACTATGCCACTGCACTCCATCCTGGGGCACGGAGTGAGACTCCATCTCAATAAAAAAATAAATAAATAAATAATTTATTTATTTCCTCACTACTGAATCATTCACATTAAAATAAACAGTTTTTTGATGCCACTTTCCTGCTTTAGTTACCTCTCCTCTCTTTTCCCATTTACAGCAAAAGTCCTCAAAAGGGTGGTCTATATTCTCTGCCTCCCATCCTCTTCTTCTCTTCTCTCTTGAACCCTCTCCAATCAGGTTTTCATCTCCAGCATTCTACCAAGACTGTTTGTTTCAAGGGCCCCAATTACTTCCACAGTGCTAAGGTAGGTGATCCATTGTGAATTTTCATATTCGGCCTAAGCTGATCACTCTTTCCCCCTTGAAACAATTATGTCACCTGGCTTCCTAGACACCACTCTTTCCTCTAGCTTTCTTTCCACTGCCTTAACCGTTCCTCTCAAGATTCTTTGTTGGTTCCTCATAGAAACATTAGTCTAGAGCCCAGGCCCTGGGCTCCAACACTATCCACACTAGTCTCACGACTTTAAATACCACTGACTTGCTAAAATCTTCAAATTCCTATTTCTACCTCAGATATCTTCCTGGAGCTCCAGGCTCATGTATCTGAATTCCTATATGACATCTATACTTGCATATCTAAAAGGCACCTCACATTAATATGTCCAAACTCAAACTCCTGACTTACAGCCACAACATCTGATTCTCCAAGATTCTTTTCCTTCCCAGTAAATATCAATTCTATTCTTCCACTGTTCAGGCCAAAACTCTTTCTCGCTTTCTTAACCCTTCTCTTTCCCTCAAACTACTCATTCAGTATATCAGCAAAATCTGTTTGCCTTTCCTTCAAAATATATACTGAATCCACCCATGTGTAATACTTTTATGACTCCTACCCTCATCCAAGAAACCATCCTATCATTTCTCATCTAAAGTATTGCAATAGCTTCCTACGTGGTTCCTTACAATCTATTCTCATCACAATAGCCACTGTAAGCCTTATAAAATTTAAGTTAGATTATGTGACTCTTTTCATCAAAACTTTCCAATAGGTTCCTACATCTCTGAGAGTAAACCCCAGAGTTCTTAAAATGTTCTCTCTAATTCAATCTCCAATTTCTGCTCTGGTACTGACTGTTACTACACTGGCCTCCTGCTATTCCATACATACCCCTTCTGCCTCAGGGCCTTTGCACCTGCTGTTCCCTCTGCTGGAAATAATTTTCTACTAGACATTCACTCATTTTTGCTTTCTTCTGGTGTTTCCTCAAATTCCATCTTTCCATGAGTGCGGTTTGCTTCAGGAAATTCCTATGGATAAATTTATTGGAGTAAACATTGCACTCACCAGCTGGATGCAGTGGCTCATGCCTGTAATCCCGGCACTTTGGGAGGCCAAGGCAGGCAGATCACGAGGTCAGGAGATCGAGAACATCCTGGCTACACGGTGAAACCCTGTCTCTACTAAAAATACAAAAAATTAGCCGGGCATGGTGGCCGGCGCCTGTAGTCCCAGCTACTTGGGAGGCTGAGGCAGGAGAATGGCATGAACCCGGGAGGTGGAGCTTGCAGTGAGCCGAGATCATGCCACTGCACTCCAGCCTGGGTGACAGAGCGAGACTCCATCTCAAAAAAAAAAAAAAAAAAAAAAAAAAAAAACCAAATTGCACTCACCTGAATAAATAACTTGTTCATCCAACAACAGTTTACTTATCAAGAGTCACTTCAAGATCCTTGCTTTGCTGTATCCACCAAACCTAAACTATATTACAAACCAGCCCAGTCCCTATCAGTTTCCCTCACTGAATGACCCATCTTAAACCACTCTAGCCCAGACCCTAGGGGCCTATAAATATCCTACTTCTGACTTCTCCTTCTGACACTAAGTCTCTGTGAAAATGGCATTCTCCCTTGCGGCAGTAAGTTCAAATGAACAGGTTTTCTGGTGACATTTCGAAGAATTCAAGAAGGAACTAGAGCATTCTTATTCAAGTTGTTCCAAGAAACAGGAAAAGAAAAAAAAAAAACCTGCCCATTCATTTGCGAGGCTAGTTCAACCCTGATTCCATAGAGAGTCTATGTAAGAAAAGAAATATAATCCAAATCACTTATTAACATTGATATTAACATTTCTAGATAAAATATTATCTACACACGTCCAAATTCAAGAAAAAGAAAAGTTCTTTCATCAAATTGGTTTTATCCCAAACCCCTTCATTTCCATCCATATAATAAGTCATATGTAAATATAATTTAACAACAGAAAATATATTAGTAGAGTCGTCACATCTCCAAAAAGATAAAAAATATATAATTAACTCAATAGGTCAGAAATGTTATTATGATTTCAAAATAAAACAAATATATAAAACTAGGAATAGATTCTTAACTTGATTAATCCTGTATGAAAAAAATTACATAAAATATCTCTTCTAGATATATTTTCTTTAAGATCAGAACACAAGATACAAATGTTTACTATTACCTCTACTGTTCAATATTGGTATAGAGAAAAAGTAAAAAAGAAGTATTTAAATTGGGAAACAAGAGAAAACACTATCGCTACTTGCAGATTATATAATCATCTACCACAGAAAGCAGAGTCTACTAGATGTAGTTAAGATTGATCAATAAGCTTATTAGGTATACACGTCAAATGTTAAAACCAATGTCTTTTACACCACAAATAAGAAAACAGAAAATAAAACCAGAACAAAACACCATTCAAATAGCAAAAAATATAAAGCAACCAGAAATCAACCTGGTAAAGAATACACATGACTTTTATGAAGAAAAAGCAAATATCGTTATTAAGCAATATAAATGGACATCTAAATAAATGAAGAGCCACTCCCTTAATCTAAGAAGAAACATTGTTGTTAAGATATCATATTACTCAAATTAATCTTTAAGACATTGCGTTGCAAATCAAAATTCCAGCTGGATATTTTGTACAGATTGACAAATTGATTCTGAAATTTATTGGGAAGAATAAATGTCCTTGAAAAGGAAGAGCAAGTAAGGAGGACTCATATATTTGACAGCCAGATCATAAGTTTTTAAGAGCTGACTCTGCCCTCCTGGTTATGGCTTCTGAAAAATTGTTTAACCTCCTTAAATCTTGCTCTTCTCATATACATGGTGAGGGTGAAAATATTACCTTCCTCAAGGGACTATTGCGAGAAATAAATGAAATAATGTATGTAAAGTGCCTGAAATGTAGTGAGAACTCAGTAAGTTTAAGCTATTGTTATTGCTGCTAGTATTATATTAATATGTAGTTATTTGTATATCTTCGTTGCAACACTAGAACTTCTTTACCCAGAATATTAAGTATTATTCATTTTGTTCACCTGTAATGAATAGCCTTCATATGAGTCATGTTTGTTGGTTTGTTCATTTTTATAATTTATAAAAGCAGAAGAAAAGGAGTTCTCTTTCTTCTCTTATTTAAGATAAGGAAAGTAGAGTCAGAGGTATTCTACTCTTTTCCAGCCCCTAGAATATAATCTCCAATAAAAGCAAAAGCAAAAGAAACGAAGCTTGCAAATAGAGGGCTTTACTGGGATTGGATGATCTATGGCAGAAATATTGTAACTGAAACTCTAAACTGCTGTTTCAGAATTTGGTATGCTTATTTAGAGACAGTAAAACTCAGTCAATAGGAAAATTCAATAAGCTTACTAATAAACTGGAAATCTTAAGGCCTAATATCTTACTTAAGTATTTATAACAAGTTACTTCCCTTCTGTCTTTTGTTTTCCCTATCTGTAAAATGGGAATAATAATTCTTGCATCCCTGGCATAACTATTGAACAGATTGATGAAGATGGTGCTATATAAATGCTTATTTCAAAACATAGGCAAATGGTGGTGGAATAAAAGTCCGACAGAATTCCCGGTGCTCTCTGGGGTTAAATGTGTTGCATATTAAAAAGTTATCATCTGTGTATCAAAGAATACCACCACAAGCAAGCAACATGAAAAAATTATGTATTTTTGTTCCCCACTCACTGGTAAACTTGACCCTTTCTACCTGTAGCTACTAATGCTTAGAACAACTGCTTTTCTCCTTTTGCAGATTCTCCTAGGAGAAAATCGAATATGCCTCTTAAAAATATAAATTATATTGAAACGAGTGGGTCCCATCTGCTAAAAAGCAAACATTGTGAAGAAAACTGTACTTATTTCAATAGCCACAAGGCATCATGGAAATTAAGCAATATAATTCAACTAGATCTTGTTTAGTGATTTCCTTAACAGCCTATATTTCATTATGTTTCCTGGGTTTTCATAAAATGTGTAATTAGACAATGGTGGCAGAGGGGTAGAAGCAGGCACTGAAAAGTGTACAAGAGGGCAGTGCCAAGACTTCGCATCGCTGTTAACGCTGATATTGACATTCAGGAAGCACTAATATTTGGCATTAAGGGTTCTCAGAGTCAATTGTTCCCATTTTTAGCTCTCGTAAAAACAAGTGATAACCAAGAGAAGCACATGATGACAAAAAGTAGCACAAGCAAGGGGCAGAAGGGCAGCAACTAGAAGTCAATGTTTTTAATGGAGGACGGAGCATTAGCCTTGTACTTGGGCAATTCTATTAATTGGGAGGATGAGGAGATCCAATGATGCAAATGATCCCATCAATACCAGACACAAAGGCCACCTGATAGCCAGGAAAATCTTCCTTGACCTCAAGGTTGCCCTGACTCCTCAGCAGAGCATGTAAAGGTCTTCTTGATGTAGACCCCGCTGGTCCTCTGCAGCCCCAGCCACCCAAAGCCACCTGCATTTCTCTTATGTCTGGATCTCTGTGCTTCTTCTGATTTCTGCTTGGATTTTCCCTCTCGCTCTGTTTCCTAATACTTGCATTTTGTGGCCAACTTCTACCAATTGTTTTGGTCTCAAACAGTAGCCTCTGGGGAGCCTTTCCTGTCACTTGTCTATCTGCCATGAACAGTCTTTTCATGCACTTCAGTGGCTCCCTGTGCTACCTCCTAGCAAAGTACCCATCACTCTTTGTTATCTAGTCACATGACCCCCCTCCCCAGGTTATCTGTATGCTCTAAGAGCTCTAGTATGGAGCTATTCTTCCTAGTGTATCTTCTCACCAACTTATACATAGTAAATGCTCAGTAGATAATGGCTGAACATTGTTAACAGAAGAAAACTAACTCAGGTTCTGGAATTAGATAAATCTGTCCTTGCATTCTCACTTTGACATTAAAATTTGTGTGTCAAGATAGTCATCTTTTCTGTAAACTGGGGCATAAATACAGATGGTGTACAGACTGTTGGTGGGCATTATTAGAAGGCAAAATATGAGAAGCATTTAGCAAATACATGGTGGTTGACACATGGTATATTAAGTAGCAGTCATTTTGATAATATTATTAAAGATAGCTAAAATTGGTTTAAGTGTATTTCTCTGCATTATAACCAGTGTTCATTTGAGTCCTAATTTGCAGAGGTTATTATAAATGCATGGGCTTGCTTAAAATTTTTCTTAAGTGAGTTCATTCAGCAGGTTTATGCTTAATTTCATAAGAGCAATCTATACTCATTTCAACCAATAACAAAAAAACTAGAAGGAGTTTGATTTAAAGAAACATATAAAATGAGGAGTACAGGTGGGGTGAAAAAATGAATAGAATCATTTTAGAGAAATCAAAATATCCAGATTTTGAAGTGTATGTCCATGCTTATAGTACCAGAAATCTTAAAACTTCTTTTTCAAGGTTTAGGACATTACCATGTGATAAAAGTGGCAGTTTCTTGGACTAGAATTTAAGCTTAAGTTTAGAAATGGGTAGAAGGATGTAACAAAAACAGCAGTTTAAAATGACAGCTTCACAGGAGGTCAAAGTGGAATTTTCATAGCATTTCCTGTCCGTTAGAGCAATTACCTGACTTACGATCTTTTTCTGTTGATGTTCAAGGAATAGAAATATACTTTTTAAGAACAAGTTTGCTGATCTGTTGTTTAAATTTTTATATGTTGAGACTTACAGTTTGAAAACACTTTTGAGGGAGTTTTGCTGAAATCTATTCCTGTGTTTGTCTAATAGTTGATGTTGTATTTCTGTTAAGTAAAAGCTATCTTCCTCTCTTCTGTCTTGCCCTTAGTAAGTTATAGTCCATCAAAAGGTGTGTGATCATATCGACAATACTATGCCAAGCTCAGTGGCAGTGATGTCAACAAAGTACTACTTAATAGGTGCACTTTTTCCAGTAAGATGCTTATAAATGACAGGCTCAACGAATAGAAATGTAAACTATGCACATATACCAATATACAGTGGTTTGTCCTTATTGCTATAGGTGTTCAGTACACAGGAGAGCTGAACCTTCCTGACTGTTTAGAACCATGAAGCCATACTTGCCTTGTGCCCTGCTGAATCCCCATTCATATCACAGTGCCTGGCACAGAGCCTGGTGCTCAATGAACATTTATGAGATTGACCTGAAATTAGTTGTATTGATTGATTTTGTTCTAAACCACCTGACTCAGCAACTTGCCCAAGGCCTTGTCCAAGGTACTCAACTTCTCTGAGCCTCCATTTCTTTATGGGTGAAATTAAAATAACAGCATCACTCTATAGCTTCTCAATAAGGACTCAAATGAGCTGGTATGTAAAGCAATCAGTGCAGTATATGGTATAGTAGATACTCAGTATGTGGTACTGTTTTCGTTTCGATACTTTCAGATATCAAGAATTGATCATGGACCTTCTGGGCCTCATTTCCAAATCATTCAAATAGGCAAATAAAGCATATTAATAGTTACGAATGTGCAATTGTGAACATCCAAATTAGCTGAAATGGGCAACCCTGAAATAAAATAAGAGGTGCAAAGGTTAGACTAGGTTATATTTGGTAATTGAAGTATTTAGTTAAGGCTTGCATAGAAATGGACCATAACCTCAACTCTAGAAGACCTGCTTTGCACACACTTTCAGCTGCCCAGCCTACAGTTTGGATACAGCTGCTCAATGAATTTATAATTTTCTTTTTTGCCAAACATAATTTTACTGGTAACTCCCTCAGAAAAAAAAAAATCAATAGAGAAAACATGTCATGTAATATAGCATGCAGAATAAGACTATGAGCTTTGAAATGACAAGCCAGTGCCCAAATCTTAACTCCACTGATAAATTGCTGAGCACCATTTTAAGCAGATTAATCTTTCTAAATTTTAAATTTTCATCTTTAACTTGGAAGTAATCATTATCCCCCAAATTGTTGAAAGCAGTAAATTAAATAATGTATATAACACATGTATGAAATAGACTGCCTTTGCACTTGCCAGATAGTAAGTTCTCAATATTCCCTGTCATCATGATCATCATCAACATTGAGAAAATCTTTATTGGTGAGACACTTTGATATTACTCATATTAAGCTGAATCTAGTCTAAGTTTAAAATACTCATATTAATTTTGCTGATAGAGGAGACAAAAGGAGAGAAAGTGTGAGGGTATCTAGATCTTGATTTATCTACTTCATTTTGGCTGACAACTTAACCTTTATCATCTAAAAACAAAATAGAGCCCATCAGTTTGTTTGTGCCATAGAGGCACAATTCTAGAAGAGTCTAGAAGTGTCCAAACAACACTAAACAAGACGAAAGCTGATACTTAGACACACCAGTTTGCATGTGCATGAGAACAAATTCCAGCACATTGCTAAGAATTGCCTATTTTTTCAAATTCAAGGTGTTTTATAATTATAAAATAGTCATAAAATCACTGAAATGTAAAACAAATAGAAAAGGAAACCAACAACAACAATAAATTGATCGCTTCTCTTCCCTACTATCAATTTCCACAGAATGATGCTCCAGCCCCCAAGGTTCTACCTGGTCAGCTCTCCATCTCACACACCATTTCCCCCAAACTCTGTTGCTTTAGAGTCTGTTCCATCAGTCATTCATCCTCCTGCCATCCCACCCACTCCTCCTCCCTGACAGTCTGGCTGTAGATATGAGTGAGGAATGATACGGTAACTAGCTTTTCAGATTTATCTTTAAATTTAAAACAGAAAAGGAAGAAAGAAAAAAACAGAAACATTGAGAAGAGATAATGACGGGGATAGGAGCTGAGAAGTTGTCCACATCTTAGGGAGAAGGAACCTGATTATGCAAAAATACAGAAAATTAAAAGTCCATGCAGGCATAAACATTCAGCTCCAGAAAGAATTTTAGTTCAATCAAATCTGAAGAATGAAGGGCATATAGTACATAAGGAACAAAAGTTTGAAGTTATATGTCATCATCTAAAAAGGGATATTATGCAGGAAACTCTTGGCAGTTCACTTTATATGGTATTTGGTTGAAAAAGTTCAAAGCCATTTGTTGCTGTTGTTGCTGTGTTTTTCCAAAGTCATTTCCTATTGATTCAGCACATCAGGAAACCACGGCTGGGTTTGCCCTGCCAAATATGAGTTTCTACTTTGCTGACTGGATAACATCCAAAAGCCACATTATATTGAAGACAATAAGCACCTTGCCTTTGAAAGGAACCAATTGCATAGACAAACGGGGAATGTCTCACAGATTTCTCATCAGTTCTGGGATTGAGTTATTGCTTTCCATGTGACTCTGCAATTTAGACTGCTGTGGGTTGCACCACTCTGGAGACAAACTCTCTAGTCTGAGTTGGGATGGCCCAGTCTTGCCTACTTCCCTTCCCTATAGTTTCACCAAGAGATCCCCATATCTTGGCACACAAATGTATTTCAGAAATAGATCTTGGATGGGAGAATAACACAGAGGTAGATGCAATATTCAAACATCCCTTTTGTAAAACAGGATGTCTGATAGCATGGGATGGAAGGAGATTAATGTACTAGAGGAACTGAATATGACCCTAAAATAATTTCTGAGTTTTAGAATATTTACTATAAAATTAAGATAATAACCCGTTCTACTCCATACGGTTGTTTGTGAAGAGGAAAGGAAAATGTATACAAAAATCATGATACAGAGTAGACAAAGGGAAGAGATTCTTCTGTTAGCCAGACAAGAATTGCAAGGTTTGATTTTGCCAGCAGGAATTTTTCCCTATTTAGGAAGTGAATATTAGAGGGTAAACATCTTGTTCAACTACATTTTCCCAGCTGGCTGCTTTCACAGATAGACATAGGAATGGCATAATTGTTTTCACTTTTTATAAAACCAGGTAGGTAGAGCTGAGTGGACACTTAGTCATCCCATTGGGAAGTGTAACAGGGACATATCAATCATTCGGAGGTTCCCAGATGAAAAGGTCAGACAAATGACTCAACCCATTTGACAGCTAGCAAATGACAGGTTTGCCAAAATTAAGAGCTTGAAGCACCAGAGAGGATCTGAAGTAAATCTTTGAGACAGCTCCAAATCCAATTCTATCCATTACCAACCACACCTGCCTGCAGCATTATGCCAATGTTATTACCAAGAGCACTGTGGCAGGAAATAAAGGACAAATTACAAAGATACAACTATAACAAAGCAGAAGGGTTGATGCTTCCCAAAGCAAGTTTATCAGTAATTGCAGTGTGCAATTCTACAAGAGTTGACTTCACAACCCTGCCTCCCTCATGTCTCTAGAAAATTATTTGTATTTCCATGTAGAGTTGGCAGCTAAGTACATAATATCCACTTAACAAACTTAATTTAGAAAGAACTTTGTGCTAAACATTGCTTAGTCCTAGGATTGCAAAGGTGACTTTGATTCCAGTGAGGGAGACAGACCTTTATTTGTCTACCAGAAAATAGTTGTATTATGCAGAAGTTACTTTAGCAGCCAAAATCATAGAATTTATCTCTCCCAGGGTATGAACAGAAGTTTAGGAAAGGATTGTTAAAGGAGGTGCCATGAGTTGAATCTTGAAGGATGATCAGGAGTTTGCCAAGCAAATAAAGAGAAAACTGAATTGTAGACAGAGGACATGGGGTGTGCAAAGGCTGGAGAGAGCAAACTACATTGAGGGATCTGAAGATGGTGAGTGTAGTATGTGAAGGTTGGATTAAGCCTTAATTTTTGGTCATGTGTGTCAAGTTTCTCTTGTAAAAAAATTATTTTCTGAAATGCTGGGAGTGGTTATGGTAGGAGTAGTGGGGGCAGGGAAGAGGTGAATGATAGAAGTAGGACAAAGCTAAAGAATAATTTAACTCAATTTTCTAAAAGAAAAGTTTCTGGACAGTACATTGTCTGTAGTGGCTGTTAGAAAGGGCAAGGCTAGATAGCCCCACAGTCCAATAATACAGACAGAACTTGTACTGGGAATGAATTGCTTAACTCTGACACTTGCATGAAATAGTCTCTCCTATGACATTCCTTATACCTCAGCTTCTACCTATGTCAGTTCCTGCATTTGGATGCAAGCCTCCCGTTACACTTGTGCTTATCCTCTGGCCAGCATCTCCTAAATTGTCTAAAATGAAAGCAATTGATAGACAAAGCCATCCAAGTCAAGGGACACCTAGAACTCTAGATGACCTTTGTGTGCTTGGTGGTAAGTAGAGCAATCTGTCTTTTTTCCCCCCAGGTTACCAATGGAACATTGACACAGAGGTGACATTAAATCTAGAAAGATTTCTTAGGAAAAGACTTAAAACAGAATAAAAAATTTGAAAACACAAGTCAACCATTGAATGTAACTTTTGTCCTGCCAAGTCTTTGGCAAAAATAGTAAGATGGGTTATAAAGCAGAAAATAACTCCATCATGTCCACTATGGCTATCCACTCCAAGTTTCTAAAACAAAATTATCTGAAAATAATGGTAAAATAATTTCTTTCTAAATAAAATAAATAAAAAAAAGATAATATGACAGTTTTTTATGGCAACAGAACATACAGGTATAATGAGTTTATTGACTCATTTGTGATATATCATTTGCCTAAATCGTTCTTTTGCATGTACACAAAATATTTAAAATTTTCCTAGAGAAAGTAAACCTTCAATTTAAAAACATCATCATTGGGATTTGAAAATAAAATCATAAGGTTTTTCCCATGTTCAGAAAGGACTGGGGATACTTAAAGAGCTAATCATTGTTCCCAAAGGTGACATTCATCAAATCCAGATGAGCAAAACTGACTTTACCATTTTATCTCCAACTAACACATGTGTGGAAACTTGGAACGCCAAGTGGCAGTTGTAGATACATGGAGAATTGGGTTGGAAAGGATTATAAGGGTGTATCTGGGCCTGGAAGTGATTGCCATGGACTGGGGGGAAGGGCTACAGTCACACATTTACCATCCTTAAGCTAAATTTTTACCTCTCTGAGCTATCTTTTGTTTCCCTTGTCCACTTGTCTCCCAATTAATTCATTTTTTAGTTTCTTTCTCTTTCTGAGTTTTGCTGCTCACGAAACAGTACATCAGCACTGCTCAATGTGTAACTGCTTAAATAAAGTGAAAGCTCTTGAGGGCACAAACTGCTTAGGACATTTTAGGTTTTATTACAGTGCATGCCATGCCATTTAGTGGCAATAAAAGAAAAATTTACTCTCTGCAAAACTCAGCCGTCCAACTCCGGAATACCATAGTAAGAATGTTGCCATAGTATAACAATTACAAGTCGGGTATAGACCAAAATGTAGGTGCCAATAGCTTATGATATAGAAATAAAGCTAGCAAGTATCTGCACTAAAAGGAAAAAAAAAAAGATTTAAATGCAGGGAATATTGTGATAAGCATTAAAAAATGAAGTAAAGGGACTGATGATTGTTAAATACCTTCAGGAACTTCATGTAAATTATCTCATTTAATCCTTGCATTTGTCTTACGAGTAAAAATGGCTAACACTTACTGAGAGCTTACTATATGCCATGTGACTGTTTTTGTTTGTTTGTGTGTTTTGTATTGTGTTGTTTTGTTTTTGAGAGGGAGTGTGGTTCTGTAGCCCAGGCTGGAGTGCAGTGGCGCGATCTCAGCTCACTGCAAGCTCCGCCTCCCGGGTTCACGCCATTCTCCTGCCTCAGCCTCCGGAGTTGCTGGGACTACAGGCGCCCACCACCACGCCCGGCTAATTTTTTGTAATTTTAGTGGAGATGGGATTTCACCGTGTTAGCCAGAATGGTCTTGATCTCCTGACCTCGTGATCCGCCCACCTCCGCCTCCCAA
This sequence comes from Homo sapiens, assembly GCF_000001405.40. Taxonomy (NCBI): domain Eukaryota; kingdom Metazoa; phylum Chordata; class Mammalia; order Primates; family Hominidae; genus Homo; species Homo sapiens. Next base: position 102,143,013 of record NC_000004.12, read on the forward strand.
AATGCTGGGATTACAGGCATGAGCCACCGTGCCGGGCCACCATGTGACTATTTTACGTGCTTGTAGTCATTAAGTCGTTTAACAGTCATTTAGTTTCCACAACTCTATGCAGTAGTTCTATTACCATCCCATTTCACAACTAATAAAACTGCATCACAGAAAAACTAAGTAACTTGCCCAGTGTTGTTCAGCTAAGTGGCAAAGCTGGGATATGAATGCAGGCCATTGAATCTGAGGTCAGAGCCCACATTCTTAAGTAACTGACAGCACTTGTTTTTCAGATGAGGAAACTGGGGCTTAGAACAGTGAAGTAACCTAAAAAGCTAGTAAGAAGTACACCCAAGATTAAAACTCAGTTCTTTCTAACTCTAACACTCATATCCAATGTGCCACTTCATCCTGCCAACCACAGAAATAAAAATTTTATAAAGATTCCATTATATTATCCTTAAGAAAATAGTAAAACACCAAGTCTTTATGAGATTTTTTCTTATTAATCATAATTCTATAACTAATCAGATATAAAACAAGTGGAGGAAACTCTCTTCAAGTTTTAAAAAATAATAGGCTTTTATCCCCTGGAGACCAAACCCTAAGTGGTTCTCTGGAACTGAGTCAAAGGGCCAGCTGAGCAGACGATGAGGGAAGAGGAGAGGAGGCACAGGAAAGACCTTAATGACTCTATGATTTCACCTTTCAGATAGGGAATGGAACATGGTTACAGACATTTTTTACTCAGCCTTTCAAACAAAAGTAAACTCCAGGCAACTAGAATCTGAAAATATGTGAAAACAACAAACAGAACAAACTAGAAGTAAGCAAGCCAAGAGTGATAGTATTAGAGAAAGAAGGATTATTTAGGTAAATTGAATATGTTCCCATTCATGTAATGGTATTTTGATGCATAATTTTCTGATTCAGAAGTGTTTACCCAAAAGCTGCAATATAAAGGAAAGTGTACTATTGTTTTAGCAGCACATGGGCGCAAGTCTCTATGGAGTTAAAGTCTTTCTTGTTGTGCCTGGGTCTTCAGGAATCCCAATACAAGAACACTTTAACATCCACAAACTATTATTTATTGACTGTAATCTGTACATAAACAATCAATAACTGAGAACTACATAACAACCAGTAGTCGACTCTGAATTGCTGAATATTGCAACTCCAGATTTTGTTAAACATATGTTGTGAGAATAGAAATCAAGATTAGGTGTTTCAGTGCTGAAGAACTGTTCCTAAGAGCAGAAACAGCAACACCATCCAGTAAAAAAAAATTTATAACAGCTACCAGCATTTCACTCTCTATCAGGATTCAGAAGTGGCCATATCAGTTACCAAACAACAATTACTAAAAAAACAAGAATTCTCCCCAGTCAGTATCACTGAACATAATCAATTGTTCTTCTCCTGTATTTTTTTCTCTTGACTGTTATTTTAGGTTCAGGGGGCACATGTGCAAGTTTGTTACACAGGTAAATTGCGTGTCATTGAGGTTTGATGTATGAATGATCCCATCACCCAGGTAGTGAGCATAGTACCCAATAGGTTGGTTTTTAACCCATGTCTTCCTTCTCACCCATCCCCTCAAGGAGTCCCTAGTGCCTTTTTTCCCATCTTCATGTCTATGTGTATTCAGTGTTTAGCTCCTGCTTATAAGTGAGAACATGTGATATTTGGTTTCCTGCTCCTGCCTTAATTTGCTTAGGATAATGGCCTCCAGCTGCATCCATGTTGCTTCAAAGATGTGATTTCATTCTTTTTTATGGCTGCACAGTGTTCCATGGTACCACATTGTCTTTATCCAGTTCACCATTGATGGGCATCTAGTTGATTCCATGTCTTTGCTATTGTGAATAGTACTGTAATGAACATACAAGTTCATGTGTCTTTATGGTAGAACAATTCATATTCCTTGCATATATACCCAGTAATGGTATTGCTGAGTCAAATGGTATTTCTGTTTTAGATTCTTTGAGGAATCTCTACAGTGCTTTTTCATAGTGGCTGAACTAATTTACATTCCTACCAGCAGTGTATAATAAGTGTTCCCATTTCACCACAACCTCATCAACATCTGTTGTTTTTTTACTTTATAATAATAGCCGTTCTGACTGGTGTTAGATGATATCTCATTGTGGTTTTGATTTGAATTTCTCTACTGATTAGTGATGATGAGAATTTTTTCATATATTTGTTGGCCACATGTATGTCTTCTTTTGAGAAGTGCCCATTTTTTAATGGAATTATTTGTTTTCTGTTCATCAAACTGTTTACGTTCTTTATAGATTCTGGATATTAGACCTTTGTTGGAGTCACAGTTTGTATTTTCTCCCATTCTCTAGGTTATCTGCTTACTCTGTCGATAGTTTCTTTGACCATGCAGAAGCTCTTTAGTATAATTAGGTCCCACTTGTCAATTTTTGTTTTTGTTTCAATTGCTTTTTGGGACCCAGTGAAAATTCTTTACCAAGGCCAATGTCCAAAATGGCATTTCCTAGGTTATCTTCAGGATTTTTTAATGAAGATGTTACTGAGTCCAATACATTGACTCTCATTCAAATACAGTATTGTTTTTAGGTTGTGTGGACTTGATCTAAACAGAGTTGCTGGAACAAAAGTCATTTACTCTTGCCTTTCTGCTTCTCACACTTGGTCTAAAGCATTTCATAAAGGTATGTAAGGTATCATAGCTGCTAGTCCCACTCTTCACTCCCTGTAAGGCAGATTTTGTTTCTCATTTATACCCATAATTTGCCTAGGACTGTCACATGGTATTAGCAACATGGGAGGTAGCGCAGTGATAACTAATTGCTGATATTTAGATGATTCTTATGGGCTGGAAGCAATTTCAAGTTCTTTTTCTATTCGTTTAATCATTACATAAACATACGAGGTAGGCTATTTATGTTATTCTCATTTTACAGACAAATAAACACAGAGAAGTCGGCATTATGGTCAGGGACACAAAGCTCATAAATAAACACACCTCAATGTCAACACAACCATTCTGACTCCAAAAGTAATCTCTTAACTGCTATGCTGTGATGATATTTGGCGACATCTCTCATATAAAAATAGTCAGGACACGTGTATTAGCATGGAAAAGAAAAATAATGTGGTGATTTTACAAACATAGGGAATTATTATAGGGAAATATGTGGATACCAAAATCCTCCAGGAAGCAAGATGGCTCTGGACTGAATGGCATTCTCTCTTTCTCAATCTCTCTCTCTTTCTTTCTCTGGGCCCACCAATGCCACTAAATGTAGAGAAATCCTTACTAAAAAGCTAATGACATTTAAACTACAGTGCCTCTCAATTACACGAGCTCTTGCAAAACTAGGGAGGGGCACCAGCAGTGTGTTCCCATCATCATATATTTTTCACAGATTTGCAAAAGGTATTTTCATATTCTTAAGAGGGCTCTAAAGTTAATCTACTTCAGATCTCACAAAACCTCAACCTATCCCTGACCTGTGGACCCTTCACTGAGGTCTTTACTTCAGGCTGCACTTCTGCCCTGGTTCCCTCTGGCTAGTGGTCAGGTTCCTCTGCCCTCTCATTTGTCCTATTACGGCTGCACTGGCCAGCACCCCACTAACTTTCAGACTCTCTTCATGTCTCTTAGCTCAGATTCCTGAGTGCCGGAAAACAATGATTTAGACAACACTACACTGTTCCTGCCTCTGGAAATGCCAAGGATATAGTCTCTTTTTAATAGAACAATTTCATCCTTTCATTTTTCACTGCTGACATCATTAAGAACTGAAAAGCAAGATATTTAATTCCTGTCTCAGCTTCCACGAAACTCTGGAAGATGTTTAAAGGCCTAGATTATGAGCACAGAAAAACAATGGTGAATTCCCACATTTACATTTTTTTGATATCAAAGTATTCTATTTTTAAAATAATCTAAAGTATTCTATTTTTAAAATAATCCAGCACAGTCTTTTGGCTTCAATGCTCTGGTGTGCCTCTTGGATTTGACAATAAGAACACAGGTATGTTTGTGGACATGTGGAATTGTTGATTATTAAAAAATATATTATTCATTCATTCATGTCCTTATTAACAAATACTTTTTAATCTTTTTTAAGTGCCATACACTAGTCTAAGTATAGGGTATAGCAGTCAACAAAACAGAGAAATTCCCTGGCCTCATGAAGCCTACATTCTGTCTGGTAAAGACAGAAGATAACAAGATACATAAGTAAAAGACATAGTATTCTAGACTGTAATAATTTCTAACAAAACAAAATAAAACAGAGAAATGGATAAAGAGTGTGTAGGTTGATTTTGATACCATTTTACCCCAGCTGTAATGGCCATTACTAAAAAGTCAAAAAACAATAGATGTTGGTGTGGGATGTGGTGAAAACGGAGCGCTTATACACTGCTGGTGGGGTTGTAAATTAGTTCAACCTCTATGGAAAACAGTATGGAGATTTTTCAAAGAATTAAAAGTAGGCCTACCTTTCAATCCAACAATCCCAGTACTGGGTATATACCCAAAGGAAAAGTGGCCACTATATCAAATTGCATGCACATGTTTATCCCAGCAAAATTCACAACTGCAAAGTTATGTAATCAACCTAAGTACCCATCAACTGATGAGTGAATAAAGAAAACATGGTATATACATATCATGGAACACTATTCAGCCATTAAAGAAGGAACAAAATAATGTCTTATGCAGCAACTTGGATGGAATTGGAGGCCATTATCTTAAGTGAGTAACTCAGGAATGGAAAACTAAATACCACATGTTCTTGCTTATAGCAGGACCTAAGCTTTGTGTACAGAAAGCACAGAGAGTGGTATATGAACATTGGAAATTTGAAAACAAGGAGGATGGGATGGGGGTCAGGATGGAAAATTACTTATTGGATATAATGTACTCTACTCGAGTGACAGTTGCACTAAAAGCCCAAACTTCACCACTATACAATTCACCCATGTAACCAAAAACCACTCGTACTCCTAAAGCTATTGAAATAATTTTTAATAGGAGAATGTTTTCTTCTAAACACTTACTAATTACATGAATTTATAGTATAACATTTATTTTTAAATCCCCTAACAAGACGATAATGTATTCTTTCTTTCTCTATGATATATAGTATGGAAAGCTTCAAAGTACCATGGAGACCAAAGATGAAAAATAACTCTAAGGTATCATGCAAAATAAGTCTAAGGTATCAACTTAAAGTTTCTAAGAAGAAAGTAATATGCTCCATACTACTAGGGTGTGCATGTCTTTGATAGCTAAAACTATATTCTGAGTGTCATTCTATATGCACTGCAAACATCTGAAGAAACCCACCCTAAATGTAGCTGGATTGTTTTAACACAAGTGTTGTAGAAGGATATTGACTGGAACTTTTCCATTTTGTCCTTGAATTGCAGCCAAGTCCTAGTACTGAAAATATACAGGTGCTATATACATTTTCTAAACACAACCACCAAAAAGGGGACTAGGGAACTCCCCTCAGGGTTTTCTAAGTGGTAGCAAATTGCTGAGTATGATCACCCAACATCTGAGCTCTCCACACTCAAGTCTATAAAACCAGAGGGCTGGAAAAGAGAGAAAAAGTGTGTTGGGATCCACAGAGGCCTGCAAATTCTGTTGCATGGTGAGAAACAATTCTCTTCCTTCCCTGCGAGTTATCTTCTCCTCCCTAAAGCCAAAACTGTAAAGACCGTGAGTGATCCATTAGAGTAAAACTGTCATCTCATTCCTCTGTTGGCTATCTGCAAAGGCACTAAGCACTCACTGATCTGTCCCTGAATCTACCCCAGGAAAAGAGAGTTGCAGAGCAAGGCAACATCAGAGCAGCGTGCAACACCACCATCTCAATTCTGAAAAAAGTAACCCATCATAAGAAGTCTTGCTGGTTCTTAGCCCAAGATGTCTCCCTATACAGGGAGGAGACCTCAACAGAAAGAGGCTGTAGGGTGGACCATTGACACCAGGAATTAAGACAGGATGGAAGAGGTTGACTAAAATTGGATTCCCCAGGAACTGTGCATAGGAAAATATCTGCAGGATCCTCCAAAAGCCCACACCTATTCCCATGAGTGAGCCAGCCTTTGAATCCTTGCCCCACCAAGGGCACTGAAGCTTGGACAGTGTTAATCATAGGAATATTGACAACCAACCAGGAGAGGTGTGCAAGCTGCAGAAGCTGAATAACAAGATACTTTGCCTGCTTCCTCTCTCTTCCTCCCACTCCAGCACAATACAGGAAGCCTAAAAGGAGCAGAAGTACAGAAGTTTGCTTTAAAAAAATTAATTTTAATTTTTGTGGGTACGTAGTAGGTGTATAAATTTATGAGGTACATGAGATATTTTGATACAGGCATGTAATGCATAATAATCACATCATGTAAAATGGGGTATCCATCCCCTTAAGTATTTTTCTTTTGTTTTACGAGCAATCCAATTATTGTCTTTGAGGTATTTTAAATTATACAATTAAATTATTATTGACTATAGTCACTTTGTTGTGCTATCAAATATTGGGTCTTTTTCATTCATTAACTATTTTACTATACCCAACAACCACCCCCTACCTCCCCGCCACTCTCCCACTACCTTTCCCAGCCTCTGGTAACCATCCTTTTGCTATGTCCATGAGTTCAATTGTTTCAATTTTTAGATCCTACAAATAAGTGAGAACCTGTGATGTTTGTGTTTCAGTGTCTGGCTTATTTCATTTGGCATAAGGACCTCCAGTTCCATCCATATTGTTGCAAATGACAGGATCTCAGTCTTTTTTATGGCCAAATATTAGTCCATTGTGTTATATGTACCACATTTTCTTTATCCATTCATCTGTTGAGGGACACTTAGGTTGCTTCCAAATATTGATTATTGTGAACACTGCTGCAACAAACATGGGAGTGGAGAAGTCTGAATCAAGGTATGTGCTGTGGGACTGGACACAGCTTTAATAAACAAAACAACTGAAGAACTAGAATATCTGCCAAAGATGCCTACAAAGAACCAGCTGCTCAGTAGGAAAAGGGTATTCGTTTTACAATTGAAGGCTTAGAAAGAATACAACACACTTACCAATGAAAATATAACACATATAACTAGTCATGAGAAGATATGAAATAGAGACATGTTCTTGGCTCGAAAACCAAAACAACGTAAGTGCCTGACTCATAGTAGGTGCTTAATAACATTTGTATTGAGTGAATCCATCAATAGGTTGATTTAGGCTCAGTAAGAAATCCATTAATAATTAACAACCGTAGTTGAATTAATGCCCTACACTCTCTTCAATTTATGATATCTCTACAGTCTAATCCTTCCACCCACAATTCCAGTACATTATAAATGCAGGCTGAGTAGTCACAGCTTTCTTTTGAATTTATGAAATTGTTATTTAAGGCATACGTTAAGTTAGTCTGTTAGTGGCTGAAAGAATATCATCCTTTCTAATCAACCTTCAAACCTTTGATATGAGCTGGATGTGGTCCAAATCAGTTTTGGGGTTTTTTTCCCAGTCAAGGGTGGTGCATCTCCTTATTAGTATAAAAACTGAGAAATCCCTGTGAATTTTCTGAAATACCCTCTTTAATCCAGCTTCTATTTTCGGTAGGGTATCTGCATTTGACAACTTCCTCATACAACACTATCTCTAAGAAAGAAGTTAGGTTAGGTATAATCTAAACCTACAGGCATTATTTTATAATTCAAAACCTTGAGACACATAGATATAAGTGATGTGCATAAGATCACATAGCCGGACAGTGATAAAATTGGGACTAGGTTATAACAAGTCACTCCCCCTTCTCACTATGCCACTGCCTCCAACTCAGATCAGTCCATTGCAGTATACTCCCAGCCAGGGTCAACCTGCTCAGTACAACAGCTTATGTTAAAGCTGCTAGGTAAATTTCCACCCTTTCAGATCTTTTTAACCTCGTTTACATTTCACATTACTAGAGCTTTCTCAAGAGATATTAATCACAGATTTTCACATAGATTAAATGGTATGGACCAGGTGCAGTGGCTCATGCCTGTAAAATTCCAGCCCTTTGGGAGATTGAGGCTGGCGGATCACCTGAGATCAGGAGTTCAAGGCCAGCCTGGCCAACATGGTGAAACCTCACCTCTACAAAAAATACAAAAACTAGCCGGGCGTAGTGGCACACACCCAGCTACTCAAGAGGCTGAGGCAGAAGAATCACTTGAACCCAGGAGGCAGAGGTTGCAGTGAGCCGAGATCATGCCACTATACCCCAGCTTGGGGAGAGAGAGAGACTCCGCCTCAAAAAAATAAAAAGAAATAAATAAATAGTATCAATAAATGATAAATGTCTCAGTATAATTTTTCTAATTTTAATCAAAATAAATTATAGATGTCTTGTAGGCAACCACCACACACACCTCTCTTTAGTTTCCACTCCATGATCTAATACTCCAGGATGAAAGATGTTCCCCGAAAGAATTAAGTTATTACAATTTGTTTTTGACTGCAACACAAACAAGTAATTGAGGCAACTGTGCCTTTTTAAGTGTATAAAGAGAGTTTACAGAGTGGGGAGTTTTGAAAGCTACTTATCATGCTCCCATTACTGCGCTGATTCATGGGATAAAACAGCCCAGCATGGAGCTATTCTTCTAGCTTTTCACATACAAAATCATCAGATTGCATTCAACCTTGTTTTCCTATGGTTTTAAAATCAGATTTTATTAAGCTCTATATAGTCCCAAGTCCTTTGCAGCAGGTACCAACATAAATAAATAAACTCCTGCAGATATTCACAGCTCAAGAGGAGAAGGTTTGAATTAGGGCTTTGCCTAAAATCAAAGGCTGCCTTGCTGTAATTACTGACACAACTGAGATAACAAAGTGCATCAACAGATCTGCTAATGTAAGCTCTGTGCTTCCTCTGATTGGTAACACTCCTCTCTTGTTTCTCCTGAATTAACATTGTTCCATATTTCTCTGCAACAGATTTTGAGCAGCTCTAGTTGCCACATGTATGACACTATAAACTTCATCAACAGGAAAGCCCTCGCCAAAAAAGAGCAGTTGAGGAAATTTTAGGCAGGAATATAAAATTATAATAAATCAGAAATGTAGATAAGAATATCTGGGAAGGAACTTTGGCCAAAGACAATGGCTTTGTAAAAGAAAGAACATTTTCTAAAGCTATGGTTGCTGTAACAACTAGCCCAATAAGGTTTACTTTCCAGCAAAAGATTTAAAAGTTCAATAAGCTAGGAAATTACTTTTAGATCCTGAAGTTAAAAGTTAAGGCCCACAGAGATTAAAAGTTAATAATACTAAGAGTCTTAATAAAAATTTATTCAAAAATCTTTTTAAGAACATTTCAACACTAAAAATAGCAGCAAATAAAGTGAGAAGCATGACACAAGCAGAAAGCAAGAAGATGGGTGCAGTTAGGAAGGCACAAACAGCCTGAAAGAAGTTTCAGCTTTCCACAATCTACCTCAAATATACTCTTACAAATTGTAGAGGACAGAGAAGATTGAAGAAAAAAAGCCTGAAGCAAAACTCCACTTAAAATGTCTTTATTCTAATGTGAAGTTGAGGCTATAAAGACATTGCCAGCATCACAGATTCAACAAATTTATTTAGAATTCAGTAAGTGCAAAACATTAAGTGCCGCTGTAATAACAACATCATGTGACACAAATGGCAAGACCACAAAGAACTAGAAAATGTCACTTTTCTAACAAAAATTTCAAGTTATGCCTTGGCAAATAAGGGAAGAATACATATACATGTGAATATAAATACATAAGTGCTGGAAACATGTATAAGCATGCAAACATCCTTTCAGTTACACTCTAGGTTGATACCTCCTGGGGAAATCACACGGGAGAAGTGTTACATGTGTTGGTGTTACACATGTTACATGTGTTAACAACATGGACTTTAAAAATAACTATATATTACTCAGTGCCTTCTCCACACTAAGTATATTTACTTATTTAATTTTTCACAACAGTGCACCAAAACAAGTGCCATTCAGAAATTAAACTTGCTCAATGTCACAAGCTATTAAACGGGAAGTTAAAATATTAACCAGCTCTTTCTGACTCCAGGGTTATCAGTCTTTCCACTATACAATATTACCTCTTTAAATTAATTCACAAGGCATTTCAACAAGTGTAAATGGTGTATACACCTTATTTGTTGATTTGCTTCTTTCTTTTTAAGTGGTACCAACACCCAACTTCAAACAACATACATTAGGCCCATAAAAGGTCAGAATAGTTGACTTACACAGAGAAGGAATAATTTGTGCCTATATACTTTTGGAATCCCTAAAAGAAATTATTCCTTATAGTGATATGATAAAAGAAAAATAACACATACTAAAATATGCTAGTGTCTGAAAAGAATACAGAAAATAAACATGAAGTGTGCAATGAAGTGATGATAGAGAACTGGCATGTAAGACTCTCAGTAAAATTTATTGGTAATAGAATTACAAGTAATTGACTCTACTTTCCGGCCTTGGCCAAGACACTAAACTCCCACTGCTTCCACTGGAGCTGGGCAAGATGGTCATTCATGTAATGTTTACACTTCATTTATGTGATTTTATCCACCATATATTTTTATTTATGACAGATTTTCCCTTAGGGATAAAACACCACAAATTTATTCTGACAAGCTGAAAAGTCAGATCTTCTTCACTGAGTGTATTTGGTACAGAACAGAAAAGAAGAAACTCATCACAGCCACTGTCCCCCACTGTCTTCTCTTCTTTGGCAGGCCCCACATTTCTCCTTAATGCTTTGTGAGCACTAACATTTTAATCTGAATGACAAAATTTCTGTAAAAAACAAAGACTTCTCTCAAGCAGTCAAAACTATCTTATTTTCTTTCCTGTCTCCTAAATTCATGGTTATAGGTTATATAGTTGTAACTTTTTACTTGCTTTCTCTTAGAGTTCATTTCATATACCCTGACAGTGTATTTTCTTTTATTTTCTTTCCATATAAAAGAAGGCCAACTTTTTAAAAATAGGAGAAAAAATGTTAAAATCAGGAAACTTCCAGTGTGGAAGGTGAGTTAAATTTGGTCTGATATAAATTTGAGATTTTCAGTAAACAATTGATAATTAAGGCTTGAAATGGATGAAAACACCTAGAAAATGGGGATGTATGTGTATATAGATAGAATAAACAGGCCAGGTGCGGTGGCTCACGCCTGTAATCCCAGCACTTTGGGAGGCTGAGGTGGGCAGATCATGAGGTCAGGAGTTCGAGACCAGCCTGGCCAACATGGTGAAACCCCGTCTCTACTAAAGATACAAAAAATTAGCTAGGTGTGGTGGCGCGTGCTTGTAATCCCAGCTACTTGGAAGGCTGAGGCAGGAGAATTGCTTGCACCCAGGAGGTGGAGGTTGCAGTGAGCCGAGATCATGCCACTGCACTCCAGCCTGGGTGACAGGCAAGACTCCAGCTCAAAAAAAAAAAAAAAAAAAAGAAGAATAAAGGACAAAGGACTGAACTCTTGGTTCTTGCAACATTAAAAGGTCAAGTTGATATAGAAGAACTAGCAACAGAGACTGAAAAGCAGTGATATAGGAAAAAATGTGAAGAGTATTGGTTTTGAAAGCCAAGCAAATAATGTGTTTTGAAGAAGAATGATCCCCTCTGTAAAATGATACTGACATTTGTCAGGTTCCCTAGAAAATGGACTATGAGGCAAATTCTCTGTTGAGGGGTACAATACCAAGGCATCAAAAGTAAGAAAGGATGTGACAATAGGAGTAGAGAACACATGATAAGGTGGTGCATAACTGAGCCTAACAGAGCTTTGCATGGCCATTGCTCAATCACAAGGGATGTCTGAAGACAGCATATGGAGTTAGTACATTTCAAAGAGTCCACTGGTATAGAAGTTAAGGGTAGGAATGTATCTGCTGGCTCCTTTCTATCTCTTCTCTCTCACTGGTCAAAGTTTGCCCCAGAGGGCATTGATTTTCCGGAACTACCTAGTTTTTACCTGGCCCCATGCACCATTAGGTAGCACTTCATCTGAGTTTAGACACAGCAGGTAGCCCTTCTGTGGTTCTAGCCAGGCCATACCTGGACACAGGAAATACTATGCCTCTTCCCACGATGGACACAATGGAGACCATGAAGAATCCAGCCTTTGGTCTAGGGAATGAGAAGACTACCAGTGGTGTTAAAACATAAGCAGAAGTAGCTGGGGCTCTCCATTAAGGGAGCCTCCAAGGCTTAATGGTGAGAGTGGAGCCATAAGAATCAGGTGAGGTGCATAAATTGCACAAATTGTACTGAGAACTCACTAGTGGATTTAGCAACCTGGAGATATTGTTACTATCTCTTTAGGTGCTCTCAATGACTATTTTTATCAATAAACTTCAATCAGAACTATTTCTTCCATTGGATATTTTCTTAATTTTTTAACCATAAAAGAAAGGGATTAAGATCTTCATCTCGGCCGGGCGTGGTGGCTCACGCCTGTAATCCCACCACTTTGGGAGGCCAAGGTGGGTGGATCACGAGGTCAGGAGATCTAGACCATCCTGGCTAACATGGTGAAACCCCGTCTCTACTAAAAATACAAAAAAATTAGCCGGGCGTGGTGGTGGGTGCCTGTAGTCCCAGCTACTCAGGAGGCTGAGGCTGGAGAATGGTGTGAACCTGGGAGGCGGACTTGCAGTGAGCCAAGATCGGGCCACTGCACTCCAGCCTGGGCGACTGAGTAAGACTCCGTCTCAAAAAAAAAAAAAACAAACAAACAAAAAAAAAAGATCTTCATCTCTTTGCTCTCCAAGTGGCTTCTTGGTCCTCATGCAAATCTTTAAAACTCCTCTACAGAACTATACATACCAAGGATATCGGGAGTAGATGCTGTATTTAGCCACAAAGAAAAAGCAAGTCTCATTATACCTTTCCCTGGGAAACTGGGGGCTACCTGCCTTGCCTTATTGGCACACACATACACACACACACACACACACACAAGGGATTTGGCAAAATTAGTTAATTAAAAGTTTTGTATAATTCAACAGTATGATATATATATATATATTTATATACTATATATATTACATATATATATATACATTTTTTTTTTGAGATGGAGTCTCACTCTGTTGCCCAGGCTGGAGTGCAGTGGCCCAATCTCGGCTCACTGCAAGCTCCGGCTCCTGGGTTCATACCATTCTCCTACCTCAGCCTCCCGAGTAGCTGGGACTACAGGAGCCCGCCACCACACCCAGCTAATTTTTTGTATTTTATTAGAGACGGGGTTACACCATGTTAGCCAGGATTGTTTTGATCTCCCAACCTCGTGATCCACCTGCCTCGGCCTCCCAAAGTGCTGGAATTACAGGCATGAGCCACCGCGCCCAGCTGTATGATATACATTTTTAAAAGGCTAATACAATCTCAGTTTGTATTAAAAAATGACCAATGGCTAGATTTATAAACTGAAATCGATTACCATTTTTAATTCTAAATTCCAGGTTTAAAATGAATCTTTGACAAATTGGAGTATGACATGAATGGTCTGTAAATCATGCTTTAAATGAACACATGACTACACGATGGATAGGCATCTTTCAGAAAAAAGTCTAGGAGAAACTGCAAAGAATTACCATGAAGAAGAATACATGGATTTATTTTACTTTACTACATAAAAAGCTAGACTAGAACCAAAAGATGATCATGAGAATATCAGGCTTAAGTTTAAAATTTGATTCAACACACCTATGAACTTCTGGGAATTACAGCTACTCCAATAATAAAGCAGATGATCCTAGAGAGAATTTATTTTGGCCCATGCAGATATTTGGATGAGTTTGGATACACCGAGTGGGAGGTTACACTAATTCAGTACTTTAGAGTTCTGTTCATCAAAATCATCTAAGAATCTTTTTAAAAACTGATTTGGCTCCATTCCAAACATACTAAGTTAGAATAACTGGGAATAAAGCCTGGCCATCTATAATGAACTGAATATTTATGTTCCCCCCAATAATTTATAAGCTAAAACCCCAAGGTGATGATATAGGAGGTGGGGCCTTTGAGAGGTGATTAAGTCATAAGGACAAGGCCCTCATGAATGGGATTAGGGTCCCTATATTAAAAAAAAGTCCCCAGAGAGCTCATTTGTCCCTTCTACTATGTGAAGACACATCTAGAAAGTTCAGATCTATGAACCAGAAACAGGCCCTCACTAGACACAGAATCTGCTGGCAGTTGGATGTATCAGCCTCCAGAATGCTGAGAAATAAAATTATGTTGTTTACACACCACCTAGTTCAACGGTATTTTGTTATAGCAGCCTGAACAGACAAATACAAGATCTCTATTTTTTTTTTTAATCTCGCCAGGCTATATCTGATAGTGCTGGTCAAATCAGCATTTGAGTCTCCAACAGCAGAGCAACAGATCTACACTGCATGCCCTGTGTCATTATGGTCAAGCATAAAAATCTAGAATCATATAAATGTCCTTTGGTCAAACTCTGTCCTTCAAGAATGAACAACTTCTTCAGTATGTTTATTTAGGATGATGTAGAAATTCATGCAATCGGGCCGGGCGCAGTGGCTCACGCCCGTAATCCCAGCACTTTGGGAGGCCGAGGTGGGCAGACCATGAGGTCAAGAGATCGAGATCATCCTGGCTAACATGGCGAAACCCTGTCTCTGCTAAAAATACAAAAAAATTAGCCAGGCGTGGTGGCAGGCACCTGTAGTCCCAGCTACTCAGGAGGCTGAGGCAGGAGAATCGCTTGAACTCAGGAGGCAGAGGTTGCAGTGAGCCAATATCGCGCCACTGCACTCCAGCCTGGGTGACAGAGTGAGACTCCGTCTCAAAAAAAAAAAAAAAAAAAAAAAGAAAAAGAAAAAGAAAAGAAAGAAAGAAAAGAAAAAGAAAAAAATTCATGCGACCCTTCAGAAACTTCGACCATAGAATTAAATAAACAGTTGCTTAGATAAGCGGCTCCCAACCTTTTGGCACCAGGGACCGGTTTTGTGAAAGACTATTTTTCCATGCTTGGGGGTGCTGGATGGCATTGGGATGAAACTGTTCCACCTCAGATCACCAGGCATTACATTCTCATAAGGAACATGCAATCCAAACCCCTTGCATGCACAGTTCACAATAGGGTTCACGCTCCAATGAGAATCTAATGAGCCTCTGTTCTGACAGAAGGCGGAGCTCAGGCATTAATGTTTGCTCGCCCACCACTCACTTCCTGCTGTGCAACCCAGCTTTTCACAGGCCATGGACAGGTACCGGTCAGCAGCCAGGGTGTTGGGGATCCCTGACTTACATGATACATTTTTAAAACATCCAGCTGTCTTTCAGAAAGTCTTTTCCACTATCAAGAGGGATTTTTTTTTCTTAGAATACAGCTTTCTCTCTGTCTAGCAAATCATTTCATCATATGTGAATTATTTAGGCAAGATCAGTGGTTCTCAATGTGTGATCCCCACACAAGCAGTATCAGCATCACCTGGGAACTTCTCTGGAGGGAGATCCAAGTAATTTGTGTTATAACAAGATTTCCAGGTGATTTTGATGCATACTCTCAAGTTTAAGAACAACAGGCTCAGATTAACACCCAGGGGGGTGGGAGCAGATGTTTCGATAAGATGGAGTTTATCCTTTGACATTCCAAATTCTGCAAAATGGTGGTCAAAGAATGTTACGGACAATTTAAATATATTTTCCTTCCTGATTCCAGCACCACAAGTTATAGGGACTGCTTATTCTATGGATTCTCAATAAAAATCAATTTGAACTTAAAATGAGCATAAGTAAACACACATACACGCATCTTAAAGACAAATATCAATTCTGAGAGACAGAATAAATAAAGCATGCAGTTGCTAGAAATGTTTTTCTAAAGGTCCTTTAATTTGGAAAGACCAATTTTCATAGTAAAATCAGTAGATGTTAGTATTAGGTTGGTGCAAAAGTAATTGTGGTTTTTGCTATTTTTTTTAAGTGTTACAAAAACCACAGTTACTTTTGCACCAATCTAATATGAAAAACAGTCTTTATTCCTTTCCTTCATTCCTGCTTCTAATTCATCAACCCCTCTGAATTAGTCGAAACTAATAAAGAGGCCCATTACTTAATGGACTCTCTCAAAACTATACGAAAACAAGCTCTTCGACTATGAAATTCCAACTGGTTTAAAATTTTAGCCATAAGTCAAGCACACAGTGGCAGGCTCCTGTAGTTCTAGCTACTCAAGAGCCTGAGGTGTGAAGATTGCTTGAGGCCAGGAGTTCAAGATGAACATAGTGAGACCTTTCTGGGCAACACAGTGAGACCTTTCTCAGAAAAGAAAAAAGAAAAAGAAAAAGCCACAATTCATTCTCAATCTCAGTCTTTGACAGGTGAGAAAATGAAGAGAGTATCTCTATTTGGCCTGGGAAAAGACAGCAAATTCAAAATCCTTATGAACATTATTTGAATTAATGAATGAATACTTCTCTGTGTGCATATAAATGCTTGGGAGGCTGTTTGTGTCTCTGTTACACAATTCTGATCTTTTAATTATACTGCTTACATTTTATAAAGAGTGAGAACCTGCCTGCATACAAGAAGGTAGGCATTCATATTTAAAATTATAGTTATGGGCCATTGGGAAAGAGTTTCTTTTTCTGCATGTTTATGAAGCTTAAACACTTATTTTGATAGAGATTAATGTGTGCTCTATAATTAAATACAAACTATATATTCAATCACTGTACCTCCCCAATTATCAGATTATACTTGACTCATTACTAACTTTAGAGGAGCATGTTGATGAAGTATCTTCTGAATGAAGGTTTCACTTTTATAGTGCTCTTAATTATTTTTTCTACTTACTATTTAATTTTTTGTAAATTATAGTTTGATGATTAAAACAATTTTTTGCAGCTATCTTGTGCCAAACTGACCAGTTATTACAGGGATGAAGAATCTTCGGTTGTAAGAAACAGCAAAAGAGGAAATACAAAGCATGTGTGCAATAAGTCTTTGATCCAGATGACTGCCAACATAACTTCTAGCTCTAAAAGTCTAAGGCCCAAAGATATCAAAATAAACATACTGATCCTTACAATACAGCCTTTGGTAAATAACACAAAAGAGGGAAAATAACCTTATGTTTGAGAGACAATAACCTTGGCCAAAAAACTGGATGGTCAGCCAAAAATATGAGAGAGCAATTGTGCGAATAAACGAAGACAAAGAGGTTCTGAGGCTTCCTTAGTGAAAAGATCCTCACTATTGAATCCCAATCTTCTCATTAGATGATTTTTCTGTCAAAGGGTGTTTGGAGTCTTCAAGCTTATTAATTCAACCAGGTGGATCCCACAGATATGAATATAATTGCCCAAATCTGGGAAATAAATTATTCATCAAAAAAACTATAATGGGTAAGGTAGTTATGAAAATAACCCAAATTCTATTGAGAATAGATGGGCAAAGGCTTGTAAATTACTAAAAGCCGTCTAAGAGCAAAAATGTTCAGGAAAGAGCATAGGACATTTAAAAATATCAGAAGGAATGTAGAGAGAGGTAGAAATTCAGTTGATGGACACTGAAGAGAAAAGAAACATATACTAAATAAAAGAAAGTCCCTCAAAGAAGCTCATCTGATTCCAAAACAGAAAGAGGGGAAAGCAGAAATAATGCAAAAACCATAGGCTACAGATTCAGGAAAGGGCCACTGAAATATTTACATAAGATTCTTATCCACATAGATATGCATCTTTTGATTTCTCCCTGTTATAGACTGAATGGTCATTCCCCCCGACCCCAAAACTCATATGTTAAAATCTAACCCCTAATGTATTTGAGTGTGGGGGACTTTAGAAGGCGATTAGGTCGTGAGTGCAGAGCTATCATAAATGAGATTAGCACCTCTATAAAAGAAACCCCAGAGAGCTTCCTTTTCCTTTCCACCAAGTGAAGACAGTGAGAAGACAGCCAACTATGAACCAGAGAGCAGGCTGTCACTAGACACTTATTTGTGTGTACCTTGATCTTCGATTTCCTAGCCTCTAGAAACTGAGAAGTAAACTTCTGTTGTTTATAAGCTGCCTAGCCTATGGTATTTTAGTTATGGAAACCTCAACAGACTAAGACACAACTATTTAAGGCAAATATTGTACTCTCCCCTTACACAGAGAGAAAACTATTATAAGATATTAAGCATATGTAGAACAGTTGAGACAGGCAAGCATATATCACAGAATTTGATTGGCTTGGTATTGTGACTGCAGAGATGAAACTGAAAAAAAAATGTATATGTTACAGAAGAAAAATGGACTGACTGTCTCAAAGAAACTCTGATAATAGCTTACAGATTTTATCTGGTTCAATCATTCATTGGGTGACCAGATCCTTTCAAGACCAATGACCTCCTAGCTACCAGGAGTGGGGTTTTATTTTTTAAAGCACGTCTAAGGTAGAGAGCTCTTATATGAAGTGTTGAGTAAAGCTAAGAGACATACAAAAATGCATAATGGAAGTAATGGTTTAAATATTAAAAGAGAGTAAAAGGCATAAAGTTCAGATGAACCAAGGGCAAGGATTAAGCTTCAAGTCACATAGTCAATCACTCAAAAAACTGGAATGTCTTATGGAATTCCTTAGTGATTTTTAATATAGTCTGTGTGTATAGTTCTCATTTATGGATGAAAGAAGACAGGTACAGTGAATGGATTAAGAAAGATGAAAGTAGTGATTGGAAAGGTGACTTGGCTTAAGAGTCAGTGGTAAGGCACACAAGTTGAGTAGCTTATAGAACATCGCACCACCAACTCCTTTGGCTGCTCCAAATCAACAATCAGTAAAGCTGACATATCATACCTTTAATACTGGTGTTATTTTCCTGATGAGGGACAGCAAGAGCTTGAAAAAAAGATTCCAATACTAACAAAAAAAAAAAAAAGAAGAACCTCCTACCCCAGTAAAGGAATACCTGAACCAAATGTGAACCATCTTCTTTCTAAGGTTAAAAAAATATGGCTTTGTTGGGGTACTTTCCCTATACCAAAGGATCTCAGAACATCTCTTAGAATACATGAAGGAATTTAATCTACAGATACAGATAAAGAATTAGCTGTGTATTAAAAGGCATTTATATAAGAAGAATAGTTTATCTTGCTTTATTTTATGACCAAGTTTCTCAAGCCTTCAAATTACAAACTCATTAGGCTAGACATATCATCAGTTATTCATAAAATGTAAACAGAACATAAACATGTCCCCTAGATGAAGAATATAAATATGATAAATGTTATTTACCTTTGACTATATTTCACAGACAATAAAAGGGGATTATCTTCCACTAGCACTTAATTTGGGAGCACTTTTCCCTTGGCAAGTTAGGGCTTCAAGGCTTGAGAGGGTCATGTAATAAAGGATTAATATATTAATTATATATAGGTTTGTCTGTGAATGACAAAAAATTAAAAAGTATTAACTTTAAAAACAAATAGAAGGTTATTTCTCTCTCAGGTAAAATCCAATAGAATCCTTCTATTTTATGGCCCACCTGGCATGGTTTCCACTGTCAAATTTACCTCATGGTCCAAGATGGCTACTCCAGCTCCAGCCGGCAAGTCCCCATTCCAGCCAGCAAGGTAAGAAAAAAGAAGGTAGGGCCGGGCGCAGTGGCTCAAGCCTGTAATCCCAGCACTTTGGGAGGCCGAGGTGGGTGGATCACAAGGTCAGGAGATCCAGACCATCCTGGCTAACACGGTGAAACCCCGTTTCTACTAAAAATACAAAAAAATTAGCCAGGCGTGGTGGTGGGCGCCTGTAGTCACAGCTACTCCGGAGGCTGAGGCAGGAGAATGGTGTGAACCTGGGAGGCGGAGCTTGCAGTGAGCCAATATCGCGCCACTGCACTTCAGCCTGGGCGACAAAGTGAGACTCTGTCTCAAAATAAATAAATAAATAAATAAATAAATAAATAAATAAATAAAAAGAAAAAAAGAAGGTAAAAGATATCTCCCTGCCCACAAAGACTGCTATGATTTGAATGTGTCCACAAAAGTTTATGTGTTAGAAACATAATACCCAATGCAACAGAGTTAAGAGGCAGGGCCTAATAAGAGGTGGGATCTTTAAGACTTGACTATGTTCCCAGACTGAACCAAGGGTCAGGCTGCTTATTCTCATGGTCCAATAATGAGATGCAAATGAACCGGGAAACAAAAGGGTTTATTTCTATAACCAAGTACAGGGAAAAGTCTGGGAAATTATCGCCAGACCAACTCAAAATTATGAAGTTCTTCAGGGCTTATGTACCTTCTAAGCTGTATGTCTACATGTAAGTGTGCATTCATCTAAAGACATAAGTGATTAATTCCTTCTAATCTATAACTAAGGTCTGAGTCTTGGGAACCTTCCTCCGAAGCCTCAGTAAATTTATTAAACTAGTGTGTCCAGATGCCAAATGTGATTACCCTTATCTTCTGCTAAGTTATGAAGGTTTGGGGAGTTATTTTCAACCCCTAATGAATCTTGTTTAATCCTAAATGGATCCTGGTATGAGGAGTGTGAGCATTCCTTTGTTATCTTGTCATGCTTCAAGGCTCAGGAAGGCCTAGGCAAAACTCTTCCCGGGCCCTTATTACTCGTTCCAGCCTTTGTGTAAGGACACTGGTTCTCTCAGCCTTTAATATTTAACCTAACCATTTAGTCAGTATGAAACAGTTGTTATGGAGGCCTGCCTGTTCAGCTTTTGTGAGACCTGGCCTGCCACAACTAGATTATGTGACCTCTGCCCTCATGAATGCATGGATGCTGTTATCACAGGAGAGGGGTTTGTTGTGACAGGAGTGGGCTCCTAAGAAAAAGTTTGTCTTGATTTCTTCTTTCTGTCTTCAGAATAAAACTTGTTTAATCCTAAATGGGTCCTGGTATGAGGAGTGTGAGTATTCCTTTGTTATCTTGTCATGCTTCAAGGACTACCTGTTCAACTTTTGTGAGACCTGGCCTGCCACAACTAGATTATGTGACCTCTGCCCTCATGAATGCATGCGTGCTGTTATCACAGGAGAGGGGTTTGTTATGACAGGAGTGGGCTCCTAATAAAAAGTTTGTCTTGACTTCTTCTTTCTGTCTTCAGAATAAAACTTGTTTAATCTTAAATGGGTCCTGTTACGAAGAGTGTGAGCACTCCTTTGTTATCTTGTCATGCTTCAAGCCCCAGGAAGACTTGGGCAAGATTCTTGGTGGGCCTTCATAACTTGTTGAACAAAGTTTTATTATTCACTTCCACCTTCCACCATGGTACGACCCTTGCCAGGTGCCAGTGCCATGATCTTGGACTTTCCACTCTCCAGAACTGTGAACTGAATAAAATTCTATTGTTTATAATTTACCTAGTTTGTGGTATTCTGTTATAGCAGCAGAAATCAGACTAAAGCAGAACATTTATACTGAGAAGTGGGGTTGTTACTATAACAAGTATGTGAGAATGTGGGAGACACTTTGGAACTGGGTAATGAGCAGAGGCTGGAAGAGTTTTGAGGATTGGGCTAGAAACAGCCTGTATTGCCATAAATTAAGTGTTAAGGATGACTTTTGTTTGTTTGTTTGTTTGTTTTTTGAGACAGAGTCTCTCTCTGTCACCCAGGCTGGAGTGCAGTGGCATGATATCAGCTCACTGCAAGCTCCACCTCCCAGGTTCATGCCATTCTCCTGCCTCACCCTCCTGAGTAGCTGGGACTACAGGTGCTCACCACCATGCCTGGCTAATTTTTTGTATTTTTAGTAGAGACAGGATTTCACCATGTTAGCCAGGATGAACTCGATCTCCGGACCTTGTGATCTGCCCACTTCAGCCTCCCAAAGTGCTGGGATTACAGGCGTGAGCCACCTCACCCAGCCAAGGATGGCATGATCTCCGCTTACTGCAAGCTCCGCCTCCCGGGTTCACACCATTCTCCTGCCTCAGCCTCCCAAGTAGCTGGGACTACAGGCACCCACCACCATGCCCGGCTAATTTTTTGTGTTTTTAGTAGAGACTGGGTTTCACCATGTTAGCCAGGATGGTATCGATCTCCTGACCTTGTGATCTGCCCATCTCAGCCTCCCAAAGTGCTGGGATTACAGGCATGAGCCACTGTGCTCGGCCAGCCAAGGATGATTCTTATGAGGACTCAGAGAAAGGGAAAGCCTGGAACTTCTTAGAGATTACTTAAGTGGTCATAACCCAATTGTTGATAGAAATATGGACATTAGAGGCCATTCTAATGAGGACTCAAACAG
This sequence comes from Homo sapiens, assembly GCF_000001405.40. Lineage (NCBI taxonomy): Eukaryota > Metazoa > Chordata > Mammalia > Primates > Hominidae > Homo > Homo sapiens. Next base: position 102,165,280 of record NC_000004.12, read on the forward strand.
AAATTAGTAACAACATATTAGAAACTAGAGTAAAGGCCATCCTTATTATAAAGTAGCAAAGGCTGCCTGAATTGCATTTGTGTCCTAGGACTTTATGGAATGTAGAACTTAGGAGTGATGAAGTAGGATATCTTGCAGAGGAAATATAATACCTAAGCAGCAAAGCATTCAGGCTGCTGTGTGGTTACTTCCAACCGCATATGTTGAGATCCAACAACAAAGGAATGAATTAAAGATGGAATTTATAATTAAAAGGAGAGTAGAACAGAAATGTTTGGAAAATTTTCACCTTGGCCATGTAAGGAACCAAAACGCATGGGAGAAAACACTAAGAGGATGGCTACACAACCATTTGCTAAAAAGATTCACATGGCTAGGAGGGATTCAGGTGCTATTCACCAAGTCAACAGGAGAAAGACCCGGAAGGCATTTCGGAGTTCTTCCAGGCTGCCCCTCCCCTTACAGCCCTAGAGCTCCAGTAGGGCAAATGGTTTCGTGGGGTGGGCCAGGGCGCCCTCCAAAGGCTCACTTCCCAGAGCTACCGCGAGACTCTGCTCCCTGCATTATAGTACAGCACTCCTCATCCACCCCAGCCATGGCTCAAACAACTCCAGGTGTAACTTAACATACCTAGCTGTAACCTTGCTGGCGTCCACATGGCATTAATTCTGCAGGTGCACAGAATACAAGAGCTGTGGGGGCCTGGCCTCCTCCACATAGATTTCAATGTCCGTGTTGCAGTTAGCCTTGGGGCCCAAGCAGAGATTTGCTACAGGGGCGAAGCCACAGCTGAGAGTCCCCACAAGGGCAATGCCAAACAGAAATGTGGAGTTGTAGCTGCCACAGAGAATCCCCACTGAGTTAATGCCTAGTGGAGCCATGGGAGCAAGACCATCCCTGAGACCTCAGAACTGTAGAGCTACCAGTGTGCAATACTAGCCTGAGAGAGATGCAGCCACAAGACACTAACCTAGAAGATCTAAAGCATGGGCTGAGACCAGCAATGCCATGAAGGCAGAGTTACTTGAGGTCTTGGGGGACCAACTCCTGGCCTAGCATGCCCAGGATGCAGTACATGGAGTCAAAGATTACTCTCCAGCTTTAAGACTTAATGTTGTTTCACTGTTAGGTTTTGGACTTAATTGAGGCCTTTTACTGCTTTCTCTTTTGGAATGAAAACGCTTATCGCATGCCTGTCCTACCATTGTATTTTGGAAGTAGATAACTTGTTTAATTTCACAGACTCACAGTTGGAAGGTATTTGCCTCAAGGTGAATCATGCCTTAAGAGTCTCACCCACATCTTATTTAGATGAGATTTTGGACTTTGGACTTTTGAGTTGATGCTGAAATGAGTTAAGGCTTTGGAACCATTGGGATGAAATCAATGTATTTTGCATTGTGAGAAGGAGGTAAATTTGGGGGTGCAGAGGAGGAATACTATGGTTTGAATGTGTCCTCTAAAAGTTCATGTATTGGAACTTAATCCCTAATACAACAGTGTTGGGAGATGGGGCCTAATAAAATGTGGGACACTTAATCTCTGCTCTCATGCATGGATTAATGCCACTGTCATGGATGTGGGCAGTTATCACATGAGTGGGCTCCTAATAAAAGGATGAAGTTTGGCCCAGTTTTCTGTCTTGTGTGCTCACTTGCACTTTCTGCCTTCCATCATCAGATGACCCTCACTAGACACCAGTGCCATCCTCTTGGACTTCCCAGCCTCTGAAATCATGAGCCAAATAAACTTCTACTGTTTATAATTTACCCAGTCTGTGGTATTCTGTTATAGCAGCAGAAAATGAACCAAGACAATAATATTTCCCAAAAGTTGCCCAACAGTTTCTTTTACATCTTACTGGACAAAATGAACATCTGGCTGCAAAGAATTTACAAAAGAGTCTTTAGTCTGGTTGGCCACAAGCCTAATCCATAGTTGGGAATTCCATTATTGAATAACAAGGGGAGGATTAGGGTAACCATGTAATTTATCTTCCAAACTAAGACACTATTGAGTTATCAGAGAGCACCATCAATAATTAGTCTAGGATGACATATGAAAACTGGAACATAAGGTCACCCGGGGGAGAGCAGATACTAAAGTGTAACAAGCAGTCTGCCATTGTTAATAATACTGGCTACTGTGTTTCAAGGCCAAAAAATGTGTCAGGTATGTAGCACTCACCTAGCTTTTTACTTATTTAGTTGATATTATAACACTCTGAAGTCAATATTTTTATCCTCATTTTAATAGCTAAGAGATCAATGCTCAAAATTAAGTTGCCCATAGCTACACAGATAGTGTCAAATCTGAAAATCAAATTCATTGCTTTTTACGTCTAGTTCCCCTGTTCTTTAACAGCCCTAGTTCCAGCTGCTACTAACTTATGTAAAAAACATGTTCCATGATCTCAAATGCATTATGCTAAGTTAAAGAAGCCAAACATAAATAAATGTATACAGTATGATTCTACATATATAATTATAGAAAAGGCAAAACTAGAATGATAGAAGGCAGATTAGCCCTTGCAGGAGAGGGATCAGAGTTGAGATGAGCTACAAAGGCACAGGACAGCTATTTGGGGGTTGATTTAAATATTCTGTCATGATTGTGCTGGTGGGCATATGGTTGAGCTCATTTATTAAACTCATTGTACTATTCCTCTAATATTAAGAGGAAGAGAAAGAAGAAATATTTAAATCAATCATTCTCTGGTATGGCCACAAAAAAAATGGTGATCAAGTATATCAGAGGTGTGGGAGGTATGAGTTTGCAGTTCTTATAACCCAATATTCTCATTTGTATCACCAGAAGTAGAGACCAAAGAGGATATCCTCCATTTCACTAGCTCCTTGTGTGTTTCTGTGACCCTTCAGATGAGCTGGAGTTATGTATTGGGCCTCTTCAAGAAACCCCAAGAGACATCTTCTCTAATAAGATGATTCTTCTTCTGAGGTCCCACTTGCTTCCACATAACCTCTCCACATGGTTACTTTCTTCAATTTATTTTCTTCTATTTATTTGATTATCTATATGTCTATGATTATTGAATGATCAAAACTATAGATGCTCTGGGAGAAAAGAAACAAGCCCTATAGTAACTGCAAAGCTTCTAAAAATAAAATACCATGACCTTCAGTAGCAGAGTTGCTATTGCTTCATTGTGAAGCATGCTATATAACAGAGAGAAAGTTTTTACCCAATTCAGTAGCTAAAAGAGAGCCATTTGAAGGAATTTCTGTAGATTCTGTGCAGGAGACTGATGTAATGAAAACCATGCTTCAGTAAAATGAATCTGGAAAAGTTATATAGAATAGATTAGAGTAGGGAGAGATTGTAGGAGGCAAGATCAATTAGGAAGCCTTCACAATGGCTCGAGTAAGAGCAAATGAAGGCCTGAACGAAGTTGGGCAGTGGGCGCAGAAAGGCCAGGGTGAAATGTGATTAGGTAGTTGACAGCTGAGGAGGAGAATGCAACCAGAGACTATTCTCCCTCCACCCACCACTCTCTGGCCCAGACCCAGAAGTGCAATGAGGAGGAAAAACAGTACAGTCTAACAAATAAAGGTGTGGGTGGCCCTGGAACAACCTACTGAGGTACTGAAATTGTTATTATTTCCCTGTAATTTTCATTATTTCTATCCTAGTCACAGTATTTATGTATTTGTTTTGTTTTGTACTGCCGTGTACATTTCTGTAACAGCTAGGGAACATTGACATTAAATGCCTTGTAAATTGTTCTTTGTTAAATTCGATTCTAATGTAACTGGCTACCATCAATAAGGTTATTATTATCCTGCTGTCCTCTTTCAGTAATTCTATCTCCTCCCTTTAATTGTTCTGGTTATTCCATATGTCCCTTTTTTTCATTACCTACACAGTTGACAGTTGGCAACTTTTTTTTTTTTTTTTTTGCTTGTGCTTTTTTTTTCTGGTTAGCTATATTTTGTAACAGGTTTATAAAATTTAACTCCCATTATAACTCAGATATGAAGAGAAAATGAAAGTTCTTTATAGTTATACTTAATCTGACCCTCTGTCTTAGTCTCATCCCCATTAGTTAATAGGAAATATTAAGTTTTTAAATCTCATCCAATAGTGCTGACTTCGTCTCTCAAAAAAAAAAAAAATCATTCAGTCCCAAAGCTACCCTTCCTCCCCTGCATTTCTACCTAATGTGGCATATGGTGCCTTGTGGTAAGGGGTGGAAATGAGGCTTTTGAGTCCCCAGGGAAAAGGAAAGAGCCAGCTTTCAGTGCAATGTACTCTGCTTCCCCAGGTCTCCATGGCAACACCCATGGCTCCTGGGAGCTGTTTGCCCTGCTGCTAGGCTGCATAGCTTCACTCTATGTCAGTGGCACTCATGTTTTGGTGTCTCTTGGCTTTGTCAGCCATTGGTAGTATATCCTGGTCAACCCTGGCTCATCCCTGCTCCTACTTGCCACAGATCTCCGAATAACAACTACAACCTCCTTTCAGTCCGTGGGCCTGTGGGGGTCCACCAACCCTCACTCCAGTCCCAGGAACATCACCGGGTGGGCCCACTCTTCCAGATCTAGCTTCTCACTGGAGGCCCTTGCAAGCAGCTCAGGAGAGCCATCCTGTAAGATGTCCCTCTTCTGACCACACTGTACAGCTACATTGCTACAGCTGTGCCTGAGGCTGGTGCCACATGAGGCTCAGAGGTGATTTCTTAATCCTGAATAGGTAACAGGGAGAAAAGCTGCCTGCTCTCTTTGCCATCCACGTTATCCTCACTAACTCATCTTTTTTAGAGCTGGTCGAGCTAAACAGCCTAATTCAGCTCTGCTCTTCATTAGATGCATGATCTCAAATAAGTTATTTAGGGGATCTGTGTCCCAGTTTCCTCAACCGTAAAATAAGAATAAAATAACTCATAGTGTCATTGCGAGGACTGAATGAGCTGATACATACAAGTACTTATACGTACTTGTGTACATGTAAGTCATAACATAGAGAAGGTCTTCAGTATGTTAACTCTTTTTCTTTTCCTGCTCACAAATGTCTTGAGATAGAAAAGGGAAAGGTTTTTAATTATTTCTTATAGATAACCTCTTCTGGACTCCAGCCAATCCTTAATGGCAGACTGTTAAGTCTCCTCTATGCCACAGGACAGCTCAATAAGCTGTACTCTCTGCACTTGGTTGTGGGTATGCTGAAGAAGGAGATCAAGTAAATTGGAAAAGTCTCTCTCAAGACAGAATCCTAGCACTATGATTCTAGGACTATGATTCCCATTACATGATCTGATGATGGAATAATGGAGGCTGAATATTTTCTTGGTCTATTCTTCGTATTCCTTCTCGAACATATTATATTCTTTGCCCCGCTACCCACCCCAGTCCTCCAGGTAGTTAGATTCCTAGATAAATTCACTCACAGATCATGGGAAGGTAAAAGAGAATAACACATTAGAAATTTTAAAAGTTGCTCTTTTTCATTTATATTCCCAGTTTTTCTATATATATATTAAGAGCTGACCAAATAATCAACAGTGTCCAAATTTTTCTGCCCTACCCAGTCTAACATTTGTGTAACATGCCCTCCAGTTTAAAATTTAGCAAACTGCAACTTCATCCATGCATATATTAGAAATTACCTCTTGCTTTTTTCACAAAATATTGTCTCAGTATAATTAAATGTTTTGTTAAAGTGACCTATTCAAAATAAATTATCAAAGAATAGCAAAAGATCTCAACAGATTACCATATACTATGATGATTTAACTTTTGCTAAAAGAAGTAAATCTAATTGCTTATAATATTAACTCAAAGAGAAACAGTACAAAATCCCCAAATCTGTCATGTAAGCTAAAACTCAAGTGTAAATTGTAATGAGCAGTGAACATCACCATATATTGACCACCAATATTAATTTACAGGAGCCTTGATTAACTACATTTATGATATAATGTAGTTATATCATAACTACATACTATACTGTATATATAACTACATACTATATATATACTGTATATATAACTACATACTGTATATATAACTACATACTATAATGTAGTTATAACTACATTATATCTAATTATATATATAATTATATATAACTACATTATATAATATATATAATATATATAACTACATTATATATATATAATATATAATATAACCATCAAACCCGAGTCATGTTTGTTTAGAATGCTGAAGGTTGAATGGCAATGTGTACTGCTAAATGTTAAATTATTACAGAATATGCATTATTGAAGTAAATCACTTTCCTCATATCCTTTGGAAGAGACTGGCCATAAAATGTAGTTGGCCTACTTCAGGGCAGTTTACCCATCCATGAATCCTGAGGGTGCATTAAGCTACATCATAACAGTCTGTGCTGATACAACCAACGTTCTCATGTTCCATTTACTCAGTCAACAGGCCCAATCAGAATAGCTTAACGTAATGGTGACGGTAATTGTCACTATGGAGCAAATTTGGATTTCTTTATTCAATACTATATACAGAAACAAGGAGCACAGAAGGTGAGGGATGGGGTGGGGTAGGGTGGGGGAAGATTCAGGAAACCCATAAATTCATCAAAGGCTTGGAAAATAAAGACTTAAAAAGAAATGGGCCGGGCATGGTGGCTCACGCCTGTAATCCCAGCACTTTGGGAGGCTGAGGCAGGTGGATCACGAGGTCAGGAGTTCAAGATCAACCTGGCCAAGATGGTGAAACCCTGTCTCTACTAAAAATACAAAAAATTAGCCAGGCGTGGTGGTGGGCGCCTGTAATCCCAGCTACTCAGGAGGCTGAGGCAGAGAATGGCGTGAACCTGGAAGGAGGTGGAGGTTGCTATGAGCTGAGATCATGTCACTGCACTCCAGCCTGGGTCACAGAGTGAAACTTCATCTCAAAAAATAAAAATTAAAAAAATGTTATTCAGTCTGTAGAAAAGGATCCTAAGAGCATTTTTAACAGTTGCAAATTTCAGCGTAAACTCCTTTGGAACCACAAAAACTTGAACTTAAATTCTGGCACCTCTGCTTACCAGCTCTATGGGTTGGGGAAAATTACATAAACATGCTAAGCCTCGATTTCCTCAACTGTAATATAGAATACGTATCTCATTGAAGAATGAAATGAAATAATATAGACATAGCAGTATTATCTGTGCCCCCATTATTCCAGCTCAGAGAGCTCCTGTCAGCATCCTCCTGTATGTCTGAGGTCCTATCTTACCATCCTGGGGCTTTGTGGTGATTAGCTGCATAGCACAGCTAAGTGGTAAACAATGAAGACTAGTCACACTCACCAGGCATTGCTCCCTTTTCAAGAGACTTAGCTGTGAAGGGTTCTTAGACTAGGGAAATGCAAATTTAAACCACAATGAGATACCACTCTACCCCTACTAGATTGATGAAAATTTAAAAAATTTAAAAAGTCTCAACAATATCAAATGATACCAAGAATGCAAAGGAACTAGAATTCTCGCACACTGCTGGTAGGAGTACAGAATGGTATTGTTTTTGGAAAACAGTTTGACAGTTACTTTTGGAATTAAATCTACCTTTATTAAATGATGCACAAGTTCTGCTCATGGGTATTTACCTAGGATTAATTAAAACATATGCCAACAAAAGACCTGTATGCTAATGTTACGGCAGCTATATTCATAATAGCCCAAACTGAAAAGTAGCCAAACATCCATCAAATGGAGAAATGATAAAAATCTTGTGGTGTGTTCATACAATCTAATACTACTCAAAAACAAACAAACAAACAAACAAACAAACAAAACTCACTCTTGTAAAAAATAACATGTTTGAAAGCATTATGGTAAATGAAGGAAGCCAGAATGAAAAAGCTACATACTACACGTTCCATTTATATAGAGTTCAGAAAAATACAAAGTCTTAGGGACAGAAATCAGGCAAACATTGCTACAGTCTGGGGGACTGAAAAGGGATTGATTCCATTGGGGCACAAGGAATATTTTAGGGGCAATGGGAATGTTCTATATCATAGTTGTGGTAGTCGTGGTGGTTATATGAATATATATTTATTTCTAAAAATGCACCAAATTATACATTTAAAGTTGTGTAATTTTGTCTTATATAGCTTAGGTCTCTATAAACCTGACTTAAAAAATATTTCATACCAAAAAAAGGCAAGTAAAAAAAGCACAAGACAGAAATTAATAAGTTATATATCTAAACCTAAACTTTTACCACCCTGAGCAATGTGGCAAAACCCCATTTCTAGTAAAAAAAAAAAAAAAAAAAAAAAAAAAAAAACCTATGCTGGATATGGTGGCACAGCACCTGTAGTCCCAGCTACTTGGGAGGTTAATGTGGGAGAATCACGTGAGTTTGGGAGGTTGAAGCTGCAGTGAGCCATAACCACACCACTGCACTCCAGCCTGGACAACCAGAGTGAGAACTTGTCTCAAATAATAAAATAAAATGAATCTAAACTTTGCAAAAGACATACCTAAAACATAGTTATATAGGAACTTGAAATGTAAAAGGATTTTAAAAAAAGATATTTTATACAAATACCAAAAAGGCACAAATTTAAAAAGAAAATTTAAAAATGAAAATACAGACCAATGTAGCCAATAACTGATTCTTAGAAAAGAATAATAAAACTCATAAACTTTTCACAGGATTGATCAAGGAAAAGTGAAAGAAAGCACGAATAATCAGCGTCAGAAATAAACAAGTGGACATCACTACATATCCTGCAATCAATATCAAAAGAAGATATTATAAAGAGCTGTAGGCTAATAGATTCAAACCTGTAGATGGAATTGTCAAGATCTTTGAAAAGCAGCCTTTAACAAAACTGACCAAAGAAGAAATCTAATATTTCTTTTTCTTTTTCTTTTTTTTTCTTTTTTTTTTTTGAGATGGAATCTCGCACTGTCACCCAGGCTGGAGTGCAGTGGCGCGATCTTGGCTCACTGCAACCTCTGCCTCACGGGTTCAAGCGATTCTCCTGCCTCAGCCTCCTGAGTAGCTGGGATTACAGGTGCACACCACCACACCCAGCTACTTTTGTATTTTGACGGGGTTTCACCTTGTTGGTCAGGCTGGCCTGGAATCCCTGACAAGTGATCCACTCGCTTCAGCCTCCCAAAGTGCTGGGATTACAGGCGTGAGCCACCTCACCCGGCTGTAATATTTCTTTCACTACTAAGAAATGGAGTCTAAAAATCTTCCTATGATTTAAAAATTTTTAATTAAATTATCTTGTACCAGATAACTTGAAATACATAGGAAGAAATAACACCAATATTGCACAAAATGTTCCAGAGAATGGAAAAAGAGGTGTGTTTGGAAGCTTCTGAAGTGACTCTCAATGATCCTCACCTCCTGGTATTCATGCTTTTGTGTAACCTCCTCTCCTTGAGTGTGGACTGGACCTGGTGACTTGCTTCTAATGAACAAAAGACAGCAAAATCATGGGAGATCAATTCCAAGATTAAGTTGCAAAAGACCATGACTTCTGTCATGCGAGCAGGCTTTCTCTCCTTACTCACTTAGATAAAGCAAGCTCTCTTGTTGTAAGCTGCCCTAAGGAGAGGCTCACAGGGCCAGGATACTGAGAGTGTCCTTGTGCCAACAGGTCATGAGACACTGAGGTCTTAATCTAAAAGCCACTGACAAACTGCGTGTCACTAACAACCTTGTGAGTGAGCCTGAGGTGGATCTTTCTCAGTGGAGCCTTGAGATGACTGCAGACTTGTGAGAGCCAAAAGATCCAACTAAGCCTTTCCTGACCCACAGAAACCATGAGATTATAAACATTGTTTTAAAACACTAAGTTTTGTTGTTGCACAGGATTAGATGACTAACACAAGGAGGAATGTCTGCAGTTTTATTTTGGGAGCCAACATAACCTTATTACTAAAATAAAGTGATGTGATGATGAAGAAAAGTATAAGCCAATCTCACTCATGGACATAGATGAAAAAATGCTAAGCAAAAAAATAGCCAACAAATCCATTTTTACACAAAAAAGATTATGCAAAATCACTAATTTGGGTTATTCCTCAGGAATACAAGCTTGTGTTAACATTTGAACAGTAATGACATATTTCATTACATTAAGAGAATAAAGGAAGACTATATTATGATGATTTAAACAAATGCAGGAAAAATATTTCATAATATTTAATACCCATTCATGAAAAAATATCCTGCAAACTAGGGACAAAGTGAAGTAATCCTTCCTTGAGAATCCTTAATCCAATAGATTATTGAAAACAAAACCTACATCAAACCTTACTTAATATTGATATGTTGCAAGCTTCCCTAGAGTTCAAAATGAGATAAAGAGTCCCACTAATACCAGGTCTATCCAAATATACGAAAGGTCCTACACTTTTCTTCACTTTTCTTTTTTTTTTTTTTTTTTTTGAGATGGAGTCTTGCTCTGTTGCCCAGGCTGGAGTGCAGTGGTGCAATCTCAGCTCACTGCAATCTCCGCCTCCTGGGTTCATGCCATTCTCCTGCCCCAGCCTCCCCAGTAGCTGGGACTACAGGCACCCGCCACCACACCTGGCTAATTTTTTTGTATTTTTAGTAGAGACAGGGTTTCACTATGTTAGCCAGGATGGTCTTGATCTCCTGACATCGTGGACATCATGATCCGCCTGCCTCGGCCTCCCAAAGTGCTAGGATTACAGGTGTGAGCCACTGCGCCTGGCCTAGACTTTTCAATAAGGAAAAATAAAGAAATAAAACACACAGTTAACCCTTGAACAACATGGGTTTGAACTGCATGGATTCGCTTCTAGGTGGATTTTTTCCAGCAAGCACAGAGGGAAAATACAGTACTTGCAGCATGCGAAACTCACACATGTTAAGGATGGACACTGCAGAACTTTAAGTATTTGAGAATTTTGGTCCTGGAACCAATTCCCAGCCTATACTGAGGGATGACTATATAATGTCTAGTAAGGAAGAGGAAAAAAAAGGTCACTCACAGAAAATATGTTTGCATATGTAGAAAACCAAAACCATACAGATAAAACTTGAAAATATATTAAGTTAGCAACTTTGATAAATGCAAGCTCATTGTACAAAATCCAATTGCATTTCCATAAATCAGGAAAAAAACAATTTTAAAAATTTAAATTTTATAAAAATACTGCAACTATTTGAATTTTCTAGGAAGCAGATTCTGAGAAAGATATTTCCATAACTTACTGGGATGTATTCTCAAAACCAACATATGGAGAGTGAAGAAAGTAGGATTGAGCAAAGGGAAAATTAAATTTCAATGCAGTGACAACAAGGACTCAGCCAATCAATCCTACAGGAGGCTCTGAAGTTGGGATGGTGCTTCAAAGGGTCTCAAATTGGGATAAGGGGACCTCTCAGGCTTTTATATTCTTACATTGAATCCTCTTTGGAAGGTGGGAGTGGTGCGAGGTGACCTTAGGCCAGGTGACTCTCTTCAACTGAAGGCAAGCTCCAGGGAGACTCAGCTGAATGCTGTTAACCCCTAACACTCCCAGCAGCTCCAAGAGGAGGGTTTAGGTGGTACACCATGACATCCACTACAGATGACACACGCATAAGCATCATAAATCTAGCAAAAGTGTGGAAGGACTTAATGCAGAAAACTATAAAATGTTATTGAAAGAAATCAAAACAACCTCAGTAAATGAGAAGATATACCCTGAACATGAACAAAAGGCTCAATATCATAAAGTTGCCAAATCTCACTAATAGATTGAATACAATCCTAATAAAAATTCCAATGTTAAGTATGTGTGTGTGTGTGTGTGTGTGTGTGTGTGTAACTTGACAAACCAATACTAAAAAATGTCTACGAAAATGTAGAAATGTAAAGGCTATGCCTAGCCAAGACATTCTTAAAGAAAAAAATGAGTGAAAGAACTTGCCCCACTGAATATTAGGTTTTATTATAAAAGTACAATTATTAAGAAATTAGGTGCTGGCATAAGAAAAGAAAAAAAGCTGAAAGTGATATAACTGCCTCTCAGTTCCTCCATCCTCCTCTCCTATGATGACTATATCTTCCTAGCTCAGTCATTCTCTCCCACTGTCCTGCTTACAGTCTATATACCTTGTCATAGCCAGTACTAAGCATCACACTCTTGGACCACCATGCCTATATTTCCTCTAGTGCTCTCACTCCAACAGTTCCTTATTTCACCAAGATCTAAAATTCATGAATCAAATACATCTTGTACTGCCCCTCACCTTCCTGTCCTCACTTCCCTACTTGCCCTTCTTAAATTCAGTAGCCCATCATTATAGCCCTCACTCACTTATAGCCTCTCTCTTATACTTCTCTCCCATTCCTCTCTCACTTCATCACATGTAATTGGCAAGATCTCAAACTCCAGAAAAACTGATAATAGCCATAATTTTGCCTATGCCATGTCTGTTCCCAGGCACTTAATGTAAGCTGGAGAAACATAAAACAATGCTGACTCCCTTCACTATAAGTTATCTAATAGAAATGGTAAAACAAGACTTGCAGGTGACAGGTTAGGACACAGTAAGCAAGTAATTTGCCCTTAGTGCAGACCAATTATCCTTCTATGTTTTACTAGTTCGCTAAATTTTGAAGCCTCTTAAAAAACTATCTCCCTCCTCTAATCTCCAATATCTTTTCCCCCATCCTCACTCTTAGATGCAGAATGTATTTCCATTTCAGAAAATAACAAAAGAATTTCCAGTGGTGCCCACACTGCATTTATTCACAAACCAGCATCTGCACCCACATAGTCTGCCTTCCCACCAATTACTTCAGATGGATTGTACCTGCTCCTGTCTAAAGGCAATCCCTCTTGTGCACTAAATCCCATTGTCTCTCACCTACACAAACACATCAGTTAAGTTATTCTCTCATCTGTCTTCCATTATTAATTTTCCACTTTGCAGTGTGACATTCCCATCAGTGTACAAACAAAAACTGCTATAATTTCCACCATCTGCAAAACATGAAAAAACCCTCTCCTTGACCTCATATCCCCTTCCGGTTATCCTCCATGTGGCTGCTCCTTTTTGTTGCAAAGCTCCTTTAAAATTTTCCTATACTTACTACCTCCAACTTATTCTCATTTTTTCTTAAGCTCTCTGTAATATAATAAGGCTTTCACTCTCCATCACCATTTCACTTAAAACTCCTCTTATCAAGGACACCAATGAACGCCTCTTTGACCAAATCACTGGTCAACTCATTGAGGGAAGTTTTCCAAGGGAGCATGGCTGAGCAGTCCGGGAGTTGACTGGTCAGCCATGGAGTTGACCGGTCAGCCATGCTCCCTTGGAAAACGTCCCTCATTTAATTTCTAAATAATACACGGTCTTGATTTTCCTCCAGCTTCACTGGCCATTTCCTATCTTCTTTGCTGCCTCATGCGCACTTCCCAAGTCTAAATAGACTCTCTTAGGATGCAATCTTTATCCATGCTCACTTTCTAGATTTTATTTAGATTTATCCACATGATTGTCTAAAAGACTACTTAAACTTAACACATTCAAGGCAGAACTTCCTTTTAACCTGCCCCTCCCACTCCCTGCCCCATTTCAATAAGGAACACTTCTTCCATCCTGCCAATTCCTCAGACCAAAAACCTTGGAGCCATTTTTGAATGTTCTCTTTTTCTCATATGCCATGTCCAATGAATCAGCAAATCTTATTAGATCTTTCTTCAACATATATCCAGTTATCACCACCCCAACCACTCCCCACCCTGCTCAGAGCCATCACAATCGTTTCCCCAGATTATTATAATGCCATGGACTCCTAGCCAGTTTTCTGTCCCTTAGGCAATTTATTCTCAACTCAGAAACCAGAGTGACCCTTCCAAAACTATGATCAAGCTCTTATCACTCTCTACTCAAGCCCCTCAATGGCTTTATCCCTCTCAGGGAAAAACTCTCATGCCTTACCATGGCCTATGAGGTTCTATGTCATCTGCATCACTGTGACCTCTCTGTCCTCATCTATCACCACTGTCCTCTCTCTCTCTCTCAGCCATATCATACTTGCCTCTTTTCTTTTCTTTTCGTTTTTAGAAGTGAAGTTTCACTACGTTGCCCAGGCTAGCCTCGAACTCCTGGACTCAAGCAATCCTCCTGCCTCAGCCTCCTGAGTAGCTTGGACTACAAGCATACAACATCACACCCAGCTCTGACCCCTTTTCTATCCACCAAGCATAATATTCACTTGCTTCTTCCTTTACCTAGAAACCTCTTTCACCAGAAATTACGATGTCTAACTCTCGCACTTCCTTCAGATATTTAATCAGTGGCTTAATTAATGAGGAATTCCAGGACCACTCTATTTAAAATGACTTCCTCTTCCTTTCTTCCACTTCCTTGGAGATAAGAGTTTTATAGAACTTATCACTATATGAATATGAATATAGATAAAATACATAGAGATCATTATGTCTATTTGTACATATATAGATGTACATACATATACAATGCACATCAATACATATACATAAAATTTTTTATATTTACTACCTATTTCTGCACTCTAGAATGTAAACTACGTGAATACATGATGTTTTGTATATTTTGCTCATTATTCTATTCCCGGCATCTACAACTGTGGCTGGCAAATATCTGGGGTTCAAAAATTATCAGTTGAATAAGTTAATATACACATTCATATTTTTAACAGATGTAAAGTCTTTAGCATTTAAAGACTGACTCTGCTTTATCTAGGCATTCCAACAAAGCCTCCTCCTGCACTTTGATCCCTCACACTTAGATTTAAAAAGAAAACATTTTTATATTATTTTCTACAGTTGGTGGTTTAATGAATGTCCTCTGTGCAGTTGGTTCATTTTAAAGCCACATTATTTCCCTGTCTAATCATTGGCAGTGGCAGGAAGTAGAATTAATCTAATCTTTCAGAAGGATTCCCCTGAAGCCTGAAGCACTATTGCATTAGACAGCAGAGGTTTTTCCTTACTAGGACAGATTTTCATGTCCTAGTGTATATTTAGACACTGAATCCCTTTAAAACTAATGGGAGGTCTGTGGGCCAAACACACTTACAGGAAATGAAAGGAAATGGCACAGTAAAAGCAAGCTGTGAAGAAAGATCTTCACGCTTGCTGTTACCTAATCTGTCACATGAAAGATTTATTTTAAAATTTCTATTAGATAAAATGAACAGAAAAATACCATGTACAGTATTCTTTCAGTATTCCTGCTCTTGTTTCCACAAGTGCCTCCTCTTCATGTGAGTCATGTATTGAGGTAAAGAAAAAAGAGTAGAATAGGATATTTTACTTATCTCAAATCAGAAATGTCATCCTATATTTGAAGAATAATTGCAAAACAACCAAAATGAAAAAAGCAATGCAATTTTGGAAAAGTTGAAGCTATAAATTGTCAGTAAATAACTAAGTTATTTCTATTTTCAATGAAAAATAACATTTGGTCAAATAGGCTGTAGTTTGGTTTATTTTGCTGTTGTTATTGCTATGCTTTGTTTTTTAAGAGACCTAAAGATTAGTTCTAATATTGGGTACTTTCTTAGCTTCAAAATATATTAATATTTAGTTGTGCATCTACTACTTTATATTGCTGCCATATTCACGCTTTTATTATTCTCTATTCTTTAACATATTCTTACCTATATAGGAGTTTACCAAAAGAAGTAAACTTCTTCACTTTTTTCTCCAGCCTTTCTGACTAATACTGTCTGTTGCAAACTTCCTTTGCTTTTCTAAGATAATATTCCAGGCATATCCCAAGCCTTTTTGGTCTCTTTCAGTGACAAGAACAATTTCATTTAAGTAATTGTAATTCACTCTCAGATGCTAAAAAAAAAAAAAAAAATCCAGACTAAATCAGAAGTTCAATCTAACTTCCATTCCAAATCTTCACTCCTCCGCAGAACTGAAACTTGATCTTTGGATGTGATAGCTGCAATAATGAAGTAGTCTTAGTCTGTTTCTCACCTTCCTTTCTCCATCTACATTACCTCTGCTACACGTTCTCCCAGGGTCAAGATAGCAAACAGGGGAGATTAGGAAAATAAGGATATCTTATATGACAGATATTTTATAATTTGCCATAGCACATGCCCAAAGGCAGATGCCCAAATGTTAGTTCTCTCATAGGGCACATTGTATACTCTTTGGTGGTTCCCCTTTGCCCTCTACTTGTCCTGCCATTGCAGGTTGTTCCAGCCAGCTTCATGGCTTGAGAATTCTCCATACTAGGGGCTGGGCAGGGTGGTTCACACCTGTAGCTCACACTAGCACTTTCAGAGGCAGAGGTGGATGGATCACTTGAGTCCAGGAGTTCAAGACCAGCCAGGCCAACATGGTGAATGAAGCCTCATCTCTACTAAAAATACAAAAATTAGCCTGGCATGGTGGCATGTACCTGTAATCCCAGCTACTCCAGGGGTTAAGAAACAAAAAAAACACTTGAACCCAGGAGACAGAGGTCGCAGTGAGCCGAGATTGCGCCACTGCACTCCAGCCTCGGTGGCAGAGCAAGACTCTATCTCAAAAAAAAAAAAAAAAAAAAAAAAAAAAAAAAAAAAAAAAAAATTCTCCATACTAGAAACAGGCAGGAAGCAGGCATCAGTTTCTTTGTTTATGTATGTCTCTGCTCTACTGGGTTTATCAAGGCCTCTGAAGAATTTTCCCACCAAACCCCATCTGGTGAGATTAGGCAAGAGTTAAACATTTCTGTAGCTACATAATCATCCAGTCAGAAAACAAGATTCCAGTCTCTTCTACTTTCCTGGCATCTCCAGATTTTAAAACTTAAATTCTTGGAGACTCATCAAATGACTTGAGATGAGTGCTGGCATCTCAGTCTCTATTCCCTTGGTTGGGGAGAATTTCCATGGTACTCCTAATTACAACAGAGACACACCTATTATAACTATTCTCTCTCCAATCACACTTTAAAGTGCCTGTTCTTATATAAAATAAAAGTTGGTAGCTGGATTAATAGTTTCTAGAGAGATTCTGCTATCTCTCAGTAATTTGGTCATGAATATGTTTACCATCTTTCTTTATAATATATGTGTACTTACCACCTACCATTCTCAGGTTTATGACTCAGTTCACATTCTAAGACATTAGAAAAAAGTTACAGTCTACATCCTATGTCACCTATCTTACCATTGCAGAATCTTTGTCATTCTGCACTATAGTCAAAAGCATTGTGTAGTAGACTGAAAAAGAGTCATCAAAGACATCCATAGCCTAATCTTCAGAAACCATGAATATGTTACCTTAAATGACAAAAGGGACTTTGCAAATGTGGATTGAGGACCCTGAGATGGGAAGCTTATCTTGCATTATCTGGTGAGTCTTAAATGTAATCACAAATGTCATTATAAGAGAGAGGCAGGGGTGAATATTAGATTTTAGAAGTAGGAGATGTGAAAACAGAAGCAAGAGATTAGAGGAGTTCAAGGAAGGGGCCCTGAGCCAAGAAATGCAGGAGCCCATCAGAACCTAGAAAATGCAAGAAAAGGCATCTCCCCTAGAGCCTCCAGAAGGAGCTAGCCTGGCCAACATCTTGACTTTAGCCCAGTGAAACTGATTTCAGACTTCTGGACTCCAGAACCATGAAAGAATAAATTTTTGTTCTTTTAACACACCAAGTTGTGATAAGTTGTTCTAGCAACCACAGCAAATGAATAAACATTATCTCATTTAGGATGCATTTAGCTGAAAATAATAAAAGTCCTGGACTCAAATCAACTGAAGCAATAAGAAAACGTCTCTTTTCACGTATCAAGAAGTGTGGAGTTAAGGCTGGTTTAGGTGTGGTACAATGAAGAGTCTAGTTTCTTTCCAATTCTCTGTGTTATGCCCACTCTGTGTGCAATTTTATTCCTGAGCTTGCTTGTGTAAGGCTCATCAGATGACTACCAGCAACAGTAGGACAATATATTATGTCATTCATTGAAAAAAAGAAAAACTATCATTTTAGTCATGGTCCTGCTTTTTAATCTCATTTGGCCAGATTAGGACCTTTACTCACTCCTGGACCAATCACAATCCAAGAATCCTATGCTCTAATTGACTTGAGCAAGTGTTGCTGAACCAATTTCAAACAAGGGTGAAATTAGCATAATTGTCATTGCCTAATCAGGACCCACTCCTGAAGCTGAGGAATACCTGGGCAAAATTGGCAATAGGGAGATGGCAAAGGATAAGGAGACCATATATCTAATTTATCATTCAACTGGAACACGACTAAGAATGAAAGAAGTCATTATATGAAAAAGATACTTGCTCACGCATGTTTATAGCAGCACAATTCACAATCGCAAAAAATGTAGAACCAACCAAAATGCCCATCGATCAAAAAGTGGATAAAGAAACTGTGGTATCAATACATACAATGGAATACTGCTCAGCCATAAAAAGGAATGAATTAATAGCATTTGCAGCAACTTAGATGGGATTAGAGACGATTATTCTAAGTTAAGTAACTCAGGAATGGAAAACCAAACATCGCATGTTCTCACTCATAAGTGGGAGCTAAGATATGAGGATGCAAAGGCATAAGAATGACACAGTGGACTTTGGGGACTCAGGGGGAAGAGTGGGAGGGGGTAAGGGATAAAAGACTACAAATTAGGTTCAGTGTATACTGTTGGGATGATGGGTGCACCACAGTCTCACAAATCACCACTAAAGAACTTACTCATGTAACCAAATACCACCTGTTCCCCAAAATCCTATGAAAATAAAAAAATTTTAAAAATAAAAATTAAAAAAAAGGTGCCCTATTAAGAATTCCACCAATATAATAGATATAAACAGGTACTGTCCCACTCACCTTGGGACTTATGCTCATCCTATTGGTAGGAGGCCAATAGTGTCACCCACAAGCATTTTGATTAGAGCTGACTAGAACACTAGTCACCAGTTCCTAAGAAGAAAGGATTGGCTGGGTGTCGTGGCTCACACCTGTAATATCAACACTCTGGGAGGTGGAGGTGGGCAGATCATGAGGTCAGGAGATCGAGACCATCCTGGCTAACACAGTGAAACCCTGTCTGTACTAAAAATACAAAAAATTAGCTGGGCATGGTGGCATGTGCCTGTAGTCCCAGCTATTTGGTAGGCTGAGGCAGGAGAATTGCTTGAACCCAGGAGGCGAGCTTGCAGTGAGCAGAGATCATGCCACTTCCTGCCACTGCACTCCAGCCTGGGCGACAGAGTGGGATTCCATCTCAAAAAAAAAAAAAAAAAAAAAAAGACTGCAAAAATGAGGAAACACTTAATCTGCAAGGGTAGAGGACTTGACAAAAGTCATCTAATTGGAAAGTGGAAAAACAAATACCTAAATAACCAAGCCTTTTTAACCTAATTTTACTTTTCTTTCCATATACCACTCATGTAATGTTAAGTCCAATACAGAGGTCAACCTCTAATTAGTTTGCTGGGGCTACAATAACCAAGTACCATAGATTGGGTGGCTTAAACAACGGAACTTTCTCTCACATTTCCAGAGGCTGGAAGTCTAAAATCAAGGTGTTCTCAGTGTTGGTTCTTTTTGAGGCCTGTGAGGGAGAATCTGCTCCAGGCCTCCCTCCTTGGCTTTAGACGGCCATCTTTTCTCCATATCTCTTCACATCGTCTTCCCTGCATGTGTCTCTGTCTACAAATTTCCCCTTTTTATGAAGACACCAGTCATATTGGATTAGGGCCTACCCTGATGACCTCACTTTAACTTGATTACCTCTGTAAAAACCCTTAATTCCAAATAAGTCCACATTATGAAATAGTGGGGCTTAGGATGTCAACATCTGATTTGGAAGAGGGGCTGGGGCACAATTAAATCCATTACACACCACCAAGGGAAATTCCTAATGAGGCAGCCAGACAGGGGAAAGGTCTGTTTATCAGGCCATATGAGGAACTGCTAAGGAAGCAGCAATGCTGTTTCTCAGGGAAAACTTGTGAGAGACAACTTTTGTCTAGTCTCAATTTCTTCAAAAGTCAAATTAGAATCAACTGATATAAATTACATGAAAATAAATTTTTATTCACTTCTATATCTATTTTCCTCTCTTACCAAGCACTTTCTGGCTATGCATTTGAGCCTTTCAGATGATTATTAAAAAAAGAAGGAGGAAGAAATTATTATGGGGTGCAAAAATACTCAATAAAGGAACCAAGCTCAACATTAAAGACAAAAAGTATCACTGTCAGGGCTTTTATATTCACTATAGTGAGGGTCTCCTCCCCACCAATGACTTCAGAGAGGTCCCTCAGGCCTTTCCCTGCTGTCACAGTGTCCTAGGTGAGCAATAGCCCCGCTCTGTCGTTTCCGTGAAGGTTCATGAAAAAAACTCCAAGCTTAGGATTTCAATTTGCATTATAAAACAATCTATAATTAAACTTTGAGTTTCATTTTCAAAAACTCAGCAACATAGCCACAAGAGATATGCATGCATATACACACAACAGACACACACACACACACACACACACACACACACACACCGTTTTCTAGCCCTAGTGAAGCTGTTAACTGCAGTAAGCCCTCAGAGGGCCAATTTTAGGTCAAAGGACCATAGCAGTTTGTGGGAAAGTGAGGGAGAATACCATTTATTTTCGTTCTAAGGACTCCATGATCAATTAGTGAAGTCCAAATGTGTCTGAAAATCAGACTATTCTGGTAACTATTTTGGCTTCTTTGTGCTTTACAGTAACAATAACTCGATTGCCTCTGCTGATTAAATGCCACACTTAGTCCCTGCCACCTAGAACCCCATTGTCTCATTGAACAAGGGAGTTCATTCTGATGGCAGCAGTTACTACTGTCATTTTTGGCCTATAGAGAATAGACCACGGAGCTCTTCCACGGTGATGCTGAGGGGTCCTTCATGAAAGGATTTCTCACAACCTTGGTAAAGTCAGTGTCCTCTGGACTGTCTGAACATAATTAGGGGATGGGTAAGTATGTCTTACATGATAAATTCACTCTAGCATTCCAATTTTTCTAAGCCTTTGAATACCTTTCTCTTCAGTATTCCACAAAAGTTCTGATATTTTAACTTCATTTAGTGTAGGGTGTCTTGGATTCAGGTTTCAGTGAACCAATTATAATTTTTAAAAAACTGTTAAGAGTCACTCTCAGCTGCTCACATTAACACATCGAATCCAAATCTGTGCTCAGTGCATCAACATGAATGAAATCAGTCCTGACATAATTCCTGAAAATCTATTTTGACATATATTCTCCAAATTTCCATCATCATTACAAATTGGCAAAATTTTGCAATTCTTTTCATGTGTGTTTAACTGCTTATGGTTCACATGCTATGCCTCACCCCTGGGATCTTTTGAAACTTAAATCTGGGTATAGTTCTAGAAGTATAACAGATGTCAAGGAGAGGTCTTGAGGAGGATCAGCAATCTCCCACAAGGCAACTACCCCAGGGAAGGCTGTTACAAGTACTTCAAGAAAGAGGAGACTTGGTGCGATAACTCAGAAACAGAAAATCAAATACCACATGTTCTCACTTGCAAGTGGAAGCTAAACACTGGATACACATGGATATAGAGACTGGAATAATAGACACTGTGAGTACAAAGGGATGGTGGGGGAGAGGGCTAAAAACTATCTATTGGGTACAATGTTCATTATTCGGGTGATGAGTACACTAAAAGCCCAGGCTTCACGGCTGTGCAATATATGCGTGTAAGAATCCTGCATTTGTACCAACTAAACATATAAAAATAATTAAAAAGAAAAAAAAGAAAGGGGACGGGCACGGTGGCTCATAATCCTGCATTTGTACCAACTAAATGTATAAAAATAATTAAAAAGAAAAAAAAAGAAAGGGGACGGGCACGGTGGCTCATAATCCTGCATTTGTACCAACTAAACGTATAAAAATAATTAAAAAGAAAAAAAAAGAAAGGGGACGGGCACGGTGGCTCATGCCTGTAATCCCAACACTTTGGGAGGCCGAGGCGGGCAGATTACTTGAGGTCAGGAGTTCGAGACCAGCCTGGCCAACATGGTGAAACCCCATCTCTACAAAAAATACCAAAATTAGCTGGGTATGGTGGCATATGCCTATAATCCCAGCTACTCAGGCGGCTGAGGCAGGAGAGTCTTTTGAACTCAGGAGGCAGAGGTTGCCGTGAGCCGAGATCGCACCACTGTACTCCAGCGTGGGTGACAGAGCAAGACTCCATCTCAAAAAAAAAAAACAAGAAAGAAAAGAAAAGAAAGAGGAGACTAATCTCTTCAGACAGGGGAAGAAGGGCTGCTTCTACTAACAAAGCAGCTTGATGGAATATATGGGTTCAAGGTCTTCAGCTTCCTCAGAATCTACTGATGTCTTTATCCCATTTTTCAGGATCACACTCCTTCCCAAACAATGCTCTAACTTTTACATAAAAGAGCTTTCAAGTTTAAGAATTTATTTATTTATTTATGTATTATTTTATTTTATTTTATTTTTTTGAGACAGAGTCTCGCTCTGTTGCCCAGGCTGGAGTGCAGAGAGGTGCAATCTTGGCTCACTGCAACCCCCACCTCCCAAGTTCAAGTGATTCTCCTGCCTCAGCCTCCCAAGTAGCTGGGATTACAGGTGTACACCACCACGTCTGTCTAATTTTTGTATTTTTAGTAGAGACAGGGTTTCACGATGTTGGTCAGGCTGGTCTCAAACTCCTGACCTTGTGATCCGCCCACCTCAGCCTCCCAAAGTGCTGGGAATACAGGCGTGAGCCACCGCACCCGGCCCAAGTTTAGGAATTTAATTTGCATTATAGAACAACTTTTAATTAGACTTTGAACTTGATTTTCAGAAAACGCAGTAACATAGCTACAAGACATACACACAACAGACACATACATCACACCTGTATACACCAAAAGTTTCTTTTAAGGAAGTCATGGAAGTGTTCTGGTCTCTTACCCACTTTGAGCTGGGAATTTAAAAGCTTAAGCTCAGAAATTTTCTTTCCACAAGTTCTCCAGTGCACTTAAAAGCAACCAGTGAATTCCATCATATTCCTTATTTTTTTCCTAAGTGGTCTATACTAGCAGCTACTTGGTCACCCAAAGTGTTGCCTTCTTTAGGTACATTAACACAGTTGATTCTACATCCGGTGTTGGGCCTGAAGTTGTATGGGTGGGCCTGGCTGGCAGTTGGGAGAAAAAGTGAATGTTAAGTGTGGAAGAGTCGTGACAAACGGGAACCCACAAGGACAAATTGAGTTCTGTGTCTGCTACTGTCTCTAACCTTGATGGAATTGGTGGTCTGCAGGAGAAGTTGGCATCCTTCATCCCTGGGATGAACAGGCACTTGACCCAGGACTTGGAGAAGCTGAAGGAGCAGCCCCTGAAAGCCGAAAGGACCACAGGCTCTGCTGATGCTCCAAGGTGGAGCAGCAGATGCCCCCCAAATTATATGAACAACGGCACCTGTTGTCTTACATAAACTTTTACAATGTAATAGCCACTGCTTTACCACCAACTTCCATATTGCTCTCAAATTTCTCTTGTGTCCAGGTCTAACTCTGAACCATACAGGAAGGGAATTCTGGGAAATATAGTTTCCACTTAGGTAACCCAATATGAAGCCACCATGTTATTCCTCCAATATTCTTTTCTCCTCCATTTCTTTTCTCTGACCCCGTTGCCCTTGCATCAGAATCCTTCCTCTTCCTTCAGTGAAATGAACAAAAGTCTCTATACATTCAGCTCACTCAAAGAATTATCTTGGGGGTAAGGGATTGTTTACAGGATCTCACATGCCTAATCTCTCCTCAAGCTTTAAGCTCCCTGATTGTGTGTGTGTGTGCATACATGTGTCTAGATATACATATATATATAGAGTATATTTGTGTATAAATACAGGTATAGTATGTATGTGCATACATATGTGTGTATGTGTAAGATCAGATCCTTGTTTATTTTGAAATATCATATTCATATTTTATAAATAAAATTTTCCTGTGGAGAAATGAATAAACTAATGCTAAAATTCCAAATAAACATGAAAATATTAAGTGGTGGTTCCATTACAATAATGTAGACACTAGGATGCATTTCTGCCAGTAAGAATCAATTAAATTAAATCAGAGATCAAAAGATCTCATATTATAGTTCTTTACTTTCTTCATTTTTCTCCACTACGGTATAATTATATAAAGTAGAATTCCAAGAGTATGACTGCCAGGAAAGGTTTATTATCAACCTTCGCTGATGTCTCTTTGTTAAATCACTTCTAAAGTGAAGTTCTTATTCATTATTGAGATTCTATTTTATTAAAGATTGATTTTGAAAAAGGTTTCAGATTCTTATAACATTCCATCTTTGGTAATTTCACCTGCATTTGACATTTTATTAAAAAGAAACTAATTTTGCTTCTTGATGACTCACGGAGTTCTTCATATCAGACATTTCTTTGTAGAAATTTGTTTATTTTATGAACTCATGGCCCCACACCATCACCCACACCTGAACACACATAAAAACTTAGTAAATAAATATGGTCTTCTGAGTCCTTCACTCTCCACCATACTGCCACTGGGCCTATGGGCAAGTGTGGCAAAAGGTAGAACTCTACAATAATTACAGGGCAAGCGTCACTCCTTTTCTGTGCTCCTACTTGATTTTTCTCCGTTTTCCCCTTCTGCAACCCCCATTGACTCTGACTTCCTACCAGAAAGAGACTATATCTTCTTTCTGTACATCTTTGTACTTGGCTTAATGAGGCACTCCCCACTCCAGAGTCGTGTGATATGGATTCCTAGTGTTACTGGCATTTGAATTGGGAGCACTTAAAAAAAAATTCAAAACCCCAAATTTCTAGACCTGTAAATGTAGCTCCCGGGCAGTGTGACAAAAAACACTACAAGGCCCTTGTACAGTACAGAGCTCTGCCTTCCCGCTTACTCATAAAGCCGACCCTTCCTATTGTACTTAGCAGGAATTGTGGAACACAACTGCATGGCCAGTGCCCAATTTCCCTAGACTGTGAAGGTAAAATAGGACAATTGTCTTCATAACTCTCTCTAATGAAATAATCCCTGTCCACCACAGTTTTACATATATATATATACACACAAACATACATATATACCAAAAAGTTTACTTCTATGCTGTTTTATAAAGATGCGTGATTTCGTTCAATGCGCTTAAAAATGTATATACAATAACAATGCACAACCGTGAAGATAGATAAGCAGAGGATAGGTTTATCCTCTACCTTTCAACATATGATGTAAGATCAGGGCCTGGATAAAGTACCCATGGTAATAATTTGTAAAAAGTTCTGGCAGCAACACTAGTCTTTGCTGAAAATCGCAAAATTGATTCAAGAGAGATTGCAAGGGCAAAATAAAATGTAAATTTCAACCCAGTAAAAGCTGATTTAACATCTTTTAACATAAAACTTGTGGGACACTCTGCCTCAGCAGGCCATAACACCAGCTGAACATTCTGCATAATTAAAGTCGAGTATTCAAGGTGAGTGTTAACTACTGGATCTGTTTTTAATGTAAATGAATCTGGGTTTTGTTGGAAGCGAGGGCCTTACTGAACATTTATATCCTCTATTAGAAATATCTATTTATTTTAATTTTCACTGTTCTTTCCTTTTTACTATGTTTTATAGAAAACATTGGTGTCTGAAGCCATACAATGAAGAATTTTCATAGATTATACTTGCAAAAGAAATACCAAAGTACCAGAAAGATTCTGTAAGACAAACCTAGGATGCAGACACTCTCTTCATTTCAAAAACTAGATATTTCCAGGGGCCTGAGAATCTAAACACTCCTCAAGCATTCAAGCAGACCAAATCAAGACGCTTCACATCTATGTCTTATTACTATTTTACAAATGAATGCAACGGTCTCATTTACAGACATCCTAGTAACCACCTCCCCTACCCCATTTTTTAAAGATTATTTAGCTCCTGGTTCACTTTCTCTTTCCCCATCATGATTTTCTATCCATATCTATCAGTGGTTATCAACCTTCACTGCAAACTGAATCTCATAAGGAGCTTTTAAAAAGTGATTATAGGCTGGGCACGGTGGCTCACGCCTGTAATCCCAGCACTTTGGGAGGCGGAGGCCCCCGGATCACGAGGTCAGGAGATCGACACCATCCTGGCTAACATGGTGAAACCCCGTCTCTACTAAAAATACAAAAAAATTAGCCAGGTGTGGTGGCTGGCGCCTGTAATCCCAGCTACTCAGGAGACTGAGGCAGGAGAAAGGCGTGAATCCGGGAGGCGGAGGTTGCAGTGAGCCGCGATAGCACCCCTGCACTCCAGCCTGGGCGACAGAGCGAGACTCCGTCTCAAAAAAAAAAAAAAAAGTGATTATAGGTCCCACTCTCAGAAATTCTGTTTTAATTTGTCTGAGATGGTGACTAGACTCTGGTATCTTTTTATGAAAAGCTCTCCAGGTAATTTTAATGAGCAGGCAGGATTGAGAATTGCTGAGGCAGATAATTCTCTCTACACTGGATTCCTTATTCCTAATCTTCCATGCTCCAGATATCACATACTTTACTTACTTCATTCGTCCACTCCCATGGTTATTTTAGGTTGGTGCAAAAGTAATTGTGGTCTTTTAATGGCAAAAACCGCAATTACTTTTGCACCAACCTAATACAATAGAGCTTAGCATTATCTGCAGTCCTCCATAATGTCAATTTTAAGCACTCGACTTCCTTTACTAGATCTTTTTCCAAAATTCTTAGGGCCTACTTTGGCACTCCATTGGCCACCACCTTTAAGCCAAAACTCCCCTCCTCATGTCTTCACTGCCCAGAATAATAATCACTCTTCTGTATAAACCATAACTCTCTTCTCTGTCTCACCTTCCCTTGTTTATGCCTTACAAAACCACAATAATGGATAAATCTTTAAGTTCCCGCGTTGACCTGTATCTCGTGTGGCTGGAGAAAAACACAACTATGTTTGTCTCTCTTTAAATCCTTGACCGCTAACAACAAGTGAGTCCTTAGAACTTTCTAGCAATCCAATTTTATTTCCCTTCTTAATTCACTCTCCTACTGTCCTAGTCGATTATTTTATACTTTTATTCTCCTCACATTTCTAATACCATTTCAATTTTCTTCATTCTCAAGTAATGGCCTTGCTTGTCATTTTAATAAGCAATTAGAAACCATCAGGAAATGAACTTCCACAATGATTATATTTGCCTCTGTATTTGTGTTCTTCGATTTTTTCTTCTTAGTCCTTAGCATCTGATACTGTCTTTTGCACATAATAGGTGCCTAAAAATCATTTGAGTTGAGCTGAACCTGACTGAACTATAGTATAGTCTCCTTGAACACACACTTCCTGGGCATTGAGGTGAGAGTAGACAAGAAACAGAGTAGGGAGACATGGGAAGACAGCCCAGGGCTTGGAGTTTTTTAATTGCTGTGAACAATCAAACAGTCAATTAATGTTACCTTGAGTGTTTGTTGAAGGCTGTCTCAGGAACATATTAGCAATTGCAGCATAAACAGGACACAATATCCTCTGCTTTTTTTTTTTTTTTTTTTTTTTTTTTTTTTTTGAGACAGGGTTTTGTTCTGTTGCCCAAGCTGGAGTGCAATGGCACGATCTTGGCTCACTGCAACATTTGTCTCCCGGGCTCAAATGATTCTGCTGCCTCAGCCTCCTGAGTAGATGGCACTATAGGCACAGGCCACTATGCCCAGATAATACATATATATTTCGTAGACATGGGGTTTCACCATTTTTGTCCAGGCTGGCCTTGAACTCCTAGGCTATAATGATCCTCCTGCATCAACCTTCCAAAGTGCTGGGATTATAGCCATGAGCCATTGCACCCAGCCCATCATCTGCTTTTGTGATTGTTCCTAGCAATTAAAAATTCCAAGTCTTTGATCATGTGCTTTACCTGATTCCAAGTTTCAGTAGTGAAATCCTCTAAGAATTAAAACAAGAAGATTTCTGCTTTTTGTTTTTGTCCTGAGAGAATTTCACCAGTGAAACTCAGAATCAGATAAAGCACATGACCAAGAGACATCATTATTATATAAGCTTATACAAAACTAATTTTGCTGCTGTCAGCATGTGCTTCAGAACTTCCTCTTTCATGTGAAAACAGGGTGAGCACTCCACCAAACTCTTAGGCATCTATTTCTGATCATCGGGGTCTTTTCTCACAATGTACTTTCTTTCAATGTTGGTAAAATTTCTCAATCCAGTATTTTTCAGAACTCTGAGATTAAAGTAGACTGATATCCTTCACAATGTCTTGTTCTTATTTTGGAGTAGATAATGGTCTTAAACCTTTCTTTAAAATGTGTGTTGCTAAAATTTGAACCACTTATCCCAATGATAATGGTCAACATTTATTTCAGAGTCCTAATTTAATCTTCTCAACAACCTTATGAAGCAGCTTATTATTACCATCCTCATTACCATATTATAAATAAGAAAATTGTGAATCAAAGAACTTATCTAATGTGTCTAAGATTACACAACTGAAAACTGGTGACCCTAGAGGTAAACCCAGGTAGTTTGGCTCCAGGGATACCACCCTTACCCCTAAGTAATAGGTGTCCCACATGTCCACCCCAGTTGTGCCTATGTGAGTAATGCGTGCCAGTGGCTAACTAGGACTTGCACTTTCGCTATTTTAAAAGATGAGAGTAGCTATGGAAAGCCTCTTTTAGAAACACTATGTGCCACTTTACTCAAATATCTAGGAAATCACTTATTTTGTGCAGATGCTGAACCTGCCTGAACAATTGCTCTGTCTCTGATTCCCAGTAGGATACCAAAGATGCTCTTGAAATAGAGAATCAGATCCCAAGTGAAACAGAGATCTAGTAGCCCATGCTGAGTAAGCAGGATAGCCAGTGGAATGCACAAACATAGGAGCAGAGATCATAATTCCTGCCTTTTGTGGGAGTCCATCAGACCTATATTGTTAAATGCATGGGATATCTAAAAATAAGGAATAGTAATTGATGCGTCCAGGAAGACTCATCTTTCTCTCCTTTTTAATTGTGCTTCCAAATTCATCTTCCTGAATATTATGATATTTTCTTCTTCATTTGTATTTATTTATTGTTGTTTTTATTCCTAAAGGTTTTCAAAATGGTGTCTTATTTTGGAGCACCCAAGATGTCTTCTTTTTCTCCTTTGATGGATCTCTTTGGAGAAGAGACCAAAAAAAAATAGTTTAGCGCTATTGTTGGGGACACACAATGCATTCTCATCAAAATTCTGAAAAATATTAGGGCAGCTATGGGAAGTTCCACTGTACAAGCTGCTATAATAATTATTTTTAAATATGTCTCTTAAAAATCACAAAGAAAGCTTTATGGAAGATGAATACAAAAATAGCAAAGAAAAAATTTTCTAGAATATTTATCTCAAACGAACATCCCCAGGAGGATGTAGTAGGAAGGAAGAGTTTAACCAGAACCAGTAACTAGAAATATAAACCTTTTTGGTTGTAAAGAAAACCACAAGATAGAATTTAATGCAAAATCACATGAATTGAAGCAGGAAGTTTGACATGAAATAATCTCTACCTGGGCTGCAAACTTCACTTTTTACCTTCATCTTCACAGGAGATCAAATTGACATTGAAATCAAAAGCAGATTTCTCTATAATTCAAAATAATGTCAGTGTATCACATTTAGCCTAATGCTATAACTCTGGTCAAGAATTATTCAGTTATATACCCAGGAGGTATACACAGGAGTACATAAAAGTATTGTTGGTTGATGCTTGCCTGCCTGCATAATCCAGATCTCTTACTCTAAATTTCTCATTCCAACTATAAAATGCAAATGTTAATATGGTTTGGTAAAGATAAAAGTCAGTATAACCTAAATCCAAGGATATCAGCATCTACATTGTCCAGAAATATATCCAGGACATTTCTGAATTTGGCTAGTTATGAAAAACAATTAGATACTGCTATAATTTTCAGTCAGATGACTTTCATTTCTACTTAAAGAGTGAAACATCTTAGAAATTAGAACTGAAGAAAGTTTGTACTTTATGGTACATTTGTAAGACATAAGATGTGTAAAGGATAGCATAAAAGTATTAGGACTTTGCCTCTATGAAAAATAGCGAATTCTTTAATTTTTATATGCAATAGTTCTGAGTGTTCCTTATTGCAAAACAACTTTCAGCAATGTTGTCTGGATTGTGAGGTCCTGAAAATAGATTCCAGACCAAGTTGATGGCAGTGAAAGTATTGAGAAGCAACAAATTCTAGATATATTTTAAAGACAAAGCCACAGTATTTCCTAACAGAAGGAATATGAGATGTAAAGACAAGAAAAGACTCAAAATCACTATAAGATTTTTGTCCTAAGATCCTAGAAGGATGGAGCTGACATCAACAGAGATAGGGAAAGCCACAAATGGAACTGGTTTCAATGGGAAGAGCTGGAGTTCAGTTTTGAATATGTTGACTTTGAAATGTTTGTTTGACATTCAAGTGGAGATGTGGAGGAGACAGTTGAACATACAGGTGTGGAATTTAAGACGTCTAGGAATGGAAATAAAACTTAGAAACTTGTTGGCATATGAACGAAGGATATTTAAAGCTATGAGAATATGTGAAGTTACCAAGGAAGTGAACAGAGATGTTGAAAAGAAAAGAACAAAAAACTGAACCATGAAACACTCTAACATGAAGTGCTCAGGAAAACCAGAAGCACTCAGCAATGAGAATGAGAAGGCACAGTATGTGAGATAGGGAAAGCCAGGAGAGTGAGAACTCTTGGAAGCCAGCTGAAGAATGAGTATTATGGAGAAGGGAGTTGGAGGATAGAGAACTATACATTGTACCTCGAAATGTGGAAGTTATTGATGACATTGATTAAGTTGGAAAAGCAGAAGAAAACGTTTAACATTTAAAATGCTGACTAGTTGTGGTAGGCAGAAAAACAGGCTTTCAAAGATGTCCATGTTCTAATCCCCAGAACCTATAAATATGTTATATAACACAGCCAAGGGGAATTAAAGTTGTAGATGGATTCTAATCAGCTAACCTTAAAAGGAGAGATTATCCTGGATTATCCAAGTGAGCCAGTGTAGCCACGAGCGTGCCTAAAAGTGGAAAAGGAAGGTGGAAAACGAGGTCAGAGTGATGTAGTGTGAGAGGGATGTAACATGCCATTGATGGTTTTGAATGGAGGAAGTGGGCCATGAGTCACAGAATGTGAGCAGCCTTTGGCAGCTGGAGAAGGCAGGGAGATTAATTCTTCTCTAGAGCCTTTTAGAAAAGTACACAACCCTGCCAACACCTTGATTTTAGCCTAATTAAGACCCTTATCCTACTTCTGACCTATATTCCTATAAAATAATAAGTTCATATTATTTTAAGCTACCAAGGATATGGTAATTTGTTATAGTAGCAATAGAGAACGACAATAAGATGTTCATTGTATCACGTACTTGCCTTAATTTTTAGTCTTTAAGGTCTTATGACTTTCACAGTTCAATTGTAAATACATTTGTGGTTTAATGTTGCTGAGGCTACTCTTTCATAATCAATGTAAAAATAAGTTACAAAAACTAAGCAACAGATACATAATAACAATAAAAACTCAACATGAAATAATTATTGCTACACATTTCAAAGTCCAAAATGGATAAGAAATGTAAATTCAAAACAGAGATTTGAGAGAGCAGTTAATAATAGTTTTTCCATGTTCATAGGGCATATGAAAAGTTAAAATGATTAAAAGTAACAACAGAAAATGTTTTGACAAGCAATATTCTTCAGTAGAATAAAAACAAAACACATCGGCTGGGCGCAGTGGCTCATGCCTGTAATCCCAGCACTTTGGGAGGCCGAGGCAGGCAGATCACGAGGTCAGTAGTTCAAGACCAGCCTGGCCAATATGGTGAAACCCCATCTCTACTAAAAATACAAAAATTAGCCGGGCATGGTGGCATGCGCCTGTAGTCCCAGCTACTTGGGAGGCTGAAGCAGGAGAATTGCTTGAACCCAGGAGGCGGAGGTTGCAGTGAGCTGAGATCATGCCATTGCACTCCAGCCTGGGCGATAGAGTGAGACTCCGTCTCAAAAAACAAACAAACAAACAACAACAATAACAAAAATCAGAAGGAGACAAAGTATAGGAAAATAATGGCAGGAGGTCTTAAAATATGATCCAAACTGTGGAGTATGAGGGAGAAAGAATGAGTCCGTGAAACAGAAGGCAATGCAAGCACAATGACAAGCATATAATTCTATTTAAAAACGTCTGTGAGACCATAATCTCCCTTCACTTCTCCCTGTCTCAGAGAATATCATCATCACCCACAGCTTGCCCAAATAACAAATGCTGGCATCAGCTTCAATTTCTCCTTCTTCCTTTGTCATCAACTCCCATCCCTCCAATGCCCTAAAATCTCTCTATCCTCCCAGCTGTGTATCTAGTTTGGGCCACCACCACAATTTACCTGATTTATTGTAAAGCTTCCCAACTTCTCTCCTGGTTCCTGGTCGTCTCCTTTCCATGTTCCATTCTTCAAACCTCTTCCAAGGTGATCATTTTAAAGCACAAATCAAATCATATATCCCTAGTTAAATCCTCCAGTGTCATCCCAGGCCTTTGTCATGAAATTTAAACTCCTTAGTATGGATTATAAAGTAACTCTTAATAATCTAACCTCTTTCTCTCCTTCCTCCAACCCAGTATTTTATTCAATTATAATAAACTTTTTTTTTTTTTTTAGGTGGAGTCTTGCTCTGTCGCCCAGGCTGGAGTGCAGTGGCATGATCTCAGCTCACTGCAAGCTCCGCCTCCCGGGTTCACGACATTCTCCTGCCTCAGCCTCCCGAGTAGCTGGGACTACAGGCGTCCGCCACCACGCCCGGCTAATTTTTGGGTTTTTAGTAGAGATGGGGTTTCACCATATTAGCCAGGATGGTCTCGATCTCCTACCTTGTGATCCACCTGCCTCGGCCTCCCAAAGTGCTGGGATTACAGGCGTGAGCCACCGCACCCAGCCTGTAATAAACTTCTTACAGCTCTCTAGATGCATCACAATTTTTCTAGCCACTGAGCCTGGCACAGGCAGTTTTCTTTGCCTGGAATGCTCCCTCTGTCTGTCCTTGTGGGCCTTCACCTGGCTAATCTTATGCATGCTTCAGATCTTAGCTAAAAATACCACTTTGTCTGAGAATTCTTCCTTGATCACCAAATTTAAGTCAAGTGACACTCATGGGCTCCCATAACATCCCATAACCATATACTATTTTGTAATTGCCTATTTATTTCCCTGTCTCCACTACTAAAATGTTAATTCCTTATAAGGCAGTAACTTGATCCTGAACAGTAAATGAACTATTACACCATGCAAAATGCCTCATACATAGTAGGCTCTCAATAAAGATTTTTCAAACAACAAGTAAAAAATGTATAACATATTTATAAAAAAAAGAAGAAGAAAAAGAAGAGAGTGTAAATCTCACTAATTGTTTCCAACTCTGACTAGATGCTGACATTTTCTAGAATGAATGTCTTAGTGTATTTGGCCTGTTATAGCAAAATGTCATAAACTGCATGGCTTACGAATAACAGAATTTATTCCTCTCAATTCTAGAGGCTGGGAAGTCCTGGAACAAGTTGCCAGCAGAGATGTCTGGTGGGGATTCACTTCCTGGTTCATAGACGGCTGTCTTCTCACTGTGTCCTCACATGGCAGAAGGGATAAGGAAGTTCTCTGTGGTCTCTTTCATAAGGGCACTCATCCCATTCATGAGGGCTTTGCCTTCCCAATCTAATTACTTTCCAAATGCCACACCTCCTAATACCATCACACAGGGGATTAATATTTCCACATATGGATTTTGGTGGGGTGTTGGTGGGGACACAAACATTCAGTATATAGCAATGAGGTAAGTAAAGTTTCGCTTAAGAAACCAACACTAATAAATTTTATAGCTTTTTATCCTCAGCGGAATGCCAAGTAGATGTGCAACACTTAAAGTTACCTTTCTTCAAATGAGCCTCAGCAATATTAACGAATAATCACAAGATTTCCTGCTTTTCCTTCAGGAAGCAGTGCTAAAATGTTAGTCATGTAAAAAAGAGGGCCTCGTTATTTCTCCCCTCTTCCTCTACTGTGTAGGTTTAACACAGCAGATGCTTTTCCCTCCCCCAGCCCACCTTCTATTTCTTCTCTCCTAGCCTACCATTTCCCTAGGTTGAATCTAACTCATTATTGATGCTGACTATATAGCTGAGCCTAACATAGATTTGGCTTCCGAATTCTTCTAAGAAATATACAAAGTATATTTTCTTTTGCCATTTTTACTATGTTAACCAATAGGAAGAGCTTGACCTGATTTCTAGCTAAATATTCTTTGGAAAGTTACAAAACCAGATTTCCCCTAATTCCCTAGCTGTACATTTTCATGACATTAAAGTATTTGGAGGTTTAATTATTTGATTGTGGAAACCATTTGCAGATAAACGAGATACTGAAATGGTTACTATTATAATTTGACTATTCTCTGAATGTTATCTTGTTCTTGCATTACCAGTACAAATGCAGCAGAGTGGTGGAAATTTTGCAGTTCTACAATGTAAACATTCTCAGACATTAAACAACACTGTGAAGGGCCAAAGTGGTGATCAGTCTCAGTAAATACCATTTAGAATGGCTTTTGTTTCACAAGCTCCAACAAACAGAAATGTGCCCCCTATATGACTTTACATTTTAGCACTAAGATACATTATTGGAAGTAGATCTTATTGTTACCGGAAATTAGTAATTATTCTCCAACCACATAGTGCCCATTGTGTATTATGGTTTTTAATCATAAAAACAGGGAAAGTGTTTAGTTCTTATGGTCTGGTTCAAAACTATTGTACATCATACCCAGTAGTTTTCAACCTAATGACAAAAAGTCAAGTAGAACAGAATAAACTTTAGGAAAGAAATCTACCAATACTTTATATAAGCAGTCATGCAATAAAGGACTTATTGGATTATAGCTTCTCTGTGCTTCCTAATTAACTAGTCAACTTATATGCAAAATATGAGACTGAATTTCTCTGTGACTCTACATACATTGTCATCATCTTTGTATCACAGCTGACAGCTCTTTTATGACAAATTTTGTTCTGAAAAAGTTAATCAAAATTCCATTTCCAAAATCATTAATATTTAGTATTGTTGCATTAAGTCTTATTTTTAGTAAGGCAGAAATTTTTTCCATGTAAGAGAATATAAAAGACTCTTTTAAAAATTATCCCAAGAGTTTTATTTCATTCACTAAATCATATTAACAATTTGCTAAGCAAAGTCGCTGCTGGAACAGATCATTAAATAGAAGGTAAAACCTTAGCATGCCCACCTCTGATTCCAGGATGTTGGACATTACTATGATTCTGAATAATTAGCTCAATACAGAAAAAAAAGCACAGTAATAACTATCACTTGACAACTACCATGTCATGTCTATGTTTCCATAGAGATACAGTCATTTAATTCCTTTGCCTAACAGTCACCGTTTTAAAGTCTAATCTGAGCATCTGTCTTTGGATCAATCAGATTTATGCATTTATATTTATTATAATTACTGGTACCTTTGGATTTATTTCTGACAGACTATTTTATATTTCTATTTACCACATTTTCTGATTATTTCCCCCCTCTCCTTTTCTATATTCCACTGGAGAGACTATTCTGCTGCTGCTCTGTTTATATTCTTCCAGTAGTTACCACTAGCTTATTGATAGTACACATCTGTTTACTTTTCCTTACCATTTTAAAGCCTATCCATAGCTAAACTGTGCTTTTTAAAAAATGATAGCTGCTAGCTGAGAGGGTAAATTTCTGTTGATTAGAAAAAGGCAACCCTTCCTCAAGAAAATAATCATTTAAAAATTGTCTAGAGGGTTTTCCAGAGCCCTGGCAGGCAATAGCCTTACCTAGCTAACGTGTCCACACTTGCTAGCATCTCAGCAGCTCAGGCAGCACACAGCAGACCATGCTTCACCCTCGCCCCATTCCACAAGTAAGGCAGTAATGTGAGGGGCAGAAACGAAGGCCCCACTTAGCTCTTTAAGATGTGTCTATCTCAGATGTGACACTCTTGTTCAGCATATGCAGTAGTATGCAGTACTCAAGCATAAACTCACCTCTTTGGTCTCTCCTCCCACTTGTGTGGTCATCACATAAAATAATTCTTTTTATTCCGTATGTATTTTAACTTGTTTTGGTCCTTTATTATTTAAACTGTAAGCTTGATTAAGTTACTTACTCGTCCTAATTTCCCTTATCTCAAAGTATCCTGCATGAATGTCTTTTCTTGTTTAAGTACTTTGTCTTAGCAGAAATTGCTTCTCCTTATTGCAGCTAGGCTTGATGTTCTCCAACTACTCATCGCCAATGCTGCACTGGAAGCAGGTTAGCAACCCAACAGGCAGGTCAAGTTGTGACAATTCTCTGGAATTGTTGGAAAACCAACAATCACACAACTGGGAAGCTAAAGAAAAAGTAATGAACAGGGCAAATTTAAAAACCCAGAAAGTTGAGTGTTCTTACCAAGTTTCAGTTGAGTAAATGCTGAATAAAACTACTCCTCGGATTGTTGCAAGCTTTTAGTTAATGTTCAATGTTTGGAAAAAGTTGATTTTGATATTTTTTGCCAGTATTGTTGTTTTTATGGAAAAATAGGTTTTTGGAGGTCTTTGCTCCATCTTTCTGGAAGTGCTTCTCAGTACATCATATTCTGAATTTCTTTATATAAAAACAAATGTAGGTGTTCCCGGTAACCTATTTTTCTTCAAGTCAAAGATTATTAGCATTACAATTTGAAAAGGTTAAGATAAAATAATTTCAACTATGTTCAACAGTAAGCATTAAAAAAGAAGCAAAGAAGAAAACCTTCATGAATGAATACATAATCTAGGGTGCAACAGTCATCTTTTGATTTTAGTTTCCTTAGAACCTTTCACTTTGGTTTTACTAACATACAAGGAATTTTAGAATTATTCAGATTTTATTCAAAATTATTGTATCTTTGAAGCAAAAACAAATTTTATATTTAATTCTAAATATTTAATATGATTTATATTGAAGTACATTTTTATAAAGCCCTTTACTTTTACCCTAAAGGGGTATGAAATTTTTTCTAAAATATTACTGTTAATATTAATCTGTAGCCAAAAAAGTAGGATATTTGTTAGTTCTTATTACACTTTTGTGAATCCAAGTATTATTAAATTGTTAAAATATTTTAGACACTTAAAAGTGAGTAAACTACAGAAAATCAGATGAATTTGTATTTTGAATACATGAAATAGAAAAACTAAGAACAATACAACTAATACGCAACAAGTTTTCTGAAAAATATATTTGAATGGTAAGTGTTAATCAGAAAGGGAAATCTTCCTTATAGATTCTGGGTATTAGAACTTTGTCAGATGCATAGTTGGCAAATATTTTTCTCCCATTCTGTAGGTTGTCTGTTTACTCTGTTTATAGTTTCTTTTGTTATGCAGAAGATCCTTAGTTTAATTAGGTCCCAATTGTCAATTGTTTTTGTTGCCTTTGTTTTTGAGGACTTAGTCATAAATTCTCAATGTAGTCCAGTGTCCAGAGAGGAACTTAAATAAATCATGGAGAAAAAAATATATATATCAGGAGGCTGAGGTGAGAGGATGTCTTGAGCCCTGGAGGCGGAGGTTGCAGTCGAGCTGAGATTGTGCCACTGCACTCCACCCTGGGTGATAGAGCCAGACCTTGTCTCAAAATAAAATAAAATAACCCCATTAAAACTACACAAAGGATATGAACAGATACTTCTCAAAAGAAGATGTACAACCAGCTAACTAACATATTAAAAAATGCTCAACATCACTAATTATCAGAGAAATGCAAATCAAAACCACAATGAGATACCACCTTACGCTAGTCAGAATGGCTATGAAATGACTAAAAAGTCAAAAAATAACAGATGTGGGCAAGGTTGTAAACAAAAGGGAACACTCATGTACACTGTTGGTGGAATTGTAAATTAGTTCAGCTCCTGTGAAAAGCAGTTTGGAGATATCTTGAAGAACTAAAAACAGAACTACTTTTTCACCCAGCAATTCCATTACTGAGTATGTACCCAAAAGAAAATAAATCATTCTACAAAAAGACACCCACACTAGTGTATTTATCACAGCACCATCCACAATAGCAAAGACATAGAATCAACCTAGATACCCACCAACAGTGGACTGAATAAAGAAAATGTGGTACATGCACACCATGAAATACTACACAGTCATAAAAAAGAACAAAATCAAGTCCTTTGCAGCAACATGGATGCAACTGAAGACCACTGTCCTAAGAAAATTAATGCAGAAACAGAAAACCAAACACTACATGTTCTCACTTAAAAGTGGAAGCAAAATTGGGTACACATGGACATAAAGATGGTAACAATAGACACTGGGGACTCCAAAAGAGGCTAGGGTGGGAAAGGTGCAAGAGCTGAAAAACTACCTATTGGGTACTATGTTTACTATTTGGGCGATGGGTTTAATTGAAACCCAAACCTCAGCATTATGCAATATATCCATATAATATACTTGCACATATACTCCCTGAATCTAAAATTTTTAAAAAATTTTAAAGAAAGGGAAACTTCACTATAGGGGAAGGGGAAAAGCATCAACTTTAGGAACAGAATAAGTTAAATCAGTAACTAAGCTGGCCAGCCATAATTTGGACTGGAAGATCAATACTATGAAGAGAAAACTTGTAAAACTGTGAAATAGTTTATATTCTCATATTCTTTTATGACTGAGAGTGATAAAGGACAAGAACACGGAAGAAATCTGACCAAATTAATGGTCTTAGTCAAGACTGCATTGCACACATTCCATTTCTACTTTTTCTAACAATAGGAAACCTCAACTTCTTACTATGGCATTATAATGAAAAAAGCCACAAGCAAATGTAGCAATCAGTAAATAGGTGCTCAGTGTGATGCAGTCTAGTTAGCAATCTTTTAGTGGAAAATCTGGGGAGGAAGTAGAGGGATTTGTACCCCAGGCAAAGAATGACATTACAATGAGAAAAAATCTGATTTATATGTAAGATTATCATATATCCTGGTTTGCCTGTGGCAAACCTGTTTAAGCCTGTTAACTTGATTTAATTATTTATGGTTTTACATTTAATTATTAATAGTTTCTCTTTTCACTCTCAAATACATCACAATTTGGACACAAATTATATTTGCCAAATATACAGTCACTCTATTTACATGTGACAACTTGAGCCTGACACCTGTTGCTTCTCTGGCTGGCTGCTGTTTGAATCAAGGTGGCTAAAATTCCTGTCACAAGCCATCCTCAATGTCATATCTGGTCTCATACAGGCTACTTGGAAGGAATTCCCAGATGCTCAGAAAACCCAGACTGTATTAGACCATTTTCATGCTGCTGATAAAGACATACCCGAGACTGAGAAGAAAAAGAGGTTTAATGGTCTTACAGTTCCACAGGCTAGGGATGCCTCACAATCATGGCAGAAGGCAAAGAGAAGCAAGTCACGTCTTACATGGATGGCAGCAGGCAAAGAGAGAGAAAGCTTGTGCAGGGAAACTCCCATTTTTATTTTTTTTTATTACTTATTTATTTATTTATTTTATTATTACTATTGTTATTATTTTTTTTTATTATACTTTAAGTTTTAGGGTACATGTGCACATTGTGCAGGTTAGTTACATATGTATACATGTGCCATGCTGGTGCGCTGCACCCACTAACTCGTCATCTAGCCTTAGGTATATCTCCCAATGCTATCCCTCCCCCCTCCCCCCTCCCCACCACAGTCCCCAGAGTGTGATATTCCCCTTCATGTGTCCATGTGATCTCATTGTTCAATTCCCACCTATGAGTGAGAATATGCGGTGTTTGGTTTTTTGTTCTTGCGATAGTTTACTGAGAATGATGGTTTCCAATTTCATCCATGTCCCTACAAAGGACATGAACTCATCATTTTTTATGGCTGCATAGTATTCCATGGTGTATATGTGCCACATTTTCTTAATCCAGTCTATCATTGTTGGACATTTGGGTTGGTTCCAAGTCTTTGCTATTGTGAATAATGCCGCAATAAACACACGTGTGCATGTGTCTTTATAGCAGCATGATTTATAGTCATTTGGGTATATACCCAGTAATGGGATGGCTGGGTCAAATGGTATTTCTAGTTCTAGATCCCTGAGGAATCGCCACACTGACTTCCACAATGGTTGAACTAGTTTACAGTCCCACCAACAGTGTAAAAATGTTCCTATTTCTCTACATCCTCTCCAGCACCTGTTGTTTCCTGACTTTTTAATGATTGCCATTCTAGCTGGTATGAGATGATATCTCATAGTGGTTTTGATTTGCATTTCTCTGATGGCCAGTGATGATGAGCATGTTTTCATGTGTTTTTTGGCTGCATAAATGTCTTCTTTTGAGAAGTGTCTGTTCATGTCCCTCGCCCACTTTTTGATGGGGTTGTTTGTTTTTTTCTTGTAAATTTGTTTGAGTTCATTGTAGATTCTGGATATTAGCCCTTTGTCAGATGAGTAGGTTGCGAAAATTTTCTCCCATGTTGTAGGTTGCCTGTTCACTCTGATGGTAGTTTCTTTTGCTGTGCAGAAGCTCTTTAGTTTAATTAGATCCCATTTGTCAATTTTGGCTTTGGTTGCCATTGCTTTTGGTGTTTTGGACATGAAGTCCTTGCCCACGCCTATGTCCTGAATGGTAATGCCTAGGTTTTCTTCTAGGGTTTTTATGGTTTTAGGTCTAACGTTTAAATCTTTAATCCATCTTGAATTGATTTTTGTATAAGGTGTAAGGAAGGGATCCAGTTTCAGCTTTCTACATATGGCTAGCCAGTTTTCCCAGCACCATTTATTAAATAGGGAATCCTTTCCCCATTGCTTGTTTTTCTCAGGTTCGTCAAAGATCAGATAGTTGTAGGTATGCGGCATTATTTCTGAGGGCTCTGTTCTGTTCCATTGATCTATATCTCTGTTTTGGTACCAGTACCATGCTGTTTTGGTTACTGTAGCTTTGTAGTATAGTTTGAAGTCAGGTAGTGTGATGCCTCCAGCTTTGTTCTTTTGGCTTAGGATTGACTTGGCAATGCGGGCTCTTTTTTGGTTCCATATGAACTTTAAAGTAGTTTTTTCCAATTCTGTGAAGAAAGTCATTGGTAGCTTGATGGGGATGGCATTGAATCTATAAATTACCTTGGGCAGTATGGCCATTTTCACAATATTGATTCTTCCTACCCATGAGCATGGAATGTTCTTCCATTTGTTTGTATCCTCTTTTATTTCCTTGAGCAGTGGTTTGTAGTTCTCCTTGAAGAGGTCCTTCACATCCCTTGTAAGTTGGATTCCTAGGTATTTTATTCTCTTTGAAGCAATTGTGAATGGGAGTTCACTCATGATTTGGCTCTCTGTTTGTGTGTTGTTGGTGTATAGGAATGCTTGTGATTTTTCTACATTGATTTTGTATCCTGAGACTTTGCTGAAGTTGCTTATCAGTTTAAAGAGATTTTGGGCTGAGACAATGGGGTTTTCTAGATAAACAATCATGTCGTCTGCAAACAGGGACAATTTGACTTCCTCTTTTCCTAATTGAATACCCTTTATTTCCTTCTCCTGCCTGATTGCCCTGGCCA
Source organism: Homo sapiens (assembly GCF_000001405.40). Lineage (NCBI taxonomy): Eukaryota > Metazoa > Chordata > Mammalia > Primates > Hominidae > Homo > Homo sapiens. Next base: position 102,206,950 of record NC_000004.12, read on the forward strand.
GAACTTCCAACACTATGTTGAATAGGAGCGGTGAGAGAGGGCATCCCTGTCTTGTGCCAGTTTTCAAAGGGAATGCTTCCAGTTTTTGCCCAATCAGTATGATATTGGCTGTGGGTTTGTCATAGATAGCTCTTATTATTTTGAGATACGTCCCATCAATACCTAATTTATTGAGAGTTTTTAGCATGAAGGGTTGTTCAATTTTGTCAAAGGCCTTTTCTGCATCTATTGAGATAATCATGTGGTTTTTGTCTTTGGCTCTGTTTATATGCTGGATTACATTTATTGATTTGCGTATATTGAACCAGCTTTGCATCCCAGGGATGAAGCCCACTTGATCATGGTGGATAAGCTTTTTGATGTGCTGCTGGATTCGGTTTGCCAGTATTTTATTGAGGATTTTTGCATCAATGTTCATCAAGGATATTGGTCTAAAATTCTCTTTTTTGGTTGTGTCTCTGCCCAGCTTTGATATCAGAATGATGCTGGCCTCATAAAATGAGTTAGGGAGGATTCCCTCTTTTTCTATTGATTGGAATAGTTTCAGAAGGAATGGTACCAGTTCCTCCTTGTACCTCTGGTAGAATTCGGCTGTGAATCCATCTGGTCCTGGACTCTTTTTGGTTGGTAAACTATTGATTATTGCCACAATTTCAGCTCCTGTTATTGGTCTATTCAGAGATTCAACTTCTTCCTGGTTTAGTCTTGGGAGAGTGTATGTGTCGAGGAATGTATCCATTTCTTCTAGATTTTCTAGTTTATTTGCATAGAGGTGTTTGTAGTATTCTCTGATGGTAGTTTGTATTTTTGTGGGATCGGTGGTGATATCCCCTTTATCATTTTTTATTGTGTCTATTTGATTCTTCTCTCTTTTTTTCTTTATTAGTCTTGCTAGCGGTCTATCAATTTTGTTGATCCTTTCAAAAAACCAGCTCCTGGATTCATTGATTTTTTGAAGGGTTTTTTGTGTCTCTATTTCCTTCAGTTCTGCTCTGATTTTAGTTATTTCTTGCCTTCTGCTAGCTTTTGAATGTGTTTGCTCTTGCTTTTCTAGTTCTTTTAATTGTGATGTTAGGGTGTCAATTTTGGATCTTTCCTGCTTTCTCTTGTACGCATTTAGTGCTATAAATTTCCCTCTACACACTGCTTTGAATGCGTCCCAGAGATTCTGGTAAGTTGTGTCTTTGTTCTCGTTGGTTTCAAAGAACATCTTTATTTCTGCCTTCATTTCGTTATGTACCCAGTAGTCATTCAGGAGCAGGTTGTTCAGTTTCCATGTAGTTGAGTGGCTTTGAGTGAGATTCTTAATCCTGAGTTCTAGTTTGATTGCACTGTGGTCTGAGAGATAGTTTGTTATAATTTCTGTTCTTTTACATTTGCTGAGGAGAGCTTTACTTCCAAGTATGTGGTCAATTTTGAAATAGGTGTGGTGTGGTGCTGAAAAAAATGTATATTCTGTTGATTTGGGGTGGAGAGTTCTGTAGATGCCTATTAGGTCCGCTTGGTGCAGAGTTGAGTTCAATTCCTGGGTATCCTTGTTGACTTTCTGTCTCGTTGATCTGTCTAATGTTGACAGTGGGGTGTTAAAGTCTCCCATTATTAATGTGTGGGAGTCTAAGTCTCTTTGTAGGTCACTCAGGACTTGCTTTATGAATCTGGGTGCTCCTGTATTGGGTGCATATATACTTAGGATAGTTAGCTCCTCTTGTTGAATTGATCCCTTTACCATTATGTAATGGCCTTCTTTGTCTTTTTTGATCTTTGTTGGTTTAAAGTCTGTTTTATCAGAGACTAGGATTGCAACCCCTGCCTTTTTTTGTTTTCCATTGGCTTGGTAGATCTTCCTCCATCCTTTTATTTTGAGCCTATGTGTGTCTCTGCACGTGAGATGGGTTTCCTGAATACAGCACACTGATGGGTCTTGACTCTTTATCCAACTTGCCAGTCTGTGTCTTTTAATTGGAGCATTTAGTCCATTTACATTTAAAGTTAATATTGTTATGTGTGAATTTGATCCTGTCATTATGATGTTAGCTGGTGATTTTGCTCGTTAGTTGATGCAGTTTCTTCCTAGTCTCGATGGTCTTTACATTTTGGCATGATTTTGCAGTGGCTGGTACCGGTTGTTCCTTTCCATGTTTAGCGCTTCCTTCAGGAGCTCTTTTAGGGCAGGCCTGGTGGTGACAAAATCTCTCAGCATTTGCTTGTCTGTAAAGTATTTTATTTCTCCTTCACTTATGAAGCTTAGTTTGGCTGGATATGAAATCCTGGGTTGAAAATTCTTTTCTTTAAGAATGTTGAATATTGGCCCCCACTCTCTTCTGGCTTGTAGGGTTTCTGCCGAGAGATCCGCTGTTAGTCTGATGGGCTTCCCTTTGAGGGTAACTCGACCTTTCTCTCTGGCTGCCCTTAACATTTTTTCCTTCATTTCAACTTTGGTGAATCTGACAATTATGTGTCTTGGAGTTGCTCTTCTCGAGGAGTATCTTTGTGGCGTTCTCTGTATTTCCTGAATCTGAACGTTGGCCTGCCTTGCTAGATTGGGGAAGTTCTCCTGGATAATATCCTGCAGAGTGTTTTCCAACTTGGTTCCATTCTCCGCATCACTTTCAGGTACACCAATCAGACGTAGATTTTGTCTTTTCACATAGTCCCATATTTCTTGGAGGCTTTGCTCATTTCTTTTTATTCTTTTTTCTCTAAACTTCCCTTCTCACTTCATTTCATTCATTTCATCTTCCATTGCTGATACCCTTTCTTCCAGTTGATCGCATCAGCTCCTGAGGCTTCTGCATTCTTCACGTAGTTCTCGAGCCTTGGTTTTCAGCTCCATCAGCTCCTTTAAGCACTTCTCTGTATTGGTTATTCTAGTTATACATTCTTCTAAATTTTTTTCAAAGTTTTCAACTTCTTTGCCTTTGGTTTGAATGTCCTCCCGTAGCTCAGAGTAATTTGATCGTCTGAAGCCTTCCTCTCTCAGCTCGTCAAAATCATTCTCCATCCAGCTTTGTTCCGTTGCTGGTGAGGAACTGCGTTCCTTTGGAGGAGGAGAGGCGCTCTGCGTTTTAGAGTTTCCAGTTTTTCTGTTCTGTTTTTTCCCCATCTTTGTGGTTTTATTTACTTTTGGTCTTTGATGATGGTAATGTACAGATGGGTTTTCGGTGTGGATGTCCTTTCTGTTTGTTAGTTTTCCTTCTAACAGACAGGACCCTCAGCTGCAGGTCTGTTGGAATACCCTGCCGTGTGAGGTGTCAGTGTGCCCCTGCTGGGGGGTGCCTCCCAGTTAGGCTGCTCGGGGGTCAGGGGTCAGGGACCCACTTGAGGAGGCAGTCTGCCCATTCTCAGATCTCCAGCTGCGTGCTGGGAGAACCACTGCTCTCTTCAAAGCTGTCAGACAGGGACATTTAAGTCTGCAGAGGTTACTGCTGTCTTTTTGTTTGTCTGTGCCCTGCCCCCAGAGGTGGAGCCTACAGAGGCAGGCAGGCCTCCTTGAGCTGTGGTGGGCTCCACCCAGTTCGAGCTTCCCGGCTGCTTTGTTTACCTAAGCAAGCCTGGACAATGGCGGGCGCCCCTCCCCCAGCCTCGCTGCCGCCTTGCAGTTTGATCTCAGACTGCTGTGCTAGCAATCAGCGAGATTCCGTGGGCGTAGGACCCTCCGAGCCAGGTGTGGGATATAGTCTCGTGGTGCGCCGCTTTTTAAACCGGTCTGAAAAGCACAATATTCGGGTGGGAGTGACCCGATTTTCCAGGTGCGTCCATCACCCCTTTCTTTGACTCGGAAAGGGAACTCCCTGACCCCTTGGGCTTCCCAGGTGAGGCAATGCCTCGCCCTGCTTCGGCTCGTGCATGGTGCGTGCACCCACTGGCCTGAGCCCACTGTCTGGCACTCCCTAGTGAGATGAACCCAGTACCTCAGATGGAAATGCAGAAATCACCCGTCTTCTGTGTCGCTCACGCTGGGAGCTGTAGACCGGAGCTGTTCCTATTCGGCCATCTTGGCTCCTCCCCCGGAAACTCCCATTTTTAAAACCATCAGATCTCATGAGACTTATTCACTATCATGAGAACAGCAAGAGAAAGACCCACCCCCATGATTCAATTACTTCCCACCAGGTTCCTCCCACAACACTTGGGAATTTTGGGAGTTACAACTCAATATGAGATTTGGGTGGGGACACAGAGCCAAACCATATCACAGACTGAAAGAAGACAGAAGCTAACTCCCTCATGCTTTGAGCAGGGGTTCAAAACCATCAGGAAGCTCACTGCTGGACTTCCTTTCTCTTCTCAGCCCTCCCATCATCCTGGAGACTAAGCAGGAGAGACAGGCAGCAAAGAGATGGGAGGGGAAGCCAAGAGGAAGTCAATGAGCACATTCTCCAAAAATGCAATGCTTTAGTTTTTCAGACATCTGAGAGAGAAATGGGGACACATTTCATTCTGAGCTGAGACACTGTTTTCAGGTTTAAGTATATATGTGATTAAATGATATTTAATGATTTTGTACTCCTTTCCACTTAGTTCTCCCATGGGCTCCATAAAATTATTTCTTTTTCTCTTTAACCCACTGTTAAAAACCTGTTTGGACACACTCTCTCATAAGAACTTATGTGTAGGATGTGTAATTTTCTTTTTCTATTTTTTTTTTTTTTTTGAGACAGAGTCTCGCAGTTGCCCAGGCTGGAGTGCAGTGGCACGATCTAGGCTCACTGCAACCTCCACCTCCTGGGTTCAAGCAATTCTCCTGCCTCAGCCTTCTGAGTAGCTGGAATTACAGACACCCATCACCATGGTGAGCTAATTTTTTGTATTTTTAGTAGAGACAGGGTTTCATCATGTTGGCCAGGCTGGTCTTAAACTCCTCACATCGTGATTTGCCTGCCTCAGCCTCCCAAAGTACTGGGATTACAGGCTTGAGCCATCGCGCCAGGCCAAGACGTGTCATTTTCAATAAATCATTGAAGTTGTACGGACTTACTGGTAAAATGAGGTTCTGTCTTGTCCCCATTTGCCCTGCTGGGTGCGTCTATCGAAGTTACTTTGATCTACTTTATGCTTCCTCCTTCCTTGGTGCTTTTCAGAGTGCAACACAAAACACACTGGGTTATCACAGTTCAGCTCTAATTCTGTGAGAATGCCAATAATGAGGATGATCGATTGATGGGTAATAGAACAAAGCCTTGCATTTGAAATGTAGGAGACACCTTACAATAGTAAAAACTTAAGAGGACTCAAAGGTCCTACAAGATGAACTCAAGCACTTTTTCTTAGAAAACATACCATATTATCATCAGTTTTAATTACAAAATAATAAATATTAGCGTTATTATAAATTGTTCAAATTTACAACCATTCTGTTAACATGTGATAACTTGAGCCTGACACATAGCTGTAGTTTTGCAGCAACATAGATGTGGCTGGAGGCCATTATCCTAAGTGAATTACTCAGAAACAGAAAACCAAATAGTTTATAAGTAAAAGTTTTATAAAATATAAACTATTTTATAGATAGTATACTTCATTGCAATTACAACAAAGAGTATGTTTTCTTTAAATGGAGGGAATATCATTGCAGTTCTCCTTTCAAAACAAAGGCTTCAGAGAAATGATTAACCAAAAGATCTATATAATAGAAATCAATTGTTTCTTAAAACACTGAGTTGAGTTGATTCTGGGCAATTTGGAAGAGAAGCTACCATAGAAATTCAAATTTCCCTTAAAACAAAAAGGCAGGGAATACATAAAGAAAAAATTGTAATGAATATGTGAACAAAGAAATATTAATTTCAATTCTAGTACAAAGTAAAGAAGTTTTTAAAACAATTTTTTAGCCCACTAGTATTGTGATGATCAATATTTTCCTCATTGTTTATACACTCTTGTAGTAACACTGCATGCCTGTATCTTCTACATGAATGAAACACAAATGCTGGAACTTAAATATTTTAGTAAATATTTGGTCCAATCTATTATTAAAGCAAAAAAATAGTCAATAACACAAATTTTGGGACAAATTTGGAAAAGTCTGAGAGGATTAAATTATCTAATCAATCAAGTTCTTTCCTTATATATCGCTTTTATTTTGAAGCAAAACCTATAATTCAGGATAGAACTTTCTCTATTAAAAGCCAAAGCTAAAAAATGGTCATATTCAACCTAAAGGAAGGCATATGATCTCATTTTGACAGCTGTCTACAGTACCCTTATGTGTAAGGCTCCAGTCAGGACATCAGCAAGAGTAAAATATGTACAACATTTGGCCATGCCTTCCAGAAACCCTTGTGTGAGAGAGGCAAGTCATGGGTAAAAATTTCATTGCATTTGTAGAATGTTGACAAAATATTGTAAGTATATGAAAGAAATAAATTTTCTTTTGAGCAGATCTAGAAAAAATTCTTAAAAGTGGTGGTAGTCAAAGTAAATCTTATGCAATAAGTCAGATGTCAGCAATTAAATGTGAGCCCTGACATTCAAAGAAGACACAGGGGCACACAAAGGATACAAGAAATACTAAGATATGCTGGTGTTTTCAAGCATAAACTTCTAGAGGTGGAATTTTTTCCTAACACTTATTTCAACACAATGCACAGATATGAACTTAAGACGTTACTTGGTGATGATCATTTTCAGTCACTTTGCCCAAACAACCCCACTTCCTACTTTATATGTTCAAGCAGTAGCTAAGAACAAAGAAAGTGTTTTCAAATATGAATTCCAAGGATGAAGTAAACTGGTATAATGATTAAATACACAGCATTTAGAATTAAAACCAAGTTCAATGCCTTTCTATAACACCAACTATTTGACCTTGGAAAGATGACTAAATAATTTTTATGCCTCATTTTCCCTTCTATTAAACAAAAATAGGATAATAGCATCTGCTTCATAGCATTGCTGTAAATATAAAAGGAATAACACGTAATTTTCACATCCCCATTTCACAGTTAAGAATTCATTGCATTTCTCCAAACATATATATTTGATTACAGTTTTTACCAAGTTACCTGTGTTTATATTTTTATACTGATGGTCTCCACTATTTACCTTCCAGATTATGGTTTCTTAATATAAGAAAACTATACACATGACTCTGCAGAAAATAGTAGGGGGTATTTCTGGTAGAAGGGTCATGAAAAGGGGAGATGATCTAGAGCTGTTTGCAAGGAGCTGATTTGTGTGACAGAACCAAAAATTAAAACAAAACTCCACACAATGCACAAAGGCAGTGATGCTGTTCACCTTGACGAAGAGGTACAGGAACATTTTGGGGCTACCCAGCACCACTCATTTCATGAAAATCTGACAAGTCACCAAGTCACTTCCTAGAGGGCAACTCAGAAAACTCCCACTCTGCACCGGGTCCTGAGCACACCTCCTTTCCCACAGCTTTACAACAGCCCTAGTGCCTCTTCCTCTCAGTCACAAATTCTCAGGCTTCTCCCCTTTTTTCCTTTTCCTTTTTTTTTCTTTTTTTTTTTTTTTTTTGAGACGGAGTCTCACTCTATCACCCAGGCTGGAGTGCAGTGGCATGATCTTGGCTCACTGCAAACTCCGCCTCCCAGGTTCAAGCAATTCTCCTGTCTCAGCCTCCCTAGTAGCCAGGACTACAGGTGCACACCACCAAGTCTGGCTAATTTTGTGTATTTTTAGTAGAGACAGGGATTCACCATATTGGTCAGGCTGGTCTCAAACTCCTGACCTCAGGTGATTCACCTGTCTCAGCCTCCCGAAGTGCTGGGATTACAGGCGTGAGCCACTGCGCCCCACTTAGGTTTCTCCCTTATAACCAGTCACTAAAGCTAGTCTTTCCAAGGAAGGAGGATACTGATGTGTGTGAGATTTTAAAGGAAGAATAAATATTCCAAATAAAGGTAAGATGTACTGGGCACCCAAGTTCAAAAATGTTGTATATAACAAACCCTGCTTGACCAACCAGTATTCCTCTCCCTTTTCATTTGTCTTTAGGCAGAGCCTTTGTGACAGTTAATTTATTCTCCAAGGACATTTTGAAACCCTGTTAATCTTAGCTAAAAGGAATTAAAAGACTACAAGATCAGTAACTGATACCTCCAAAGATAAACTTGTATTTGAACATGAAGGAAATATTCATAAATTTGCCCTTCTTCACTCTTTTTGGCATCTCCAGATAACACTCCAAGTCTGAGTATTTATTATGAAACATAAATTTGTTGTTGGAGCCGGAGAGGTGTCAGATATTATTCTTCTTCCTGGATACACAGACCAGACTTCCCAACCCCATTCCAGTTAGGAGAGGGCACTGAATGTGAACGCATGTTATCCAGGCGTGCCCCATAAAAACCCACTAAGCAGTCCTCCTCACTTCTCACTCCCCTCCTCACTCAAATGGAGACACTCTCAGTGAACTTGGAAGCCACTCTTTAAGGAAAGTAGGGCATCCATCACCTCAAGTCTGAGGATGAGTAGGTGGCTGTGTCTCTGATCTGTCAACTCTCTAAGGACTATTACATGAATCAGTAACACTGTTTTATTGTATTTAAGCCATTATTCATTTGGAAGTGTATTTACGACAGCAGTTGGACCCTAACTATAGAGAAAGACTCAATTAGGGAAGAATAGGGAAGTATGTTACAATGTGAATAGATGCTTCACCTGTATAAATGGTTGTTATTATTGTTGTTGTTTGTTAACTTCTTTGAGTTAGGCTTATAACAACACAGCTCATCTCATAATGTAGGAAAACATGTTAAGGTCAGTAAACTATCCTAAGATTCTAGCAGCTAAACTCCTTTCTGAATTCACAACATTAGCATAGAACATCAGCAAGCCTATAACAATTGAAAGGAGACTCTGGTACGATTAATAATTTGTTTACTTGACTCTGTCAAAATTTTAGGTGAGTCATAAAAAGGATATGATCTCATAAAATTTAATATCACATTTTACACACACACTGAATAAAACCAAGCAAACAGTAGCAACCACAGCTCTGGGATAAGAGGGGCTACAAATCTATCTACAGGAGGTGCTACATATTATCAACTGATATATCTAAACACTTAGTTTGTGTCCAACATTGCCAGAAATTAGGAAGAAACAAAGGACTCATAACATACATTTATAAATTTCACCTTCACAGAAGTTATAATCTATTAATAGCTGAAGAGGAAAGATTCTCATACATGAAGTAGTACAAAAAGAGTTATTTAAGTACCATGTGGGTTGCTCTGAGAACTAAATGATGTGAGAATTCAAGAAAGACATATTTGTGGGTATAGGTATCTTCTGAAAGATTTCATGGAGGGATTGTCCTGCAGAAAAAGAATTTGAGGTTTAGATAAAGACAGAAGTAAAAGACACGGTAGAGGGGAGTGGATCCGTGTACAGCACCTGAGCATCTGAGCTCTCAATAGCACCATCAGGATTTCTTTCAGGTTCGAGAGAAGCTGACACCCAGCTTCTTTATCCCCTCCAGGATATCTCTGGGCTGTGACTTAGCAGAATGGGAAAGGTTTTGCAAACATTCCAGGAATCTAGTCCCAGTTTAATTACTTACTATTTGTGGGTCCTTGAACAAATCCCTCTGTGCCTCAGTATTCTCCTCTGTGATACTGGGATAGTATAAGGCCAAGGCTGTCTTTCTTACAGGATCAAATTGGCCAATTAATATAAAATGCCTTGAAAATGTAAGAATGTAAGAGCTATAAACATGTAAGTATTATTACCATCCCCACCGTTTGTCCTGCTATTTGCAAAAGCAGAGGAAAGAACTGCAGCTTAGATGAGTTCTGCTATCCTCAGGGCCACATAGCTGGGTATGCAAGGTAACTTTTCTCTTACTCTCACTTTTATTTGGGGTTTCACAGTGGGCACAGTGCACCAGCTATGGTAATGCAGTTCAATTATACAGTCAGAGGGCCTTTGGGGGCAATTTGAAGACTTCCTGGATGAACACTCTCTCGACTGATTGGTTGCACCTACTGTTTCCGTAGCAACTTTAGATCGATTCCACACTCACTGACTTTCTGCTCCCATTTGCTATAACATCACTTTAACATCAAGAGACATAAGGTAGAAGGATTTTAACAAATGGAAGTATAATTTAAATTGAAGTTTTGGGGTTTTTTTTTTGGAGGTCCCAGAGTTCTCTACATGTTACCCATAGTTATAGTAGACTCATAGCTCTTTCCTTTAAGGGAGGTGGATGAAAGCAGATGCTTCTTTAATAAAATTCCTTGTAATAATATTGAGAAAACATTGCCCAGCACATCCTCTCCCACATTTGCATGAACAAAGACCTCTAGCCAACCTTTAGTTTACCTTCTTCACCAAGACTTGTATGTCAAGGTTCCAAGCAGGCTCACAACAACCCCATAAGGTAGTATTTTTCCCAGGTTATTTAGGTTTAAAATATTTGACTAAGTGGCAGTGCTGTAAGGTATATAAGTGACAGAGCCAGGATCCAAACACATACATAAGTGTGTCTTGACCATGTGAACGTGACCACACCATTGGTGGTTGTACTCTCAGTACAGCATAATCATCATACTTCTGAATGTTGGTAAATAACTCTGGTTCTTAGTTTGGATTTCCTTAGAAAACAGAGCCTGAGGCAAAGACTCGGGTGCAGGCAGTGTATTTTGGAGCTGATCCCAGAAAGCAGGAGGAAGTAAGTGGAGAGAGCAAGACAAGAAAGAGGAAAAACTGTTATTCGGTGTGTTATAAAGGTTACTGATGGATGGATTCTGGGTTCTACTTTAAACCTCTGAGGAATATATAGGATGTCTTCTAGGATTATCCAGGTGGCAATGGAAGACTGGAGTATTTATGTGCTAGTCTCACCCGTAACCCCTTTGGATGAGTGTTATTCCTGGGCATTTTTAACACCCCCACACTTTCTGGCTGTTCTTGTGCACAGGATAAGGAGCTACCAGGACACCAGAGAAGACCTTGGGCTAAATCACAGAAAGACCCATAACTGGGCTCCAAGTGGAACATTAGCTGTGTTGAGCTAAGACTGAATCATCAGGTAACTGTCCACTATAGCTGCTGCTGAAATTGAAGCTGGACCCAGTGACTGTGGTGCAGGCACCAGGGGTGTCTGCCTCACCCTACTTCTAAGATATTTTACAGCTTGCTGAAATAATTATTAGTTCAGCCTTGTGACTTGCACAGTCACATGTGACATGAACGTAACCTTAATTCTGGCTACAGAGCAGCACTGTCACAAGACACACAGTTGATTCATCTGTGTGTCTGGAGTAGTAATCATAGTCCAAGTGTGGGCTCTGGGGCAAGACTGCTTAGTTCTACTCTGAGTTTCATCATGGTAAGTCTAAGTGCACAAGTCACTTAAATACAATGTGTTTCAGTTTCCTCATCTGTAAAATGGACATAATAGAATCTACCTTATAGTTTGCTGTTGGGTTAAATTAGATAATTAGATGTAAAGCACTCAGAAGAGCATCTGAACATAGTAAGTATTTAAAGGAGTCAATAGAATTTTTTCAAATTATTTGCAATTTACTAACATATCCATTTTTTCTCTCATAGCAGGAAGGGAATGTATTATAAGCACTCTGTGCCTTCCCACTCATGATTATAAAATGCTAACCAAAAGCTTAACATAAAATAACTACAAGCCCCAAAACCAAACATCACAGTGGCAGGAAATTTCACCACCCAAAGCCCACCACTTTCTTAGCACTTTGTCTTAAAATAATGAAAACTGTTTGGTAGCTTTCCTCTCTCACACGTACTAAAACTAAAGGGAACATTTTTAAAGTTTAATATTTTTCACTTGGTAAAAATCCTTATTCTGATAGAATAACATCTGGCCAGAGAGGGGGAAAAAAGCAACCAGCACAGGAGCCGAGTAGCTTCTGGTCTCCATGGTAACAGTGTCCCATATTCTGACCCCTTTAATCACCTGATCCTCTCAGGATAATGAAAGGAGCAAGGAGACAAAAACCTTAAGACAAAAAAAGTAGCCATTCTTGGAGCCGATGATGACAAGCCAGCAAATGCAGCCCAGAGGTGATTCTAACTACCTCTACTTATGTGACATTCCCTTAGAATTATATTTTCAGTAGGAGTGATAGGTTAACATTGATCAAGCAGAGCTTAGTCAAAATTGCTCATTACCCCCTTGTAAGCGACAGCACATAAGCAAGATGGCACCCTGGGGATAGTGGGCAGTTTGCTGCCAAGCTGCAAGATAATTGGTCTCCACAGAAATGAAATTTGTGATATTTTTCTCCTTACCTTATGCCTTTACCTGATTTCTAGGAAAGATATTGAACATTTTTTGAAACATTAGAGCAATGCTTCTCAAAGCAAGAACCACGGAGCTCCTGCATCAGGATCCCTGGGGGCATTGTTAAATGCGCATTCCCAGGGTTCATCTTCGGTAGATTCTAATAGAGCAAACCTGGAATGCAGCCAAGGAAGTTGTATTTAACAAGCAGCTCCAGGGGGTTCTTATGCACCCTATAGTTTGAAACCACTCACTTAGAACGTGAGAGTTACTCCCTCCACTCTGCAATTTATGTTGGCATTCAGATCATTTATGAATGTGACAGATTCTTCTTTTCTACAGATGACCTATGGAGATAATCAATTTTTGAGACCAAAAAAAATATATAGGGAAGCATTTAGAACTACTGAAGTGAAAGGAAAAAACATCTATGTTTAGGAAAACAAGTATAAATTAACAATGAAAAGTATAACCTATTGCTTGACTAATTTTATTTGCCTATATTGTCTCACCAGTTATAATGTCTGTATAATTATCATACAGAGTTCCTTTTACTTTTTATAAGAGAGAATTCCTATGTTAAAGGACAGAAACCTAATGCTATAAATTACTAATCTATTTCATAGCTCCTGAAAAATTATATAAGCTGTATTTAGATGGCATCTGATTTTATTCATATATTCACATATTCAAATGTTTACTGAGCATCTGCTATGTGCTGGACTTAAAGAAGCCAAAAGCCCCCACTACCACAGAGTGCATTCTAGGAAGGAATAAACAATAAACAACTAAGTAAAATACCTGCTGTGTCAGATGGCGAAAAGCACTATAGAAAAATATAAAGCAAGGGATGAGGTGGTTGCAGTTTTAAATAACTGTTATGGGAAGACCTCAAAAGGAAATGGCATTTGAGTAAAACCTGAATATGATAAGGGAACAAATATTACAAGTATCTGGTGAAAGAATGTTCAAGGCAGAGGAAATATCAAGTGCAGAAGGCCTGAGGCAGAACATCCCAGAGAGTAGTGTGGCCAGAACAGAGTAAATGAGGTACAAAGTAGTAGATAAGGTGAAATATAACACTCCTGGTGGGAGAAGGTGGGACATATTGTGACCTTTGACTTTCATTCCAAATAAGACCAGAAGAAGCCATAGGAAGATTTTGAACTGAGAAATTATAGGAACTTACTTACATTTAAAAGGATCAGTCTGCACCTGAGTTGAGAATAGACAAGGACAGAGAAAGGGAGACCAATAAAATGGCATTCTAGTACTTTAGATGTTGAATAAGACTATATTGTCAGCTTTTGTAGTAGCAAGAAATGTTAAGAGTCTAAAAAAGTTTTGAAGGCAGAGTCAAAGAGATTTATTGACGAATTGAATGTTGGATCAAGAAAGAGAGGAATCATGTTTTTTATCTGAGGAAGTGGAAAGATGGAGCTGCCTTTTCCTAGATATGAAAGAGTGTGGGCAAAGCAGCGTTCTAAATGTGTTAAGATTAAAAGACAAAATTGACAAATGGGATCTAATTAAACTAAAGAGCTTCTGCACAGCAAAAGAAACTACCATCAGAGTGAACAGGCAACCTACAACATGGGAGAAAATTTTCGCAACCTACTCATCTGACAAAGGGCTAATATCCAGAATCTACAATGAACTCAAACAAATTTACAAGAAAAAAACAAACAACCCCATCAAAAAGTGGGCTAGGGACATGAACAGACACTTCTCAAAAGAAGACATTTATGCAGCCAAAAAACACATGAAAACATGCTCATCATCACTGGCCATCAGAGAAATGCAAATCAAAACCACTATGAGATATCATCTCACACCAGTTAGAATGGCAATCATTAAAAAGTCAGGAAACAACAGGTGCTCAAGAGGATGTGGAGAAATAGGAACACTTTTACACTGTTGGTGGGACTGTAAACTAGTTCAACCATTGTGGAAGTCAGTGTGGCGATTCCTCAGGGATCTAGAACTAGAAATACCATTTGACCCAGCCATCCCATTACTGGGTATATACCCAAATGACTATAAATCATGCTGCTATAAAGACACATGCACACGTGTGTTTACTGCGGCATTATTCACAATAGCAAAGACTTGGAACCAACCCAAATGTCCAACAATGATAGACTGGATTAAGAAAATGTGGCACATATACACCATGGAATACTATGCAGCCATAAAAAATGATGAGTTCATGTCCTTTGTAGGGACATGGATGAAATTGGAAACCATCATTCTCAGTAAACTATCGCAAGAACAAAAAACCAAACACCGCATATTCTCACTCATAGGTGGGAATTGAACAATGAGATCACATGGACACATGAAGGGGAATATCACACTCTGGGGACTGTGGTGGGGTGGGGGGAGCGGGGAGGGATAGCATTGGGAGATATACCTAAGGCTAGATGACGAGTTAGTGGGTGCAGCGCACCAGCATGACACATGTATACATATGTAACTAACCTGCACAATGTGCACATGTACCCTAAAACTTAAAGTATAATAAAAAAAAAAGAAAAAAAGAAAAAAAAAGATTAAAATATCTGTTAGACATCCAGGTAGCAACGTCAAGTAGACAGTTGGATCCATGAATCTGAAATTCAGGAAAGATATCTGGTCTGGATGTATGAATCAGTGAATCACCAGCCTCGACGTTATTTCCAAGGGAGTTAGTGTAAATGGAAAGAGAAAAAGTTCAATGTCTAAGTGCTGGGGTACTTCAACATTTAAAGGTCCAAGAGATGAATAGAAGCTATCAGAGGAACTGAGATGGAGAAGCCAGTGAGGTAGGAGGAAAAAGCACTAAAGTGGAATATCCTACACATTAAATCAGCATGTTTCAAAGAGATTGGAGTGATCAACAATGTCAAATGCTTGAAGGTCCATAAGATGAAGACTAGGAAGTGACCATTGGATTTAGCAACTGGAGGTGAATGACAATCTTCATTAGAGCAGTTAGATGTACTGGTGGTATCAGAATTCTGATTTAATTGGATTAATGAAGGAATATAAGAGAAATTGGAGAAAGCCAGTATTAAAAAATTCATTCAAGATCTCAACACTAAAGAGGAGGTGAGAAATGGGTGATAATGAAGAAAAATGATGAGGTCGAGAGAAGTCAGGTTTTCTTTTCTTTTATCTTTTTTTCTTTTCCCTTTTTTCCTTCCTGTTTTTTTATTCTTCTTTTTTCAAAATATGAGAATCTAAAGAATGCTTGAAATCTAAAAGAATATTCAAGTAGGAAGAGGTGCTTTGATTACAAAGACTAGAGGGAAAAATTGTTGAGCCAATGCCCTTGAATAAAGGAGAAGTGATGGGAGCTAGCAGAAGACATGTGGAGGGAGTAGTCTCAGAATGTTTTTTTCCTTTAGCAATAAATTGTTAATCTATAACATCAGGGGAGAAAGCAGTTGCGTACAGCTGTATAGAAGTCATGGTGGCAGCTTATAAAAGTCCTTCCTCTTCTATTTGCTTTTTTTCTCATTGAAATGAGAAACAAATTCATTAACAAGAGGAGGAATGGTGAAAAGGTTTTGGAAGTTTGAAGGAGATGACGGTAAGAACTATGTCGTGATCCAGAAGACTGGGCAGTGAATGGACTTGGGAAATGCGGTATGTTTGCCAGCAGCATTAATGGGTCATCTTCATGAATATAAGGTGAGACTAGTGCAGAAATTCTGGCCTAAATGTCTAAGGAAAAGTATAATTTTTAATCAAAGCAAAAAAATCTCAATTTAGTCACCATAAAAAGTTTTCCAATTCACTTAAGAAATTTTTCCTCTTAATTTTGTCAAAGATCAGTCTGAGTATTTCTCAGTCTCTCTTAAGAGTGCTGAGTCATGATTATTACCCCTGCCTGTTAGAGGTAAATTTTAGAGGGTTAGTTACTGAACCTACTGGGCTTTCACTTTATAAAAAGGGAGGTAAATTTTTTAAATACCCCACTATTTCCAAACCTCATACTGTACTCTCTGGCATAAAAATCTCTGTGGCATAATTTATGCTGAAATGCTTTCTAAGTTTATTCATTCCAACAATATGGTAAATTCTACTCACAGGAAATAATTCTCAGTCATGAGCTTTTGAGGTCGTGGGTATTTGTACCAGAGACTGATATAAAATTTCTCAAAACAGAAATAACATTAGTTCAAAGCCACATGGCATATTACATATCATTTATCAATGTCATTAGAGATAATATTCAAAATTAATTAACAAAGGATTTTGTAGTTCAAAAAAATTAGGATATTTTATATAAATCCCAGGAATTCTTATAGCCAGTCCTGCTTCTGAGTTCTTCACATATCATGAGTTTTCATTCATTGCTAACTAATTAACACTTCACTTCACACCTTACTGCATTTTCCATTTATCCATTGGTTTCTGGGCAGTGACTCAAGTAAGCTATGAGAAAGAGGTATCACTGACATTTAGAAAGAAAAAAAATTGAGATTTATAGCTGCATTGTGATTTCATAGACACCACCCACCTGCCATCACCAGGAATGATTTCTTCTCCCTCATCTTTTCCATAGTCACACATAGTCACACATCAGTCACACATCAGATGCCTATTATCACTTTTTTTTGAAACTTTAGAGTGTGTTAAAGCTGGCGAGAAAGGTGAGGGGCATTATATCAGTTCCCATTTTATGGGACTTAAATACATTGTGGTTTTTTTCATTTTAAGATACCTTACATGTTTATATGCAAAGGGATCTGTCTCTGTTTTGTGGCATACTTTGGTCACATGTGTGAGTATTTGATAATGAGTTCTTGCTGCCAGAGCTCTAATTATAGCATGTTCCTATGGAAAGAGAGAATTCACCACTCTGTTCACATGGTGCCATTTCAGCCACTGCCTCTTTCTCTTTTGTTGACCCTTTGATTGACTAACTGATTAAAAGACTAGTCTATAAGCTCTAACAGAAAACAAATAATTCCAATTGCTAGTATCATAAATATTATTTCATATTTTCCATTTAAAAATCCCTTCAAGATCCATTCACCAATTAATACATCATTGAATTTACATTTCTGATCTACTATGGGTGCTCCATGTAATTTTGACCTGTGCTTTACATCATAAACCTTTCCTCCTTTTGATTCATTCAAGTAGAAAGTAGTCTAGATGATGGATAAAAGAGAACTCTCTAGAGTCAGATTATCCAGGCTTCAGTCCACACTGGTACCTGTGTGATTTTGGGGAGTCAACTTAAAGTCTGCAAACCTTGTCTGTAATATAGAGAATAATAATAGTACATATGTCTGAATGTCATTGTGAGGTTGAACACACTAATTCGTGTAAGATGTTTAGCACACAACTCCTGACAAATAGGAAAAATTCAATTAGATTAGTTTTTACTAAATGTATCATATGTCAGAAACATACTTTATCCAGGCTGCATAGTATTTAGAGTGCATTGATTCTCAATTCTTCTATTCCATGTTATTTAACCTCTCTGAGACTCAGTTTCTGTTTTTAAAAAGATAATTTCCACCTCCGGGGGGCGGTTCATAAAGAACTTCTAACACATCTCTGACACTGCATTAGGCCGAGGTGGGCAGATCACGAGGTCAGGAGATAGAGACCATCCTGGCTAACACGGTGAAACCCCATCTCTACTAAAAATACAAAAAATTAGCCAGGTGTGGTGGTGGGCGCTTATAGTCCCAGCTACTCTGGAGGCTGAGGCAGGAGAATGGCATGAACCCAGGAGGCAGAGAGACTCTGTCTCAAAAAAAAAAAAAAAAAAATTACATAATTACTATCTGCATTAGTTTGGAGGCCACCAAAACAAAATACCACAGAGTGAATGACTTAAACAACAGAAATTTATTTTCTCTTAGTTTTGGAGGCGAGAAGTCCAAGATCAAGATGTCAGCAGGTTTAGTTTCTTCTGAGGCCTCTCTCCTTGGCTTGCAGATGGCCGCGTTCTCACTATATCCTCACATGGTTTTTCCTCAGTGTGCATCCCTGAGGTCTCTCAGTGTGTACTATTCTCTTCTTATAAGAACACCAGTCAGATTGAATTTGAGCCTGCCCTAAGGGCCTCATTTTAAACTTAATTATCTCTTTAAAGGCCCTATCTTCAAACATAGTCACATTCTGAGGTCTTGGAAGTTAAGGCTTCAGCATTTTTAGGTGACACACATTGGCCCTTAGCACTACACTTCAGCTTTCTTGTTCCTTTTCATTTCACATAATCCAACTACCTTGAAAAATGCATCTAAAGAAATAGGTATTTCAATGCTCTAGGTACCATAACCTGAAGAAGTGTAGAAGTTTGTATATAAATACTTCCTTTTCCCTTCAATACACTGTTAACTTTTCTTACCTTTCCCCTGCTTCATTTGTAGGTACTGAATTTTCCAGATAGTGATTCCAAAAATACATCCACTTTAATAAAATGTCATTACAATAAAAATTACATATCAAGAGTATTTATTTTAAAATATCTTAATATTTTAAAATGTTAAATATTTTAAAAATTAAAATACTCCATTTGTGAATTTTGGCTTTTGTTGCAAATGCTTTTGGTGTTTTAGTCATGAAGTCTTTGCCCATGCCTATATCCTGAATAGTATCCTAGGTTTTCTTCTGGGGTTTTTATGGTTTTAGGTTTTACATTTAAGTCTTTAATCCACCTTGAGTTAACTTTTGTATAAAGTGTAAGGAATGAGTCCAGTTACTGTTTTCTGCACACGGTTAACCAGTTTTCCCAGCACCATTTATTAAATAGGGGATCCTTTCCCCATTGCTTGTTTTTGTCAGGTTTGTCGAAGATCAGATGGTTGTAGATGTGTGGTGTTATTTCTGAGGCCTCCGTTCCATTCTATTGGTCTATATATCTGTTTTGGTACCAGTACCATGCTGTTTTGGTTACTGTAGCCTTGTAGTATAGTTTAAAGTCAGGTAGCATGATGCCTCCAGCTTCATTCTTTTTGCTTAGGATTGTCTTGGCTATACAGACTCTTTTTTGGTTCCATATGAAATATTTTAAATTTTTTCTAATTCTGTGAAAAAAGTCAATAGTAGCTTGATGGGAATAGCATTGAGTCCACAAATTACTTTGGGCAGTATGGCCATTTTCATGCTATTGATTCTTCCTATCCATGAGCATGGAATGTTTTTCCATTTGTTTGTGTCCTCTCTTATTTCCTTGAGCAGTGGTTTGTAGTTCTCCTTGAAGAGGTCCTTCACATTTCTTGTAAGTTGTATTCCTACATATTTTATTCTCTTTGTAGCAATTGTGAAAGGGAGTTCACTCATAATTTGGCTCTCTGCTTGTCTATTATTGGTTTATAGAAAGAAAGAGCTTCTTCAAACAAAAGAAACTATCATCAGAGTGAACAGGCAATCTACAGAATGGGAGAAAATTTTGGCAATCTATCCATCTGACAAAGCTCTAATATCCAGAATTCACAAGGAACTTAAACAAATTTGCAAGAAAAAAAAAAAAACCCATCGAAATGTGGGCAAAGGATATGAAGAGATACTTCTCAAAAGAAGACATTCATGCAGTCAACAAACATGAAAACAAGCTCATCATCACTGGTCATTAGAGAAATGCAAACCAAAACCACAGTGAGATACCATCTCATGCGTGTTAGAATGGCAATTATTAAAAAGTCAGGAAACAACAGATGTTGGCGAGGCTGTGGAGAAATAGGAATGCTTTTACACTGTTGGTGGGAGTGTAAATTAGTTCAACCATTGTGGAAGACAGTGTGGTGATTCCTCAAGGATCTAGAACCAGAAATACCATTTCACCCAGCGATCCTATTACTGGGAATATACCCAAAGAATTATAAATCATTGTATTATAAAGACACATGCACATGTATGTTTATTGCAGCACTATTTACAATAGCAAAGACTTGGAACCAACCCAAATGCCCATCAATGATAGACTGAATAAAGAAAGTGTGGCACATATATACACCATGGAATACTATGCAGCCATAAAAAAGAATAAGTTCATGTCCTTTGCAGGGCTATGGATGAAGTTGGAAACCATCATCCTCAGCAAACTAACACAGGAACAGAAAACCAAACACTGCATGTTCTTACTCATAAGTGGGATTTGAACAGTGAGAACACATGGACACAGGGAGGGGAACATCACACACTGGGTCCTGTCAGGGGGTTGGGGGGAAGGGGAGAGAGAGCATTAGGGCAAATACCTAATGCATGCATGACTTAAAACCTAGATGACAGGATTGTAGGTGCAGCAAACCACCATGGCACATGTATACCTATGTAACAAACCTACATGTTCTGCACATGTATTCCAGAACTTAAAGTAAAATTTTTAAAAATTAAAATATTTTAAAATGTTATTAAAATATTTAATAATTTAAATATTTAAATTTAAATAAAATATTTAATAGTTTGAATATTTAAATTTAAATAAAATATTTAATAATTTAAATATTTAAACTTAAAATATTTTAAAATATTGTATTTCATTTATTTTAAAATACGTAATATTTTAAAACATAGAACAATGAGTTTTATGAGAAAATTAATAATGTGAAAAAGAATCAGAATACTGTGAGGTAAGAAAAAAAATCTTAACTAACGTAAGAGGAAAAAATCTTTAACCAAAATTGATAACATTAACTTGCAAAAAGCAACTTTGGCAAACATCATAGCTTGCCTATCCAACAGTCATTCGCTCTTCCTTTGTGCCAGTAGTAACCAAATTGTGCCCATCCTTTTGCAAGAAGACATTGGCCAAAGGGGAGCTTGAGGCTCTCCAGACCCTGTAGAAGAATCACGATTGACCTCAGTCATTCCATTCCCCTTTGCCAGGGATTGGCTTAGGTGCAGCTCAGTGAATCATAAGGAGAGTCTTCAAAGAGCTCTGGAAACGGAATACAGGAAAGGGATAGTTTTTTCCAAATCTCAGGATATTAGGATATGATTCTTGGGGCTTCTGCAGCCATCTTGTCCTTCAAAACAAATTCCTTTTTTCCTGAGACTATGAATGAATGAAAAAAAGGAAGTATGGTAAAATATGCTACCCCAAAATATGCTACCTTGGCATAAGGATTCTTTTGCACTAAAGGCACTTGAGAAACAGATGATACAAGAGACACTCTGACCTCCCCTTTTCTCCTAGTATCAGCAAAAAAGAAACATTCTTGTCACCAGAGATGGGGAGTTGAGGCAGAGAAAAATCTATATAAACAATTTGTTTAAAATAATTCTTATCTTCCTTAGCTTCTCCATGCATTTTCGTTACTTTTCCGTAACTTTCACACTTTCTTCACCCTACTATGTAAGCATATAGACTTAGACACTTCTTTGAGTCTTGTTTTTCCTGTAGGGGCTCCCAGTTATATGCAAAATCTATATGCTTTTCTCCTGTTAATCTATCTTATGCCAGTTTAATTCTCAGGCCCAGCTGGTGACACTAAGAGGGTAGAAATAAAATTTTGTCTCCCTTGCAAGAATAAAGGTTCTAAAACCAAATACTAACTGTTCCTAATGTTATCAAAATGCCAGGGGTTTGGTGTAGGTCCTGCTGCTCACCACACAGAGAGCCAGTCACCGAGACAACCGCTATTGCCAGAGAAGAAGGCTTTAATTGGGTGCTATAGCCAAAGATATGGGAGATCAGTGTCAAATCCATCTTTTTGACTGGCTAAAATTAGGGGTTTATATAGCAGGGAAGAAATGTAACTACCTGTGGGAAAACAGGAACTCGAGAAGAGTAAGGAAGTAATCATGATTAATGAGGGACCTAGAGTTTCATTGTCTGGATGCCATGATCTAATGAGTTTCAGTTCTTCGATACTTTTTGGGAGGCCTAGAGGTCCTTTCCTAAGGAAGAAACTCAGATAAACAAATGTAAATTTCAAGCTTTAAGACCAAAAGTGTCCATTTCTGTGTGCGTGTGTTGCTGTTGTTGTTGTTTAAAAAAAAACTACTTACGGGACTATTGGGTCAGTTTACTAATACAGAAAATAATTTAAAGAACTGCTAAATAACAAACAGCATACATTACTTTGACAGTCAACTAGATGAAGGTCAAGGACAAATTACTGGGGGACACTTATAATTCCAGACCAGAATTCTTGAAGATTCAATAAAGAAAATGTTTATATTAGTGGGAAAGACAAGTTTTTCTCAGTTCTTTTAAAAAACATTATTTTTCAAAATTAATCTTTTGTTTTGTTTAATGGTATTTTACATTACACAAATACACTGAACTTGAAAAATTGACTGCTTAAACAAAGAGGATCTAGCAGTAAGCCACTACCTATGGGCACAGGCAAAACCGGCAGAAAGGATAGCTCTGCTATTGTCAGCATTTGACGTCACCTCTTGAGAATGAAAACCCTAAAGATATTGTGAAAAGAACAATTATGAGAGCAGTGTTCTCCCTTTGGTCTATATCAGTGACACTGGAGTATTTTTAAAATATCAATCAATCTAAGTTTTGTATAGTCAGAAATGTCAACCCTTTATACTGCCCTCTCTCTTTCATTTTTGTGGTACCATAATTACCTGTCTATGTAGTTAAGGGGTGGGAGAGTTATACATCATCATGCCTTATGAAAATTGCCAAGTCAGATGACACTACAAGATACTCAGCATCCAACCAGGAAACTCTAGGTTCCATGAGAATGGAAATTGGGTCTGCTTTGTTCAGCTCTCTATCTTCATTGCCTGTGGAGCTTAATAAATATTTGCTAAATGAATGCATGAATGACTGGGAACTAAAAAGATAACAGTGTATACTAGGTTCCACCCCCCCCCACCCCTGATTACTATACATAACTATTTATTATCCTTCATGGTACAATATGATTTTTGCCTGCTCCAAGATGATTCAGAACCAATAATTACCATTAAATTTCCAATTCAATATCTAGATTTTATTTATAATCACTTTTAATCTTCCAGTATTTCAAAATTTTTCATGTGTCTCCTATAATCACCTTGTATGACCTTATCTACCTGTGATGTGCCATCATTTCACAACAGACCACTTTAACTGCATTCAGTAAGTAAAACTATGGCTCTTCACAACTCCTAAGAAAGAAGAATTTACCCCCATTTTGTTTTTAAGGAGGTAGGAACAGAAGATGTGACAAAACAGGCCAGAAAAAAAAAATTGATCATGTTGACTATGCACTGTAATCCAGTAATCACACAAATCTAAGTGGCAAGATGATCACAGTCTTTTGGTGACAGGCCTCATTATCTTAAAGAGCAATTTAGCAGGAGTGAGCAATTCATCTTGTTCAGTGAATGGAAAATGTTGGAGTTTAAGAGTTGTCATTTTTATACCATCTGTAGACTTGCATGCAGAGAAAAAAAACTCATGAAGTTTAAATCTAGGTAATAATTTATTTGTGGTAGACACATCATTATGTAAGCACATAAAGTTTTAATTTGAACAAGTTAACCCTCCCTTGCTGGACCAATATCCCTATTCTCTTTTGAGGGAATGTGGTAAGGAACAAGGAGTGGTGGAGATGGTGGTGAAGGGTGAGGAAGTTTCTGCTCCGCTCTCGCTTCCTGCACTGACTCTAAAAAGTGAGTCAGATTGTCTCTGGGAGCAAAGAAATTTACCTTAAAAAAGTATGGAAGATTGCTCATCTTGGAAAAAGCCAAAATGTTTTTGGCTAGATTATAGGCTTAGAAACAACTAGAATACCCAACTCTTCACAGAAGGCTGAGTAATGATTTCTGCCTTTCCAAATCTCTGTGGAAGCCTCTTGGGCTAGTATAAAGGGTAAATAAATGAGTGTTCCTAGAAACAGCAGTAAAGGAACAAGAAATAGTTAAATCTTCTACATGGTAATTCAGTGCTTTTAATATACTTACACCCAATATTCTCATTTTCAACTTTTAAAGAAACATGAATTAATACTTGACAGCAAGATTAGAAATACAAATTAGCCTGAAAAATGTAAGAGAATTAGTGTGGTGTGAAAGACAGCAGTACAAATTCTGGAGTCAGACACATCTGAGTCCAAAACCCAGACCCTCCATTTCTAACTGTGCCAACTGGACAAGCTATTTAACTTCTCTAAGCCTCAGTGTCCCTGTCATTAGAAGAGATAAGAATGTTTATTTCATAGC
Source organism: Homo sapiens (assembly GCF_000001405.40). Taxonomy (NCBI): domain Eukaryota; kingdom Metazoa; phylum Chordata; class Mammalia; order Primates; family Hominidae; genus Homo; species Homo sapiens. The sequence continues at coordinate 102,231,305 of NC_000004.12, forward strand.
ATTGATTTAAAGATTATATGAGATTATTTATGTAAAGCACTTCCCAGAGTGCCTGAAGTTACTAAACATTCAAGAAATAGTACCTATTATTATGCTACTAATAATAATGATCTATATTCACATCTCACAAATAAGTGCTGTTAACATTTTAGCATGTAGTCTTTCATTTTGTTTTCTCTAAGTATATTTGCATGTATTTTTAATACAATAAAGTGATTGTACTATGCATAATGTCTGTAGCTTTTTTTAAGCAGTTAATAATATATTGTGACCATCTTGACAATAAAGAAAGTGTCATAATCAATTGGCAATGGCTACACTGTCATCTTTTTTATGCCTTTACAATAATGTATTTTACTGATCCCCTTATAGCTGACCATTTAGGATGTGCGTACATTTTTTTCTATGATAAACAACGCCTCCCACAGTAAGGGAGGAACAATGGAATGAAAAACTCTGCACATAAACACTTTGATATAAATTCTCATTTGGTTAAATTCCTGCAAGTGAAATCACTGGGTTAAACAAAGTATATGTGCACTTTTTTTTAGATTTCTTGACACATTTTGACAAATTCCCTTCCAGAAAAGACTCCCACAGAGAAGTTGTGAGATTCTCTTTTACAGGAACTTTATCCACATTGGGTATTAGAATTTCCCTGTCAAAGAGGAAAAAAAAAAAAAGTTGCCAAAGTGCTTCATTGCTGTCATTGTGAAATGAAAGCACATTAAAGGATCATTGAAATCTAATTGCTGTTTTCCAGTTGAAGTTTATTCTAGAGCAGGAGTCCACAAACTATGGCCCATTGGTCAAATCTCCCCTGCCATCTGGTTTTGTACGTCTTACAAGTTCAGAATTGTTTTTACAGATGAACATTTGCAATATATTTGATCATCGGAAACACTAATTTGTACCCCAATTAATTAATATGTTATTTTTAAAATAAGAATTCAATTTTTCTCATTAGCTAGCCTGTAGTACAAAATCTTGAACTCGATGATTATGATTTACTTTAAATTTTGTCAAAGAATGTTATGAAAATTTGTTTTCTCCCTTGTTATAATAAGTATCTACGTAATATTCTCGATTTTGCATCTTGACCTACAAAGGCTAAAACATTTACATCTGTTTACAGAAAAACACAATTTGCCAAACCCTCTTCAAAAGTATTAATTAAAAACATAAAAATTTTAAAATATTTTAAAGTATTTCACCTAAGATACTAGAGTAACAAACTTACAAGGATCGCCCTTTATTCCACATCTCAGTGATTTTCAAACCTGAAGTTCTCAGTTTCCCCAGAGATAATTTTGGGAGAAAAATGAGGGCAAACAAAAGTCAACAAATCTTCACACTTCAACCATTTTTATTGCCTCTTGTTTTAGATTTGGGTTCCAAATAAGATTTCATGTAAATAATTTGCCCCACAATTTTAGAAAGTGTCTGAAAACTGCTTGCTAATGTGTAACAGGGCATTGCTTAGGCCAGGGCTTCTTCTACATGTCTTCAACCAGTGCCTGTCAATAGTAGAGTTCACAATAGTTACCAGCCCACCTGCTTTCAAATCAAACTGACCTACTTTTTTAAGGGTCATAGTTCTAACAGATGAAACATGGCTAAAGACCAATTTTAATAAATCTAAATTGGTATAGGTAATGTTTTCGTCTTTCAAGAGAAATATAACCTTGATTCATACAAACTATTTCACACTTAAAATGGTTGAACAAGTATTTCCACAGTAAGGGAGGAACACTAGAATCTGAAAGGAACAAATAAGCATAGAACCAAAAACGTAAGCCTTACTTTCCTTTGTTTTTCTGAGCCATTTATTCAGGTTGTCAGAGCAAACTTAAAATGAAGCTATCCCTTGACTCTGTAGCCATGTAATGAAATGGTTAGGAGCAAAAAAATAAACACAGAAATAGGACTTGGTTGTTTTTCCATTAACTGTGGCTTTCTTGATGATTGTGCATTTCCAGAAGGTTAAACATAATTGCCTCTTCTCCCTTCCTGAAGCTCGTTTAGATACATCCTGACACATTCCCACACACATAGCTCTTCTAACCTAAGGTTCAGTTTGGCAGGGAAATTCTTTCAAATCAGCAGGAAAGAAAATAGTCTGTTATTTACTGGGTATATGCTATTCAAAATCAACAAAATAATAGATCAATTCCATAACAGAAACTTTGGACACTAGAATTAAAATTTCTAGAAACAGTTAATACTAAAATTATTCTCATTCTGGAATCAGGTAGCTCAAGACAATGAGAATATAATCAATAGAATTACTGAAAGAGTAATAGTGATGACAGCAATAGCTAACATTTGGGTGCTTGCTGTGTAGCAAGGCCAGTAAGTCATGAGGATCAAACTGGCTTTCAATAGTTATAACACTCATTTATTATCAACCAAGCCCTCTTCTAATTCCATGATATGTATTCACTGCCTCAGGTCAATGGCACCTATGAGGTAGGCACCATTATTACCCACATTTTATAGATGAAGCTTAGTGGACTGCCATGCTCAAGGAGCTGGTTCAGTACACAGTGGACCTGGGACTTGACCTAGGGCTCTTGGTCACAGAGCCACTTCTCCCTCTCAAACCTGCCTGATGATGGAATGTGGGAATATTCTAGCAGGATAATCTCTATTCAACCATCATGGAAATAGTGAATAACACGGTTTTAAGAAAAAAGGGGTTCGAGACCAGCCTGACCAATATGATGAAACCCCGTCTCTACTAAAAATACAAAAATTGGCCAGGCGTGGTGGCACAAACCTGTAATCCCAGCTACTCGGGATGCTGAGACAGGAGAATCATTTGAACCTGGGAGGCAGAGGTTGCAGTGAGCTGAGATCACGCTGAGAGGTGACAGTGTGCTGGCAGCCCTTGCTTGCTCTCGGCGCCCCTCAGCCTTGGCGCCCACTCTGGCCACACTTGAGGAGCACTTCAGCCCACCTCTGCACTGTGGGAGCCCCTCTCTGGGCTGGTCGAGGCCAGAGCTGGCTCCCTCTGCTTGTGGCGAGGTTGGAGGGAGGGGCGCAGGTGGGAACTGGGGCTGCACACGGAGCTTGCGGGCAAGTGTGAGTTCCGGGTGGGCAAGGGCTCAGCAGGCCCTGCACTCAGAGTGGCTGGCCTGCGCCACCAACCCCAGGCAGTGAGGGCCTTAGCACCCAGGCCAGCAGCTGCGGAGGGTGCGCAGGGTCCCCCAGCCTGCCAGCCCACCTATGCCACGCTTAAATTCTCACTGGGCCTCAGCTGCCTCCCCATGAGGCAGGGCTGGGGACCTGTAGCCTGCCATGGCTGAGCATCCCCCAACCCCCCATGGGCTCCTGCATGGCCTGAGCCTCCCAGACGGGTACTGCCCCCTGCTCCACAACACCCAGTACCATCAACTGCCTAAGGGATGAGGAGCGCGGGCACGTGGTGCAGGACTGGTGGGCAGTTCCACCTGCTGCCCCTGCATGGGATCCACTAGGCGAAGCCAGCTGGGATCCTGAGTCAGGTGAGGACTTGGAGAGCTTTTATGTCTAGCTAAAGGTTTGTAAATGCACCAATCAGCACTTTGTGTCTAGCTCAAGGTTTGTAAATGCACCAATCATCAACCTGTGTCTAGCTCAAGGTTTGTAAATGCACCAATCAGTGCTCTGTGTCTAGCTAATCTAGTGGGGACTTGGAGAACTTTTATGTCTAGCTCAGGGATTGTAAATGCACCAATCAGCACTCTGTGTCTAGCTAAAAGTTTGTAAATGCACCAATCAGTGCTCTGTGTCTAACTAATCTAGTGGGGACTTGGAGAACTTTTATGTCTAGCTAGAGGATTGTAAATGCACCAATCAGCACTCTGTGTCTAGCTCAGGGATTGTAAACGCACCAATCAGCACCCTGTCAAAACAGACCAATCAGCTCTCTGTAAAATGCACCCATCAGCTCTCTGTAAAATGGACCAATCCGCAGGATGTGGGTGGAGCCAGATAAGGGAATAAAAGTAGGCTGCCCGAGCCAGCAGTGGCAACCTGCTCGGCTCCCCTTCCACATTGTGGAAGCTTTGTTCTTTTGCTGTTTGCAATAAATCTCGCCACTGCTCACTCTTTGGGTCCACACTGCCTTTATGAGCTGTAACACTCAACGCAAAGGTCTGCAGCTTCACTCCTGAGGCCAGCAAGACCACGAATCCACCAGGAGGAATGAACAACTCCAGACGGGAGGAATGAACAACTCCAGATACGCCGCCTTAAGAGCTGTAACACTCACTGCGAAGGTCTGCAGCTTCACTCCTGAAGCCAGCGAGACCACCAACCCACCAGAAGGAAGAAACTGTGAACACATCCGAACATCAGAAGGAAAAAACTCCAGACACACCATCCTCAAGAGCTGTAACACTCACCACGTGGGCCCATGGCTTCATTCTTGAAGTCAGTGAGACCAATAACCCACCAAATCAGGACACATTTTGGTGACCCAGATGGGACTATTGCTTATCAGCAAGCAGTAAGACTATCGCCTATCGCCAAGCAGTGAGTACCATCGGACACCTTTCACTTGCTATTCTGTCCTATTTTTCCTTAGAATTCTGGGGCTAAATACCAGGCACCTGTCAGCCAGTTAAAAGCAACTAGCGTGGCCGCTGGACTAAAGACATGGGTGTCAGGCTTTCTGGAAAAGGGCTCTCTAACAACCCCCAACTCTTTGGAGTTGGGGGCGTTGGTTTGCCTGGAACCAGCTTCCACTTTTCCTGTGCTTCTGGGCTGAGCCGAGGGTCGACAGAGAGGAAAGCCATTCAGCTCTGGGGTCCCAACAAGTTGGTTGACCCTGAGGCCATGAGTGGAACTCTCAAAGGCATGTTGCCCAAGCGAGACGTGCCCATCTATTCTCTCTATCCTGACCCTTGTCCCCTGGGTCCTAAAGTCTGCCAGACAAACTTCCTCTCGCCCCTCTTCTCCAAGGCTAGTCTTGCTTCTAAAAATCGCTCCCTGTCTCTGGTGCTTTTCTAATTTCTCCTATAAGAATAATTTCTGGTATAAACTCCAGGACTCTGTTATGTAATTTAGGCACCTGGGCTCGCCAATCAGAAAGACATAATTTTTGCCCAAAGCCCTGATGTAGGGGGTACTATCTGGAATTTTAAGATCCCTCCTCAGACAAGCAGGCCTAACAAAAACTATTCCTGAAGCTAGGATATGGGGAGCCTCAGAAATTGTATCCTCCTATTCATATAAGTGAGGACAAAACGTGTCACTCTTCCAACCCTGGATATCCCTTCCCTCCCTCAGGGTATGGCCCTCCACTTCATTTTTGGTGCATGACATCTTTACAGGACATGGGTAAGGTCCCAATACTAACAGGAGAATGCTTAGGACTCTAACAGATTTTCAAGAATGCGTTGGTAAGAGCCACTAACTCGGATTTTTCTCAGTCCTCTTTGTGGTCTAGGAGGGCAGGCAAGGGTGCATGTTTTTGACAATGCATTGGTAAGGGCCACTAAATCCGACCTTCCTTGGTTCTCCTTGTGGTCTGGGAGGAAAACTAGCGTTTCTGCTGCTGCGTCGGTGAGCACAACTATTCCGATCAGCAGGGTCCAGGTATCATTGCAGGTTCCTGGCAGGGGTTGTTTCTGCTGCTACATCAGTGAGCACAACTGTTCTAATCAGCAGGGTCCAGGGACTGTCACGGGTTCTTGGGCAAGGGGAGAAACAAAACAAACCAAAACTGCGGATGGTTTTGTCTTTCAGATGGGAAACACTCAGGCATCAACAGGCTCACCCTTGAAATGCATCCCAAGCCATTGGGACCAATTTGACCCACAAACCCTGAAAAAGAAGCAGCTCATTTTTTTCTGCACTGCAGCTTGGCCCCAGTATTCTCTCTCTGATGGGGAAAAATGGCCACCTGAGGGAAGTACAAATTATAATACTATCCAGCAGCTTGACCTTTTCTGTAAGAGGGAAGGCAAATGGAGTGAAATACCTTATGTCCAAGCTTTCTTTTTATTGAAGGAGAACACACAACTATGAAAAGCTTGCAATTTACATCCCACAGGAGGACCTCTCAGCTTACCCCCATATCCTAGCCTCCCTATAGCTCCCCTTCCTATTAATGATAATCCTCCTCTAATCTCCCCGGCCCAGAGGAAATAAGCAAAGAAATCTCCAAAGCACCAAAACCCCTCAGGCTATGTCCCCTTCAAGCTGTAGGGGGAGGGGAATTTGGCCCAACCCAGGTACATGTCCCCTTCTCCCTCACTGATTTAAAGTAGATCAAGGCAGACCTGGGGAAGTTTTCAGATGATCCTGATAGATACATAGATGTCCTACAGGGTAGAGGGCAAACCTTTGACCTCACTTGGAGAGATGTCGTGCTACTCTTAGATCAAACCCTGGCCTTTAATGAAAAGAATGCAGCTTTAGCTGCAGCCCGAGAGTTTGGAGATACATGGTATCTTCATCAAGTAAATGATAGAATGACAGCCGAAGGAAGGGACAAATTCTCTACCAGTCAGCAAGCCATCCCCAGTATGGATCCCCACTGTAACCTTGACTCACATCATGGGGACTGGAGTCGTAAACATCTGTTGATCTGTGATCTAGAAGGACTAAGGAGAATTAGGAAAAAGCCCATAAATTATTCAATGATGTCCACCACAACTCAGAGAAATGAAGAAAATCCTTCTGCCTTCCTCGAGTGGCTACGAGAGGCCTTAAGAAAATATACTCCCTTGTCACCCGAATCACTCAAGGGTCAATTGATTCTAAAAGATAAGTTTATTACCCAATCAGCTGCAGATATCAGGAGAAAGCTCCAAAAGCAAGCCCTGGGCCCTGAACAAAATCTGGAGGCATTATTAAACTTGGCAACCTCAGTGTTCTATAATAGGGACCAAGAGGAACAGGCCCAAAAGGAAAAGCGAGATCAGAGAAAGGCCACAGCCTTAGTCATGGCCTTCAGACAAACAAACCTTGGTGGTTCAGAAAGGACAGAAAATGGAGCAGGCCAATCACGCAGTAGGGCTTGTTATCAGTGTGGTTTACTAGGACACTTTAAAAAAGATTGTACAATGAGAAACAAGCTGCCCCCTCATCCATGTCCACTGTGCCAAGGCAATCACTGGAAGGTGCACTGCCCCAGAGGATGAAGTTTCTCTGGGTCAGAAGCCCCCAACCAGATGATCCAACAACAGGACTGAGGGTTCCTGGGGCAAGTGCTAGCTCATGTCATCACCCTCACTGAGCCCTGTGTAAGTTTAACCATTGAGGGCTAGGAAATTGACTTCCTCCTGGACACTAGCGTGGCCTTCTCAGTGTTAATCTCCTGTCCTGGACAACTGTCCGCAAGGTCCGTTACCATTCGAGGAATCCTGGGACAGCCTGTAACCAGGTATTTCTCCCACCTCCTCAGTTGTAATTGGGAGACTTTGCTCTTTTCACATGCCCTTCTTGTTATGCCTAAGAGTCCCACACCCTTATTAGGGAGGCATATATTAGCCAAGGCTGGAGCTATTATCTACATGAATATGGGGAACAAGTTACCCATTTATTTTCCCCTACTTGAGGAGGGAATCAACCCTGAAGTCTGGGCATTGGAAGGACAATTCGGAAGGGCAAAAAAGCCCACCCAGTCCAAATCAGGTTAAAAGATCCCACCACTTTTCCTTTTCAAAGGCAATATCTCTTAAGGCCTGAAGCTCATAAAGGATTACAGGATATTGTTAAATATTTAAAAGCTCAAGCCTTAGTAAGGAATTGCAGCAGTCCCTGCAACACTCCAATTCTAGGAGTACAAAAACCTAATGGTCAGTGGAGACTACTGCAAGATCTTAGACTCATCAATGAGGCAGATATTCCTCTATATCCAGTTGTACCCAACCCCTATACCCTGCTCTCTCAAATACAAGAGGAAGCAGAATGGTTCACAGTTCTGGACCTCAAGGATGCCTTCTTCTGTATTCCCCTGCACTCTGACTCCCAGTTTCTCTTTGCCTTTGAGGATCCCACAGACCACTCATCCCAACTTACGGGGATGGTCTTGCCCCAAGGGTTTAGGGATAGCCCTCACCTGTTTGGTCAGGCACTGGCCCAAGATCTAGGCCACTTCTCAAGTCCAGGCACTCTGGTTCTTCAGCATGTGGATGATTTGCTTTTGGCTACCAGTTCAGAAGCCTCATTCCAGGAGGCTACTCTAGATCTCTTGAACTTTCTAGCTAATCAAGGGTACAAAATGTCTAGGTCTAAGGCCCAGCTTTGCCTACAGCAGGTCAAATATCTAGACCTAATCTTAGCCAGAGGGACCAGGACCCTCAGCAAGGAATGAACACAATCTATACTGGCTTATCCTCACTGTAAGATATTAAAACAGTTGTGGGCGTTTCTTGGAATTACCAGCTTTTGCCGACTGTGGATCCCCAGATACAGTGAGATAGCCAGGCCCCTCTGTACTCTAATCAAGGAAACTTAGAGTGCAAATACTCATCTAGTAGAATGGGAATCTGAGGCAGAAACAGCCTTCAAAACCTTAAAGCAGGCCCTAGTACAAGCTCGAGCTTATTATTTTTCTTTTTGTTTTTTTTTAATTATACTTTACGTTCTAGGGTACATGTGCACAATGTGCAGGTTTGTTACATATGTACATGTGGCATGTTGGTGTGCTGCACCCATTAACTCATCATTTACATTAGGTATGTCTCCTAATGCTATCCCTCCCCCCTACCCCCACCCCACAACAGGCCCTGGGGTGTGATGTTCCCCTTCCTGTGTCCAAGTGTTCTCATTGATGAATTCCCACCTATGAGTGAGAACATGCGGTGTTTGGTTTTTCATCCTTGCAATAGTTTGCTGAGAATGATGGTTTCCAGCTTCATCCATGTCCCTAAAAAGGACATGAACTCATCCTTTTTTATGGCTGCATAGTATTCCATGGTGTTTATGTGCCACATTTTCTTAATCCAGGCTATCATTGATGGACATTTGGGTTGGTTCCAAGTCTTTGCTACTGTGAAAGTGCTGCAATAAACATATGTGTGCATGTGTCTTTATAGCAGCATGATTTATAATCCTTTGGGTATATACCCAGTAATGGGATGGCTGGGTCAAATGGTATTTCTAGTTCTAGATCCCCGAGGAATCGCCACACTGTCTTCCACAATGGTTGAACTAGTTTACAGTCCCACCAACAGTGTAAAAGTGTTCCTATTTCTCCACATCCTCTCCAGCACCTGTTGTTTCCTGACTTTTTAATGATTGCCATTCTAAATGGTGTGAGATAATATCTCATTGTGGCTTTGATTTGCATTTCTCTGATGGCCAGTGATGATGCAAGCTCCAGCTTTAAGCCTTCTGACAGGACAAAACTTCTCTTTGTACATCACAGAGAGAGCAGGGATAGCTCTTGGAGTCCTTACTCAGACTCATGGTACAACCCCACAACCAGTGGCATACCTAAGTAAGAAAATTGATGTAGTAGCAAAAGGCTGGCCTCATTGTTTAAGGGCAGTTGCAGTGGTGGCCATCTTAGTGTCAGAGGCTATCAAGATAATACAAGGAAAGGATCTCACTGTCTGGACTACTCATGATGTAAATGGCATACTAGGTGCCAAAGGAAGTTTATGGCTATCAGACAACCGCCTACTTAGAAACTAGGCACTACTCCTTGAGGGACCAACCAGTACTTCACATATGCATGTGCATGGCCCTCAACCCTGCCACTTTTCTCCCAGAGGAGGGGGAACCAATCGAGCATAACTGCCAACAAATTACAGTCCAGACTTATGCCCCCCGAGATGATTTCTTAGAAGTCCCCTTAGCTAAACCTGACCTTAACCTATATACCGACGGGAGTTCATTTGTGGAGAATGGCATACGAAGGGCAGGTTACGCCATAGTTAGTGATGTAACCATACTTGAAAGTAAGCCTCTTCCCCCAGGGACCAGTGCCCAGTTAGCAGAACTAGTGGCACTTACCTGAGCCTTAGAACTGGGAAAGGGAAAAAGAATAAGCTGGTATGCAGATAGCACATATGCTTATCTAATCCTACATGCCCATGCTGCAATATGGAAAGAAAGGGAGTTCCTAACCTCTGGGGGAACCCCCATTAAATACCACAAGGAAATTATACAGTTATTGCATGCAGTGCAAAAACCCAAGGAGGTGGCAGTCTTACACTGCCAAGGCCATCAGAAAGGTGAAGGAGAAAAGTCAGAAGGAAACTGCCGGGCAGATGCTGAGGCCAAAATTGCTGTGAGGCGGAACCCTCCATTAGAAATACCTACGGAAGGACCCTTGGTATGGAACAACCCCCTCCAAGAGATTAAGCCCCAGTATTCCCAAACCGAAGCAGAGTGGGGACTTTCACGGGGGCATAGTTTTCTCCCCTTGGGGTGGTTGGTGACAGAAGAAGGAAAGGTACTTATACCCGAAGCCAGCCAGTGGAAAATACTTAAAACCCTCCACCAAACTTTTCATATGGGTATTGAAAACACTAATCAAATGGCCAAATCCCTATTTACAGGGCCAAATCTCCTCCGTACCATCCGACAGGTAGTCAAAACCTGTGAGGTGTGCCAAAAGAGTAATCCCTTGGTTCATCTGAAGTCCCCTTTGGAGAAACAAAGAATAGGTCACTATCCTGGAGAGGACTGGCAGTTAGACTTCACCCATATGCCTAAGTCAAAGGGATTTCAATACTTGTTGGTCTGTATCCTTTACAAATTGGATAGAAGCTTTCCCCTGCAGGACAGAGAAGACTCAGGAAGTGATTAAAGTCCTAATTCATGAAATAATTCCTAGATTTGGGCTTCCCCAAAGCTTACAGAGTGACAATCATCTGGCTTTAAAGCCACAATAACTCAGGGAATTTCCAGGGCGCTAGGGATACAATGTCACCTTCACTGCTCCTGGAGGCCACAATCCTCAGGGAAGGTTGAGAAGGCAAATGAAACACTCAAGAGGCACTTAAGGAAACTAACACAAGAAACTCATCTCCCATGGCCTACTCTTTTGCCCATGGCCCTGTTGAGAATCCAAAATTCTCCTCACAAAATAGGGCTCAGTCCATATGAAATGCTGTATGGACAACATTTTCTCACAAATCACCTCCTACTTCATCAGGAAACGGCCAAATTGGTCAAAGATACAACTTCTTTGGCAAAATATCAAAAAAGCTTAAAAACCTACTGGAAGGATGTCACAGAGAAAAGGGAACAGAGTTGTTTCAACCAAGAGATCTAGTGTTGGTCAATTCTCTCCCCTCTACCTCCCCATCTATGGACTCTTTGTAGGAAGGAACATACTCGGTAATCCTCTCTACTCCCACTGCAGTTAAGGTGGCAGGAGTGGAATCTCAGATTCACCAAACCAGAGTTAAACTTTGGACATCCCCTGAGGAACCTGCAGGACCATCAGCTCAGGAGTCCCAAGATCAGCCAGACCAGCCTCGATACACCTGCGAACCACTGGAGGACTTGCACTTCCTATTTTGGAAGGAAACCTCCCAGACTAAAAGGGTCCCTACCACTGATCCTGAGGAAAGATCCCTTCCTCCTTAAAAAAGATAAGTGAAAACAACGTACTAACCATACTCTTTGTGATAGGACTATATACTCTAGCTCCTGCCAGGACAAAAATCCTAATCACATCAACCTTTTTTCTATCTTCCTTCCTTTTGACAGCAATTTACTCCTACCTTTAATTCAGACTAGATAAAATGATCTCGTTTTCCAGAGCACCCTCTTTACCTTCCTATTTCCGCTTTGCCTATGTATCCCTCCTGCTTCCTTGGATACCTCATACAATCACCCCTCCCCTTCCACTAGGTCCTAATTACCTCTACAAGACTCTCAACTTAACTCACTCTCTGTTGAACCAGTCCAATCCTTCCCTGGCAAATGACTGTTGGCTTTGTATCTCTCTACCAACCTCTGCCTACGTTGCCACTCCCATTCCCGCAGAAAAACTGGGACTTTACCAACTTAACCTACCACCCTCATTATGAAGGAAAAGACCCTTTCCGATTTCTAAATATGCAATCATTAGCCGACTTCCCCATATCTGATAGGACCAAGAATACCCCCAGGACGTGCAATCTAACTTTTACATTCTTACATTTCCAACCTCATCTATTACACAAGCAATGAAAAGCCCATACAAGGCCCTGTAACCACGAATACTATCTTAACTTTCCAAGCCCCTTTATGCATCCAGCACAACCTGTTATCAGGCTTGCCCCTGGGGCACCTACTACCACATCAGTGTAATTACACCCTACAACTTCAAGCCCCAGCTGATCATAGTAACTTCCGAGTCACCCAAACAGCTCCATTCAGATGGCTTGTCCACTTCTCAGGGCCCCCCAAAATCATCACCTCCTCCCTGCTTAACAAAAAGTCCAGGTTTTGTAATGGCAAACATACTCCCTGCATGACCATTCACCCCAGACCCCCTGCAGCAGCGCCCCCACCACTAGTGAATGCCTCCTCATCCCCTCTTTCAATCACTCTCTCGAATGGTTCCTAGTGGATACAAAATGTTTTTTTCTACAATGGGAAAATAGAACACAGGGAGCCACACAGTTTGCTCCCAACACCCCTTTCCAGTCGCCCACTGGAGCTATCTTGGCAAGTACTCTAGGAGTATGGGAAAATGAAAACAACAAACTCACACACCTTTTTAACATGCATAACCAGTTCTGTCTACCCAGCCAAGGTATATTCTTCTTATGTGGAACATCGACCTATATCTGCCTCCCCACTAACTGGACAGGCACCTGCACCTTAGTCTTTCTAAGTCCCAACATTAACATTGCCCCAGGAAATCAGACCTTATCAGTACTCCTCAAAGCTCAAGTCCATCAGCGCAGAGCCATACAACTAATACCCCTACTTATAGGGTCAGGAATGGCTACTGCTACAGGAACGAGAATAGCTGGTTTATCTACTTCATTATCCTACTACCACACACTCTCAAAGGATTTCTCAGACAGTTTGCAAGAAATAATGAAATCTATCCTTACTTTACAATCCCGAATAGACTTTCTGGCAGCAGTGACTCTCCAAAACCGCCGAGGCCTAGACGTCCTCACTGCTGAGAAAGGAGGACTCTATACCTTCTTAGGGAAGAGTGTTGTTTTTACACTAACCAGTCAGGGATAGTACGAGATGCCACCCAGCATTTACAGGAAAAGGCTTCTGAAATCAGACAACGCCTTTCAAACTCTTATACCAACCTCTGGAGTTGGGCAACTTGGCTTCTCCCCTTTCTAGGTCCCGTGGCAGCCATCTTGCTGTTACTTGCCTTTAGGCCCTGTATTTTTAACCTCCTTGTCAAATTTTGTTTCCTCTAGAATCGAGGCCATCAAGCTACAGATGGTCTTACAAATGGAACCCCAAATGAGTTCAACTAACAACTTCTACTGACCACCCCTGGACCAACCTGCTGGCACTTTCACCGGCCTAGAGAGCTCCTCTCTGGAGAACACTACAACTGCAGGGCCCCTTCATCACCCCTAGGAAGTAGCTAGAGTGGTCATCGGCCAAACTCCCAACAGCAGTTGGGGTGTCCTGTTTAGAGGGGGGATTGAGAGGTGACAATGTGCTAGCAGCCCTTGCTTGCTCTCAGCACCTCCTCAGCCTCGGCGTCTGCACTGGCCATGCTTGAGGAGCCCTTCAGCCCACCACTGCACTATGGGAGCCCCTCTCTGGGCTGGCTGAGGCCGGAGCCAGTTCCCTTTGCTTGTGGGGAGGCGTGGAGGGAGAGGCATGGGTGGGAACTGGGGCTGCACGCGTTGCTCACAGGCCAGCGTGAGTTCCGGGTGGGCACGGGCTCAGTGGGCATGTACTCAGAACGGCCGGCTGGCACCGCTGGCCCTGGGCCGTGAGGGGCTTAGCACCCAGGCCAGCAGGTGCAGAGGGTGCTCCAGGTCCCCCAGCACTGCTGGCCCACCCATACCACACTCGAATTCTCACCAGGCCTCAGCTGCCTCCCTGCAAGGAAGGGCTCGGGACCTGCAGCCTGCCATGCCCGAGACCCACCCCCGGTGGACTCCCACACAGCCCAGGCCTCCCCAACAGGTGCTGCCCCCTGCTCTGTGGCACCAGGTCCCATCGACCGCCCAAGGGCTGAGGAGTGCAGGCACACAGCACGAGACTGGTGGGAAGCTCTGCCCACGACCCTGGCACGCGATCTGCTAGGTGAAGCCAGCTGGGCTCCTGAGTCTAGTGGGGACTTGCAGAACTTTTATGTCTAGCTGGAGGATTGTATATGCACCAGTCAGCACTCTGGGTCTAGCTCAGGGATTGTAAATGCACCAATCAGCACCCTGTCAAAATGGACCAATCAGCTCTCTGTAAAATGGACCAATTAGCTCTCTGTAAAATGGGCCAATCAGCAGGATGTGGGTGGGGTCAGATAAGGGAATAAAAGCAGGCCACCCGAGCCAGCAGTGGCAACCCGCTCGGGTCCCCTTCCACACTGTGGAAGCTTTGTTCTTTCGCTCTTTGCAATAAATCTTGCTGCTGCTCACTCTTTGGGTCTGCACTGCCTTTATGAGCTGTAACACTCACTGCAAAGGTCTGCAGCTTCACTCCTGAGGCCAGCGAGACAATGAACCCACTGGAAGGAATGAACAATTCCAGATGCACCGCCTTTAAGAGCTGTAACACTCACCACGAAGGTCTGCAGCTTCACTCCTGAAGTCAGCGAGACCAAGAACCCACCAGAAGGAAGAAACTCTGGACACATCTGAACATCTGAAGGAACAAACTCCAGACACACCATCTTTAAGGATTGTAACACTCACGGTGAGGGTCCGCGGCTTCATTCTTGAAATCAGCAAGACCAAGAACCCACCAATTCCAGACACAGTGATGCAACCACAACATTGTCAGCTGGTTGCAAGAAGAATGGCAGATGTTAAGGATCACAAGATTGAATGAAAGTGGTCATCATTTCCAAAATTGTATTCTAGGTGATGCTAATAAGAATACCCCAAATAGGAGGGGGTATATGGCTATGTGGTTTGATGATATGGGGAGAAGCTGGGTCAAAAAGAGTTACACAATTTTTGTCAATGCAGGACTTCTAGAGTCTTTCATATGCTAAAGTGAACCTCTATGAGGAGACTATGATATGCAACATTCCCTAATCTTGTTTGAACACAATATTCTTTTTTCTTAAAGATGGTAACATTTGTAGATTATTCGTTTTTCATGTAACACAGTTTGAATGAATTACTCAATCTGCGGTGAAAATTATCAGAGTGCATTGCTGACAGAAGGGTTTGCCTCGGGTGTTCACACTTACAGCTAGAACAGTGTCATAAACCAGCAAAACCAGGTTGTCTTGTTAGGCGAATTGCAATGTCATCCATAGCAGGGCTACTAAACTGAAGTTCACTTTACTAGCTGAGTTGGGAAGGTAGGATGAACAGTAGACAAATGTGTGTAGATATTTTTATTTCTGCTGTTACATGGAGGAAGACACCATCACATTCATCAGAGATTGAAATAATTTCAGGGTCCAAACAAGCTTAAGAACCAACTGTTCCTTACACAGTAAAAAATAATCTTGCAAAGGTAATATTAACACTGAATTCCAGAACCTGCTTTTAATTTCAGACAAATCTCAGCTTCTCTGGAGCTTGGTTCCCTCATCTAAATTATGAAGACGATATTCTTTGTCTTATGTACCATGCAGAGTTAATATGAATATGAAATTACATGAGATAAAGAGATGCTTAGCTCCAAGTGCTATGCAAATATTAGAATTATTATTGCTACAGTAACATTAAATCATATTTTCTCCAACAGATGCAATATAGGAAAGGAAAAACATCTGTGGCATTTGGAGATTAGTAATGTGTGCTTTAAAACCACAAACTACAAAGAAATTGGAAGTCATCAAAGAAGGAGAACTAAAATCAAAACAAATCTCTCTGTTGGAAAAGCTCAAGATGACAAGTCATGTAATGAATCCATCTGACTCCAGGCAGGAATCCTACTGATCTTACATACTTGTGGACACCAACATTTTCAGTGAAAATGGCATTTCAGTGTATTAGTAATATTCCTACTATACACACACACATACGTTAAAAGGAAACAAATCTAGGGTAGTGGTGGCACTGTAAAAATAGCATCAATTAATATTGTTTATAATTGTTAATAGCTCTATGGCCTTATAACCACGAAATATCAACCATTCACACTTCCTAAGTGCCTATATTCGAGAATATAGGGGTTTTAAAAGTTGAGTGTTTACTACATACCAGGTGTCTCATCCATGGTCACATTTAATTCAGTGAGACAGAAATTATTATCCTTATGTTACACATGAGGAAACTGAGGTCCAGAGAGATGTGATCCAGTTCACACAGCAAGTAGTCATCAGAGGTAGAATTTAATGTCTGGTCTCTCTGATTCCAAAACACTTTTCAACACATCTGCTGTTACTCCAATTTCAAATAAATAAATAAACAAACTGTAAAGAACTGTTTTCAGTGATGTAAGATCCAATGTAAAAGTTTAAATAACTGAAAATAAATTTACATTTAATAACTGAAAATAATTTTAAGTAGGAAAATATTTCTATGATCATCCCAGAAATGTATTTTTATAATTATATACATAGAAGAAATTTCAAAAAGAAAATTAGGTTTTTTTCTTTAGAGACAGAGTCTCTCTCTGTCTCCCAGGTGGAGTGCAGTGGTGCTATCATAGCTCACTGCAGCCTAGAACCTGGACTCAGGTGATCCTCTCATCTCAGCCTCCTGAGTAGCTGAGACTACAGGTGAGCACCACCACACTCGGCCAAGTTTTTAAAAAATTTTTTGTACAGACAGGCCCTTGCTATGTTGCCCAGGCTTCTTTGAACTCCTGGCCTCAAGTGATCCTCCCACCTCTGCCTCCCAAAGTGCTGGGATTACAGGCATGAGTCATCACACCCAGCCTGGAAAATTACTTTTAACAGAAGTAATACTTACTTAGTAAGTGACAGTATAAGTGGTAAATGAAATAAATAATATAATTTAAATAGAAGAAGCACTTAGTGGCTAATACTTATTGATTGACAATAAGTCAGCACTAAAAAGCATGTGTTATATTTAATAAAATGTTCTCTGATCAATATTACCTATTTTTATACTCATCTGGAAATAGCAAGTTCTGTATGTTATAACTGGGCTGAGGAATGACCTAGTTTCTTTGCATACTTTTAAGAAACATTTTTACTCTCACAAGTTTTGTAAGGATACTTCACAATCATTAATTTCAACTTTGATAACCACAGCATTCAAGGAAGATATTTCCCACTCTTTATTCATCAGCAGAGAAACACCAGCTTCAAAAATACCTTTCTCTGAATATCAATCCATCACCATTTCTTTTTTTTTTTTTTTTGAGACAGAGTCTCGCTCTGTCGCCCCAGCTGGAGTGCAGTAGCGCTATCGCGGCTCACCGCAAGCTCCGCCTCCTGGGTTCACGTCATTCTCCTGTCTCAGCCTCCCAAGTAACTGGGACTACAAGAGCCCGCCACCATGCCCGACTAATTTTTTTTTGTATTATTAGTAGAGACGGGGTTTCACCATGTTAGCCAGGATGGTCTCGATCTCCTGACCTTGTGATCCACCAGCCTTGGCCTCCCAAAGTGCTGGGATTACAGGCGTGAGCCACTGCACCTGGCCAATCCATCACCCTTTTTTTTTTTTTTGAGACGGAGTCTTGCTCTGTAGCCCAGACTGGAGTGCAGTAGCGCGATCTCGGCTCACTACAAGCTCCACCTACCAGGTTCACTCCATCCTCCGGCCTCAGCCTCCCAAGTAGCTGGGACTACAGGCACCCGCCACCGCGCCCAGCTAATTTTCTTTTATTTTTTAATAGATTAATAGAGATGGGGTTTCACCATGGTCTCGATCTCCTGACCTCATGATCCACCCGCCTTGGCCTCCCAAAGTGCTGGGATTACAGGTGCAGGCCACCGCGCCCGGCCATTCATCACCATTTCTTAAATGAATGAGTAAATAAGATGAGAACCCAGACCAGCATTCCTGGGTAAAAGCTCCAAAGTTTTTTCAGGAGATCCCTCAAACCCATTATGTCCAGAATTGGTGGGTTCTTGGTCTCATTGACTTCAAGAATGAAACCGTGGACCCTCACAGTGAGTGTTGCAGTTTTTAAAGGTGGTGTGTCCAGAGTTTGTTCCTTCTGATGTTCGGATGTGTTCGGAGTTTCTTCCTTCTGGTGGGTTCCTGCTCTCGCTGGCTTCAGGAGTGAAGCTGCAGACCTTCGCAGTGAGTGTTACAGCTCATAAAGGCAGTGCAGACCCGAAGAGTGAGCAGCAGCAAGCTGTATTGCAAAGAGCGAAGAACAAAGCTTCCACAACACAGAAGGAGACAACAGCAGGTTACCACTGCTGCCTTCGGCAGCCTGCTTTTATTCCCTTATCTGGCCCCACCCACATCCTGCTGATTGGTCCATTTTACAGAGAGCAGATTGGTCCATTTTACAGAGAGCTGATTGGTCCGTTTTGACAGGGTGCTGATTGGTGCATTTACAATCCCTGAGCTAGACACAAAAGTTCTCCTGGTCCCCACTAGATTAGCTAGATATAGAGTGCTGAATGGTGTATTTACAAACCCTGAGCTAGACACAGAGTGCTGATTAGTGCATTTACAAATCTTGAGCTAGACACAGAGTGCTGATTGGTGTACTGGTGTATTCACAATCCCTTAGCTAGACATAAAGGTTCTCCAAGTCCCCACCAGATCAGCTAGACACAGAGTGCTGATTGGTGCATTTACAAACCTTGAGCTAGACACAGGGTGCAGATTGGTGTGTTTACAAACCTTGAGCTATATACAGAGTGCTGATTGATGTATTTACAATCCCTTAGCTAGACATAAAGGTTCTCCAAGTCCCCACTAGACTCAGGAGCCCAGGTGGCTTCACCCAGTGGATCCTGCACCGGGGCGCAGGTGGAGCTGCCTGCCAGTCCTGAGCCTTGTGCCCACAATCCTCAGCCCTTGGGCGGTGATGGGACTGGTGCCATGGAGCAGGGGGCGGCAATCATTGGGGAGGCTAGTGCAGCGCAGGAGCCCGCGGCTGCGGGGAGGCTGAAGTATGGCGGGCTGCAGGTCCTCCTGCCCGGCAGGGAGGCAGCTAAGGCCTGGCAAGAAATTGAGCCCCGCGCGGGTGGGCCGGCACTGCTGGGGTACCCGGCGCACCCTCTGCAGCTGCTGGCCCAGGTGCTAAGCTCCTGACTGCCCAGGGCCAGTGTGGCTGGCCGGCCACTCTGAGTGAGGGGCCCGCCGAGCCCACGCCCACCGGGAACTCGGCTGGCCCCGCAAGCACCACGCAGACCTGGTTCCCACCCGCGCCTCTGCCTCCACACCTCCCCGCAAGCTGAGGGAGCTGGCTCCGGCCTCGGCCAGCCCAGAAAGGGGCTCCCACAGTGCAGCAGCAGGCTGAAGGGCGCCTCAAGCACGGCCACAGTGGGCGCCGAGGCCGAGGAGGCACCCAGAGCGAGCCAGGGCTGCGAGGGCTGCCAGCACACTGTCACCTCTCACCATGACCTGCAACACAAATGGAAGGAGAATACCAGTTAGGAGTTCTGCCTGGTGATCAGGGGCTGGAGAGTTCATGTGAGTACAAATAATTATTCTCTCCCCACAAATCCATTTCCTCTGTGGAAGCGTGAGTTACTTTAGCCCCTGAAAAGACACAGGGAAGCCACATGAAAATGAGAAAAGCATAGGAATGTTTGTTTAAATTTATTTGTTTAATTGACAATAATTGCACATATTTATGGGGTACATAGTGATGTTATACATATAATGTATGTATATGTGATGCATATAATGTATAGGAATCAGATTAAGGTTATTAGCATATCCATCATCTCAAATAGTTGTCATTTCTTTGTGTTGGGAACATTCATATGTTCCTTCTAGCTACTTGAAACTAAATAATATATTATTGTTAGCTATAGCCATCCTACTGTTATGTCAACAAAAGGGAAATTCCTTTAATGTCCCAGCCCTGAGCCAGTGCAAGGGCAACTCACATTAGCAGCTGGGATGTCCAGGAACAGGAAGTTTCAGAGGGCCAGGTTCAGACACAGTGCCCACTTCAAAGCCTGGGAAATCAAAGATTTCCCAGGCCTGGTGGTCTGGGCATCTCTCTTTTCTCTTGCAGAGGTGGCAAAACTCGACCTCTGTCCTCTTAGGGTCCTACCTGGGCCCAAGAATTAAATTGATGTAAGACAGGTTAACGGGAGAAAAGCATACAAATTTATTTAATACATGTTTTACAGGACATAAGAGCCCATATGGGAAAAGAGCCCATATAGGGAAAAGAAGACCCAAGGATGCAGTGAGAGTCAATCGCTTCTATACTGGTTGCACAAAGGACAGTAGTTTTGAAAAGGCAGCTAAATTATGTGGGGAGGTTTAAAATAGAAGAATTACTTGAACAAGGTCTATACAGAATTCTCTCAGTTCCAATTTCTCATCATTGATAGGGAGAATGGTATTCCTTCTGTGACAGGGAGGCCATCTCCCATGTGGGAATTTCATCTCCTGCTGTTAAGACACAGAATTAAGATCAGAGTGACCTCTTCATATCTGATGTTTTTAAAATATCTGTAATTCAAATAGTCAATATGCCAGAGCAGCACATTTTGATGGCATAATTCTTAACCTCTTCACTCTCTTCCTCTTGGAGATTGCATGTAGCCTCCTAAGAGTACGAAGTTTAACTCTACCATAAGTAAAGTATAAAAATGGCTTCCTTTCCTCACTCCAAGAGACTCCAGGCCCAAAAGATAACTCCAGAAAGTGAGGAACTAGAGCATAGGCCAGAACCTGCTTCTTTTCCATCTCCCCTGCAATAATCAAACACTCTCTAAGGTACAGTCAAAGAAAGAATGCAAAGGATGAAAGAATTTACAGACAGGTCTGTCTGTTTGGGCTTTTCTCATAAAATGTGGCCATCAAAATGTCATAACGGGAGTCACGGCCAGGCTTGACTTCTAATGATGAGAAAAGTTAGATAATGCCCTTCTTTGTGCTTTTCACAAAAGCAGGGAGATCTCTTGGGAGAAAAAGGATTTATCCTTCTTTTTCTTCTTTAGATATACAAAGAGACATCTGGGGACAGGGAGTGGCCCAGGGAGGAGTTGGACATCAGAATTTAGATTGCAAAAAGGAACACTGGGGAGGGCTGACTTGGTTAGTTTGCTTTAATTACTAGCAGTCAAAGAGCAACTCACAATGGTTTGCACCATTAGGAAAAGTGATTATTACACACACCAAAAAAAATCCCAAGGAAGAGGGACTCCAGGGAAGAGGCTTGTCAATTCAGTGGCTAAGGATGTCCTCATGGACCATCTTTCCACTTTCTGCTGTGCTTCTTCAGCACATCACCTTCATCCCCATGCTATTTCCTCTCAAGGTAGCTGTATTAGTCGGCTAGAACTGCAGTAATAAAGTGCCACAACTGGGTAGCTTAAATAACAAAAATGTATTGTCTCACAGTTGTGGAGGCTGGAAGTCCAAGATTCAGGTGTGCACAGGATTGGTTCCTTCTTAGGGCTGCGAGAGAGAATTCATTCCATACCTCTCTCCCAGATTCTGATGATTTGCTGGCAATTGTTGACATTGTAGATGCATCACCACGATCTCTGCCTTCATCTTTACATGGTGTAGCTAGTATTCAAATTTCTCTTTTTAATAAGAATACCAGTCATACTAGATCAGGAACCCACTCTACTCCAGTATGAGCTCATCTTAACAAATTACATTTGCAATGACTCTATTTCCAAATAAGGTCACATTCTGAAATACTGGGGATTAGAACTCAAACATGTCGTTTTTCGGGGCGAGCGGGGAGGGCGGCGGGGAACACAATTAGAAACAAAACAGTAGCAAAATGGCTGCTCCAGGTGTCACACCTACAAACAAAGTCCCTAGAAAGAAGAGGCTGTATCTTCCTTACTCCTTTTGAGAAACTTCACAGCACACACAGCATCACGTCTCAATGGTCATAACTATGTCATATGCCAACCTCTAACCAATCACTGTTGAAGGTGCTGGTATTGCAGAGATGTGGAGGTGAAATACTCCAGATAATGAAATTACTACCTTGCCTGACAGACAAAGAGAAGGAACATAGTAAAGTTTTAAGCATGTGAGTTACCATGTTTCCGTAATCTTTCAGTCCTCTAAGTTGTTAGCTTTTCTCCTTTTTCCTAATCACATCTATTAGCTTTTTTAGAATACATGTTCATTGAAGAAAATTGGAAAGCATTAAAAATAATATATTTTGAATAATTCAAAAATCCCACCAAGACTTCTTCTAATTTCCCTTCTAATTTACCGGTAAGTACGTGTTTATTGAAAAAAATTGAGACAATATTAACATTTTACAAAGAACCAATTTAAAATGATTCATAATCCCATCGAGATATCCCCTACTAATGTACTAGAAAATATTTTCCCATATGTATATGTTATATATACATACATACATATATAACAAAAAGTGTGGCTATAGTGTGCGTACCGCTGAGTAGCCTGCCTTTCTTCAGTTAGTATTAATTTGATTGTTTGCATTTCCTTTCTGCTTGTGGTAATGTTATTAATCACAACTATCTGGAACACCTTACCCCCAACACATATTTACACTCTACAGTTCTCTTTTGGTATCATTAATTGCAAAAGAGTTCCAGCTCAAGTTAAACCACAGGAAAAGGCTCTTGGTTCCAGTCATGGGAGGAGAGAAGAGGTCTGATCAGAAATGAATTCGACGTTATTCATTAAACCCAAGTCAAACAGTCAAATGTTTCCTCCTTTGTGAAGTATTTTTCACTGACTCCTCCTCCAACCTAAGGAGAATTCTCCCATTTGTGCACAATTACTATTGAGCTGACTGTCCATGTTCTCTAACATAACACTCTGATTTGTGATATCATTGGTTTTCCACATGCCATGATACCCTTGAGAGCAGAGATGAGCTCTGATCTATCTTTATATCTCCAGGCCTAGCATCAGTAGACATTGAATATGTGTTTTATTGAACAAATGAATTCATTCATTCATTCACAGAAGAACAAGCTCAGAATTTTTTTCCTTATTCTCTACCATAGTTCCCTACAATGGTTTATCATAATTTCAAAAAGAGGCAAAGTTTGAACAATTAATTTTTAAGTATTATTTGGAAGAAAGTGAAATATAATTATTTCAACACTAACCTAGATATTATGCTTACATATCAGTGAGGCATGTGCCTTAAAAAGCCAGATGTCTGTAAAAATCAAATAATAACTTGACAACCAGGTGATGGTTGCTAGGAAACTGCATTTTTCTGTGAAAACATGATGTATGAAGTGTAGCCTAGATTCATATCCTACATTAAACATCTTCCTTGGAGTTATCTATGAAGTCTGATTTTGCATGGCTTGTCAAGGTATATAAGTTATTCCCTCAGTTATCCTGCTCCTGCTCTTAAAAATCATATGGTTCTATACATAGAATATTATTTCAACACCATTATTTGTTCTGAACTCAAGGTTGTTTAGGTTATAGATTGAGGCCCCTTTTGGCTCCAAAACTTTTCAGTGGCATCAAATGTTAGTTACCCTCTCATAGTTGTCACTGAGGAACAACCTTCACTTTTGATGTATTAATTGTGCTAAGTGAAAAAAAGTAAAATATGTACAATGTTTCTATGTATTCCAAAGTGAAATAAAAATAAATAGAAATTATCCATGAGTTTTGAAAGATTTTTGCTCACCACTACTGGAACATAATAGAGATTTTACTATACTCTGCCTAGGAAGTTGACTCCTGACATTGATAGTGAAGTTCCAGAAAGTGCTGAGGAACTTTGCTAAATTCAAGAGCTGGGAATTTTGTTTGAAATAAATATCTCAATATTTAACTGCTGTATTAATTAGAAAAATTGTATTGCAAGAAACAGAAACCCAAATCAAATTAGTTAAAGCCAAAAAGGACATACTGAGATACTAGAATAACTTGGGTAACTTACAAAATTGAAGGAACTAAAGAAAAATAACTGAAAAGTACTAAGGATGTCAGGAACTAGAACCAAAGACAACACAACTCTCTCCAATCAGTCCCCATAGCTTCTACTGTTTTCTCAGCATCCATCTCATTTTCCCGGGTTTCTCCTTGTGCCAGGAACATGACCACCAGAAGCTCTGGGGTCAAATACAAGAGGCAAGAGTTTTGGCTCTCCACATCCTTAGAAGTTTCTGTGTAAAGATTACAATTGACCCAGACTGGGTGACTTGCCCAGCTTGTGGCAAATGGGTGAGGTTAAGTGCATTGGTTGACAATCTCCAGTAGGGGTTGGGAGAAACCAGTTTCTAAAAGGAAGAGTGAAGCTTTTACATGGACAAGGGCAGAAGTCAAGGTATGCAGAAACAATCAACAGAAGTGCATTACTCCAAACATATCCAGCAATGATTTTAATACCACTTTCACCAGTTTTGTCACCACAAAGTGACAGGACAACCCAGCTCCTAACTTATACAATGTCATCTTTATGACTATTCTAAAATGCTTTGAACTTTTTCATCTTAAAACACCAAAGGATCGCTATGACAGCGCAGGTGCTTTTTCTCACGTGCATCCTTCTACGAAATGCTTAGACATGAATTCTGAGGCTTACTTTTCACAAATTAAAAGATTTTTTCATGGAAACACAAAAGATACAAAAAGTAGAAAGATCCATATGAAGCACCTTCCTCCACAGTTTCTAAGCTTCTAAAATCAATGTTTCCCAGTTCATTAACAAGCTCGTACATAATTATTAGAGTAACACCATTAAGGTTAGCACATACAATGACTCCCAAAGAAAAAACATTGTCTATTTATAAGCATTGCTGTGAATGGGTGGAACGTCTCAGCAATACAGTCACAAGCAGCAGTCCCGGTGTTCTCACTCAGATATTCCACGTAGCACTTCATAGTATGCTTTAAGTGAGGGAATGTGACCTATAGATACATCTACACGAGAAGGATTCCCATAAGGCATAAACTGTTCAATAAACAATCATAAAAATATATTCATTCTTCCCTATCTAGAAATCTATGTCTTTATTTAAAAATACGTGATGATTCATGCTTAAGGACGTGTTGTTGGACAGTTGGTTACAGTCTTTTATCTAGTCAAAAGATTCTTATCTGCCAGAAATGTGATAAGTCCACTTATAACTAGTCTCTCAAAACATCCTAGATATTTTTCTCTGTATGCATAGTTAATCATACAAATTAATCTAACCTAATGCCATCTTGTTACCCTAAAATGTTTAATGATAATGGCTTATCATCTTTCATCCCCATAAATTTTCTCCTTGCTTTCAGTGAGCAGCAACTTCACTCCCATATACGCACTTGTTGTGTATTCCTTCTCCTGCCAAATTCACACAGTCACCTCCTCTTCCAGGATAAGACGTTTACTGCTGATAATCACAGCCACAGGGGAAACAAAGAACTGCCATGCTCAAATGAGGGTAAGGTGAGGCAGGTCCATTAATTTACAAAGGGACTGATTACAAACATGCAAGTGGGGTGCAGGGAAACCACAGGTGATGCTACATGAACGCAGGGCTGAAGACAGTAGAGCTGTTACTACCCCTAGGCCAAAGGGACAGAGAGATAGTGGGCACCAAAACCAAAGGAGGGGAATCTACAGGCAGGTGCTGGCCCAGCAACAGTTTTTTAGATGAACTAGGTACGGAAATTGAGAATAAGCATTTATAAACTTCAACAGTAATCCCAAAGAATAATTGTGTCTAATAAAAAATGAGGTTTATCTAATAATAAAAATGGGGTTGGATTTTCTATGTCTTTTTTTTTTTTTCCAAGATGGAGTCTTGCTCTGTTACCCATGCTAGAGTGCAGTGGCATTATCTCGGCTCACTGCAACCTCTGCCTCCCGGGTTCAATTCTCCTGCCTCAGCCTCCTGAATAACTGGGATTACAGGTGTCCGCCACCACCCCCAGCTAATTTATTTATTTATTTTTAATTGTATTTCATTTTTCTAGTAATTTCTTTGAATTCTATCTATTTACAGAAGTGCCAGCTATTGATAAATTGGAAATAAGGAAAACAAGCTGGGCCTTAGCCACAGATATTGTAAGAAGCTTTTCTGTAGAGAAGGCCTTCTTGGGCAAAACAGGCAGCCCAAGGATACCCAGTAGGAGGATAGTCAAGGAAATTGATACTCTATCCTTCCTCTCTTCACTTCCTCCAGTCTCTTGTCGAAGTTCTCCATTTGGCTATACCCACTGAGGTCCATGTGGGTCAGTCTCTGGAGGCAAAAAGCAGGATACAGAAGGGTGGAGAGTGGATCCCCATCCTGTACAGTTGAAAAGTCTATGTCCCCAACATTGCAAATGCACGAAGTCCCATCACCACAGAGTGATGTCATTTAGTCACGGAGTAATGTCTCCCTGTGCCACTTACCAACTTACTAACACTGAACTCCAAATTCACTCTAAATACATGCTCTGTCATAATGAACAGAATTCCTTTAGCACCCATCCTTTACAGTGAGCATGATATTGAGCTGTCTCAGTAGAGGGCGCTGGAGGGATACTGCAACAGGAAAGGGCTCTCCTGCTGTTTGCAGCTGCTGCAAGAGGTCAGCAGTGTGGGTGGGAGGGCTTTTGTCATGCTCTTCCCTGGCTGCATCCCTGAGCATGGGGTTCCTTTGCAACTTCTCAGCTGCAGCCTGGCCTAGCATTAAAAATAGAACCCATTACACAGGTTTGTTGTAAGTAAGTGTTTTTTGTTTTTTGTTTTTTTTTTTGAGACGGAGTCTTGCTTTGTCACCCAGGCTGGAGTGCAGTGGCGCGATCTCGGCTCACTGCAAGCTCCGCCTCCCTGATTAACACCATTCTCCTGCCTCAGCCTCCCGAGTAGCTGGGACTACAGGTGTGTGTAAGTACTAATTTTTAAAGGGCAGATATAATCAGTATATTAACATGCAGTTCTCACAGGGGTAACTAAAAACAACTTTTAATTTTATTCCTCACTGTCTGCTTGGGAGTGAAGGACTGGCTAGCCCTTCTCCTACCCCTGGATGAAACTTGGGGTGGCACAATGGCTGTTCTCACACAGGACTTTGGAGGGAATATAAAATCCTACAATTACTTCAAGACACAAACATAGTCTCAAGTCAGTTATTGAAAATGTCCAATCCAATGCATCAATCAGTAATTCAATTTGTATTCAAAGGTAAGACTTCTGGGAAGGAATCCTTCTCTTTTATTTCCTTACTCCCCACTGTTCACTAATTGGCTTTTGGCCCTTCCAGGGTTAAGTGCTCAGATGAAGGAAAGAAAAGGGGATAAAAAAGTTCATACTTGACAGATACTGTCAAAATGTTGCTTAATGCTGTCTGTCTGACAGATGCTTAAGACTAACCTTTCTTTTATAGACACTTTTGGGATTCTTCAGAGGGGTTCCTGCCAAGTGATGTATTCTAGTTCTCCAATTGCCCCACATGACTTAGTCCTTGGTTTTCCAGAAGTTCACTCAGTACTGACCTTCTTCTATTTTCAAGATAGTACCCCTCTTACACAAGATTTTAAATTGTTCCAAACCAGAACTTACACACCACTCGGCTCACACTAGACCATGGGAATATTCGTCTACCTTTTATCCCAACAAACTCTACGACTGAAGGTCAAGCTGGGGTAGCAACAACTCTCCTCACTTCACCTGCAAAAGCACTTGCCAGACCTCCTCTGAGCCTCTCTACAGACACCACCCGCAGTGTCTGTGAGGTCTGCTAATGGAGCTTGCCACAAAATACAGACTGAAACAAGTTTTATAAACTTCCTCAGCTTTTTGAGAGAGGGAAGAATTTCCCATTTGAATTCTTCCAAGGAGATTTCCCCCTGTACTCATAACTTTTCATCTTTATTTTTCTTTCCTATGACCCCTAAGCAAACATCCTGTTGGTGACCATAAGCTTGGCAATAAATTATCCACGTGTTGCCTCACTGGGGTTTTACTACCAGTTGGTCTATACTGTTGTGGGAATAACATGCACAGTCACTGCAGAAGGAATTAAGCCATTGTATAAACTTTAAAACATGCAAGCCCACCCATTAAAATTGTTCCTTGTTATTCTTACCGTATATATCCAAAGTAAATGAAGTTGAGATTTGATGTCATCAGTAGCCCATTTGATTATCTACAAGAATCAGATAACAAACTGGTATTATGGGGGAGAGATATAAATAGGAAATCAGTGATGTGCTCAAACTGTAAATCTAGCCCCGCCATGGCTTATTTCTATACCAGTTGCTTAGCATGGCCAACCCGAAAGTCAACGATTTTAATAGTCCCTGAATAGTATTATGATGATCTCTGGTTACTTAGTAGGGCCCTACCTAGCAGACTGTTTCTGCTTTACCACATTTGGATGTCAGATCCAACTTTTCTTGCACTGACTGGCTGTAATAACCCATATGGGGCAGGGGGAGAAATAAGTGGTTTTTTAAATTTACTTTTGCCAGTATGTGTTAATAGTACTTAGTTTCATAATTCTGGATGTGGCTCCAGTAATCAGAAGAGCTTTAAACAGAAAGATCAAAGTCCATAGAAAAGAGTTTTGTTTCCGTTTCCTTAGAATATAGATCATCCTGTGAAAAACATAGGATTTCTTCAAGGTAAATAAATAGTACTCACAGGAGGCTAAGGCAGAGAAACTATAATGACAAGTAGTTCAAGTGTGTAAAGAAAAATACTGGTTATTAGGAAAGACTGCTCAGATGGGCCAGTATAATTAAAATAGTTAAAGTGACAAGGGATTGATCTGAAACAAGTCATGAGAATCCCTACAAAAAGCAGTTCCCTAAACTGGCTGCATAAGAACCATCTGGAGTAATAAGCTTACGAATTAAACTGATACAAGCCTGTCTGTACCTGAGACAGCCGATATCCAGTCTGGGCTTCTTTTCAGTAAGAGAATTCTGATTTTATTGCTGGTAATGTATCCAGCTAAAAGCAATGTTTCTCAGCTTCTCCTGAAGATTGGTATGGCCATGTGACTAATTCTGGTCATTGAATACAAGTGGAGATTATTGGCTATTACTTCTGAAAAGGCTCTTTAAAGAGGGAGGAAGAGCTGAGTTTGAACTTTTTGCCTTTCTACCCATTCCTCCTTCTATGTAGAATTTAGACCTTAAGGCTGAATCTGTAGCAACCATCTTAGAGCATGAAGCAATCTTGAAGGTGGGAGTCACAAGTTAAAGATGGCAGAGCTAATGGATTAAAGGAGTCTGGGTTCCCAGCCACCATGGGACTGCCATGCCAACCCTGCACTGCTCCTTCCACACTTGTTTTATAAGAAGGAAAGTAAACCTAACATAGATAATCCTGTTACTATACACCATCAAATCCTAAACACAGTGCTACTGGCATTTTCTTAGCCTTACCAGATTGCAACAGATGATTTTCATTTTCAGGCAAGTATAACTACCTCCACAATGCTACCCAGCTGTCAGTGATTACAGCATACCATTTGGGGAAATGCATGTCTTAGAATTAATGAAACAGGTATTTAGAGTCTTCAGTTTATCCAGCTGCCTTAGCTTGCCTGAAATCTTACTAGTAAACTCACTGATTCTGGGACCATCCAGAAGCTGGAAATTCCCAATGTGGAAGAGAAATGGCCATGAGAGAATGCCTTGTGCATACCTGGCACAGAAAGGAAGCTAAGGAAAAGCAATCCAACACAGACATTGCCACCCACAGTTGTATGGAAGGCAAAGTATCAGTGAGAAAGAAGCTGTAGTAACATCAGTGTTGGAGAATCTTTATTTATTATAGGGTTAACCTCTTGTACCGTAATGGACCTTAAATGAGCACAGAAGTCTGGTCTCCAAAGTGAGACCTAAAGGAAGATGATGCCAACCAGAGCATGGAGGACAGACTGGAAGTTTTCCCCTGGCACAGGCCATCAGTAATCAGCTGTTGATATGCCTATGTTAATTGTCTGGTAAACTCGTGGTGCTGTTTTGGCTCTTCTCAACTAGTTCACTTTTTAAAAATTTAAGCACCTCATTAAAGAAACCCTTTTAGATGTGGTAAAGCGAAACAGTCTACTAGGTAGGGCCCTACTAAGTAACGAGAGATCATCATAATACTATTCAGAGACTATTAAAATCGTCGACTCTTGGGTTGGCCATGCTAAGCAACTGGTATAGAAATAAGCCATGGCGGGGTTAGATTTACAGTTTGAGCACATCACTGATTTCCTATTTATATCTCTCCCCCATAATACCAGATACATGGTAGTCACTCAACAGGACAAATATTAAATAACAAATGACACAATACATGGTTTCAAAAGGGTGTTTACTATTTGGCCAAACAATATTTTTTAATTGTCAGTCATAAAGTGAAATACATACTAAAATATATATTAAATATTCACCAAATCTGCATTGCTGCTACATGAAAACATTTTTTGGTCTGTTGGAAAATGTAATTCCTGAGATCATTGTTGGGCTTTGTCAATCATTTTCCTCACCATCAAATCACCTTAAGTGACTTGGGAGTGTGAATCTAGGATGTTCAATTTTAGACCAATTTTCTCTATCTTCTAAATGAGTAAACAGGCTCTGTCTTTTATAAAAGGTAGAAAAATAACCATGGTGTGCTAATTTTTTTCAAGGTATACCATATGGAAAAGTATAGGCTGAACACAAAGGAAGTCTTTTCTGAATGGCTCTCGATCACACATAAGGAACATATGTTTTCCAGTTAATCTGTCCTTGATGTACAGCAGTCCAGCTGTTGTTTTGCATTTATTAAAATATTCTCTGCTAAATAGTTATGTTTGTCTTTAAAAGTAAATTGCATAAAATTACATCCAATTTCTTTCTCTAAACCAACATATTCTTCACCTTCACAAAGCAAACACATGGTGCACTGAAACCGAGGTGTTACCAGCTTTACATACTGTTCTGCCATTTGTGAGGGGTGCAACCACAACATAAGTCAGAAAAAAAGCTATCCAGCTTTTCGTGGAATCTGGTGAAGTTTATACTTAGCGATAAGCCTCTAAGCCTGAACTTAGCAGGGCTAGCAAAACTTTATTTATTTCCTAACTCCTATTATTTTAGAATGGTTTTCAAAATAATACTGCAAGTTCCTAATTGAAATACAAAACAGAACAAAAAGCTGTGAGAAATCTTTTTTTTCTTTGGCTCCTTAAAGACTTGGAATAATTTATATTAGTGTTGCATACATTTTACCTTCTACATTTTGATGTACTTGCTCTTGAAAGCACTAGAACAAATTAATTGAAATAAAACCTCTCTGAAACCATTTGAATCTTTGATCCTACCATAGAGTTTTAAAGGCTTTCAGGATATAACTTGTATTTTCCCCTGAGTCTGAGTGTCTACATGATTATAGAATGCATGTCTCTTGCTTCATGGTGATATCTAATATGCATGGAATACTGAAAAATAGGTATTTCCCAAAGGCTCCTATATACCAGGCATCTCAGACTGACACTGAAAACCTTTTGAAGCATTTTTAACAACAAATAATGGACTATTTCACAGACTGATGCCAATAATTAGTTTTCTGGACCTACAGTTGAAAGCAAAATTATCTTTTTAACTAAATAGGATCAGCTTCAAAATCCTTTTTGGAGATGTTTTTATCTATTAAATGCCTTTATTAACAACACCATCTTCCATTTTCTATTACTCCAATTCGATTTCTCCTGCATACAAGGTAATGAGTAGAATGGCTGTGAATCCAGTTAACATTCCAGCATTCTGAATCATGAAGAAGGTGAAATCGGTTTTTCTTCCAGTTACCTTTTCTCTCAGCATATCATTCATCTCTGGAAACTAGAAGACAGATATATTGTTAGATAACTGTTGCCATCTTGTGGCAAACCACAAAACAGTCACTTAGAGGCATACCTTGGAGACAGTGTGGGTTTGGTTCCAGACCAGTGTGATAAAGCAAACATCTCAATAAAGCAAGTTACATGAATTCCCAGGTTTCCCAGTGCATATAATAGATATATTTGCATTATACTGTAGACTATTAAGTGTGCAATAGCATAATATCTAAAAAGGCAATGTATATACCATAATTTAAAAAAATACTTTATTGCTAAAAAATGCTACCAATCATTCGAGCTTTGGGTGAGTTGTAATCTTTTTGCTGGTGGAGTCTTGATTCCATCTTGATGGCTGCTGACTGATTAGAGTAGTGGTTGCTAAAGATGGGAGTGGCTGTGGAAATTTCTTAAAATAAGACAACAATGACATTTGCAACATCAATTTATTTCTTTCATGAAAGATTTCTCTGTAGTGTGCAATGCTGTTTGACAGCATTTTACCCACAGTAGAAATTATTTCCAAAGTGGAGGCAATCCTCTCAAACTCTGTCCCTGCTTTATGAACTATGTTTATAGAATATTCTAAATCCTTTGTTGTCATTTCAGCAATGTTCACCAGGAATAGATTCTGTCTCAAGAAATCACTGTTTGTTCCTCCGTAAGAAGCAACCCCTCATTCATTCTAGTTTAATCACGAGATTGCAGCAATTCAGTCCCATCTTCAGTCTCCACTTCTCATTCTAGTTATCTTGCCATTTCCACTACCTCTGCAGTTACTTCCTTCCCTGAAGTCTTGAACACCTCAAAGTCATCCATGAGGGTTGAAATCAGCTTCTTTCCAATTTCAATTAATGTGGATATTTTGACTCCTTCCATAAATCACAAATGTTCTTCATATCATCTAGAAGGATAAGTCCTTTCTAGAAAGTTTTCAACTTACTTTGCCCAGATGCATCAGAGGAATCACTATCTACAGCAACTAGAGACTTACAAATTATTCTTAAATGATATGATTTGTAAGTCAAAACTACTCCATGGACTGATCCATGGACTGCGGAATGTATGTTGTGTTAGCAAGCACAAAAACTTTCATCTCCTTGTACATCTCCATAAGAGCTCTTAGGTGATTTGATGCACTGTCAATGAGCAGTAATGTTTGAAAGGAATTTCTTTTATTTTTCTGAGCAGTGGGTCCTAACAGTGGGTTTAAAATACTCACTAAACCATGCTGTAAACAGATGTGTTATCATCCAGGCTGTGTTGTTCTATTTCTAGAGCACAGAGTGGATTCAACATAATTCCTAAGGGCCCTAGGATTTGGGGAATGGTAAATGATCACTGACCTCAACTTAAAGTTACCAGCTGCATTAGTCCCTAGTAAGACAGTCAGCCTATCCTTTGAAGATTTGAAACCAGGCATTGACTTCTCTCTAGTATGGAAAGTCCTGGATGGCATGTTCTTCTAACAGAAGGCTGTTTCAGCTACACTTAAAATCTATTAGTTTAGTGTAGTCACCTTCATCAGTGATCTTAGTTAGATCTTCTGGATAACTTTCTGCAGCTTCCCATCAGCACTTGCTGCTTCACCTGACACTTTTATGTCATACAGATGGCTTCTTTCCTTAAACCTAATGAATACACCTCTGCTAATGTCCAGTTTTTCTTCTGCAGCTTCTTTACTTCTGTAAGCCATCATAGAATTGAAGAGAGTTATTCCTTGCTCTGAAATAGGCTGTTGCTTAACGGAATGTTGTAGCTGGTTTGATCTTTCTATCCATACCACGTAAATTTTATTCATGTCAGCAATAAGGCTGTTTTGCTTTCTTATTATTTGTGTGTTCATTGGAGTAGCCCTTTTAATTTCCTTCATCAATCCTTTCTTTGCAGTCACAACTGGGCTATCTGGCAAACAAAGTCTAGCTTTTGGCCTGCCTTGGGTTTCAACATGCCCTCCTCACTAAGCCTAATCATTTCAGGCCTTTGATTTAATATGATAGATGTGCAGCTCTTCCTTTCACTTGAACACTTAGAGGCCACTGTAGGATTATTAATTGGTGTAATTTCAACATTGTTGGGTGTCAAGGAATAGGGAGGCCCAAGGAGAGGGAGATGGAAGGATGGCTGATCAGGGGTGCAGGGAGAAAACACACACAACATTTGTCAATTAAGTTCACCATTTTATACGAATGTGGTTCATGGCGTCCCAAAACATAATAGTAACATCATAGATCACTGATCACAAATCACTATAACAGATATTATAATAATAATGAAAAGGTTTGAAATCGTTTAAAAATTAACAAAATGTGACAGAGACAGGAAATAAGCCCATGCTATTCAAAAAATGGCACTGACAGATTTGCTTGAGGCAGGGTTGCCAAAAACTTTCAATGTGCAAAAAACCTAGCATTTACAAAGTGCATCAAAGCAATGTGCAATAAAACAAGGTGCTCCTGTAATAGAATGCTGGGAGGGGTGGTATGATCATTTACTTTGGATGTTTAAAGGTTTTAGTACTGATAGCTTAATAGGAATATCTAGTTCTTTCAGGCATCAACAAGAGTAAAAGTACTGAAGTAGTATTTTTCTCCAACTGAATCAATCAGTGGGATGGAATTTACCTCATTTTATGTTCTCTTTCTCCTTTTCCATTACCTGCTCTCTATGCTTCACCCAACCCATTCTTTCATGACCTCAAGTTTACCCAGCAAAATCTTCACATCTACCATCACCTGTACCAGAACTTGTATTTCTCTAATTTTTCAGTGGACTAAATCCTTCACGTTTTACCTTATATCTTGCTAAAACACTTTTGCTAGCTAATCCTAGTTTATTCTAGATTCCTTTATTATCATCTCTCATCATATATTCTACTTTCTCTCTTATTTCATAGCATTTTTTATTATTTGTAATTATTTAGTCATCTGTGTGATTTTTTGTTGTTTAATTTAAGGATCCCCTCTTTCTAGAGGAAAAGCCCCATGAATGGAAAAGCCCCTTGAACTGTGCCTATTTTGCTCACTCCAGGATGAGTATTATTTCTTAGTATTATTTCTTTAAACTGAACAACTCTAGTAAGATTCCATTCTTATATCAGAAAGTAAAATGACTATAAGATAGCATGAGACATTAATTTTGTGACAAAAGTTATAAATGTAGCATTGGTTCTAAGAGATGAAATCCTTGCTCTTCTGAGGGTCTGCAGAGAACAACGAACAGAGCTAGACAAATATAATTTGGAGGTAAGAATGCAAATAAAAAACTCAAATTATTAAATTATGTATGTAATACATCCAGTTCCAAATGCAAAAGAAATAGTCCTTGATTTTCATACACTACCATATTATCATTTTATAGAAAGATTTCCATGATTTATTTTAAAATGCACAGGATATTCTCTCTCTTACACACACACATGCACACTCTTTTTTTTTTAGATGGAGTCTCGTTCTGTCGTCAGGCTGGAGTACAGTGGCACAATCTCGGCTCACAGCAACCTCTGCCTCCCGGGTTCAAGCAATTCTCCTGCCTCAGACTCCCGAGTAGCTGGGATTACAGGCGCCCGCCACCACGCCCGGCTAATTTTTGTAGTTTCAGTAGAGACAGGGTTTCACCATGTTGGCCAGGATGGTCTAGATCTCTTGACCTTGTGATCCGCCCGCCTCGGCCTCCCAAAGTGCTGGGATTACAGGCATGAGCCACCGCACCCGGCCATGCACGCTCTTTTGAGCACAAACACACACATACACACAGATACAAAGACACAGACATTGAACAGATATAAATATATACTATGTCAAATAACTATTGTCAAAATTTTACCAATTTTAGTGTACCAGTTTTAGTTTAACCCAAAAAGCTGTCACTGTTTAGAACTTTGAAATAACAAAATGCTATTTACTCTAATAAGTTATTCCTCTTCCAAATGTGGCATAGACACAAAAGAGGGAGAAAAAGGAGAAAAAGTCCTATAGGGACATACTATAACATAAGACAAGATGTACCAACCACAAGGGGAATAGAGATAGAGGAAAATATCTCTATTTCAGCAAAAACAAATCATTTCACCTTCAAACAATACGATTATGTTTTAAAGAACCAGTGAGGATCAGTTTCAAATTACTATTAGTGTAAACTACTCAAGTAGAATGATCTGTTGAAATGGGATTGTTCTGAATTACAACAGAAAGGCCTTCCACACTGCGGAAAGCAGAAGGCCACCCTTAGTTAACTTATAATCCAGATACTCATTTCCAAATTTTAAATTAAAAGAAAATACAAATTTTAAGCTTCTTACCATATCTGCCAGAGAAATATAGAGGAACATGCCTCCAGCAAGTGCAAATATAATATTTGGAGCGAAATTGTTGCCCACCAAAATGCCAAAAGCTAGCCCAACATAGCAGGAACATGCAGAAAGGAAGTTGAATAGCAAGGCTTGTCGAGTGCTCATCCCTGCATTGAGTAGGATCACAAAGTCTCCTAGAAGAAGAAGAAGAAAATATCAAGTGAATAGTTTTTTTTTTATTTCTGGATGATATCAAAGATAATCATCAATGTCCAACAAGGTCTTCATTTTAGTGCATCAGAAGGATTTTAAGAGCATGTCACCTGAAAAGTCTCATTCCACTGAAATCAAGAAGTAAGCAGACTTTTACAATATGAACAGAGCTCCTTACCTAACTCGTGGGGAAACTCCTCACATAGGATTGCTATGGAAGTACTGAGTCCCTGAAGGAGAGACAAGGTGCAGGAAGCCCCAATCGCCAGGCCATCGATGAAATTGTGGAGGGCATCGCAGAGCGTTATCATCCAGGCAATCGTCCCTATTTCTGACAGTTTGGGCCCCTTCAAACAGGTACATGAACTTGGCTCTTTTTTTCCATCCTAGCAGAAAATCAATTAAAATGATAACCAACATTTCTTGAAAGTCTCAGAAATACAGACAAGTTGGAGATGGGTTGTGCTTGAGAAAAACAAATTGTTCCAACAGAAAGTCTTTTAGAGTAACTAGGAAACCCTAATAATATATAACAGAGCAAAGAAAACTTATGGTTGAGAGAAAGGA
This sequence comes from Homo sapiens, assembly GCF_000001405.40. NCBI lineage: Eukaryota > Metazoa > Chordata > Mammalia > Primates > Hominidae > Homo > Homo sapiens. The sequence continues at coordinate 102,268,261 of NC_000004.12, forward strand.
AATTCATCAACTGACACACCTCGAATAAGCCACTAACAGATATTTTCCTTTACTTTCCCTTTAAAACAATTCTTTTGACTTGTATAAACTTCTTCCTACTGCCTTTCTAAAATGTAGCAGATATTAACCTAAGAAATTTATTTATACACAAGATTTAAAATGAAGGAAGTTATTCAAAGACTAAACTTAAAGTCTTTTTTATGTTACAATTTAAATGTGAAATCCACAACTAGAGCATGATGAATGACATCAGCAACATTTGTTCTAACCCCTCCTATGCCACCATGTGACAGGGAGCAAGTTATCACAGAGTTCCTTCAACTGTGAAATGAAGACATTGTACTAAATGATTCATTTATTTATCAACAACTTATTGAGTTTCCATTCTGTTCCAGGTACCCTGTGGAGGGTTTAGGCTGTAACAATATGGTCTCTACCAGCTCCAAAGCTTAATTATTTTCTTAACAAATTGCATGAAGTGTAAATGGAACAGGCTAGCCTTTACACTAACACTTCCTTTCATGTAGAAACAATTAAAAAATAGAAAATCCTGTGATGGACTCTTTGTAGGAATTTAGATTTCCAGAAAATTTACAAAATTGTACAAAATCAAATGACAAATGCCAACTAAAACACTTTCCAGAAGTTGTAGAAAAAGATAAAATGCAAATTCATTTTTAAGTACAAAAGCACTTTGCAATTAACTGGAGAACATTTTATTCCTAATTCTCCTCCTCTCACCTCTACCTAAGCAGCTAATCATTACATTTATTGAACTTCTGAAATTTGTAAAACACTCTGTTGAATGCTATAGGAAATACACAGAAATGGAAAACACAGCTTCTGTCTTCAAGAAGTGTATTTACATTGGAGAAACAAGTCATAATATATATGGATACATTAAAAAAAAAACATGCAATATATATCCAACAGAGAGGGGCTTACTTCAGAGCAACCATCTAAGAGGTTTTACAGTTACTCCAATATCACTTCACCACTCCAAACACTTTGGGGACCAACACTTTCAGAATCAGCCTTAGATCCTGCAATACATCTCTTTACTATTTCGTTAGTGGCAAATCTGCACCTTTGGATTTTTGTTTGTTTGTAGGCACAGATAAAAGCATTTGGAGCAAATATTTTTTTAATTAATATGAAATGAATGGGAAACTGTTAGTAATAGGATTCATCATCATTGTCATCACCAATGTGGTCGTAGTAGAAATAGTAACAGCAAAGGCACATAGCATTTATAATGTGCTAGGCACTGTTCTAAGCACTTCAAATACCGAATTCATTTGGAACAATTCTATGAGGAAAGTACAACTGTTACCATCATTTTATAGTTGAGGAAATTAAAGCACAAAAAGGTTGGTAAACTTACCCAGAGATACAAAAAAAGAGTGAATGGGCATTTTTGGCAACAGTGCTTTACTACTACACACATATCGGGGATGGGAATTCTTCTCTGTAATAGGATCTGAAGGTAATTCGCAAGGAGACTTCCCCACCTCTCAGAAAACTCTTCTGAACGCTTGATGCAACATTGAGTAAGTATCAAATCTTTTTTATTTTAAGAAACAAAGCTTATCCGCATAAAAAATTCTATCTTTTCTTAAAATGTGGGCTTTTTATTTTATAGCTGTATCTTAAACGCACAACACAATAAACAATCATAATTTAGCACAGGTGGATCGGGTAGTTTGCATAAAAAATGCCCCAGAGCGGGAAGCAATTACAGCTGAAGGAGAAACAAAGGTGGTCATAGGGAAAGCCACAGAGGAAGTGACCTGGGCTTTGTAAAACTTAATGCCGTGATATACTTAATGAGATTATTTTGAATTAAAGCAGTTGTTTTCATCTTCCAATCTAATTTGTCTAATTACATGTTTAAAATTTCCTTATTGTGATGACTTCAGAAGAAGACTACAAAACCAAGTCTTGACTACCTGATATCACTACAGAGTCTGTATACAAACACCCTTAATTTTACAGAAGAAATTAAATTAATATATCAGGAATGATTCTCATACCTCTAAGTACAGATATTATTGACTCTATTTATTATGCCTCATGCTTTGGTCCCAAATGATACTGTTGAGCAGGTAAGAGTTATACATTTTTAATAGTTTTGGAACAAACCAAAGTCAGCAAACCTTCACAGAAACTTCTTTTTTAATTCACCTAGAATTAAATCACTGAGCAGAGAGAACACTAAATTCAAGTTCCTGTAGTTAAATTAGTGAATATGCCTATCTCTCTCTTTCCTTTTTAAATTTTTGTTTTCTATTGTTATTGTTGTTCACTTGCTTGCTTTCTTGTCTGAGTTTTACTCTAAATATGAGGCTATTTCTATCCTCAGCCATGATGAGGCAATTCAGCCTAGTGAAAAGACACTAAGTCTGGAATCTAAAACTGAGTTCAAGCTTGGCTGTGAGAAGAATTACCGTGTAATCTTCAGCAAGACTTGTAACACCTTTCACTTAGTTATTAATGGGGATGGAAGTCAAAGCAATGTGTAGTGTTATCAGAATGGGGGAGAAAGAATATCATGCACCAAAGTTAAAAAAATAGAGGGAGACTATGTTGAATCCCAACATAAATTGGAGGGCAAAAAACAAAATTTTTTTCAAAAAAAGTACTTAGAAATTAAAATGGAGAAAACAAATGGGCTTATTGCAGAACAGTTTAAGGAAGGAGGAGAAAGTTGTAGAGGATGAGGAGGCCTGGGGGAATAGGGAGCACAAGGAAAGGGAGAAGTAGCATGAGGAGGAGGAGGAGGAAGACAAGTATAAGGAGGATGAGAAGGAGGATGAGGAAGAGGATGAAGAGAAGGATGATTAGGAGGAGGACAAGGTGGAGCATGTGGAGAAGGAGGAAAAGGAAAACAGGGAGAACAAGGAGAAGGAAACGAGCAAGCATGAGTAAGAGGAGCAGGAAGAGGACTAAAAGGAGGAGAAAGATAAGGACAGACAAGAAGGACACAAAGGAGGAGGTGAAGAATATATGGAAGAGTCTCTTTTAATAAGTACAGAATGTGAATCTAATTCTATTCCACTAAATCTCATAAAAGGCCATCACAGAGGATAGCTTCAGTAATAAAGTGAACAAGAAAATCTGATTGTCACTCAGTATCCTTCATCAACCATCCAAATGTTTGCTTAATGGACCCACATATAAAGCACAGAGTGGTGCAGAGGGAGGATATATATAGGTTCAGCATTCTCTTCTCCTACCAGGGGGAATCTGGCTTTCCAGCACTAAAGAAGTCCCAAACTTCAAAAGCCAAGGCTGATGCTGAGCCCCCAAAAAGCTATCACTGTCCAACAGGGCAAGAGGACCAGGTGGCTGTATGTGGTAGCAGAATGATTCCACTGGATTCCTCCCATTATAAGGGGATGCTCTTGGACTCACAAAGATAGACATATACAATATATGTCTTCCCTGCCTTCAGTGCCTCTGCAAGCACCATCATTCATGGACTTATAGTGCAACTGATATATAGCCAAGGTTTCCTGTGAAAACTATCTCCTAACCATTTTTTAGCAAAGGAAGTGAGACAGTGGGCTCAATACATATAATTCATGGATCACATCACCTGCACCCTCTAGTAGCAACCAGTTTGACAGAATGATGAAATGTCCTGATGAAGCCTCAGCCAGGGTGCAAGCCAAGAGATAACACCCTGAGAGGTTGGAGTTCTGTTCATAGGTTGGGCAGCCAAGTATATGGTGTCATCTCTGCTGTAGAGAATGCACAAATCCAGGAACCAAGAGGTGAGAGTAAAAGGGGTATAAGTCAGGCTCAGGGGCTCCTGCCAGTAATCCCAGCACTATGGGATGCCAAGGGGGAGGACTGCTTGAGGCCAGGTGTTCAAGACCAACCTGAACAACATAACTAGACCTCGTCTATACAAAAAATATATTACTTTGGGAGGCCGACACAAGCAGATCACGAGGTCAGGAGATCGAGACCATCCTGGCTAACATGGTGAAACCCCGTCTCTACTAAAAATACTAATAAAAAAAATTAGCTGGGAGTGGTGGTGGGCGCCTGTAGTCCCAGCTACTCAGGAGGCTGAGGCAGGAGGATGGTGTGAACCCGGGAGACAGAGCTTGCAGTGAGCCGAGATCGCAGTGAGCCGAGCCTGGGTGACAGAGTGAGACTCCATCTCAGAAAAAAAAAAGAAAGAAAGAAAAAATTACCCAGGTATGGTGTCATGAGCTTATGTTCCCAGCTACTCGAAAGGCTGAAGGAGAGTTACAGTGAGCTATGATTGCGCCACTGCACTCCAGCTGGGCGACAGAGTTAGACCTTGTCTCTAAATAAATAAACAGATAAATAAAGTAATCTATCTTATTTTTATGCCTAATACACCACTTAAAGAATTCTTACTGACAGGCCAGATGGCCAAGTAGGAACAGCTCTGGTCTGTAGCTCCTAGCCAGACCAACGCAGAAGGTAGGTGATTTCTGTATTTCCAACTGAGGTACCCAGTTCATCTATTCAGGATGGTTAGACAGTGGGTGCAGCCCTCTGAGGGCAAGCAGAAGCAGGGTGAGGACCCAGGAAGTGCAAGGAGCCGGGGACCTCCCTCCTGGAGCCAAAGGAGGCCATGAGGAGCCATGCCATGAGGGACAGTGCTCTCCAGCCCAGATACTATGCTTTTCCCAAGGTCTTTGCAACCTACAGACCAGGAGATTCCCTAGGGTGCCTACACCTCAAGGGCCCTGGGTTTCAACCACAAAACTGGGTGGTTGTTTGGGCAGACACCAAGCGAGCTACAGGAGTTTTTTTCCATACCCCAGTGGTGCCTGGAACACCAGCAAGACAGAATCATTCACTCCCCTGGAAAGGGGGCTGAAGCCAGGGAGCCAAGTGGTCTTGCTCAGCGGGTCCCACCTCCATGGAGCCTGGAAAGCTAAGACCCACTGGCTTGAAATTCTCGCTGCCAGCACAGCAGTCTGAAGTCAACCTGGGGCACTCGAGCTTGGTGTGGGGAGGGGCATCTGCCATTACTGAGGCTTGAGTAGGCAGTTTTCCCTTCATAATGTAAACAAAGCCTCCAGGAAGTTCAAACTGAGCGGAGCCCACCACAGCTCGGCAAAGCCACTGTAGCCAGACTGCCTCTCTAGATTCCTCCTCTCTGGGCAAGGCATCTCTGGCAGAAAGGCAGCCGCCCCAGTGAGAAGCTTATAGATAAAACTCCCATCTCCCTGGGTCAGTGCACCCACGGGAAGGGGTAGCTGTGGGCGCAGCTTCCGCCGACTTAAACGTTACTGCCTGCCAGCTCTGAAAAGAGCAGCAGATCTCCCAGCATAGTGCTCGAGCTCTGCTAAGGGACAGACTGCCTCCTCAAGTGGGTCCCTGACCCCTGTGCCTCCTGACTGGGAGACACCTCCCAGCAGGGCTCAACAGACACTTCATACAGAAGGGCTCCAACTGGCATCTGATGGGTGCCCATCTGGGACGAAGCTTCCAGAGGAAGGAGCAGACAGCAATCTTTGCTGTTCTACAGCCAATGCTGGTGATACCCAGGCAAACAGGGGATGGAGTGGACCCCCAGCAAACTCCAGAAGACCTGCAGAAGAGGGGTCTGACTGTTAGAAGGAAAACCAACAAACAGAAAGCAATAGCATCAACATCAACAAAAAGAACGGCCACTCAAAAACTCCATCTGAAGGTCACCAACAGCAAAGACCAAAGGTAGATAAAGTCACCAAGATGAGGGAAAACCAGCACAAAAAGGCTAAAAATTCCAAAAACCAGAATGCTTCTTCTCCTCCAAAGGATCACAACTCCTCACCAGCAAGGGAACAAAATCAGACGGAGAATAAGTTTGACAAATTGACAGAAGTAGGCTTCAGAAGGTGGGTAAAAACAAACTCCTCTGAGCTAAAAGAGCATGTTCTAACTCAATGTAAGGAACCTAAGAACCTTGAAAAAAAAGTTAGAGGAATTGCTAACTAGAATAGTCAGTTTAGAGAAGAACATAAATGATCTGATAAAGTCGAAAAACACAGCACAAGAACTTCGTGAAGCATACACAAGTATCAGTAGCCAAATCTATGAAGCAGAAGAAAGTATATCAGAAATTGAAGATCAACTTAATAAAATAAAGCATGAAGACAAGATTAGAGAAAAAACAATGAAGAGGAACAAGCAAAGAATCCAAGAAATATGGGACTATGTGAAAAGACCAAACCTACGTTTGATTGGTGTACCTGAAAGTGATGGGGAGAATGGAACCAAGTTGGAAAACACACTTCAGGATATTATCCAGGAGAACTTCCTCAACCTAGCAAGATAGGCCAAAATTCAAATTCAGGAAATACAGAGAACACCACTAAGATACTCCTTGAGAAGAGCAACTCCAAGACACATAATCATCAGATTCACCAAGGTTGGAATGCAGGAAAAAATGTTAAGTGCAGCCAGAGGGAAAGGTCATGTTACCTAAAAAGGGAAGCCCATCAGACTAACAGCGGCTCTCTCTACAGAAACTCTACAAGCCAGAAGAGAGTATGGGCCAATATTCAACATTCTTAAATAAAAGAATTTTCAACCCAGAATTTCATATTCAGCCAAACTAAGCTTGATAAATGAAGGAGAAACAAAATCCTTTACAGACAATCAAATGCTGAGGGATTTTGTCACCACCAGGCCTGCCTTACAAGAGCTCTGAAGGAAGCAGTAAATATGGAAAGGAACAACCAGTACCAGCCATGGCAAAAACAAAGCAAAATGTAAAGACCATTGACACTATGAAGAAACTGCATCAACTAATGGGCAAAATAAACAGCTAGCATCATAATGACAGGATCAAATTCACACATAACAATATTAAGCTTATATGTAAATGGGTTAAATGGCCCAATTAAAAGGCACAGACTGGCAAATTGGATAAAGAGTCAAGACCGATCAGTGTGCTGTATTCAGGAGACCCATCTCATGTAAGAAGACACACATAGGCTCAAAATAAAGGGATGGAGGAATATTTACCAAGCAAATGGAAAGCAAAAAAAACAAAAACAAAAACAAAAACAAAACAAAAAAGCAGGGGTTGCAATCCTAGTCTCTGATAAAACAGACTTTAAACCAACAAAGATCAAAAAAGACAAAAAAGGGCATTACATAATGGTAAAGGGATCAATGCAGCAAGAAGAGCTAACTATACTAAATATATATATGCACCCAATACAGGAGCACCCAGATTCATAAAGCAAGTTCTTAGAGACCTATAAAGAGACTTAGACTCCCACACAATAATAGTGGGAGAATTTACCACCCCACTTTCAATATTAGAGAAATCAATGAGACAGAAAATTAACAAGGATATTCAGGACTTGAACTCAGCTCTGGACCAAGCTGACCTAATAGATATCTACAGAACTCTCCACCCCCAAATCAACAGAATATACATTCTTCTCAGCACCACATAGCACTTATTCTAAAAGAGACCACATAATTGGAAGTAAAACACTCCTCAGCAAATGCAGAAGAACGGAAATCATAACAAACAGTCTCTCAGACCATAGTGCAATCAAATTAGAACTCAGGATTAAGAAACTCACTCAAAACCACACAACTACATGGAAACGGAACAAACTGCTCCTGAATGACTACTGGGTAAATAACGAAATTAAGGCAGAAAGAAATAAGTTCTTTGAAACCAATGAGAACAAAGACACAACGTACCAGAATCTCCAGGACACAGCTAAAGCAGTGTTTAGAGGGAAACTTATAGCATTAAATATCCACAGGAGAAAGTGGAAAAGATCTAAAATTGACACCCTAATATCACAATTAAAAGAACTAGAGAAGCAAGAGCAAACAAATTCAAAAGCCAGCTGAAGGCAAGAAATAACTAAGATCAGAGCAGAACTGAAGGAGATTGAGACATGAAAAACCCTTCAAAAAATCAATGAATCCAGGAGCTGGTTTTTTGAAAAGATTAGCAAAATAGGTAGACTGCTAGCCAGACTAATAAAGAAGAAAAGAGAGAAGAATCAAATAGACACAATAAAAAAAATGGTAAAGGGGAGATCACCACTGATCCACAGGAATACAAACTACCATCAGAGAATACTGTAAACACTTCTACGCAAATAAACTAGAAAATCTACAAGAAATGGATAAATTCCTGGACACATACAGCATCCCAAGACTAAACCAGGAAGAAGTCGAAACCCTGAAAAGGCCAATAACAAGTCCTGAAATTGAAGCAGTAATTAATAGTCTTAACAACCAAAAAAAGCCCAGGACTAGAGAGATTCACAGTCGAATTCTACCAGATGTACAAAGAGAAGCTGGTACCATTCCTTCTGAAACTATTCCAAACAATAGAAAAAGAGGGACTCTTCCCTAGCTCATTTTATGAGGCCAGCATCATCCTGATACCAAAACCAGGTAGAGACAAAACAAAAAAAGAAAATTTCAGCCTAATATCCCTGATGAACATCGACGCAAAAATCCTCAATAAAATACTGGTATACCAAATCCAGTAGCACATTAAAAAGCTTATCCAATATGATCAAGTAGGCTTCATCCCTGGGATGCGAGGATGGTTCAACATATGCAAACCAATAAACACAATCCGTCACATAAACAGAACCAATGACAAAAAACACATGATTATCTCGATAGATGCAGAAAAGGCCTTCAATAAAATTCAACACCCTTTCAAGCTAAAAACACTCAATAAACTAGGTATTGATGGAACATATCTCACAATAATAAGAACTATTTATGACAAACCCACAGCCCACTTCATAGTCAATGGGCAAAAGCTGGAAGCAGTCCCTTTGAAAACCAGCACAAGACAAGGATGCCCTCTCTCACCACTCCTATTCAACATAGTATTGGAAGTTCTGGCCAGGGCAATCAGGCAAGAGAAAGAAATAAGGGGTATTCAAATAGGAAAAGAGGTAGTCAAATTATCTCTGTTTGCAGATGACATGATTATATATTTAGAAAACCCCATCATCTCAGCCCCAAAACTCCTTAAGCTGCTAAGCAACTTCAGCAAAGTCTCAAGATATAAAATCAATGTGCTAAAATCACAAGCATTCCTATACACCAATAACAGACAAACAGAAAGCCAAATCATGAGCAAACTTTCATTCACAATTGCTACCAAGAGAATAAAATACCTAGGAATACAACTTACAAGGGATGTGAAGGACCTCTTCAAGGAGAACTACAAACCACTGCTCAACAAAATAAGAGAGGACGCAAACAAATGAAAAACATTCCATGCTCATGGATAAAAAGAATCAATATCATGAAAATGGCCATACAGTCCAAATTTATAGATTCAATGCTATTTCCAACAAGCTACCATTGACTTTCTTCAAAGAATTAGAAAAAAACTACTTTAAATTTCTTATAGAACCAAAAAAGAGCCTGTATAGCCAAGACAAGCCTAAGCAAAAAGAACAAAGTTGGAGGCATCACGCTACCTGACTTCAAACTATCCTACAAGGCTACAGTAACCAAGACAGCATAGTACTGGTACCAAAACAGATATATAGACCAATAGAATAGAACAGAGGCCTCAGAAATAACACCACACATCTACAGCCATCTGATCTTCAACAAACCTGACAAAAACAAGCAATGGGGAAAGAATTCCCTATTTAATAAATGGTTTTGGGAAAACTGGCTAGCCATATGCAGAAAACTGAAACTGGACCCCTTCCTTACACTTTATACAAAAATTAACTCAAGATGGATTGAAGATTTAAATGTAAGACCTAAAACCCTAGAAACCCTAGAAGGAAACCTAGGCAATACCATTCAAGACATAGGTATGGGCAAAGACTTCATGACTAAAACACAAAAAGCAATGGCAACAAAAGCCAAAATTGACAAATGGGATCTAATTAAACTAAAGAGCTTCTGCACAGCAAAAGAAACTATCATCAGAGTGAACAGGCAACCTACAGAATGGGAGAAAATTTTTGCAATCTTATCCATCTGACAAAGGGCTAATATCCAGAATCTACAAGGAACTTAAACAAATTTAGAAGAAAAAAACAAACAGCCCCATCAAAAAGTGGGTGAAGAATATGAACAGACACTTTTCAAAAGAAGACATTTATGTGGCCAACAAACATATGAAAAAAGGCTCATCATCCACTGATCATTAGCGAAATGCAAATCAAAACCACAATAAGATACCATCTCATGCCAGTTAGAATGTCGATCACTAAAATGTCAGGAAACAACAGATGCTGGCAAGGCTGTGGAGAAATAGGAACACTTTTACACTGTTGGTGGGAGTATAAATTAGTTCAACCATTGTGGAAGACAGTGTAGCAATTCCTCAAGGATCTAGAACCAGAAATGCCATTTGACCCAGCAATCCTATTACTGGGTATATACCCAAAGGATTATAAATCATTCTACTATAAAGACACATGCACATGTATGTTTACTGCTGCACTATTTACAATAGCAAAGACTTGGAACCAACCCAAATGCCCATCAATGATAGAATGGATAAAGAAAATGTGGCATGTATACACCACGGAATACTATGCAGACATAAAAAAGGATGAGTTCATGTCCTTTGCAGGGACATGGATCAAGCTGGAAACCATCATTCTCATTCTCAGCAAATTAACACAGGAACAGAAAACCAAACACCGCATGTTCTCACTCATAAGTGAGAGTTGAACAATGAGAACTTACGGGCACAGGGAGGGAAACATCACACACTGGGGCCTGTTAGTGGGGTGGGGGGCAAGGGGAGGGATAGCATTAGGAGAAATAACTAATGTAGATGACGGGTTGATGGATGCAGCAAATCACCATGGCACATGTATACCTATATAACAAACCTACACGTTCTGCACATGTATCCCAAAACTTTAAGTATAATAATAAAAAAAAAAAGAATTCTTGCCTCCTGTCCCCGAAACCTTGGACTTGATGAGTTTGATGGCCCTACTGTCCAAGGCAGTAATTCTTATACCAGGAAACATGGTCATTTTCTGATTCACTGGAAGTAGAGACTAACTCCTGGCAATTTAAATTTATTTATGGCCCTGAACCAACAGAGATGAGAAAGTCACTATAACTAGCTAGGGTAATCACACCTAATGATCAGGGGGAATTGATTTTCTGCTACAGAATGAAGACAAGGACAGTGCTTAAAACTCAGGGAATTCAGTGGGATGCCTCTTAGTACTCCCTTCCCGATAGTCCTGGTCAAGGGAAAATAGCAACGATCCCCCAATAAAAACAAGACTACCAAGCACTCAGATCTTAAAGAAATGAAGATTTCAATTGCCCTAACTGGAAAATGACTCATCCAGTCAAGGTGATGTCAGACAGTAAGGTAAATACAGAAGGTATTGTCGATGGGGGGGCCCTATAATGAGCAGTTTAGGCCTCATGACCAGCTCCAGAAGTGAGCTGCAGCTATAATTAATGTTCCTTAATTGCATCCTCTTCTCCCAATATTTTATATGAAGAGTGTTGCTGGGGACCAATATTTTAGTCAGGTTGCAGTATTAGTAAAAGACATCATGGGAATGATATGGTAGTTGATGGGATTTTGTGCATACCCTGTGTTAGGAACATGCATTTGTCAACCACATGGAGGACAAGATTGGAGGTTGATAGAGAGAAAAGTGGTAGAGTATTCAAGGTATCTTTCATTTCTCCCTCCAGATCCGCTTTCCGCTCTTCTTTCCCCATAAGACCTGCAGGCACTCTATCAAAGGCCCTCATGTCCAGGTGCTCAGCAGGTTCCAGACAGTGAGCTCTAACAAAATTGGAGGGAAGGAGGAGTGGGGATCGGGATATTTATTCCCTTGGCTCCCTCCTTGAAGGTTAACTTAGGCTGGCTATGTCCACAACTAAAGATCACTGTTCCACGTACAGTAGCTTTCTACACAAAACTAGCTCCTTTCAAGTTCTAGAGAACCTTTTTTCTTCCCTTTTCCCTTTGGTCATAGGTTGTTGACAGCTCCACTGTTACTAGCCTCAGGTTACTGCCCTGTGGTTCACCTACACTGTGCTCAGAGTTTTACAAAGTGTCTCTCCCCTATTTATTATTTATCCTTATTTGAGTAGGCCATCTCTCTCTGGAAAGGATTTGACATATCCAAAGTCTAATGCTCATTCCACAACACAATACTATGAACTATATATACTGTTAAATAAGTTTTCATGAAAAAAGTAACAAAAGGATTACATAGACATGAATATATTAAAAAGAGTTAAACGCATTCTGTAAACATAAAGTTTTGATAGGCTTTGCTTTCATTACTAGGTTTTCCAGTGATAAATGTTTGTATTTTATAGCTGGTGATTACTTGGTCCTTCTCCTTACCTGAAAAGTCAGCTAACTACCAAAATGAAGCTTCACATGAGAAAAGAGAAATTATTTATCCTTTAATGCATGTAACCAAATATAATTCAAATGCACTTACCTTCCAGTCATTCAGTTTCAGGTAAAGCTCAAAACTATTTCCAAAACTCTCTTTGCTAATTAAAATAACCATTAACAAGAAAATAACAATTTCTAGAAACCTCGCAAGTTGTTTCCTGTCTCTCCAATCCTGTGGAATGTGAGTAAAGTTGTTTTGGTCTTTAGTAGTTTAATTAATAATCAGTTATTTTCAGTTTGGGACCATAGCATTTTTACTGCCTTGAAAAGAACAATTTAGGAGAAACCTGAGAGGTTTTCAAGAAATCTGCTACTTTGCCAATGGAATCTAAAGTAAATAATAGTTAAATATTTATGGTTATCCTAATGGACTATTTATACCACTCTAAAAGGCTGCTTACTGTTGCTACAGATGAGGATGGCATTAATGCACTGGTACATTCAGGACACAGGATATCATTTCTTATAAAAAGCCCATAAAATGTACCTCCCCGCCTACACAACTCTCATTCTTACTGCAACATCTTAAAGGGATTCAGGAGGCACCAGGAAATTGTTTAAATTTCAATGTAAGTTGGAGAAATCAGTTGCTAGGATCCTTAAAAGTAGTGTTTCCAAAATATAGGAATATCTACACTGATCAGCCTCAAGGCTTTCAGAATAATTCATATGAGAAAACAGGGGTAGGATGGGATGCCGTGGAGAAACCAACCCCGTGCAGCAGCTGCCTGTCATGTCTTAACATTTGACATGAATTACATCAAGAACTGAAATATTCAAGATCCCACTCAATATACTCCATGTGACTCACCTGCAAAAAAAGAGAGACTGCTTTCTGTGGCAGAGAAGATCTAGAAACACACGGTCAAGGAGCTTAGGGAAAGTGGTAAGAGGCAAAGAAATAGATGAGAAGAGAGATTAGAGCCAGTGGTAACTGCAACCACCATGACAGAACAGGCACTTAGGACCAAGTGGGGGTGATAAGGAATAGGCAAGGTGCCAACAGAGAGACAAATATAAAGCTATTCTCTGCAAGGGGCAACTGGCACCCTGGTTTATATTTCAATAGTTCAGAAAAACAGAGGCTGTCTCTACTCTGTACATGGAGCGTGAGAAGTAGGAGCCACACAAGATAAGGGTACCAGGACCACATTCCCTCTGAAAGCTGTCACTGTGCCACTCTAAAGATGTGCTGACCCGTTTAAGAAAAGAAGAATCGGGCATGAAATATACAGAATACACCACTGGAGCACAGAGCAGTAGTGATAATAATATTTATAGTAATAACAGAGCCTCCTGCCGCATTCTCACTATGCTCCTGGTACTGTCCTACGCATTTTACATATACCATCGTTTAATCTTCACAACTGCCCTATATAGATATTATCCCCATTTTACAAATGAGGGAACTGAGGTATAGAAAGGTTAGGTAAATTAACCAAAGTCATACCTCTAGAAATGTGCAGAAACAGGATTTGAGCCTCCATGCCAAAGAAGCTAAGCCTGTGATCCCCAGGAGATACAGGATTTTATTTTCTGTGTTGTTGGTTCCTGTTCACCCAGAATGTAGTAGCACTGTAGGCACTCAGTGAGTGTTTGTTGACTAAATAAATGTGTAGTAATATTAAAAGTACATCTTCTCTCATGACATGTTCACAAATCATTGTCCCATGAAGCATGTATTCCAGTCTTTCCAAAGAGCAAACACATGGACATTTATGCACAACATGGAAAGGATGTGCATAAAAAAAGTTCATTAATCAATTCCAAATTGGTTCACCAATATAACATAAAATTCAGTGCAGAGATGCTTTTGTTGTTTGTTTGCCAATTCTTAGCTACTGAGAGTTGAAGAACTGGATTAAAATCTCCTGGCAGGACAAGATGTTTTTTTCCTTTTTGGCCGAGAATTTAGCGTTTAATGGGTGTTCAATAAATATTATTTTTAATTAAATGGTGGGGGGGGGTGCTGAATTAAGTAGAGAAATGAAATATCAAAATACATTTCAGTCAATGGATCTCAGAGGCTTCCTCCTCTATTCTAGTGATCAAGGCAGTTTTTTGTTTGTTTGTTTGTTTGTTTTGAGACGGAGTCCCACTCTGTCGTCCAGGCTGGAAGGCAGTGACGCAATCTTGGCTCACTGCAATTTCTGCCTCCCCGGTTCAAGCGATTCTCTTGCCTCAGCCTCCCAAGTAGCTGGGACTACAGGTGCGTGCCACCATGCCTGGCTAATTTTTTGTATTTTTAGTAGAGACAGGGTTTCACCGTGTTAGCCGGGATGGTCTCGATCTCTTGACCTCATGATCCACCTGCCTCAGCCTCCCAAAGTGCTGGGATTACAGGCGTGAGCCACCACACCCAGCCCTCAAGGCAGAAGACTTTTATTGGCAACCATCTTGCATCTAACTTTGTGGACTTACATATTTTTTCAGAAGATGGTTTGGAAAGGGAGGGCATAAAAGTAAGAATATTAGCAATGAAAGCAGATAACCTGTTAAAGATTTATTGTTTGCAAGATGCTTTTCTAAATGCCTGTGATAAGTACATCATCCTGATTACAGAGGAAATAAATGAGGACACTGGAAGAAGGGACTTGCCCAAAACGACACAGCTAGAAAATGGGAAAGTCAGGATTTGTGCCCAGACTATTTGACTCCTAAGCCTATGCAATAAGAGGTCAAGATACTGCTCAAGAGAATTGAGTTTTTCAGATGAGGAATTTCTGAATTAAGTAGCTTGTTGCTATAAGGTAAGAAATTATTATTTTATTGCTGTTTGCCAGTCTCCATCCTGGAAGGTGGAGTACCTCCAGGATTCAAGTACCTCTGGTTTTGAGTAGAAGACACTGAACTAATGTGCT
The DNA here is from genome assembly GCF_000001405.40 of Homo sapiens. NCBI lineage: Eukaryota > Metazoa > Chordata > Mammalia > Primates > Hominidae > Homo > Homo sapiens. The sequence continues at coordinate 102,283,522 of NC_000004.12, forward strand.
GAGGTGTTCTGAGGATTGCTAACACTTCACACACAATTAAAATAATACTTCCAATTGTTGAGGAGAAAAAAAACACCATCCTAGAGCTTTCAAATCCACTACATATAATCTACTGTTTACAGATTGCAAAAACTGATTGCAAAAGACAGTTGTTTTCCTGACTGACCCGTTCTTAGTTTATAACATTTAATAAAATGTAATTTTGGAGCCAATGTCTTGTATTATTAACACTGTTTAAGTGTTAGAACACAGGAATGCTTACTTTGAAGAAGAATTTCTATCTAGAATGTTTTCCAATGTCATTTTATACAAGCATCCACTGTGCCTACCTACTCTGTTCATCTTTCTGTTCCTAAAACCCACTGAACTGTTTCCTACCATAGAGATTTCTCACTGGCTGTTTCCTCAGCCATAATATTATTCTCTCGGATATTCACATGGATGGTTCCTTCTTACAATTCTGATTTTAACTTAAATGTGTTCTCCTTGAGGAAGTCATCCCTGACCACCCACACTAACATAGTGACCCAGACATCATCATATCACATTTTAATTCCCTGCAGGACATTTTAAAATTTATTTTTGTATTTTATGTGTATAAATGTATGGGGTACAACTATAATTTTGTTACATGTATAGATTGAGTAGTGGTGATGTCAGGGTATCCATCACCCAAATAAAGTATATTGTACCCATTAAGTAATATCTTATCATGCACCCTCTTCCCTCCTGCTCACCCTTCTGAATCTCCATTGTCTATCATTCCATATTCTATGTCCACATGTACACATTAGTTAGCTCCTACTTATAAGTGCCTGCATGGCATTTGTAACTCTATGATGTTGGGCTGTGTGTCCCACTAGAATGAACCAGAATGGCAGAGCGCATGAACATTTTCTGTCTAGTTTGTCATGGAATTTCTAAGGTGTAGAGCAGAGCTTGGCACTTGGCAGGTGATCACTGAATAGATGAGAAGAAAATAAATGATGAAATGAATGACTGAATACCATCTTCCTACGCTTTAATATAGCATCACTGATTTAATGTATGGACCAGGATATCATTCAGAATATAAAATGTTGTCACAAAAGTAGCCTGATATATCACAGAGGCCCAGTTTAAGATTGCCATTATTGTTTTAATATAAAAGTTACATGATTCTGGGATTTTGATCAAAGTCACAAACACTATAAAAATTACAAAAAAAATACAGACTATTTTTGCAAAAGTGATGTTTGTCCAGAAAAGAATGTTTGAGATTCTACTTTCTAAATGGAAATAATCTCTAGATTTGGGTGTTTGTTTGCAACCCAGGAAACTATAATGATGGCTGATCCCTCACTTATTTTTTCCAATATATATTTTGTAACCTGGTAATAGAGGAGGATACACTAGAAAGCATAAGACCAGAGGCCGGAATGTCTTATGGAACCCTCCAATGTAATCTCTATTGGTGTTTCCTCTGCTGCTAAACGTTTCTGACTTTTATCCACTTTCACTAAGTTGGTATAAAGGTTCGATAAAGTCATGTTCATTAAGCACTTTGATATTCCTAAGTAGAAAGAGATTCAGTAAAATAAAGTCTGTTCTTTTATTTTACTTTTAATGTTCTGATACCTGATAACAAATAAAAAGTAATAATACCTTAATCACTTCGAAAAAGAATTAGGCTCACACATTGGTCTCTCTTTCTACTTATTAGGATTCAAAACTTCTATAATAATACTTCTAAATAAATTGAGCCAATAATTAGCATGGAGAGCAAAGTTAAAGGCAGGAGAATGTCACCACTTAATTTAAATAAATGAAGAGTTATTAATTGAATTGAGAGCCTTAGAATGGGACTGAAATTCTCTATCTAAGAAGCAGACATATAGTAGAATCAAATTTCACTACCTAATCAATGCCCTAACTCTAACCCTTAATACTTTTATTAAGAGTCAGCACTTAAATTGTTCTTCAAATATCTTCAATTCTTTTTTTATTCACTAAGATTATTAGTGAAGTATTAATAGTTATAAAAGTGAAATTTGTTATCTGGAAATTTACCTCAGACACAAAACTGAATAGATATGATTGTAGAGACAAATAAATATTATAGATGAGGGTGTGTGTGTGTGTGTGTGCATGTGTGTATGTGTGCATGAGCCAGTCTGCTAATTACTATATAATATAGTAATGTCAACCTCAAAAAGCAGTTTGGCAAGACCACACTTCATTTACAGGATGCATTAGCTTTGGTATCTTTTTGATTTAGAATCCTTACTTTGAATATATAGAATAAATAAAATGGAATAATAAAATGTAGAGTAAATTCTGCCTCTGCAAGTGCTTCTTCAAGGGAGATGGATTTCATTTATTACAATAAAACACCTTATGGTTTGGCAAATCTTTCATCATGCAATCCACTGAGTAAAAGTTACTCACCAGGTCTTGATTCAGTATTCCCAAACTGCAGAATGCAGCATGCAAAGAATAGAGCACAATATAAATATTTTTAAATAAGCAAATAGCAGAAGCCAAAGAAAACAAAGTGGTCTATTTTAGTCATCCAACAATTATGAAATGGACATCCTTTATAAGGCAATCTTTTAAAAAGCTGATGTTAAAGACTGACCAGCAATAGAATAAGTATTTAAATATTCCATTGCTTCCCCTGGTTTGCCACTGGGCTTTCCACACAGTAGAATAAGCAATTCTTTCTGATGAGCAGAATAATTTACTTGAACCTCATATATTATTGGTTCATTTTTCAAGAGAAAAATGTATTGGCATTCATTATTAACTTTTTTTATCAATCAGCATGCATGACAGAACAACACAGCAATTCTTCATTACACTAATGGAGGAAAAATTAACTTGACATCAAGCCTAATTGACTAAAACCTCACTAATTCTTCTAAATAGGGATAAGTCCTGCTTGATTAGTGAAAGCAATTTAGTATAGAACATGTTTAGATAGATGCACTTTTATTGCTTTCCAGAACTTAACACTAACAAACTGGGCTCTCCAGCATCAAAGGCGAGATAACGGTAGAGGTTCTTCACAAAACCTGCCACAGTGTATGGATAAGACTAACACAACATATCAAACACATAATAACAACTTGGAATTTCTCTAGATAATTGAGAAGCTTTAGGTGCAATCTTGCCAAAAAAATTGTTTCAAAAGAAATTTTTACAGATGCTGCCAAAATACTCTATAGCCAAGCCCATAGCAAAATAAAACAAATCATAAATTATCAGCTATGACAGACTGGTAATCAAAACTAACAAGGTTTCACTATGCGGGCAATCCTCAACTCACTACAAGTTGTTTTACAAAAGTTCATTTGTAAGCTAATTGTTAGAAATCATAACTTATTACAGCAATATTCTCATTAGGAAATTAGTATCATGTATATGGAGCAAACATGAGCTTGGGATGCAAGACCCCAGAAGGGGACCTCAGCATAGTTTTGCTGTTTATTATCTGTGTGAACTTGAGGGAGTCACTGTACTTAACTGGATCTTAATTTATGCAGCTGTAAGTTGACTTAATACCAAGTTCATAGTGCTATTGTAGGAATTTAATATAATAATAGCTAAAAAGCTACCCCAGTGCCCTCTACTCTTACCCATAGCCATTTATGTTCCTTTTTCAAGTATTTCTCTATATCAGAGAGTATTGGCTGGCAGGTCATAGAGGAGCATCAGTGAGTTCATGAACCCCTTTAAATTGTATGCAAAATTTGGTAGGTCTGTTGCAACAGGTAATGGGCTTCATCAAGCGGCTGTCTAAGGGAATGATTAAAAACCATTGTTCTATAGCCACTTTCTTGAATGTTTCAAAATTAGAAAATGACAAATGTTTAAAAACAATGACTGGAAGCACTCTCTGCACTTAAGTTGCTGTTCTGCCCAACTGTATTATCCCAGTAAAGTCTTACATATCTGTCAAGATGGATACAAGCATGATTTTCTCAGAAGAGCATCCTTGACCATTTCGCTTTCATCATGTTCCATCCCAATATGCGCCACTCCATTTGCATCACGTCCCACCCCAAAACACACCACGTCTCTCTCAACATAGTAACTTGCATATGCCTCTACTCTAGTACTCATCACACTACACAATAACTATTTTTTATGTCAGTAAGTTCTAGTTTTATATGCTCAAAAATTTCTAGTCAAATAAATATGAATTTTTTCACAAAAATAAATGTATACTTAGATTTTATTTAAAGTAGCCATTTTAATCGATGAGAAGCATACAAATCAGGAAGTAATTTTGCTTTTTTAAAAGAACTCTGAGTGTAACAAATCTAAGTTCAAATCGTTACTCTGATGTTAAACCTCCCTGAAATTCAGCTTTCCTATCTGTACAATCAAGATAATTACACCTAAATGAATGTTGCATATGAATAATATTTACAAAGTATGGGTATATTTCTTGCACGTGACAGGTACCACCAGCATCACACCACCAACTACCACCATTATTATTTCTATTAGTTATTCAGGAGTGACAGGTACAGGCATACCTCTTTTTCCTGCACTTCACTTTATTGTGCTTCTCAGATATTGTGATTTTTACAAATTGAAGGTTTGTTGCAACCCTGCATTGAGCAAGTCTATCAGCACCATTTTTCTATCAGCATGTGCTCATTTCATGCCTCTGTGCCACATTTTGGCAATTCTCACAATATTTCAAACTTTTTCATTATTATTATATCTATTATGGTGATCTGTAATCAGTGATTTTGATGTTACTATTGTCATTGTTTTGGGACACCATGACTGTGCCCCCATAAGATGGCAGACTTAACCAATTAATGTTGTATGTGTTCTGACTGCTCCGGTGACCAGCCATTCCCCCAATTTCCTCCCTTCTGTAGGGCCTCTCTATTCCCTGAGACACAAGAGAATTGAAATTATGCTAACTAATAATCCTAAAATGGCCTCTATGTGATCAGGTAAAAGGAGAATTGCATGTCTCTCACTTAAAATCAAAAGATAGAAATGATTAAACTTAGTGAGGAAAACATGTCAAAAGCCAAGATAGACCAAATCTAGGTTTTGTGTGCCAAACAGCCAAGCTGTGAATGCAAAGGAGAACTTCTTGAAGGAAATTAAAAGTGCTACTCCAATGAACACACAAATGATAGGAAAGCAAAGCAGCATTATTGCTGACATGAGTAAAATTTGAGTGGTTTGGATAGAAGATCAAACCACCCACAACATACCCTAAAGTAGGAGCAAGCCCCTCTTTTCAATTCTATGAAGGCTGAGAGAGGTGACAAAGCTGAAGAAGAAAGGTTGGAAGGTAGCAGAATTGGTTCATTGGGTTTAAGAAAAGAAGCCATCTCTATGACATAGAAGTGCCAAGTGAAGTAGCAAGTTCTGATGGAGAAGTTATCCAGGAGATCTAACTAAAATCATTGATGAAGGTGGCACACTAAACACCAAATTTTCAATGTTGGTAAAACAGCCTTCTGTTGGAAGAAGATGCCATCCAGGGCTTTCATAGCTAAAGAGAAGAAGTCAGTGCCTGGTTTCAAAGCTTCAAAGGACAGGCTGACTCTCTTGTTTGGGGTTAATGCAGCTGGTAACTTTAAGTTGAGACCAATGATCATTTACCATTCCAAAACTTCTAGGGCCCTTAATAATTGTGCTAAATTTACTCTGTCTGTGCTCTAGAAATGAAACAACACAGCCTGGATGGTAACACATCTGTTTACAGCATGGTTTACTGAATATTTTCAGTCCACTGTTGGGACCTACAGCTCAGAAAAATAAAAGAAATTCCTTTCAAAATATTACTGCTTATTGACAGTGCATCTAGTCACCTAAGAGCTCTTACGGGGATGTACAAGGAGATGAATGTCGTTTTCATGCCTGCCAACATAACATCCCTCCTGAAGTCCATGGGTCAAGGAGTAGTTTTGACTTACAAGTCATATTATTTAAGAAATACATTGTGTAAGACTGTAGCTGCCATAGTAGTGATTCCTATAATGAATCTCAGCAAAGGAAGTTGAAAACCTTCTAGAAAGGATTCATCAATCTAGATGCCATTAAGAACATTTATGATTCATGGGAGGAGGTCAAAATATCCACATTTACAGGAGTTGGGAAGAAGTTGATTCCAACCTTCATGGATAACTTTGAGGTGTTCAAGAATCCAGTAAAGGAAGTCACGGTAGGTGTACGGGAAATAGCAAGAGAATTACAATGAGAAGTTAAGCTTGAAGATGGAAGTGAATTGCTGCAATCTCATGATCAAACTTGAATAAATGAGCAGTTGCTTCTCATGAATGAGCAAACAAAGTGGTTTCTTGAAACAGAATCTACTGCTGGTATAGATGCTGTGAACAACGTTGAAATGACAACAAAGGATTTAGAATACTTCATAAATGTAGTTGACAAAGCAGTGGTAGAGGTTCAGAGGATGGCATCCAATGTGGAAAGAAGTTCTACTGTGGGTAAAATGCTGTCAAACAGCATGTTCTCGCATGTACAGAGAAATCTTTCATGAAAGAAGCAATCGATGTTGCAAACTTCATTGTTTTAAAATACTTCCACAGTCACTCCAAACTTCAGCAACCACCACCCTGGTCAGCAGCCGTCAACATCAGAGGCACGGCCCTCCACTTACAAAAACATTAGAACTTGCTGAAAGCTTGGATGATCAGTAGCACTTTTTAGCAATAAGGTATTTTTAAATTAAGATATCAATGTCATTGTTTAGACATAATGACAGTGCACACTTAATAGACTATAGTGTAGTGAAAACATATCTTTTATATTCACTGGGAAACCAGAAATCATGTGACCTGCTTTATTGTGATATTTACTTTATTGCAGTGGTCTGGAACCAAATTCATCTGATTTTGACACCGACTATGGTTCAGAGAATATCTGAGCAGGGACAGCCTTCCAGGAGGTAAAGAACATAATGATGTTTCTGGAACTTCATACAAAGAAGCAGACTACTTTCATGTGATCACCTGGCTCCCAGTGCACTCCAGAGTTTCAAGGCATACTGTTCTCCTTGTCTACAACAGTGTGTGATTCTAACTAGATGGGCCACCACTCTGTATCTCACAGCTGTGTAGTACATGGTTGAGTTTGTAGGTGTGAAGAAGGTAAACGTCAACAATTTGGCCCCTGAAAATGAGGACACTGGCTCAGGGCTGAGGATTCTGACTTTCTACTCAGCAATGTATTATCATCGCTAGTCAACGTGAACCACATTAAGAGAGAGCCTATTAAAAGCCTTTCCCACTTTTCCCCAACCCCACAGTCCTTCATTACTACTTCCCACCTGCCTGAAATTGAGAACATCTAACTCACAATCCACCCACAAACACTTTCTCCACCTTCCATCCCATCTTAGAATAAGAACCCTTTTCCTTTTCATTGTGAACAGCTCCACTTGTACTCTATTTTCATTTTTTCTCTAGAAATGTGCTCCATAAGATATCCCTACCATGACTTCCATTCTCTTTTGAACGTTCAACCTCTCCCTGTCTGCCTGGCCTTTCCTCTCTGTCTTAAATCTAACACAATCCCAAATCCTGATACTCCACTGAACTGCTCTTCTCCCTCATTTTTTTTTCACTTCAATGACAAACTCCTTAAAATAGTTTACTTTTCTAGTCTTTTCCTATATCTCTTTACCAGATCCAGCCTTTCCTCTTCTTTCAGCTACTTGCAGCAAAATAATGTTCCCCAGAGTAGCTACATGTAACTTTAGAAGCATTGAAAATGTATGCATTCTTTGCCAAAGCCTTTTCTAAACCAAGGAATGAGTTATTCAGCACACACACACACACCACACAGCAACACGTCCTAAATACACTTTGGACCTCTCACCTTACCCACAGAGTTTCTGCTGTCCATGGCAGATCTTCCCAATCTCCTCTTTCTTGAAAATTATTCCAAAATGTTCTCTCCCTACCCCACACCAGTTCTCTATCTTCAGATAAACATACTATGGAAGATGATCTATTATTCTCATTCGTCTGAGCCAGGGCAATGCAAACAAAGACACACCTTCTCAAAGAAGGTCCAATATACTAGGGTCCACAGGGGTTCCTGTATTCACAGCTAAAAATATACCACCACTCCATTCCACTCTGGCCCCTGGTCATTTTCTTCTGTTTCTTCTGTTTTTTCTTTGTTATGCCCCTAAGGATGGGATGGCCTAGCACATGGGACTTTGTCCATCAAGCTCTCTTCTAATGAACCTGACACCAGGAAATGTGTTCTCAGGAAGAAGCAAAGCATCAAAATTCAATCCATCAACAGACAAATGGACAAAGAAAATGTGGTATCAACACACAAGAGAATACTATGCAGCCTTTAAAAAGAAGGAAATCCTGTCATTTCCTTCTTTTTAAAGGCTGCATATTTTAAAACCTGGGAGGATACTAAGCCAGGCACAGAAATAAATACTGCATGATTTCATTTTCACATGGAATCTAAAAAAGTTGAGCTCATAAAAACAAAGTAGAATGTTTGATACCAGAGGCCTGGGGACTGGGAGGAGGAGAGATGTTGGTCAAAAGGGACAGAGTTATACTTAGAAAGGAAAAATAAGATTTAGAGCTCTATTACACAGCATAGTGACCATAGTTAATGATAGCATAATGTATAGTTCAAAACTGCTTTTAAAAAAGTAGACTTTACATGCTTTCACAACAAAACAAATGAAAAATAGGTGAAGTGATGAATATGTTAATAAGTTTAATTTCATCTTTCTACAATGTGTACATATATTAAAACATAACATTATACCCTATAAATATATGCAATTATTATTTGTCAATTTAATTAATTAACTTCTAAAAATTCAATCCAACTGCCTTTATAGCCTTTGCTCAAACTTGCTATTTGATTTTGTTCTCTGCAAACTGCCATGGAGGCCCTGTTCTCTTAGTCTATTCTGGAAGCCCTCATATATATCACTCTTGGCTATAAATTGCTCTTACATGAACTAATCCATCTACTTTTGAATCTTCAAAATGATCCCCATTATGTCTTCAAGAAACCCCACTGCATAAAATGCTTTCCTCCTTCCAGTTGATAAGTGCTTATAAATCTGGCATATGATTCGATGACTTTGAACCAAGTCTCCTACTCTTTCAACAGTTGCTCAATATTCCGTCATTGAAATAGAGGACTTTGTGGCTTTGCATCTATACATAATGTTAGATGCTGTTTCTCTTACTTAATCCCCATCACCCTCACTTCTCAGGAGCATGATGGTGATGTATGGTTGTATGGTAGACACAGAAATAATAAGATTTAGTATTTAATGCATACCTACTCTTAGTCATAACTTTAAAAATATTTCATTTAATCCTCATAATAATCCTGCCTTGTAGATATTATTGCCAGTTTACAGATGAAGAAAGTGAGTTTTAGAAGTTGAAGAAACCCGATTAGTTATCAGAGTCAGATTTAAACTCAAATCTACCTGACTCAAGTACTTTTGACAAAGATAAGTTGCACTAATGTTCATGTTACTAATTAACACCTAATGAACAATGTATAATTCAAAAATGACACAAATTTTGTGAGAAAATATAATTATTCACTCATTTAATTTTTCACTCTGCTTTAAGCCTCCCTAATTCTAAAAGTAGAAAAATCAGCCAAGTACAGATTACCTATATTTAGCTGTAATATAGAAAAAGAAAAAAGTTGCAATGAAATTCAACACTGAGAAAAATGTTTCTTAATCTAATTAAGGCTATTTAAAAGAAAAAGAAAACTAAAGAAAGCAACCTACTGAGCTTAGAAGCATTCCTATTAAAGTTGGAAACAAGACAAATTACCAACTATCACCACTTCTACTCAACATTGTCCTACGAGCCCTTGCCAATAAAACAAGAGAAATAAGAGTTAAAACAATTAGAAAACAAATTAAAAAGGGCTTCTTTGCTCTTCAATATGGATGCAGAAAGTCCAAAAGAATAAACAAACAAAACAATACTGGGAGAATTCAGCACTACTGCAGGACGCAAAACCAGTGTACTAAAATCAGTGTACTCTTACATAGCAGTAATAATCAACTAGAAAACAGTAGGAAAAAAGTTATCATTTGTGATACCTGTGGAGCTACAAAGTAATTAGGAAGAAATCTAACAGAATATTTTAAAAATATTTCTAATATAGTAAATTACCAAACCAAAAAATCTTAAATATCATAAAAATGTAAGCTGCAGCCTAGTTAATCTCTAAATTCAATGCAATGTCAATGAAAATCTCCACAATGATATTGATATGGAAAAACAAAGACAACTTTTAGTGAAAAAACAAGGTGAGGAGCAGACCTTGTCTTTATAGCTGACTAAAAACTATAATAATTATGGCAGTGTGGTGGTAGGTCAGAGTTTTGTTTTTTTTTTCCAAATAGACAAGTGAAAGAGACTAGAAAGCCAAAATACAGATACATTAATACATACAAACTTGATACACGGCAGGAATAAAATGATCTGTTCAGCAAAAGAAGCGAGGATAACTGCTTATTTATACAGGAAAAAACTGGATCCTCATATACAAAAATAAATTAAACTTAAAATTTTTGAAAGAAAATATGGAAGGAAATCTTAGTGAAAAGAGAAACCACAGATTTGGAGAATACATTTATAAATCATTTAATCAAGGAAAATTAACATCCAGAATATATGTAAAACTCCTACAAATGACAGACTCTTTCTTAGACCAAATTTCAGTTAGGCTCCTCTGAGGTCTCTTCTCAACCAGACCTTCGACTTCTGTGTCCATTTTTGCAGAATTCAGTCATAGCAAGAATCCTGCCAAGTCAGTTTAGCAAGAATCCCCTCATCCTTTATATATGATCACTCTTAATATCTGATCAAATTCCTCATTCCCTCTGACTCAGGGAAAAATCAAATAATTATTTTTAAAAAATTCTTCATTCTCCACCATCCCCAAAGTGATATATAATCACCCTGGCCTGCCTTCAGCAAGAATTCCATTAAATTGGTTTAGTAGGAATCCCCCTACCCTTGATGTTTTCTCTTAAGAATATTCCATGCATTCTTCCCCTCTCTCTGCTAATTGGCTATAAATGCCAACCTGTCTTTACTTTATTTAGAGTTGAACCCAATCTCTCTCCGCTGTTGCCATAGAAGCAACCCTTATTGCAACAGTCTTGAATACACTCTTCCTTACTGTTTTAACAAGTGTCAGAATAGTTTTTTCTTTAACACAAATCATTAAGAAAAAAAAACTCAACTAAAAATGTGCAAAACAGATGAATAGGAAACATAAAAGTAAACTTATGACCAAAACGCATATGAAAAGATGCTCAACTGCACTATAATCAGAAAGACAAATCAGAAAAAGATACCACTTCAGACTTATTAAATTGGCAATAATCTTTTTAAGTCTGAAATTTCCAAGTATTGCTAAAGACAAAGAGAAAACAGGAATTATTTTTTGCTGTTCATGAGAAGGTAAACAAACATAAGAGGCTGGAAAGCATTTTGTTGTTATTCAGCAAAATTAAATGTGTGCATACTCCATGACCCATTTTTACACATCTATTTATTAGATAATAATATATATGTATATGATACATATTAATATATAATATAAAACTTTATATATGTGTTTATATGTGTATATATGTAAATATATATATTATATATATGTATATAAAAAACTATTCACAGAGGGAAAAGAAAAACCTAAAAGTCTACAGATTATCTCCAGAACTCAAAACTTCATAACATTGGAATTGTGTTTGCATGGACCTGAAAGCACATTCCAAAGGATTAAAATTATAAACTCCACAAAAATGCTGACTATTTAAATGTTTATCACACAATTAATGAGAATGTTATCTTTTCATATGGATATCAAAGTAGTCCATGACTGACACCCATAAGAAACTGACTGTTCTCCAAACAGAGTAAATAGTACAGATTTTTGTACCTTTAAAAGCACATTCATACCTAATCTTATTTGATTATACTAGCTGACCTAAGAGTTGGCAATATCAACATTTTGTTTGTTTGTTTAAGATAGGGTCTCACTGTTGCCCAGGCTGGTCTTCAACTCCTGGACTCTGGTCTTCAGCTCCTGGACTCAAGTGATCCACCTGCCTTGGCCTCTCAAAGTGCTGGAATTACAGGCATGAGCCAACAGTGCCTGGCCCAATGTTTGTTTTATTTTTTAATGAACTTTCTGTGTAAATGTTGATGCCACCAGCCTCCACAAGAATGGAATATACTAGCTGGCCAAATGATTAGCTAACATAAGGAACCAGAACAGATAACCCTAGATCCCTCCTGACATTAGCTATCAAATAAAATGCTTTTGTCAAATTTACATAACTTGGACAAGCTTTTATCTGGGGAAAAGCAAGTAGTTCTTAATGTAGTGTTTTCCTTCCTTGGCAAGTGGCTCTAGCTGGTATTTCAAGGCTCTAACAGAGAATCGGTGGTGCAAAGCCTGATAAATCGTCATTTGAATAGCAAATTATATTGGACTTTAAGATTCTCTTCCATTAAGAGAGAGTAAATGTTCCAAATTCTCTTAATTTATCTGACAGGTCAAAGGCAGGCTTGTGGGCATTTATATTCAGAAGGTTGTCTTTATTACTAAATTACCTATGAGCTTTTAAAGTCCAGCTTTACTTTCTAGAAAATCTACTCAAATTTTAAGGTAGATAAGAAAAATGAGAAAGAATGGAATTCTGTATATTTTACCTTCTCATTTTGTTACCCTAACCTAGAAGGAACATATACAAATAGATTCAAACAGCTATGTGGTTTATTACAAGAAGTCATCTTTTTAAGTGATGATCTTTACATAATTAAGCATATGGATTTAGAAGCTATTCCCAAAGGTGCAAAAGATGAAGTGATGCGACTTGATGACTATGATAAAAACTAAGAAAAGACAAAAATGGTAAATGGAAGAGGGAGGGAGATGTATATTTATCACAAGTGTACAATGTATTAGACACAATGTTGCATAGTTGACCCATAAGAAATTATTTCACTTTCACAAAAATCAGTAAATTAAGAATCTTTGCTCCTCATTTAACAGATGAGCAAAGGCTCAAAGGTGTTAATTATTTTTTCCCAAATCAAACAACATATTTTAATCCTAAGATGCAAACAATGGCCTGTGTAATTCCAAAGCCTATGCTTCTCTTCCACATCCAACTGCCTTGCAAGAAAAGGAGACTCAGAAGAAGCACCAGGAAAGTATTACAGCAGCTAAAATGGTGACAGAGCAAGGATGGTATCATGTTACCAAGACCACCTCATAAGTAACTCAACAGGGAGGGGAGGGGCTCCAGCGAAAAACCTGCCTTTATATTTCTAGCATTTAGCCCACAATAGGTACTCACTTACGTGTTAAACTATAGGAATGGCTCAGGAAGAAAGAGTGAATGAGGATTAGGAACATAGCTTGTGGCCCACGCCTGTAGTCCTAATTACTCTGAAGGCGGAGTGGGAGCATTGCTTGAGCCCAGGTGTCTGAGGTTACAATGACCCTGTCTCAAAAAAAATGAATAATTTAATTTAATTTTAAAAAGAGGAATATCACATGCTGCCTAGAACAACCACTTACATTATTCTAAAAATGTTCAGAGAATAGGTAGTGAGTTTAGAAACTGTACATGATTAAGCATGTACGGAGATGATGAGGAAGGCTGGTTAACAAATGGAAACAATAGGCAGCGTAGTGTAAGGTAAGTTAACCAAACAGACCAGGAAACAGGATTCCTGCACTTCAATCCTAATGTGGTACCTGTGTGACCTTGGGTAAGTTCCTTACCTTCTCTGTACATCAGTTTCCAAATCTGCAAGATGGAAATAATAATCGTACTTGCCTCACAGGGTTGTTACTGTGAAGATTAAACGAGTTAATATATGTAAAGCATTTAAGAATATGTCTAACATATATAGTCTTATTTCAGAATTAGCCAATCTTTAGAAAAGTTGGACAGTTGTGGGAAAGAAGGTTTGAGAAAACTTGGGAGTAGCAGATTGAGGAAAAAAATAACACCTTGAGGTAGAAAAGATGGAACTTGTTTGTAGACACGGGAAAAGGAGAGATTCAGGAAAGATAAATGAAAACAGGCCAGATGTGGTGGCTCACACCTGTAATCCCAATACTTTGGGAGGCTAAGGCAGTAAGATCACTTGAGACCTGGAGTTCAAGATCAGCCTGGGCAACATAGCAAGACCCCATTTCTACACAAAAAAAATTTAGTTAGCCAGGCATGGTGGCATGTGCCTGCAGTCTCAGCTACTTGGGAGGCTGAGGTGGGAGGATCCCTTGAGGCTAAGGAGTTTGAGATTTCAGTGAGCTCTGATTAAGCCCTGCACTCCAGCCTGGGTTATGGAGTGAGACCCTGTCCTAAAACAACAAAACAAAACAAAACTGGAAGAGGCCACAGGAAAGATGAGAATATTTAGAGGAACTGGCCTTAAAAAGGAGAAAGGACACCAGTTCTGGCACAAAGGGGACAGTGGAGAGAAGATGAGGACCCAGAGTAGTTTTTTTAAGAAGTAACAGAAGTAATGAGGTGAGACAGCAGAGTTCACACATTCCAAATCATCATCTCAGTCTCCTTGTTAAAGTAAGAAAATAAGAAATAAGAATTTTGTGGAGTAATAAAAAAAAAACTTTAGAACAGTTTTTCATGAATAAAAGTATACTTCATATCAGTGAAAGTAGGCTAAATTCAGTGGATTCAGGTACCAATTTTCATGACCTTAGCAACACATAGAGTAAAGCCAGATAAAATGACCTGTCCAGGGCAGGGATGCTCTGAGATAGACCCAGTGAGAGAGAAATTCCACTAACAGCAAAGACAACCCAGAATTTCTCCTCATGATTGGCTATATCATCTGCCTCTAGTTACTGTTTTTATGTAAGTACCAGTCAATCAAGATCAGTGGAAATCATTTCTTATGTCATTTTATTATTTGTATAGTTTTCTATTTTAATTAATTGTTATTATAGGGGAAATTAACTAATTTCTGTTTTTAAATCTTGTGATGTTCAAGAACTATATGATTTAAAATAGTAAATGGTCTTTTAGTGAAATAGTGCAGACCAGATATACATATTTATCTCTAGTCCATCCTGAAATGCCCTCTTGAAGCTATGTCCTTATAAAGGAATAAAGACATAAAACTGCAAGGACAGGAGGAAAGAGAGACAACATGACAGCATTGAGATTTGTATTTTGGAAGATGGAAAGAGGAAGGCAAGTTCTGACTGACTTCACAAAGAAAGTCAACAAGAAGCAAAGTGATGCAGGACCCAGAACCTCAAAAAAGTTCAGGGATTAGAGGCACCAAGTACTTCTGAAGGCAGAGGGCAAAGACCGGAACTAAACATAAGAGAAGTGGCTGCAAGTCTATTTAGGGAACAAGTAGAACCTCAAGTCCTTCCTCCCAAGCCAATGTGGCAAGGCAGCCACCCCAAATGATGACTGGAGATCTACCCCTGGGGAAAGTGAACTAGAGAGACCCTCAATTCAAAGACACAAAGCAAACTGAAGACAGTTGGGAAGTACAGTACTAAAGAAAGGGGTGTTATGTCAAATATTCTTAGTGCCCCAGTCCCCTTCTCCTCCCACTCCACTTCCCAAGTGATAGCCAGTAATATTCTACCCTTCTTCCCACCGCCAGGCAAGAATGGAGAAAAACACACCACCCAAAAGACTGGTAGACAAGCCCCATGCATATATGTACACACAGAACTTCCAGTCAGTTTTTTTTGTATTTCATACTTAAAAAAAAAAAAAGAGTGCTTTCCATTTTTCTGTGCAAAATGTGTAATATTTCAGTTATGTTATGGAAGGGTGGAAAGTTTGGAATCTGTGAACTCTGCTGTCTCACCTCATCTGTTACTTCTTGAAAACTGCTCTGGGTCCTCATCTCCTCTCCACTGTGCCCTATGTGCCAGCACTTAGAATAATGCCAAGTATATGTTAAGTACTGGAAAAATACTTGTTGAATGAATTATGTGTATTTAAACTCTCATGGAGGCCCAACCACCTCAAAAATGTTAGCATTCTATTCATAGAGTGTCACTTCATATCAGTCATCAACAAAGAAAATCTCCCTAACATCTCCACACTTTGCAGCTAAATTCTATTTTATTGCACCTCAACTTTACACATAAAATTCACAATAATCAACTTCTAAAAATCACTTTATATTTAATAGTATCTATTCTTAAATGAAAGCACAGGAAATTTCATAAAAAGAGAGACTGATGACAGATTGCTGGAGGAACGAGCTCCAGGGTCCCTCTAGTGGCCTTGAAGAGCTGACACCCTCCCCAAAGTACCAAACATTCCTCAGCAATCAACATCCAACAAACACCAAGGCTGTGTCTGGGCTGGGGAGCCCCACCCGGCTGCAGAGATAGTGAAATGACTCCACACTTGGCTACACAGGAACGTCGAAGAGAAAAACACAAAGCATGTCACAAGGTGACATGTGACACATTACCTAGTAACAATAACTGAATAACTGGGGAAATAGCATCTTGTGCACCCCTCTTTTTCCTACATCTTCCTTTTTACCCCTCTGTGACCCCCACTTTTCCCCAAAAAGCATGCACGTGCCCACACGCATGCCACATAGACTGTTGTGCCTCACACTTAGTAGGCCTGGAGCAAAGGTATTAAGGAACTCTCAAATCATTTCGTCTAAATATTTAAAAGTTATAATCAAGCTAACTGTTAAATGTTAATATCTTCTATTATTTCACTGTGATAAATATGCTTCCATGAAAACAAAATAAAAACATATGTGTAAAACTATGATTTTTATATGACTAAACACAGATAAAACACCAGAGACTTCTAAATTTAAATATTATTGCTTAGCTGAGTATTCTGTAATGAGCCAGAATTGCTTGGATGAATAATAAAGACATTCCTAAGTCATACAGTTTAAGTATTCTATAACATGTCTTTGTTCTTTCTACATTTCAGCAAGATCAAAAATTATGCTTTTATAATCTAGATTTTCACATAATTTACATTCTATTGACAGTAATGCCAATTAGACCACCTTTCTTAACTCACTGTAATTTTTAGAGAGTTCCTTATTATTTTCAATTTGGAAAAACTTTGTTGAAGCAGTGACAGCCGGGATTGTCAACAAAATTCTTAAATCCATACTTGTAACTCAAATTGAACCCTGAGTTATATTATCATGTTCAATCCTTTTAATGGGGTCACCTAGGTTAGATTATTTTTATAATATAAAATATTAGAAAGTATTTTAATTTTATTATTAAAATCACTATCACTTATATTGTAATACTTACTCTCTTAAAGCAATATCCAGACCTACTTATTTCTTAAATTTCATTTCTTTTGATTTTTTGTGCAATGTAAACAAAACTGAAAATTGCAGTCTGTTGCTCAATTTGTTTAAATGTCTATTTATTTGAGACTATACCTTCAACCAAAATAGCGAGAAAATAGTCCCCATAAGAAATTAACGTCAAAACTATTATCTCAAGGCCTGGTGCAGGGCTGTCACCCTGGCACGCACCTTCTCTTCTTTCTTCAGCTGCCTTCTTATTCCTGGAAGTGTATTTCCAGAATCTTAGTTCCATTATTCCCTCTCACTAGATAGGTAGTTTACCTAGGTTTATAATTCCACAGTTGTTTTCATTCAGAATATTGAAGGAATTGTGCCACTGCTCTCCAGCATTGATGTGGGGAAGTCCACTACCATTCAGCTTCCAGGTCCCTTGTGTGTGACCTGTTTGATTATTCTCAAAGTCTTTAGCATATTTTCTTCCCCGATATTTGCATGACTGGTTCTTTCTCATTATACAATTCCCTACTGACACCTTGAGGGACCTTTTCTGAACAGTCAATCAAAAGAAGCTCCCACACATCACTCTCACATCACCATGCTTTAGTTTCATCAAGGTAGGTTATTACTATATGATATTTTCTTGTTTTGCTCATTTCTATATTTTATGTTTCCATTGAATAAACTGTAAGCTCCTCAAGAATTTGCTTCTGAATTTCCAGTGCCTAGGACAATGAACAGGAACTCAATAAATGTTTATTGAATAAGTAAATGAAAGCATTACTGTCATAAGTGGAATAAAAACAGCCTTCTGATTTTATTTCAAAATTATGTAAAACAGGATCATGTCGAGGGCCTCATCTTTGTCATGGTGCTTAGATTTACTGCAAACATGTCTTCTGCCCATAGCTAATCCTAAATCAGGAGCCTTAAATCTTTAACTAAAATATAACTTTGGAGAAGTTAAACTTATTTGTTAATTATGATTTAAAAAAATAATTTAGCCTCTCACAAAAGCTGAAGGCTTTGACAGCCATCCTCCTTTCTAAATATAAATATGCCTATCAGCTCATTCTGATACTCAAGGCACATTTAGCAGCTAGTTTATCCTAGTAGGTTCATCAGAAGGAACTTTCCTGAAATCAGGAGAGGTCACACTGAGTTTCTAGTATGGTCAAGGAGGTGATCAGCCCTTTAAATATTTTAAATCTCAAACTGTATCTCTTCCGTGCTTTGTGTTACAGGACTTGAGGATCCCAGGGGAGAACTTGTTCAAGGTTGGACCAGGTTCAAAGCTCCTTCTCTGTAGAAGTGTAGCCCTGCCTAAAGTTATCTTGTTAACGCTGGAAAGATACAGGAAAATCTTCCATCAGAGCAAGAATTCAAGTTAGGCTCCAAATTTCATGGCAGATTATCCCTCTGCCATCTGGTATCTAAAGAATTATTAATCAATGTTTAAATTAGCAATATAGCTGACTGGCACCTCTTGAATGACTTGTCAGAGTTCAACCACAATCTCACTATAATCCAGTATTTGCCAAAAGCTTGTGTAAGGCAACTAGAATTTAGACACATGGTATAAGGAAGGGTTTTAACTACTATTCTTTAGGCTTTCTCTGCTGTGCCTCGCATTAAATAATATATCCTCAGAAAGCAATATCCTTGGGTCAAATTATTTTTCCCCACTACAAAAAATAAATATTTAACAGTTGATGTTGTCATCTTGCTTACAGTAGAGCAGCAACATAAGGAAGGCAGTCCAGCAAAGTATATAAGAACACAGGCTTCGGTATAAGGCAGCCTTGGTACTAATCCAAGCTTTGCCATTAGGAACTGAGCATCTTTGGGTTTGCTATTTAACCTCTCTAAGTCATACTCTCCTAATTACAACAGCACTTGCCCCCTAGGTTATTAGGAAGATCAAATGAAGTAATTCATCTAACGTTCTAGGCATAGTCCTTGAGCATTTAATGAATGTTAATTGTAATTATTATTGTAAGAAATTATATACTTGAACATTTCCAGATTCTTTGCAAACTCTTGGCTGAAAGCATCATTCATTACACTGCAAAAAATAATTTCCTCTTAGCTGAGTGCTAACACAGAACTGGCTCTTCAAATACACTTGAGATTTTCCTTAATCAGGTGGAGAGAAGCATATGACCAATCATGTTTTCTTTCCAGAAGGAAACTCAGGTATTTGCCATAATAATCTCTTCCAGATTGCTCTATTTTTTTTGCTTTTTTTCCCCTTAACTGGCTTTCCTTTTTATTTTGTTTTTAGCTGTTCACTTTTATATCATGTTTAACTATATAGCTTGTGGATCTGCCATTCACTAGCTGAGTAAACCTGGAGGGGTTATTTAACATCTAAAGTTCCACTTTCTTCATCTGTCAAATGAGAATTGTTGTAGACACCAGTGATACTATCTTTTCAGCATCCCTTTTTGATAACCACTCCTCTACTCCATCCACATTCCCTTGATACCATTAAAGGGGCCCAGCCCTCTAAGCACTTAGATTAGTCTAGAAGTGATCATCTAATTCAAGCTGAACCAGGAAGACACTTGCCAGAGATTTTGGATTTAGGACTGAAAGAGTCAGGTCAATTTCCTTCTAGTAGCTGAAATTATAAGACAAACCTCAGGAACTGCTAGTGGCTATGTATCCCACTTATGGAAAAGATAGCCTACAGTGAAAGAAAAGAATGATACTAAGAGACAGGAAAGAGAAGGAGGGAGAGTCCTAGGGGTTCTAATGTTTCCTAGGTTCTTGTTTTTCCTGTAGCTTGGCTGTTCTATTAGTCATCTAGTAT
The DNA here is from genome assembly GCF_000001405.40 of Homo sapiens. NCBI lineage: Eukaryota > Metazoa > Chordata > Mammalia > Primates > Hominidae > Homo > Homo sapiens. The sequence goes on from NC_000004.12 coordinate 102,303,667, forward strand.
CTTTCCAGTAAGTTGTCCTTTGTGCATATATAATTTTGTTTGATTTCTATCACTTGAAACCAATATAGTTCTAATACATAAGAAATAATCCCTACACTGAGTAGTTGTTATAAAAAGTAAATGAGATCAAATAATTAAGTGCTAAGCATATTACCTGGTATATGATACGTGCTCAAGAAATTGTGCCTATTAATATTATTTAGAAGATGTGGATATAAATATAAATTATAAGTCAGACAATTAATAAAAACAATTTTAATAATTTGCAAATCTTCTTGCAATTTCAAAATCAATCAAAGGATTATTTGATTCTGGATCTTCAAAGAATTGTAAAATAAATGCTCTGAATAAATTTTGCTATATAATATTGTATAAATGCAATTGAGAGACTCTCATATAGTAAATAATCTTAGAGAATAATGAAGTCCAGAACAGTGATCCACAATTTCTTTCTTAACTCACTTGTTTAGAGTAAACATATACAGGGAAGGTGGAAAAACAATGCAGACTTACATTCCAGTTACCCCACATATATAGGAATAAGTCTGACATACATAAATGTACAAAAACTGACTTAGCTGCATAAACAGTCATGTTTACACAGTATAAAGAATGCAGTATAATGAAGGAAAAATGGAATTAACATATACCTGTAGAGATACCACACTGACATTATCAAAATGGATATGTCCATTAGCTTCTGTGACAGCAGGATTTGCATAGCATGTCACACCATTGATGGCAGGTAATGCTTTAGGTTGATGAGTTTTTTCTTGAGGACCAAAGTTATCATTTCCAAAGTGGGTATGACCATTCTATATGGGAACAAAAACCAAAGAGATTATAAGAAGAAAAAAGATGATTCATACAGACAAGGAAATAGAGTTTACTGCTTTTTATTTATAAGAGGAAAATTGTATGTCTATTCTATGTGTAAAGAAGTATTTTTAGATATATAAAATTTCTCTTTTTTACATGTATTTTCATTTATTAGATTCTGCTGTTACTGTTTGTTCGTGTTAGAACACGTATACACTCTTATTTTGATGAATATGAATAGAATATGAATTATGCACATCTGTTATTCAATATTAAATTGCTGATACTTGAAAAAAAACAAAAATAACCTCCAAATTTTACAACATGAATCAAGTATTTATCTTATACTTGTCAATATATTGACTCTTTGTTCTCCTTAAACTCACAAGCCTAATAACTGGACCATTCTCATAATTCTAAAAATAAAATTTCTGTCTTTATTTGCCTATATAAAGTAGCTTTAGGGGGTAAAATATTGGATGTTTTAAATAAAGTCCATTTACCTGACCATATGTCTTTAATAACATCTTTAGCATTCTTTCAAAAAAGAAAAGTAGGTAAAATCCACCAAACACAGCAACTGCCTTCTCAACATAACTGTCGACTTTGGGATCAAATCCAAATGCCTAAGGGAGAAAAAAGGGCAATTCAAGTAAAACCAAGAAATTTAACTTGATTTCTGGAAAATAATACCAGTATGCAATTCTCACCAATGTTCTAAGTCTCTCTTCACATCCAAGTAATATTGGAAACTTAGCTGCCAAAAATCACAAAACAAAAACTTTGAAATTTGAATGACAAAACTGTATGAGATGGCACAAAAACCTTACAACTAGAAGTCTCATTAAATAAAGCCACCAGAGAATCTTACAGTTTCCCACCTATAACACCTACAGCAATATTTGCCTTGAAAGAGTAAACTTTTAGCAGTAAAGCAGCAGCTCTGATTCTCATCTTTAGAATACGATATTAGGTCTAGATAATGAAGATAAATGAGATATTGATTACCTACTGTCTCTAAAAGTAATATATTAGTCCATGATATCCAGAATCAAACTTTTAAAACAAATATGGCAGGCCACTTGGATTACTGTTTTCCCAAGAGAAATCCTCTTATACCTACAGAACTGTGATAAATCCTAAAAAGGTAAATAAATCAAGGCCTAGGCCCAAGAATAAAAGCAAAAAGAAGATTTAAAATTGCCACCACTCTCTCTCTCTCTTTCACACACACACAGCAATAAGAATGGAATAATTCTTTCTTTAAAGGACAAAGAACTGGAGTTAGAGTTTGAAGTTATAAAGAGTCAAGATGTTCCTAACAGACAAGACACATAAACTTCAAATAAATAGAATCAGAGGAGAGACTAATGGGTGAAAAGCCACAACTTTACACCATTCCACACATTGTAAATCTCCCCTCTGAAGCAGAATAGAAGATGTCTGGGTTCTTGTCCTATGTTTGCCTCTGGGGAGACATCATGGCCGCATCCTCATTTGAATAACTTCTTTGTGCCTGTTTATACAATGCAAAATGGCTATATAAATATAAATGTTCCATTTACCTAACATTGAGGTTATGAAAATAAAGTGAAATAAGAAAAGGAAAATCATTTTGCTACAAAAAACTCTATGAAAATTTGAGAGATTATTACAAAGACAGATTCTTTATATTGTTAAACTTCAAGAAAATAGAAAACCTTAACATCATCAATGTAGAGTCTTTAGTCCACATACAGTATTAGTTTGTTTAATTTACTTTGACCCATAAAGCAGATGAGATAATAAATACATATATTATATCATATTAAATGTATTATGTATATAATACTCTTTTAAATCAGAAAATCTGTATTGTCATCCTAGCTTTGTTACTAGCTGATTGTAAGGCTATAATCAAATTATTTAACCACCCTAAATTTTAATATTTTTTATCTCTACAATTGAGGCTGTGAAATAGATATTATCTTAGGTCCTAGATCAAATAATGATAATAAATCTATAACTCTAAAAAGTTATATACCCACTTTCAATGTATAGCTTGAAAAATTAAAGGAAGCTTTAGTTATAATTTTCTAAAAATTACGAGATAAGGGTGGTACTCCCTGAAATACTATTAATATTTTCTCTCTGTATGGGGTTTGTCTCTCCCTGTGTGTGTGCATTGTGGGTGGCAGATACAGTCCATGTATACATATATTTCTCTAGTTCCCCTTTGTGGATCCCTTCTATGAAAGTCTCTTTCTCCTTTCCTTCCTCTTCAACATTGCCTCTCTTTTCCTTTCATTTATTTCCCTTCCTCCATTTCTCTTCCTTATATGGGCACAACACAGATTTGAAATAAATTGAATAGTGTGCACTATAGTCAAGATAGATCAATAACACATTTTATCAAAGAAAAAAAATAAGTTGCTATTTATTTATTAGTCCTCAATTGATATTTTTTCCACAGTTGGAAAAAATGAAAAGGTTTGTCAACCATGCTCTCATTTACTCTCTAGTCACTTATAACTGTAGTAAATATATGAGGGAATTTAGTGGTATATGTTAAATACATTATAAATTTACATTTGACATTTGCAGTACAGTTGACATTGCATGCTCTTTAGAAAAATAAATAAATAAATAAATAATGAAACAGTGTGTGGAAAAATTAAATTTGCCAAGTGCAAGGCAGAATAAAGTTTTAAGGCCTTCTGAGGTGTCCCAGAGCTGTCTGAGCACGTCCTAGTGGCTGGCCTCCTAGAATATTAATTTTGTCTCTGATAGTGATATCCACTGCAGCTTGGGACAAGCCTTTACAATTGCTGTGATTCAGCTTTCTCTTATCCAAGACACTATAAACTAGACCATAAAACGCTGTAAGAATTATGGAGGCTAAAAACATACAAAGTGCTAAAACGTTCAAAAGAAACAATTATTCACAGAAACAAATAGCCAACATCCTTACCTCTGGAATAAGTTGGAAAATTGCATTTGAAAAAAGAGTCCCAATAGCCAGCCCCACAAAAAAGGTCAAAATCTTTGGGAAATAAGATTTCTTTATCAGTGGAGTCAAAATCAATCCGAGGAGAGATGCCAGATTAATAATCGTCACTGACAGGAATCCATATCCCCAAACTGTGGGTCAGAGGGAAAAGAGAGTAGAAATTAATCAGAGCAAGGAACCAAATGATGTTTTCCTGTACATTAAGCTTAAAAGTGTCTTTAAAAGCTTAAGACACATATCTTCTTTAAAAGAACAAAATCTACTCAATGAAAAGTATATAGAAAACTGAGAATACAAATATGGCATAGCAAGCATTAATAGTAATACTGTTTATGTTTTAATCAGCCCTAAATCATCATTATGGGATTAATGAGTTTTACAGCTTGCAGGGAAATTGGAGAACATCTAGAACAGCGAACAGCGACAAACAATCTGAGATCCACAGGCTCCAAGCCACCTAGTTTCATCTATGGCTCAAGGAATAGATTAAAACAGCATTTTGAAAAAAAAGAAAAAACAGGGGCAGTGTGAGCCTCAGGACAAAGGTATGGGGTGATGGGTGGGAGGGCAGGGATGGAGATGGGTCACAGTGAGCTAGCTTCAAGGTGACCATAGCTGCTAACACTGAGTTTGTCACAATCATTTGTCTTCAGACTCCTGAGGACAGCATCTCCTCAGAGAAGGTGGCACCAGCAGCACCTCAGGTCCCCAGCTGGAGCCTCCTGGGAATCAAAGTCAGTCTGATGCAATAAGCACTCAGGAAGTGAGCACATGGGGCAGGAGGGAGCAGCTGCATTACATAACCCACCCTGTGAGACACAAATTAGGCAAAAATATTCCATACAGAAGAGATGCTGGTGACAGAAAAAGGTGGTGCATCTTTCATCTCTGGAGACCCAGGGCCTGGCACCCAGTAGGCACACAATAAGTATTGCTTAGAATAAAATGAATGAATACTATCCTAAGCTCTATAGCTAATGGCATGTGTGACCTATTGCCTTTGGGCCTCAATTTCCCTCTCTCTATCTTAAAGGGGCTGGTGTAAGGACAAAATGGGAACACAAGTGAAACATACCCAGGACAGTCACCTATGTGTGGGTGCAGGCTGAGATACAACGTGGCCTCAGGGCTGTGCAACATGTGACTTTGCCTCTGGCCCCACACACTGTACACAAAGTACAGTGTGACAGAGGAGAAAGCTGCCTCTGCATAGCCACTTCTTTAAAATATCCAGAAAGCATGTTTAAATGGTGGGCCACTTTTCTCCATGGCACTGTCAGTGGAGTACACTAGTAACACCTACAGCTCAGGGAGCATTTGCCATGTGCCAGGCCCTGTGCTAAGTGATCAACATATGTCAACTTATTTGAACCTCACAAAACCCTGTAAGAGAAATACTACTACCTCCTTCATACAGTTGGGGAAACCAAAGCAGATGGAATTCAAGTAACCTGCCAGAATCACGCAGATAGAAAGCTGGATTTTGAACCTGGACAGTCTGGCTCCCAGGCCCACATTTTTTAGCATATGCTTTATTATTCCTTTAGAGATAATCTCATTTTTCAAAAGCCCAAAGGACTCAATAAAACTGTAAAAATGTTTTCCTGAATTATACATACTTTATTAACACGAGATTGTTCACTATAATTATTGTTAGTCTAGAATTTCTATGTACAAATAAACAAACTTAGTAAATGTTCATTCAGCCTAGATGACGTGGACCAAACCATGGCTCCTGCCACCACACACACACAAACACACACAAGTGCAAACACACACACAGAGTGATACAAAGTCACCTGTGCTAAGTACCAAATGAAAAGGTCAGATTATAAATGGTACTATGTAACCCCGAGAATCATCACAGCACTGACCATGACGACTGCATCTTCTCCAGACACTTTCCTATCAGTTGCAGGTCCTGGCCATGCCCTACAACTTCACCTAACAGCCCACTTCATTCCCATTTATTACCTTATCACCTTAAACAATACTACTAGTCCCCACAGACATTCCACTTGGAGAGAGTTCTCAATTCCACACCTTTTATCGTGGTAGATCTACATGGAATTTCTCTTAACACAAACATACTTCTATCCATCACTAGCCTACATGCCTTCATTCATTCAACAAATATTTATAATCTCATTGGGTAGACAAGATATATACATGTTGAAAACTAAAATTAAAAGGCAAAGAAATTGTTAAGTGCCAATAGAAGCAAAGCCACATGCACATGTTAAACTCATCAGCTTCCCTGCAAACACCTGTTCCATTACCCTTGTTCACTACCTACATAAATAACAGGAACAGTAGGATCAATTTCAGTTTTTCACTTTCCACCAATTAATTCCATAGACAACTGGTGATCAAACCCTACCAGTTCTGCTTCAGGCATCTCTCACCTCTAGCCTCTCCATCCTCATTGCCAGTGGTCTTGAAGTCAGACCCTCATCACCTCTCACTCCCTCATCTTATATAACATGACAGTTATCGATCTGGTGCCCCTCCTACTAGCTGACATGGCCTACAGACTTATACTAAATCACAAAAGTGATCATCTCATGCCCCCATTTGAAATCGCCCCTCATAAACTGACCCTTGCACAGCCTCTCCAGTGTTATTTACCCCCTTCTCAACATGGCCTTTACCCAAACACTATGTTTTCCCAACCGAGCTTTACCTTTACACTGTGGTTCTCTGTCTGAAAACACTTTCCTATCTTCCTTGCCTAAGAAAGTCATACGTGGCCTTCCAAGCCAACACAAAGATCTCCTCTATGAAGCTTCCCTGCTCTCCAGGCAGTACTCCCTGGCTGGTCAGGATTCCCATTACTCTTTGTTCACTTACCACTTCTTGTGTGCTACAGTAATTTTATCACTGATATATTTGCCTACATCATATAAACTGTGTGATTCTCAATGAGAAGGGCTATGTTTTATTCATCCTCAGTGCCTAGAAAATTGTCCACGAAAAAGCACACATTCCTTGCTGAATGAATTGATAAATTCCCCATTTCAAGGTGCAGCAGAACTCTGTCAAAAAGAAATACCAATCGATCTGCTTATCCAACTTTCTAACTTTCTTTGCCCTTGCACATTTATCAGCACAACTTGGGGGATGGTGGGAGTGTAATTCATCACATTCTAAGCACACTGCATAGCTTCCCCTTCTTGTATTGTTAGAACATCATTCAGAAAAAAATGTCTGGAGTTTCCATTCAACTGAAGCACTTTCCACTTAACTGAAGCACCAAAAGTATACATTAGTATGAATCTATTCCTTGGACATCTCCATATATACGTGGGACTTTCTCAAACGATCTGTTTCAGAGAGGGACCAGTCTCCTTATAAGTGAACCCTGAAAGATTTTAATAGATTTCAAAGAAATACAGTCAGGATAGTTTACATTTATTGACTGTCCACTGTGTAAGATTCTTCTAAGAACTTTACCTATTTTAACTCATTTAATTCTCACAACAACCCTATGAGATAGGTGCTGCTATTTTTCCCATTTTAATAGTGAGGAAATATGGTTCTATTATGATACCCATTTTGCAGACCTGCATACAGCCCAGGCTTCAATTTTTGCCTGGCCCCATTTAACTGTGAAACTGTATAGAATGGTGTTTAACAGTGTGAACTCTGGAGCCAGAGGATTTGTGTTCAAATCCCAGCTCATCCCCTCACTGGCATCATAGGTTGGTTCCTTGACTTCCCTAAGTTTCAGTTTTCTCATATTTAAAATGCAGATTAAAATAGCTCCTATTTCATAGAGTTATTACAAGAATAAAATAAAACCAGTTAATGCTGTCCCTGGAATATAGCAAGCCTTTAATAAATGTTGATTACAATTATGTTTAAAAAATTAGTAAGTAGACCATGATATAAATGTTAGTTCATTTAATTCACTGTTACTCAGTGAAAAGAAGAACAAACTAAGAATCAGGAGCTCTCATTTCACCTTAGGTACGACACCTACAAGAAGCCACTTAACCTCTCTGGAACTTGGACTTACATCACTAGTTGTATTACAGAGTTGGACAATATGATCTCCAAGGATGCTTCAATTAATATTCTTTATTTTATCTACTATATGAATTAAATATGATTCTGCAACTTCATCAAAAAGTGAGGCAATTTCAGACCATTAAATTATTACTAAAATGCAATTAATTTCTCTCCTAGAGAATTTAACTTATCATCAGTTTACTGTACTCATCAATATCATTTTATAAAGCACATGAAATACTTTCAAAAATAAAATGTGAGGCCTCTGAGAAATTTTACTGTCTACCCACTGAAATGTCAACATAAATGTATTCAAATTTTTGTATCATTTGGATTGTTTTTATGTTGATTTTTTATTGCTTTGGATGAGCTAAAGACTTGACTCTTCATTAAGTGAAAAGTTATATGAAAAATCCAGTGCATTTAATTATTTTAAAATGTTTTTCTTAGTGAGAAAAACAATAGGATAACACAGGGGCCAGGGAATGTGGTGAACCTATGAACACATGTATAAGAACAAAGACATTCTTCTTCCTCTGTGCCAGGCATTGTTCTAGGCACTTACGTATATTAACTCATTTGATACTCCCAACAATTCTATAAAGGTACTATTAAAGTAACTGACCCATAGAGATATTAAATAATCATACAGCTGCACTAAAATAAAACAATCAAGATATCACATCAAAAAGGCAATAGAGTGCCAAGTTAAACATCTTAGATGAGTAGTAACAAGCACTCTACTAGTTTCCCTAAATTCCCCTGGAAACATTTCCATATCTTCTCCCCCCGATCCCACTCCACTCCAGCCTCATTTCAATTCCTAAGACAATATGCACCCTAAGAGGCATTTCTCTTTTTATTGGGTTATCTGTCTGAATATTTGGTGATCCCATAACTTAGAATTGCTGACTTTTCCATTTTATGACTTTGTAGTGTTGTCCCTAGAATTCTACCTCTCACACCCTGCTTCTGACTTCCCAGTTCTCAACTCCTGGTTCCTGAAACAGAGTAACCTAGTCAACTGGGGTTTAAAAATTACTTTTGAATATGAGTAATTAACTTGCACAGAGCAACTGGGGTTAAAAAATTACTTTTGAATATAAGTAAGTAACCTGCACAGAGTAGAGTATTTGCTTTTTCTGAAACCTCACTTCCTGTACCTAGAGTTATGCACGTTAGATGTAGTTATTTAACAGACCTAACTAACAGGCCTACCACAGCACCTAGGTACTGAATAATGTTCGAAGTACTTTACAAATATTAAGTCATTTAATCTTTACAGCAAGCCCATAAGAAAGGTACTATTTTAGATGAGGAAGCTGAGGCAGGAAAAGGTTAAAGTCATGTTCTCAACATAGCTGGAAAATTACAGAGCTGGGATTTGAGCCCAGGTAAACTGGCTTCAGAGTCTGTGCTTTTACTGTGCAATACTATTAGTCAAGGGTAGTATCCTAAAGCGTTTGCTGAATTTACTTTTTAATGTAAAGTGCAAACTGTATTAAACAGGCTTGTAGAAATATAAATATACTCTAGCAAAAATATTTGCTTGAACAATTAGCAATTCAAAATTACTAATATTTCAAAATTGAAATTACTGTTATTCACAAAATTGCAAATTATATTGATAAATGATACTTGGTGATTTCTATGCTTTGTATATATAAATACAGAATATCAATGAGAACATGGGTTCTGAAGCCAAGACAACCTGGGCTGAATCTGGCTCTACCACATGCAAGTTGTGTAACTTTGAGCAAATGACTTTAAACTCCCTGTACCTTTGTTTTCTTGGCTGTAAAATGGGAATAGTAGTGTCTACATCATATAGTTGCATGAAATTAATATATGAATATGTAAAGTACTTCAAAGAGTGCCTGTCATATAGTAAGTACCACAAAAGAATTGGCTATCATCATTGTTATTTTTGTCATTGTTGTTGTTATTTCTTTTATTCATATAGAGGGAGACTGAAGTGTACATGCACAAAGGAATCCGGAAATGAAAACAGGCACTTTCTTTGTTAAGTCTTCCCTTTTCTTCTCTATCTTTACTCTCTTTATCTATCTATACTCCTGTCAGATGAGCTCACTCAGAACAGCATCTTTATTTTTATTTTTTTGAGATGAGGTCTCCCTCTGCCACCCAGGCTGGAGTACAGTGGGGTAATCATAGGTCACTGCAGCCTTGACCTCCTATGTTCAAGTGATCCTCCTGCCTCAGCCTCCCAAGTAGCTAGGCCTACAGGTGCATGCCACCATGTCAGCTAATTCTTTTAACTTTTGTTGTGATGGGGTCTCACTATGTTTCCCAGGCTGGTGTTGAACTCCTGGCCTCAAGCAATCCTCTGCCTTGGCCTCCCAAAGTGCTGGGATTACAGGGATGAGTCACCGTGCCTAGCCCCAGTGTCTTTAAATATCATCTCTAGACTGGCAAATCCCCAGTCTTGACCTCTCCTCTGAAAGCAATCTCCTCTCCAAATGTCTGTGTGCCTTTGCCTACTGGACCTCCCTGTCTACCTGTGTATGTCAATGTCTCAAAGCAACCACGCCAAAAATTATATTCTTTATCCTCACCACTCCCTTCCTCTACAATAAAGGGCTCTTCCCAGTCTTCTCCATCCCGGGAAATGGTATAACGATCTCTCCGGTTTCTCTGGCTCAAGACTTGACTCATTGTTCCCTCTCCCACAATCAATCCAGGGCAAACCATTTAGCATGATCTCCAGGACTCATCCCGAATCTACTGCTTCTCCCCACTTCTACTTCCCCCACTTTAGTCCAAGTCCCCATCATCCTGGCATCAGCTCCTGGCAATCGCTTCCTGACCAATCACCCTGCTTCTACTCTTGCCCCATTACAATCTGTTCTTCAGATTGTAGGCAGGTGGAATGCCCTTTTAACAGATTTGAATGAGATCACAGCATTCCCCTGTTTAGAATGGTACAGTGACTTCACACTACATTCAGAATAAAACCCAATCAATTTACCACCTCCCGCAAGGCTTCCTCACCTGGTCTCCATCTCCCGCCAGGACATATATCCTTCTACCTTCCCCACCAACTCACTAGGCTCCAGACACATAGGAGCCTCTTGCTGCTCCTCACTCATGCCAAGCTCATTGCCAAGCTATGTTGGCTGTGCCCTCAATCAAGAATGCTCTTCACTAGAGACGACCTTGCTGTGGCCCTCTCCTTCTGCTCAGATGATACCTCATCAGAGAGGGCTTCCTTGATCTATCTAAGATGACACTCACCCACTATCACCTTCTATCCCTCACCTACTAATATTTTATTTTCTTCATAGCACCTTTCACTCTGAAACTATGTTGTTTATTTGCTTGTTTAAATTTGCTTGTTTAAATCTTCTCCACTACACTGTAAGCCCTAAAAAGACAGATAATTATTCTTCTTGTTTACCATTGACTCCTTAGTGCACAGAACAATACTTGGTATGTCGTTCAATAAATATTTGCTTAATGAACAAATGAACGAAACTTTAAAATTCCAACATAATTTTCAAACAGACTCCCTGAACAATTGGTTTATCTCATTGGTGAAAGTGACCCTTCTACACATTTAAGCATGTGAGCTGTATATTAAGCATACATATATTTTATTATGGTTTAAAATTTCTTTGCATCAGATCATACCGTTAAAGTACATATTCATGGAAATACCATTATAGTCACTTAAAATAGTCTCTGGTATTTTCTTTCACCTATGAAAATTAAAACTAATAATTTGGTCCCTGAAAATTTAATCTAGAAGCATGCTAGTTCTCTTATCTCTTCATTGGTAACTGCAGATAAACTGACAAGCTTTAAAATAATATGGTAAGCAAAAGATAATGGAAATGAAATGATCAATTATAAGCCAAAGAAAATGCAATCCAATATGCACAGCATAAAATATATATTGTTTAAAATCAAGAACTGGATTTTATAAAGTTTTTAAGTGTACTAAATGTAATTTTGATTCAACAAAGAGAAGAGCATAACTTATGAAGCTTAAATGAGTTATAATTCTTCTTATTCCAAATACTTTCAAAATATAAGTATTATTCGAAGAAGTTCTATGTAGATTAATTAAAAGCAATAAAGCAGAAAAAGAGGCATATTAACTTCATTTCACAATGGTTCATAGACTTTTCAAATAAAAGAGAAAAAATGCTTCTAATATACCTTCTGAATGACTTGGTCTTGTTTTGTGCTTGGGCCGATCCTCACATGGGTGAAAGTTCAATTGCTGTAAGACTGCTGGACAGATGACAGAGAATTTGGAGCTGGTTATTTGGGTAGCATTTGAAAAGCCATGAAGGGAAAAGATCTCTTCAGCAGTTAAACACTGAAATAGAATAAACAAAAAAAAAATGTGATAATAATGTGTAAAAGCACATAAGCAAAGATGCTATAAAGAGACACAGACTATTTCATCTAGATGCACAGCACTCTTTATACAAAAGCCCACCACAGAAATTGAAAGGCCCCTAAAGTTGTAAAACAGCCCACACCAGTTTAAACCTAGAAACAAGAAAAATAGAAAAAAAAAAATCCCTTCTTAATCAACAGCTTTCCTACAGCAGAAAATAAATAAGAATTGGTTTGGGCATATCTAAGGACTTTATTTAAAATAGGGGTGCACCAACACCATTCAAACAAAGGGTTTTAAAACAATTTTTTATTGTCAGTACCCCCTCTTAGTTTACTTTTCTTCAGTTTGAATGGATATTTTGTGTGTGTCACTGGCATGGCTCTCTATAGCATTTCTTGTAGACAAATACCTGGCTCCCTACAGTTTCATGCTAAGAAATTCCTCTCTTCTCTACACTGCAATAAATATAAATATAAAAAGTTGTTTTAAAATATGTCTTTTGCACAAACTGTTTTTCATTAAAATATGCATTATTCTCAATGACGTTGGGTAACTTTTCTATATTAAGTTTTGAAAATAGTGCTGGGCTGTTTAGAAATTCATTAACTATTAACAAGGACTAGAATCTACATTAGGAAAAAAACTGCAAAAATAATTTTTTAAAGGTATAATGTTGTTCTCACATTTTAACTGTAAGCTCTTCCATATACAGTACTTGCATTATTAAGAAAAATATAAAATAAATGCTACTGAATGTCATAAGAATTATAGTGTGAAAAATATCCATTCACTCAAATGGAAGAGTCTGTCTTTAATAAACGTAATTTAGGCAAGTTATTTGCATGCTTCAGCCAATGCTTAAACCCCAATAAGACCTTAGCTATGTACTATGATCTGAATTATGTCTCCCCAGATTCACATGTTGAAGCCCTAATCCCCAGTGTGATGGTATTTGGAGATGGGGCCTTTGAGAGGTAATTAAGTTTAGATGAGTTCATGAAGTTGGGGCCCTGGTCCAGTGGGATTAGTGCACTTATAAAAAGAGACATCAAAGAGCCTGCTCACTTGCTCTTTCTCTGCTATATGAGGAAGCGAGAAAATGCTCTCTGTGACCCAAGGAGAGAGCCCTCACAGACAGCAACCATTCTGGCACCTTGGTCTGGACTTCAAGTCTCCAACTATGAGAAAATAAATTTCTGTTGCTTAAGCCACCTAGGCTTTGGTATTTTGTTATGGCAGCCTGAGCTGACTAATACACTATGAATGGTATCAATAACTCAAAGTTGATGTTAATTGTTTGACCATAAGATGCTGTAATTCCCTTTACTACAGAAACAATGAAATTTAAAATGTCATATTTTGTTACAAGGAGATCACTACTGTTTATAAAGGAAAAATGAAAAAACATCAAATAATCAAATACACCAAGATCTATGCAGTTGTCCAACGCTAAGATTACAACTACCTTACAGAAAATGCACATTTAGATTTTTTTAATGTCTAAGTATGTACCTAAAATTGTTCCTTATTCAACCCACTGTTTTGAGTTTATGATTAATGATAGCTGCATGCCATCCATAGAAGAGGATACACCACACTCAATGCCCTGTTAACAGTCTTCCCTTTAGCTCAGAATGATGTATAATAAACTAATGGAGGGAGAAAATACCTCAAGATTTAATTGGGGAAGGGAAAGTGTGAACAGTTTATTCATCACCAGGAAGGCATCCAGAAGCATAATTGCTAGATTCAAAAAGTAGACAGCCCTTGTGGTTCAACTGGACACTGTGTGCTTCCAGGAATAAATAGGTGTGATAGCACATGATAGCACACACAGAGAGCACCACTGTTTCCCTGCAAGGAAGACTTACCCTACTTGGACTTTAAATTCCTCCAACTGTAAAATAGGAGGAAAACGGGAAGATGCCTATAGATAATCTCCAAAGACTTTTCAGAATTAGCATGCTAAGGCTCCCTAATACCTGATGACTGTTAAGCAGTTCTTTTTCAGACTCAAATTGTAACCCATTCCTGAATCAGGACGCCCACTTGCTAAGGCACAGTCTGCATTTTTTAATGAAGTAAAATACAAAATAATAGAAACTATAGACCATATCACACATAATAGGGTAAGTGTTGCTTAACCAAACTTTAGTTACACATCATATATAACATGAACATGTATACTGGATCATGATGTAAAATGTATTTCTTGCTGTGAATGGCAGTCACGAGCTTGAATGCCACCACCCTTAAGGATGTCAGAATTGCCAACTGTACATCATTAAAGACACCCTCCTACATACAATTAGAAAAAAAGAAACAGTGCAGTCAAATAAATATATAATTAATACCATCAGATAGCTTAGCTGTGCAGCATTTGTGTTGAAATTTTAGCTGGACAGGTGGTCAGGGATAGTCACGGTAGTCATGGAGAGTGGCAACTGTCCAATCACCACGAAGAACACAGAGATGTAGAGATGATAAAACTCAAAGCTCCCCTCATGATAAGAGAATGAGAACAGAATACGAACAGTGCAGCAGAACTGAATTAATGGCAAGCCTGACTTATTTAAAATAGCTATCTACCAGCAAGTGGAATGAACACAATTTTGGACAGTGGCCTATTTCTGGCTTCAAACAATCTTGATATTTATTATACTTTGACTTAACAAAGTTGAACCAGAAACAAAAGAAAGCAGTTGTCTTAGAAAGGGTGGTGCCTCCCAGAGTGGGAACAAACAGGATGAGAGTCCAGCGCCTGAAGAGTGAGGGCAACAAAACCAACCGGTTATACCATGGACAAGGAGGCTCAAACACCCTCACAAGCACACCCTTTCACCTCCAAAACAATGAACAAACAAATTACGGAAAGGGTAGGATCATCAAGTGCTACTCAGAAAACTATTCAGGATGATTGTACGGAATGCTATCTGCCTTAATAAAACTCCATGTGCTTTCGCCAGCTCCTTCACATTTATGACAGCTTTACTTCTTTTCATGCTTGTATCTATGACACTGCTGTTCTCAAGCATGCTGCCCTGATGTTTGCTGTGGCCTTTTAAGGTTTCAGATGTCCTCGTGTTCAGCGCGTTGACATTTTTCATAAAGACTCTAAGTTTGAAGTTAAGCTCCTATTCACTGGTCTCTTGCCACATTAGGGTGACCTCAAATGGGCCTTGTATGTGTGAAACACCAAAGTAAGGTAGCATTATAGGTAGGGGCTAGGTATATATTACAAAAGAGACCGCAAAGTATGCTCAAAACCGTTTCAGCAAATAGTTATGTGCATTTTGGCTTCCGCTTCTGCTCTTCCTTCTTCCTCACCAGTTTTTATGAGTCAGAAGTTTTTCTGCCTCTTTCCTAAACATGTCCTTATGGGAAAGTGGGGGGCTGGTTCAGAGAGAGGATGAAGGAAGCTCAAGGAATTAGGGCAAGTTCCTTCCTTAGCATTTTACACAATTGAGATCTGGTTATAATAAATGCTGAATCTGAAAGCTTCAATACTGACAAAGATTCTCTCCTTGACTAAACTGCAGTCAGGCTCCTCTGAGCCCAGGCCTCGACCCTAGCATCCATCCTTACAGGACCTGCATCACCTGGTGTTAGCAAGAAACCTTCTAACTCAGTTTAAAGAGAGTTCCCTCACCCTCCATGTCTGACCACCCTGGTCCTGCCTTCAGCAAGAATCCTGTTAGGTCTGTTTAACCAAAATCCCCCCTACCCTTAATGTTTCCTCTTAGTAATTTTCCATTCACTGACCCCCTCCCCACTCCTACCCCTGCTCCTCCTTGGCTGTAAATCCCTACTTGTCCATGTTGTATTTGGAGTTGAGCCAAGTTCCATACTGAGGTCTCTTTTCCCCTTGTGATCATTAATTTTGTGTCAATTTGACTGGCCACTGGCTTCCCAAATTAAACATTATTTCTAGGGCGTTAAACATTACTTCTGAGGTGTCTGCAGGGTGGTTCCAGATGAGATTAGCATTTGAATCGGTGGACTCCGTTAAGTAGATTGCCCTCCCCAGTGTGAGTCCAACCCATTGAAGGTCTGAACAGAACAAAAGGCAGAGGAAGGAATTTGTCCCTTTTTTCCTTCCTCACTGCTTGAACTGGGTCATTTGATTTCAGTTTCTTCAACCCTCCCTCTAGAGTTTACACCACTGGCTCCTCTGGTTCTCGGGCTTTCAGACACAGGCTAAATTAAAGCATTGGCTTTCCCAATCTGTAGCCTGCAGACAGCAGATCCTGGGACTTCTCAGCCTCCACAATCACATGAGCCAATTCCTCATAATCTCTCATATATATATACATATATATATATATATATATATGTATATATATATGTATATATATATGTATATATGTATGAGTATATATATATGAGAATATATATATGAGTATATATATGAGAATATTATATATGAGTATATATATGAGAATATATATATGAGTATATATATATGAGAATGTATATATGAGTATATATATATGAGAATATATATATGAGTATATATATATGAGAATATATATATGAGTATATATATATGAGAATATATATATGAGAATATATATATATGAGAATATATATATGAGAGTATATATACATATGAGAATATATATATGAGAGTATATATATATGAGAATATATATATGAGAGTATATATATATGAGAATATATATATGAGAGTATATATATATGAGAATATATATATGAGAGTATATATATATGAGAATATATATATGAGAGTATATATATATGAGAATATATATATGAGAGTATATATATATGAGAATATATATATGAGAGTATATATATATGAGAATATATATATGAGAGTATATATATATGAGAATATATATATGAGAGTATATATATATGAGAATATATATATGAGAGTATATATATATGAGAATATATATATGAGAAAAAATATATATATATATATCCTGTTGGTTTTGTTTCTCTGGAGAACTCTAACATACCCCTATTGCAATGTTTCCTGAATGAAATCTGTTTTTACCACTTCGACTGCTGTTAGGCACTGGTTTTTTAACAATATCAAGTATAGTAGCCATGTAGTTATACTACAGATTGCATTAACTCCTTCCTTTATTCTACAAATATTTATCAAACCATAAAAGTCTAGGTATAATATTGATGGGAGAAGTAGAAAGTGGGGAAAGCTGGAGGATGACAACCAGGAAGGAAATAGTACAAAGATAAATAAGTAAAACTGCCTTCCATCAGCAAACTTAAATCACTGTGGCAGAAATAAATTAGATACATGAAGGTCTATAAAACCAGAGAGGAAATTATAAATTCACAAAAAACATAATAATAAAGAACTATGAGAGTTCACATGAGGGAGAAATGATATGCAGAGGAAATAGTCAAAAACAACATTGACGATAGAATGCTGGGAGAGTAGAAAGAGGATGCTGCTACTGCTGTTGATAGATGCAGGAGGCAGATAAAAGGGAGGGTCCTCGGAGAATCTCTACCTGCCTGAGCAGTGGGAGAATAGGATGGAGCCATGGGAATTTCCCGTGCGTGCAAGGGGCAGGAGCCTGCCCTCTTCAGTTCCTGTGTTTGTGACCTGGAACCAATCTGTGAGATGGGGGCCTGTTAGCAGGAACTCCGCTAGCTTTGCTGAGAGGTCGTTTTTTTCTTTTTTCCTTTTCGCCCAATAAATTCCATTCTCCTCACCCTTCAATGTGTCTATGTGCCTAATTTTTTCTGGTCGTGTGACAAGAACCCAGTATAAGCTGAACTAAGGAACAAAGTTCTGCAACACTGTGATTAGGGAACCTAGGAAGAGAAGCCCATTTGGCAGGATGGTGGCAACTTTGGTTTTAGACATTTCAAGTTGCAATGCTCCTGGGACCCCAAATGCAAATGATTGGTGAGCTTTCCCTGAGAAAGGTAGAGACCAGAGACAAGGATGTGGCTTCTTCTGCAATGAGGTCATAGCTGAGTGGGAGTAGTGGAGCTGATCAGGAGAATCAGCATATAGAAAGAAGAACAAAGGCTTGAGAATGCATACACGATTTGTGCAAAAGCACGAAAAAGAGCCAGTATATAAGCCCGAGTGAATTAAGCTCAAAACATAAGAAACAATCCAGACCAGTCAAATTTGGTAGATGTCTGTGGTTTTTGCCTTCCTGGAATGATGAAAGACATGTAACCCTTGGGTTTTTGTCCCATCATCTAGTAACAGACCTCCTTACTGCCATGGGAACTGCCTTCCATGTGATTTTGGTAAGCATAGGAGCAGTCTGGATCCTATAATCACCTGTGCTACTGAAAAACTCTTTCTCCACTAGTCCTGCTGTGAGTCTGGGGACATCTTAAACCATTTCTGCCGCCATGTGAAAGAAGGCTAACTAAGAAGTGGAGAAAGACAGATTTTCAATACCATCACAATACCCTGGATAAGCTGTACCTAAAGCTGATGTGCACCCTGACTCTTAAGTTATGTGGGCCAATGAATTCCCTTTCGGCTTAAGCTAATTAAAGTTGATTTTTTTTCACTCTTACAAATAAAAGAGTACTGATGGATACATAAAGTAATTATTTAAAAGTCACTTTTAAAAGCTAGTGAATGAATGCTACATCATAACCTATAGGAAAACAAAAAGATAAGCCTTTCCACTCTTTAAAGCTTCCACACTTCTTCCTGTTCTCCACACACAGGCTGTTTTGTCTGCTTGGTTGTCTTATCAAGTGGCACCCATTAAATAATACAATACAGTAAGACCATCTGATCCTGTACCATTATACCAAGGCCTTCACATCACACCAGAAATGAAATATCATCCCATTCAAAAGCCACCCCAGAAATGGTTTCAGATTTTGTTTTGCAATAGATTGAGATTCTGTGGGAGGCTGAGTAGCTCACATTCCCAATAAGGAAAGTGCTAGGTGTGGTTGTATTCTCTCTGTGGAGGTAAAGGCAGGGAGACACAGATTTTTGTAATGCATTTAGACTCAATGACAATCAACTTTAAATACCATTACAAAGCCCCAGAGGGAGCAAGCAGCAGAACTGGGGTTAGAATCCAAGTCTGAAAGAGCTCTGTCTAGCTTCTTTTATTTTAGTCACCTCTACCCTGCGCTGCCCTGCCAGTGATTGCTACAGCTGTTGCTATTCAGTAAGAACTACAGCTACTTTCTGAAATTTGCCATGTATGCAGCTGTGATGAAAGCCATGAAACCCATCCTTCCCCCACCCCAAGTAAGTGGCGATCTCCTGTTCTTTAAAGAGATGCAACAAGTAAGAGGTTTAATAAGAATCCACCTATAATCTTCATCTGTTCTGCTCTTATAGAAGCCCATTCCACTTCTCCTTCATTCTCATTCATTTATTCATTAACTGAACAGGTTGCTCACACCTTCTCTGAGTCAGGTATTCCAGTAGGTGTTGAGAATAAGACATGGTTTTCATCTTCAACAATCTCATCATTCAGCATAGAAAGGAGATACATATAAAACAGATAAGCAAATAAAAATATGCACAACATATCATGTGATTAAAGGAATGAGGTCAGGGAAGGCTTCCTAGAGGAGGAGATACATGTGCTAAGTTTGTTATTTTGATGCATCTGATTCTTGGGGAAATAAGACATGATACACAAAAAAATTAATGGAGAGATCAGTAACGCAAATGAGTATGCAATTAGTTGGTGAATAAATTTTATAAGCAATAGTTATCATAAGAGTTCTGGGAAGCATATAAGGACTACAGTAATAGCAAACCATAATATATGCTTAACACGTATAACCTCTTTAATCAACCACTTAAATAGATTTTAGGTTAAATTTGGATGAAGAAATCCTGTCTAGAAAGGTAAATTTCTAACGGTACAAGATTAAACAATGTAAAAGTGTTAAAGACAGAATTCAGATATATGTGTTCTCATGCCTTTTGACTTGTAAGCCAGTATTCTGGCTGCTATGTCTTGGTCCAACACTGAGAAGGATTCAATGAAAGAATCATTGAGACCCTGGCAGAGAATGCACTTTGTTGCCCCTAATAGTGAGTTGAAACACACAATTAAATTAACTGTTAAACCATATTTAGGATCCCACTCAGAGACAGACTTCAAAAATAACCCTACAATAAGAAATTACTTAATGGACACAATATGTATTATTCAGGTGATGGCTACACTAAAAGCCCAGATTTCACCACTACCCAATATATTCATGTAACAAAACTGCCCTTGTACTTACATTTATACAAATAAAAAAGTCCGGCCAGCTGCAGTGGCTCACACCTGTAATCCCAGCACTTTGGGAGGCCGAGGCGGGCAGATCATGAGGTCAAGAGATCAAGACCATCCTGGCCAACATGGTGAAACCCCGTCTATACTAAAAATATAAAAATTACCTGAGCGTGTTGGTGCATGCCTGTAATCCCAGCTACTCGGAAGGCTGAGGCAGGAGAATCGCTTGAACCCAGAAGGCGGAGGCTGCAGTGAGCCGAGATAGTGCCACTACACTCCAGCCTGGTGACAAACCAAGACTCCGGCTCAAGAAAGAAAAAAAAAAATCCTACAGTTCAAACATCAGCCAACTTTTCTCACCAGAGTGAGAATTTTAGGTATACTTCGCTTTCTGCACTTCATTTCTTTTGCTTTTTCATAATTTTGTTTAGTTTGCAGCTATGAACTTAAACCATTTTTGCAGTTGGCTCCAAAAATGCTGTGAAGACAAGTGAGAGATTCATTCATTTATTTACTCATTCATACATTCAACACATATTTACCGAGCACTACTGCATGCCAGGTACATAGCAATATTAGTAATCATCTTAATAAATACTAAAGTAGATATGAATTCCAGGATTCCAGAGGTTTCTTTCCCATTAAATAATCATTGGGATACCTAAAAGTGTTTTGAATATGGCAACTGGCCAAAGATCCCAAGAGAGCAATTGAAATACATACATTTAAAATGGTAGTTTGAATTTAACAATTGGGAGACCACTTCTGACCCTTGAAACAAGTGAACCGTCCCATTAATTTATCCTTTTAGGGCTCACTGAACAATGGAATTGGTGACTTACATGTTCCACACTCACAGCAGGAACATTCAAAGCACGAGTGACTGAGGAAATTGCTTCCAGATTTGTTCTTCCTGCAATAATGAAACTGCCTCAATTACAAGGCACTCAAGTTTCACTTCCAAATCTCCCTGATATATACATACATACTTATATATACATATATATATGTATACATATATACACACGCTGAATCTCTCTCTCCACCTTCTCTTGAAGTTTTCCCCTCTTTAAAGTCCTCTTCAAAGTTTACTCATTATTATTCTATCAAGATAAAAGACAGTTTTCTAAGGTTTAAGCCAAGAACACTCTATAAAAATAATCTCTAGGTTTAAGAGGTGGCCAGTCAAGTGACCCCAACTCTGTTTCCCCAAGATTAATTTTTCCATTTTTCCTCAGGTTTTCTTACACTTCTTACTGAAGTCACTCTGGCACTGATGCCACCAACACACATGCACTCTCACATACATGCACACTCACACTCATATACACACACACTCACATGCATACACATACATACACACACACTTACGTTCACTCTCAAAACTCTTTTTGAAGGGAAGATGAAGAACGCTTTTCCTGAATATACAATTTAAAGGATAAAGATGCCTTGTTTTATGATGCACTGCTAGGGATAAAAAGATTATTATGAAACAATATATAGAGAATGCTGCTATAAATAAGGATAAATCTGTGCTCCAAATGTTAACAGTGTTTATCTCTGAGTGGTAAAATTATGTGTGGTTTTATTTTTTTTCCTTTCTGCTTCTTTATATCTGCCAAAGTTTTTAACAATGTACTTGTATTTCAGTTTCTTTTAAGAAAAATAAAATTAAGTCATGTTTTGTTTGTTTAAAATCTCTTTTTCCAGGTTCCCCTAAACAAAAGGCAGGCTGGAATTCTTAGAGATTTTACTAAAGAAAAAGAAAGAATGTTGAAAGCTACAACAATCTTTTTAAAAGAGGTTTACAACATTTTCTGTCTTTGTCATAGTGATGGACAAGTTTCCCAGCCCTACCCCATTCCATATTCAGCTTTTCGAGGTCTTGTCTTGAAAAGAGAAGGTGTTCTTTTAGACTCCTAAAAGTGTGGTGTGGTGTCAGAGCACAGACACCCAATCTAGATCCTTCGCTTCCCACCCCTGACATGTCTTCAGGGGGCAGAGGCCACCCTACTTCCCATCATCTGCTAGGGAATCCCATGGGCATTATCCCATTTTGCCAAGATCAAAAGCCTTTGTTTCCTTGATGTACACCAAGGGTTTCCCACTCAGTCCTTCTGAGGATAAAGTGTGGAGGGCATGCTGCTTCTTCAACTCAGGGCTGGGGAGTTGCCACAAGAAATGAGTGCACCTTGGCCGGGTGCGGTGGCTCACGCCTGTAATCCCAGCACTTTGGGAGGCCGAGGCGGGCAGATCACAAGGTCAGGAGATCGAGACCATCCTGGCTAACACGGTGAAACCCCGTCTCTACTAAAACTACAAAAAATTAGCCAGGCCTCGTGGCGGGCGCCTGTAGTCCCAGCTACTCGGGAGGCTGAGGTCTGAGAATGGGGTGCACCCAGGAGGCAGAGCTTGCAGTGAGCCGAGATCGCGCCACTGCATTCCAGCCTGGGCGACAGAGCAAGACTCCGTCTCAAAAAAATAAAAAATAAAATTAGCATGGAATGGGTTTATTGTTATGTTTAATAAATTAAATATTTTCAAGTTTTCTTAACATTAATTTCTATAATGGTAAGTATTAATAGATATAAATCACATATATTAAGGCTCTTTGGTATTCTCAATAATTTTTAAGAGTACAAGGGGGTCCTGAGACCAAAATGTTTGAGAATCTAGCAGATAAAAATGACACACCAGCAGAGAGAGCCCTTATGTACCACTTCACTGAGGAGCTAGGAGCTTCTAACCTAATCGTATCCAATACCCTTCTCATCCTGGTTATCCTACAACTCCACAAGGTTGTTTCTACTGATGCATCACCCATCAGCATGTCCTTCTTCTGCCCAAACTGCAACCCTTGCACACACACATACCAAAAAAACAAAAACAAAAACCTTCAAAATTACACATTTCTGGCCTGGCATGGTGGCTCACACTTGTAATCCTAGCACTTTGAGACACCAAGGCAGGAGGATCACTTAAGCCCAGGAGTTCAAAACCAGCTTGAATGACAAAAATAATTAAAAATTAGCTAAGCATGATGGTGCACACCAGTAGTCCCAGTTACTCAGAAGGATGAGCAGGAGGATCGCTTGAGCCCAGGAGGTCAAGGCTGCAGTGAGTCATGATCGTGCCACTGCAATCCAGCCTGGGTGACACAGTGAGACCCTGTCTCAAAAAAATTGTACACATTTATGCCGAGAGTCTAAAGTCCTAACACTTAAGAACCTCACTTGCCTGTCTCTAATATTCCTTCCCCCTTCAGCATGCTGTAAAAGGATAGATGAATACTCTATCCTAACCAGTTATAATCAGCCTTATATTGTAACTTCACTGTGACTTTGCATCTCCCATGACCCCTGCCTAGAATATGATACATCTCCTCTCAAACTACCCAACTCCTGTCTGTCCTGCAAGGCCCATTTGGAATCCATCTTCACTGCCTAATATTGCTATACCCATCCCTTCTCCAGACTCCAGACATCCCTGTTATCTATTTGTTTAGCACTTAATGTGTGCTTCCATGTATTATTATCTTCTCATGAAATGGATATTCCTTCAATAAGATCATAAAAATCTACAGAGAATGGACTTCTTCCTTTTTATATCTTCTTCAACCCCTAATAAGTCCTTGGACACATAAGACACTCAATTTATAAACAATTGCTAATTTTGTAGATTAAGGAAAGAAGGTGAATGAAAGGAGATTTCAAACTAGCACACTGTGTTTGAATATAATTCTGAGAAATATAAATCAATAACCTGGGAATCATCTACCAAGACCTCTGAGGAGGCAAATATTCCAGCCATAAGTTTTTCTTCTCATTCTATGAAACTTTCCTAGAATCAGTTTAATGTGGCCCTGATGCTACAAATAAACTAATCCTGATATCAGTGTTTCTAAGTTGCCGTAAAGAATATAGTAATGGGCTACAGAGAAAATCCCAGGCTAAATGAGAAGAAAAAAATTCCTGGAAAGTTCATAAACTAAAAGTAATAAAAACTTTATTTCCTTCTATTTAGATGGCCCATGGGTTAAATTTTAATGTACTATTCTTTTAGGTTTTTTATGTGTGTAATTGGACCCATGGAAATGCATGAATACCTATTCCATTTCCTCACCTCTCAGTCATTCCTCAACCCATTGTGGTCTGGCTTCTATTCCCACCACTTCCTTGAAATTATTCTATACAAGGTCACTGGAACCTCCCTATTGCTAAATACAATGGGTGCTTCTCAGGCCTTATCTCTCTGTTTTTTTTTTTTTAATTCATTGTCGGCAACAAAAAATGGAATTGCTGGTTTACCTTAAATTAAATTAAATGATGCATCTAGGTTGATGTCTAGATCATCTGCTTAAACCAGCAGAATAGAGAGTTCATGTGTCCTTTTAGAGGATGATGAGGAGGGAAAGGAATATTAATTTAGAAGGTTATGTTGGTTTAAAATTAATCATTTAAAAATTTATCAGTTAAAAAGGTTGAAGTTATTTATCAAGTATTTCATTCATTCAACAAATATTTCTTGAATATCGCCTAAATGTCAGACATTATGCTAGTTATGGGCATAGCGGAGGCTTTCCAGGTAAACCCAGTCCTTTGCCTCATGGACCATACAGACTATTGCAGAGTCCATATTAAGGCATATATAACTGCAGGGGCCGGGCACGGTGGCTCACGCCTGTAATCCCAGCACTTTGGGAGACCAAGGTGGGAGGATCACGAGGTCAGGAGATCGAGACCATCCTGGTTAACACGGTGAAACCCCGTCTCTACTAAAAAAATACAAAAAAATTAGCTGGGCTTGGTGGTGGGCGCCTGTAGTCCCAGCTACTCGGGAGGCTGAGGCAGGAGAATGGTGTGAACCCGGGAGGCGGAGCTTGCAGTGAGCCAAGACTGCACCACTGCACTCCAGCTTGGGTGACAGAGAGAGACTGAATCTCAAAAAAAAAAAAAAAAGACATATATAACTGTAGCATAGTCTGGTAAGTGTGGAGGTAGGCTCCATGAATTTGGAGAAGACAGAGGTATTAGCCAACTCTGAAGTAATGGGACTGTCAAAGCCTTCCTGGAGAAAGCAGCACTGAAGGTGAAATGTGAAGGAAAAAGTAGAAATAAGGCTGGAGAAATATGGGAGTGGGGGCAGATGCTTCTGCCGTAAATACCAGGCAAATAGTTTAGAGTTTATTTTCACAATAATGGGAAGTCATGTGAGGATAGTGACATGCTCAGATTTGCATATTAAAGATTCAAGTTGGCTGGGCACAGTGGCTCATGCCTGTATTCTCAGCACTTTGGGAGGCCACGGCAGGCGGATCACCTGATGTCAAGAGTTCAAGACCAGCCTGACCAATATGGTGAAACCCTGTCTCTACTAAAAATACAAAAATTAGCTGGGCATGGTGGTGGGCGCCTGTAGTCCCAGCTATTTCGGAAGCTGAGACAGGAGAATTGCTTGAACCTGGAAGATGGAGGTTGCAGTGAGCTGAGATAGTGCCACTGCAATCCAGCCTGGGGGAGAGAGCAAGAATCTGTCTCAAAAAAAAAAAAAAAAAAAGATTCAAGTCTGTGAACTCAGCTCTGGACCAAGCTGAGTTAATAGACATTTACAGAACTCTCCACCCCAAATCAACAGAATATACATTCTTCTCAGCACCACATCGCACTTATTCTAAAATTGACCACATAATTGGAAGTAAAACACTCCTCAGTAAATGCAAAAGAATGGTAATCATAACAAACTGTCTCTCCCAGCTCAGTGCAATCAAATTAGAACTCAGGATTAAGATACTCACTCAAAACCACACAACTACATGGAAACTGAACAACCTGCTCCTGACTGATTACTGGGTAATAACGAAATTAACGCAGAAATAAGTAATTTCTTTAAGAACAAAGACACAACATACCAGAATCTCTGGGACACAGCTAAAGCAGTGTTTAGAAGGAAATTTATAGCATTAAGTATCCACAGGAGAAAGCGAAAAAGATCTAAAATCAACACCATAACATCACAATTAAAAGAACTAGAGAAGCAAGAGCAAACAAATTCAAAAGCTGGCAGAAGACAAGAAATAACTAAGATCAGAGCAGAACTGAAGGAGACAGAGGCACAAAAAAACCCTTCAAAAAATCTCTGAATCCAGGAGCTGGTTTTTTTGAAAAGATTAACAAAATAGATAGATTGTTAGCTAGACAAATAAAGAAGAAAAGAGAGAAGAATCAAAAGGACATATTAAAAATGATAAAGGGGAAATTACCACTTATCCCACAGAAATTCAAACTACCATCAGAGAATACTATAAACACCTCAACGCAAATAAACTTGAAAATAAAGAAGAAATAGGTAAATTCCTGGACACATACACCCTCCCAGGACTAAACCAGGAAGAAGTTTAATCCCTGAATAGACCAATAACAAGTTCTGAAATGGAGGCAGTAATTAATAGCCTACCAATCAAAAAAAGTCCAGGACTGGATGGATTCACAGCTCTGTATCGGTATTCACGGATACAGAGGAGCTGGTACCATTCCTTCTGATACTATCCCAAACAGTAGAAAAAGAGAGACTCTTCCCTAACTCATTTTACGAGGTCAGCATCATCCTGATACCAAAACCTGGCAAAGACATAACAGAAAAAGAAAATTTCAGGTCAATATCCCTGATGAACATGGATGCAAAACTCCTCAATAAAATACTGGCAAACCAATTCCAGCAGCACATCAAAAAGCTTATCCATTATGATCAAGTCAGTTTCATCCCTGGAATGCAGTGCTGGTTCAACATATGCAAATCAATAAACGTAATCCATCACATAAACAGAACCAATGACAAAAACCACATGATTATCTCAATAGATGCAGAAAAGGCTTTTGATAAGATTCAACACCACTTCATGCTAAAAACGCTCAATAAACTACGTATTGATGGGATGTATCTCAAAATAATAAGAGCTGCTTATGACAAGCCCACAGCCAATATCATACTGAATGGGCAAAAGCTGGAAGCAGTCCCTTTGAAAACCAGCACAAGACAAGGATGCCCTCTATTACCACTCCTATTCAACATAGTACTGGAAGTTCTGGCCAGGGCAATCAGGCAAGAGAAAGAAATGAAGGGTATTCAAACAGGAAAAGAAGCAGTCAAATTGTCTCGTTTGCAGATGACATGATTGTATATTTAGAAAACCCCATCGTCTCAGCCCAAAATCTCCTTAGGCTGATAAGCAACTCAGCAGTCTCAGGATACAGAATTGATGTGCTAAAATCACAAGCATTCCTATACACCAATAACAGATGAGAGCCAAATCGTGAGTGAACTCCCATTCACAATTGCTACAAAGAGAATAAAATACCTAGGAATACAGCTTAAAAGGGATGTGAAGGACCTCTTCTAGGAGAACTACAAACCACTGCTCAACAAAATAAGAGAGGACACAAACAAATGAAAAACATTCCATGTTCATGGATAGGAAGAATCAATATCATGAAAACGGCCATACTGCCCAACGTAATTTATAGATTCAATGCTATCCCCATCAAGCTGCCATTTACTTTCTTCACAGAATTGGAAAAAACTACTTTAAATTTCATATGGAACCAAACAAGAGCCCATAAAGCCAAGACAAACCTAAGGAAAAAGAACAAAGCTGGAGGCATCACGCTACCTGACTTCAAACTATAGTACAAGGCTACAGTAACAAAAACAGCATAGTACTGGTACCACAACAGATATATAGACCAATGGAACAGAACAGAGGCCTCAGAAATAACGCCAGACATCTACAACCATCTGATCTTTGACAAACCTCACAAAAACAAGCAATGGGGAAAGAATTTCCTATTTAATAAATGGTGTTGGGAAAACTGACTAGCCCTATGTAGAAAACTGAAACTGGATCCCTTCCTTACACCTTATACAAAAATTAACTGAAAATAAATTGAAGATTTGAACATAAGACCTAAAACCATAAAAACCCTAGAAGAAAACCTAGGCAATACCATTCAGGACATAGACATGGGCAAAGACTTCATGACTAAAACACCAAAAGCAATGGCAACAAAAGCCAAAATTGACAAATGGGATCTAATTAAACTAAAGAGCTTCTGCACAGCAAAAGAAGCTATCATCAAAGTGAACAGGCAACCTACAGAATGGGTGAAAATTTCGTAATCTATCCATCTGACAAAGGGCTAATATCCAGAATCTATAAGGAACTGAAACAAATTTACAAGAACAAAAACAAACAACCCCACCAAAAACTGGGCAAAGGATAAGAACACTTTTCAAAAGAAGACATTTATTTGGCCAAGAAACATATGAAAAAAAGCTCATCATCCACTGATTGTTAGAGAAATGCAAATCAAAACCACACTGATATACCATCTCATGCCAGTTAGAATGGCGATCAGTAAAAGGTCAGGGAACAACAGATGCTGGAGAGGATGTGGAGAAATGGGAAAGCTTTTACACTGTTGGTGGGAGTATAAATTAGTTCAACCATTGGGAAAGACAGTGTGGCAATTCCTCAAGGATCTAGAACCAGAAATACCAATTGATGGTTTGCAGTCCCATTACTGGGTATATACCCAAAGGATTATAAATCACTCTACTTTAAAGACACATGAACACATATGTTTATTGCAGCACTTTCACAGTAGCAAAGACTTGGAACCAACCCAAATGCCCATCAATGATGGATTGTATAAAGAAAATGTGGCACATATACACCATGGAATACCATGCAGCCATAAAAAAAGGATGAGTTCATGTCATTTTTAGAGACATGGATGAAGCTGGAAACCATCATCCTCAGCAAACTAACACAGCAACAGAAAACCAAACACCGCATGTTCTCACTCATAAGTGGGAATTGAACAATGAGAACACATGGACACAGGGAGGGGAACATCACACACTGGGGTCTGTCAGGGGCTGCGGGGCTAGGGGAGGTATAGCATTAGGAGAAATACCTAATGTAGATAATGGCTGATGGGTGCAGTAAACCACCATGTCACGCGTATACCTAAGTAACAAACCTGCATGTTCTGCACATGTATCCCAGAACTTGAAGTCTAATAAAATAATAAAATGTGTATATATATACATATATATGTATTCAAGACTGGAAGAAATGTAGAGGAAAGAGATATGTGAGGCAAGACTGGATGCAGAGGGCGGCAGCAGTAACAGAGTGTATGTGTATTGAATACTTACAGCATGCCAGGCAAAAGACAGAGTGGCTAGACATATTATCTGATTTCATCTCTACTACAATCCCATAAGGTAGGTACAATTTTCCCCATTACACAAAGAGGATGTTGGAGCTTCAAGAGATTAACTAAGAGATATTTATAAGTTATTATGACAAGACTTATGTGCATTTGATATGGGAAGGGGAAAGAAAAAGTGAGGAGTCAATATTAACATCCAGTTTCACAGCTTAGTTCAGTGAGCAGATAGTAATACCTATCACTAAGATGGGCAAAACAGGAATACCAAAAGGTTTTGATGGAGAAAGAGATGGAGTTGATGAGTTTTGTTTGAGACAGGTTTAGACCTGTTGAGTTGGGGAAAAGAAAAGAGTTAGACATCAATTGTCAGCTGGGTGCGCAAGGCTGAATCTCAAGAGAGAAATCTGAAGTAAGCCAACTCATGTAGAAAGCATCTACAGATAGATAATCACAGCCATATGAGTCCTTGAAGATATACAGAAAGAGTGTGTGACATCAAAATAAAACAGGCTCGAGATGGAAACCTGAGGAGCACTAATATTTAAAGAATGAGCAAAGGAAATCAAAATTGAAAAGCAGCAGCCAGAGAAGTAAGAAAAACATGGCACAAACAGCTGCAAGCAAGGAAAGAATGTGTTTCAGGTAGGATGTAATCAACACCAACAAAATTATCAGAGCGGTGAGGCCTGAGAAGCACCCACTGAACCTAACAATAAGGTGGTTCCATGTGACTTGGTATAAATTTCAGGGAAGTGGTGGGGACAGAAAAAAGCCAGAACCAATGGTTTGAATAGTGACTGAGAGGTGAGAAAACAGAACAGGCATTCGCACCTTTCTATGGTCCAGTTATACACAGTAAATGAAACACAAAGATCATGGAATATTCAGGTTAGTCAGAGCACCGTGGCCTTGCTAATACAGCATCTGATTAAAGTTAGCCCAAGGAAAAAGAACTGAGGATTCAAAATTGGAATGTCTGGTCTCCCAGAAAAATCTGGGGACTTTGTCTAACTTTTACCAAATGACTTATTCGTATCTCAGTTTCTGGGGGAACTGATATGTCCCAATTTTCTCACAATATTGTTTCGAGTATCAAATGTTAATTGTCAGGAAATAACTTTGCAAGGTTAAAAACTAGTTTGTAGAGGAAGTAATAATGAGTTTTAGGGCCGGCCCTGATTATTGCAAGTACAACTTTAACAAGGGGAAGAAAAGACATTTTTTCCCTCTTTTCACTCAAACAAGAGGGGAACATCAGCAGAGAACATATGCCAGCTTCAAATAAATGATTGTACAGTTCCCAGTGGCTTCAAGAAAATGGCATTAGTTCTACCTTGACATTCAGGCACTTGGATGACACAAGAGGCACTTGGCTTTTTGGAAAATAAGTCCTTCTGTGGGATGATACTCTTCAGCATGAGAGGCAATAGTGGAAAGTGCATCGGTTATAGAATCCAGTCACCCTGGAATGGAATATGTGCTCTGCCAATATGAGTCATCTGATTTAAAGTGAGTTACTTAACCTACCTAAGGTTGAGTTTCCTCAAGGGAATAACAAGAGTGTTTACTCCATGGGATCAGGAGGTTTAACAGAATGGTGTATAAAGAAGAACTGAGCAGGATGCCTGGAACACAAGAAGTGCTCCGTAATTGTTAGTAAATATTCTTACTAGGACAGGACCTGTTTCCTCTGCCACAGTAAAGGCCCTACCCACAACATTTACTTAAACAGCGTTCATCCCAAGACTAGAGACAGAGCCAGTGTCTAGCTGTTCATGCTAATGTGTAGGTGAAGTAACCGAATAATATACTTACGTTCTGGGGAACTCTGCTCCTGAAGAAAACTGTAGAGCATTATGATTTAACATTCAAACTCTATTACCTGGTACCATCATAGCATGCATCTCTTAACATAAGGGACTGCATGTTTTATAGAACATATGATGAATATTTATATAAAGCAGGAACTTTTGCCAAGCTCAGAATCGGTGTACTGATTTTACTGTTCGCTGAAGTTCGGGCTAACTTTCTGTTTCCCTGTCGCTGAAGAGATACATCTCTCACTTCTTCCAGTTAGACTAAAATAATGCTCATTCTCTTATCTGTTTTCTATCCAACAGGGTTCAGCTAAATGCAGAGGGTCCTGGATTCTTCGGCTTGCAAAACCCATATAGAGGTCCATACAGATTTAGAAGTAGATCTCAATTTAAAACCGCAATTCTATCCATTTCTGGAAGTATTATATGGTTCCCCAAACATTCACATTTCAGTGGTGATGCCAATCTGGGGCAAAAATAATAAAATAAAGCCAACTTCTAAATGTAGCATCAGAAGTCCTCTGGAAGGGAGGTAATAATTTCAATGCACATTGAAGTACTCAAATTATTTTATTAGTCTCTACTCCTAAGGTTTACATTTTCAAGAATTTACTACCAGTGTTTGGAGAAAGGGAAGTGGAGGTAAACTGTAAAAGCCTCTCTGAAGGTGAGTCACCATGGAAACCAAGACTGAAATCAAAGGCACTGGACTGACTTATTTCTCACTGATCTTTTTTTTCATTAATTCTTGCTGTCTTTTCATGGCTGTGCTTTCTTCTTTTAGTTGACAGACGCTTGGGTGTTCAGATCATCAATGGAAGACAATTTTGTTAAGGATAATGTAGCTATATCGAGTAACATACTATTATGATGATAATAACTATGCATTGAGCACATAATTTGAGCCAGGCCCAATGCTAAGTATTTTACATACATTGTCTTTTGTATTACGTATTATTGGAAGCAATATAGGTAATGGAAAAAAGTCTTATATCTTTATTGAGTTGGCACGTATAACATACTGAATATATAAGTGCCCGAAATATGTTAAATGCTCAATAAATGTTAATATTGTTCTTATTTTCTAGTCCAAAAAACTGTCCTATGAGTAAGGCTCTTTTTTTCTCAATTTACGGATGTGAAAACTAAGGATTACAAAAAGAGGGTAAGTCACTTGGCTGTGATTTCCCAGGTGGTAAACAAGAGAATTAGAATTTCAGCGCAAGCTTGCCTGACTCCAGAAGCCAGATTGTAAACCATTATGCTGTATTCTCTAAGATAGTTAGAGGTCTAAGAAGCTCACCAAATAAATTGGTTACAATTATGGTTTATTTTTTAATTAGGTTCAAAGAACTAAAGACTTAGAGGCATTATCAATGCTCACTTGATTTTTTTCTCTAGCTATTCAATTAGTTATTTAAAGAAAAAAAGTCAAGGTGTTAAATATTTGGCCTTGGAGGGCATAATGCTACATTTCAGGTTCACCTTTAATCTAGACTCAACAGATTTTTGTTTTTATTCTCCTTAAACTTCAGGCCAGGAAAAACAACAGAGTATCTTTAGAAAGAGACGGAAGCCAAATTAAACAAGGCTCCATTCTGAATGTTTTCTATGCTCCCAAATCCTATCAACACAAAGGTAATTCGATGAAAGGTTCATTTCTTTATAAAATAAATCTCAAGGCTACTGAAACAGACAATTGGGAATAATTTGAGAATAAATTAATTAGTTTTGATTACAAACAGGAATCTACTGTTATATAAAGTTGGAAATGGGAAAATTCTGAAAATTACCTAGTTTTTTAGATAGCCTAGAGTTTAGTAACATTCTTTTTTTAAAATAAATTGCATTGTAAATGACCCTAATACTAGCTGTTTGCACTTAGTAATGTGTACATCCCTTGAGGAAACACCACTTGGAATACAAGTAACTTGCAAACCCATTACCAGCCACATTAAATTGCCTTCATTAGATGTTGCTTTTCTTTTCCTGAGGATCACTGATCCTTCTCAACTTCAGGCCTTATTTTCCATTTCTATTTATATTCCTATTTTTCTCCCCCAATCCCTACTACCACCAAAAGGAATTCACTTTTCTCAAAAAAAAAAAAAAAGAATCAAAAGTATATTAAATTTAAAGAAAACACCTTTAAACAATTATTATGGTTGAAAAGTAATAGGTTTTTATGACTAGAAAGCAGAAAACTAAGTCCCTGCCCCTCAATATATCCCAAGATAAGAATAAATCATGGAAAGCATAACAGCTGCAAATCTCCCACCCAGATGAGAGAACAACCCTAGGGAACATCCCTAGAGAGAAAGATCTATCCCAATTATGGAAAGTTCACCTGATAACTGTGTGAGAAAGCTCAAACTGCCTCCTAGCAGCACTGTCTTACCTATAGTTAAGAGTCAGTGATTCTGTTGAAGTACTTGGCTCGGCTCACCTACTCTTCCCTCCTTGCTTCAACTCATTCCCCAACACCTATGCACAAACCACTTTCTCCAGTGTTGTGCAGTTAAGAATGCAATTGCTTCAGAGGCATCATAAGGGAAGATTTCCATTCTAAACCGCCAGAAGAGACAGTGGATTCATTGGCCGAAAACTTCTAGCATAAAAGTGAGAAATGAACTGAAAGGTTTCATACTAGACATGCCTGAAGTCTATCCATAGAAGAAAGTACTATTGTTGCTCAAAATATAGTCCCTTAAAAAAATTCATTATATATGAAACAATAAAAGAAAATTTCATCCTCTAAAAAAGAATTCATGTAATTCACATGAAAATTCATCACATTTGGTATAAGCAAGAGTTCAATCAATAAATTTTTTAAAAACCAAACCAGATAAGCCAAATTGACTGAGTTATAACTTTTCCATGAGGCATTTCCAACCCCAAAAAATCCCTCACCTTTCTAAACTAGTAGCAGATGTTTTCTAGTATCCATGTGACAATCATATATGGCCTTGTGATATGTTTTACAATGTCTGCTTTCGTGATTACTGCAGCTTTGCCTTCCATAGTCACTTTTCACAGTTTCCATCTTATTTCTTTTTTTTTTTTTTTTTCGAG
The DNA here is from genome assembly GCF_000001405.40 of Homo sapiens. Lineage (NCBI taxonomy): Eukaryota > Metazoa > Chordata > Mammalia > Primates > Hominidae > Homo > Homo sapiens. The sequence continues at coordinate 102,338,208 of NC_000004.12, forward strand.
ACGGAGTCTTACTTTGTCACCCAGGCTGGAGTGCAGTGGCGCCATCTCGGCTCACTGCAAGCTCTGCCTCCCGGGTTCACGCCATTCTCCTGCCTCAGCCTCCTGAGTAGCTGGGACTACAGGCACCCACCACTACTCCCGGCTAATTTTTTGTATTTTTAGTAGAGATGGGGTTTCACCATGTTAACCAGGATGGTCTCGATCTCCTGACCTTGTGATCTGCCCCCCTCAGCCTCCCAAAGTGCTGGGATTACAGGCGTTAGCCACCGCGCCCAGCCTCCATCTTATTTCTTAATTATAAGGTCTCTGAGGACAAAGACAAGTCATCATCATCGTAGCCTCCACAGCTCTAGTACCATTTCCTTAATGTGACTAAGCAATGTAACCAGATAGGCAGTCGATGACTAGTAACTTCTCCCTGTAGTTCAAAATCTAAGGTCATGGTTGCTCTAGCTAGAGAAAGTATGGTTTTCTAGATTGTAATTCAAAAAATGCACTATAGCATAGTGTGTAAGACTGCCTGAGGTTCTACCACTTACTTCGTGACGTTGGTCCAGTTACTTAACCTCTCTGTGCCACATTTTTCTTACACATAAAATGAAGATAATAATGGGACCTTTATCATAGAGTTGGTATGAGTATGAAACATGATAATACAAATAAATTGGTTAAGGGAGTAATGCCACACAGTAAAAGATTAATAAATCCTAGCTATAATTATTACATTACATATAAAAGGGTTCATATGACTCCTAGAATAGTGGGTAAAGATGTGATTTTGGGAGTTAGATATGAAAGGAATGAAAAGCATTTTCCTAATGGATCCCAATCACACCTGGCATCAAGGCAAACTAAGCTCTTGACATCACAGTCAAATGAATTACGAATGTCCCTCATTTTCCCAAAGCCTTGAAATACAATCAACACACTGTACACAATCAACTTATGTGAGAGTGATCTAATAGATCAGAATGGGGCCATTGTCTTGGAGGATTCTTAACAAGAGACCTAGGTAACCTCACCCTCTGTCCTGCCCTTCCAGTTTCTCACCTGAACAAGCAGGTTAGAAGGCATTCCTAGAAGGTTTACCCCCACCATTTCTCAGCACATAAAGGGGAAAAAAAAAAAAGAACAAATGTTCTTTATCTCTTCTGTCCATAGTCAGTGCTTCCCAGAAACACCCTCATCTAACCCATCATTACCCCCACCCCAGGAAAAAGTGCAGTAGATGACAACAGGCAATGCAAAAAACATGTTTGCAGTATCCACACACATACATACACTCCTTTTTGCTACATACCACTAGCCTGGCCATCCATTAATATGAGCCCGGAGTTATTCTTTCTCCTTCTGGCATCACAGGGTCAGAAGATAATGAAGGAAGAGATCTAGCAATACTTAAATAAATAATGATTACAGGCAAAATATTGAAATAGAAAAGGCTTATCTTTGGGGCCTTTTGCATACTCTTCAGCCATGCCTGCTCTTCTTGAAGTCTCTGAAGGCAGAGCCTTTATATTACCTTCTGAGTTTCTCCAAATTCAAGTGGTCCTTACATCTCATGAAATCCACTGCAGATGGCTCCTTAGCTCCCACCTTGACCCACTCCAATACATTCCACACTCTCATGTCAGATTAATGTTCTGAAAACACAGGTCTTATCTCACATTGGTTTTTAAACACATTTATTCCTAGTGTTCCATTATTGAAACACTAAGCATGTGGGAGTTATTTATATCCCACTGCTCAAGGTCATTGCCAAGGTCTGATTGCAAAAATTCAAAAAATTGCAACCTCAGGCATAAATGGGTTAGTTCCTTAATCAGGCATATCACTGTTTCGTGCATTATAATTATATGTGCATATGTCATGTCTCCTCCAATAGACTGTAAAGTCATGTGAGGACTCAAATTATCAAACTCATCTTAAACCATCTTCACCCATCTATTCAAAAAAATTATAATGAATACATGTTATAAACCAGGCACTACACTAGTCTCTAGAGAGAGGAGTCAGACCATGCCCTTCAACTTGTTAAAAATCTTTTGGAGGGTAGAGAGAGGCAGCAGGGGTTATAGCCACATAAGCAGAAAACTGTAATACATATAAAATAATTTACATGTTATAATATAATTGCAATATATAATATGTTATAATTGCACAAGCACCAAGAAATACAGGATTGCATTGAAGGGACTTCGACTACACTCTTGAGAAGATCAAGAAAGGCTTCTCAGAAGAAGTAATGTCTAAACTGATACCAGAGCATAATCAGGTATTTCTAGAGAACCAGGCAGTGTAAATGGTCCATTAAGATTGGAACTGTGACAAAGGATACGGTTTAAGAAACATACAGGGACCAAATCAGAAAAGGACTTTGAAGCCACTCTAAGTGTTTGTAGTTTATCTAAAAGTCACTGAATTGTTTAACAGGATGAATGATATGATCAGATTTGTATTTTTAAATAACCATTCAAATTAGAGTGCAGCAGTCATTTAAAATGTCTGCTGAACACAGGAATAGAAGTGACATCAGCATGGTAAAAAATATTTCAGGAATTCAGAAAATAGAGAAATCAGTAAATCAGTGCTGGCTGTGATACCCCAGAAAGGTTTTATGGTGAAGTTTAACTGGGCTTAAGAGAGTAGATTTTCACAGGGCAATTCAAGGAAAAGAAGAACATTTCAGTCAAAGGCAGGAAAGGTCCAAGGAAGATAATGAGTTAAGAAGTGGTTGAGCAAAAGCTTATGGGAATCCATAGAGCAGTGAGTAGTTTAGTTTAGTGGGTGCTAGGTCTGGAGAGGTAGGTTGACACAGGAGGATCAGGCCTTAAATGCTAGGCTCAAGATTTAGAGTTTGCCAGCTGAGACAGTTCATGGAGGCTTTTTGAAAGAGTGTTGCTTTGAGAAGACTGAATATGAACTGAAAAAGGTTAAAAACAGAACTTGGTTACCAGTAGAAATGTGAGAAGAAAAAAACTATGTGCACTACAGGAGATGGGCTGCAAGATATATATCAAAAAATATATATCAGAAGAAGAAATTCTGAATGGAGGCATTTCCAGCAGCTCAGTGTGATAATTTAGAAAATAGGATCTTCCTTTTATCAGGCTGTTTAACCACTATCTACACATAAGAACTTGAAAATACAGTGTTTGAAAGAGGAAATGAGGAAAAGGAACATTTGAAGAATGAGAAAGGAACAGCTGAACAAACAAAAGGCAGCACTGAGGCCATTCTTAAATGTCCTAGATTAATAACCCAGGGGTATCCAGATATTTGGGGCTTCCCTGTGTATTCTAGGAACTCCCCTCAATAGATCAGACCTTTATCCAGAAATGAGGGCCCCAGAGACCTATTTGGCTAAAAGGGCTCCCTCTTCTTTGTTGTTTTGGTCACTGCTTCTACCTAACTCTTCGCACTGTCAGTAGCTATAAGAAGCAAAACTATTGGCTCAATTGTTCTACTGTCTACAGTTTGAACTCTGACCTCTTTGATATCCCAAAGCAACAAGCTAATTTAGTAGTCCTTACTTAAGGATACGAAGAAAAATATTTAGAAAACCTTCCAAAATTGTCTAACAAATCTCCAGAGTTCATTAGTCTATTACCTGAGAAAAGCTGACCTAATAAATATCACAGCCCTCAACCAAAAGAACAATGTTATTTGAAAACTAAATCTTGTAGAAGATTCAATAAATTCCTGGACCTTGAAACAAATTTTATCTTCTTAGCCTTTTTCAAAGCCAAAAACCAGTGTCTCACAATAGACATGTGCATTGTTTATTCCACCCTGTGAGGAAACTGAAGTTGTATTCCTCAGGGTATGTAAGCATTAATGACCCTAAAATTTTACTCCAGAATTGGGTGGTTTCACACTGGAGCATACATGAATGTTGTGGGCTCAAGTCCATCACTTACCAGCAAATCAATGGATTCTTTTAGATTGGTATTTCATTTGTCATCATTTAACCAATGATTATTGTCATCATTAGGACTTTTTAGAACATCAGGCAAGGTACCGTGGCTCATGCCTGTAATCCCAGCACTTTGGGAGACCGAGGCCGGCGGATCACCTGAGGTCGGGAGTTTGAGACCAGACTGACCAACAGGGAGAAACCTCATCTCTACTAAAAATACAAATTAGCCCGGTGTGGTGGCACACGCCTGTAATCCCAGCTACCTGGAAGGCTGAGGCAGGAGAATTGCTTGAACCCAGAGGGGGAGGTTGTGGTGAACTGAGATCGTGCCATTGCACTCCAGCCTGAGCAACAAGAGTAAAACTCAGTCTCAAAAAAAAAGCAAGAACATCAAAGAGATGTTTGTTAGGCTTATTAAGTGGTAAATTTTCCTTGGCTTCCTTTTCTTTCCAAGGTAATTATGGGCTTCTTCCTGTCTCTTTTTGATGCCCACAGAGGCCATAATGAGGGCAGTTAAATATGCAAACATGAGAATGAGAAAACAGGTGTCAAGATACATATAATTTTACCTATTGAGACATCCTGCCTGCTAATAAACAGAGAATCGTATTACTGGTACACTTAACCAATTTTCCTAAATAATTTAGGCATGTTTTCCAATGTCTTTGCAAAGGTGATGTGGGGAGGTCTTTTGCCCCTTTAAAATTCATCAACACCTCCAGACACTGCAAGATAAGGAGGTCATGCAAGTCAAAACAATGTGTGGGCTACAGATATGCAGCTTCAAGTCAATCCTCTAAACTTCTTTCCAAGCACGTGACCATACCTACCTGGAAATACTGGAGTCAGCTCAGTTGTTTCCCCTATTTGATAAGAAAAGAATGCAACTAGCCAGCAAACACTTTATTTTCTTAAATATTAGCATAATTTGTGGGCATTTCCATTTTTCCAACACATCATTTCTCAGATATTACCCCAGATAAAATACCATGCCCAGAACTGGAATTATAGACAATTTACTAAAGAACATGCATAAGGGGACCACAAAACCCTTCTAGATCAAAGAGAGACCACCTCTGACATGCCATGGCATCAGAAAGTTCTACTTTTCTTAAGAGCCATATACTTTAATTGTGGTAAGATATTTCTAACAAAAAGATCAATCTACGTATAATGTTATTAACATGGAATTTATTTGATTACAGTTTCCCTAACTGTAATCTAAAGTCATATTCATTAGGAAACGCCAAATTTCCAAGAGCAGAGTATAATATGCAGCATTTCCCAAACATCTTGGACCCCAAAAACTTCTTGTAACAAACTAACATCGTCCAAAAATGACAAACGATATGGAAAATACCGTATTCTACCCTCCAATATCAGCTGTCAGTGGGACAGGAGTAAAGGAAAACAAGTCAAAGCACTGAGTTAACTGAGTTTTAAAAGACGGAGAGCAGTTTTGGAAGGATGCAGAAACTACACTTTGTCTACTTAACAATTTTAAGAACTACCCAATCACAGAGTATTTATTATAGAAATAATTAGGAATAATTTGATTTTATGTTTACAAAGAGGTATGATGTTTAACTGCTCCTACGTAGTTTGAAGCTTGTTCTTAAACCCAAGGTATTGCCAAATGCCTAGTAGTACCCTGTTTATTACTGAAAAAATTTTTTTAATCATTTTGGATAAATACTAGAATCAAATATTTGACCTGACATATGACAAGGAACTAACAATATAAGCCTAGTCTACCACCATCTGGATGACCAAATTAGAATCTTAGTCTCAAGGCCGCCCCTGTTTCAGCCCTGAATGCCTCATGTAATGTACACAGGAGCCAGAACTACATTATATCTCGTTTTCAAATAGCACTGGTTACGCACCGGGCAACTGTTAACCAGGGTGGCATGTGATAATCTTCCTTGCTAACCTTGTAGGAAGTGTGCGAGCCGTTATCTTTCTGGCAAGATTTAAGTAACTCATTCCTATCTAAAAAGCATCTGTTAAAGTGGCGTCACACCCTCAACTACTTCATAAAGTTTTCTATAAAATGTTAAAATCACCAGAGTCGGACCTCTCAGTTCATCAGGCGTAAAACTGCAGTTTCCGGCTGCCAAATCCCTTAACAACGTTAACCTTTTAATCCTTCAGCCTCGTCTAGTGAAAAGCAAGTGTCACCAGATACCGCCTTCTACTTGAGAAATATAACAAGATTCTTTCTCCTGCACTTTTCCCAAATAAAAACGGCTCATATACAAAGTGAAGTCTAGGGACACCCACAGTACGGAGGGCTGCCCGGACCTGGCGGCCTTACCTGGTTGAAGTGCAGCTGGCCAGGCTCCGGGACGCCCACGCGGGAGGCGGCTCCCATCTGCTCCAGCAAGTGCTGGAGCTGCGCCGCCGACAGGCTCAGATTCGCGCCGAACACGCTCAGCACATCCTCGCTGAAGGCTAGCCCTGGCCCCTCCGCCACTCCTCCGAGGCCGGCGGCCGCCAGCAACAGGAGCCCGGCCACCGCGCGACCCGGGGCCATCCTGGCCTGGGCTTCCCCTTGAGGGCCCGCGACGGGCTGCCGCGCAGAGGGACGCGCGCGGGCGCACTGGCGTCCTTGCCCAAGGGCGGGAGCGTCAGTGCTCGGCGCTGCTCCGAGTCAGAGGTGGCGCGGGACGCCCCTGGTTCTCCGACGCCTTCGAAAGAACAGCAGCTCGCGACCTGCGGGGCATTGAAGTGGCAGCGTAGCCGAGGGGAGCGATAGGCGGAGTGGGCCCCCCGGCCTCCTGGAGAGCCTGAGATAAAGAGGACAAAGGGGGACAGAGATAAAGGCCACCAGGGCACCAGCCGGCAGGCTCCAGAAACGCTGCGTGGCAGTAGCCCTCAAACGCCCGGCCGGGCATGGGGCCAGACGCCCCGGATCCGGGTTTGCAAACGCCCCAGGATTTGCGTACATATGCTCCTCCCGGATATAAAGCCCCAAACCACGCCACTTCTTAGGAAAAACTAAAACCACACTAACTGTAGAACTCCACCTCCTCTTCCTGTCTTTCTGCTTTATTCTCTCCGCCGCAAACTTAGAAGTGAGACGTGCAGTCCCCAAGGAGCTGCAGAAAAGGGCTCTTCCGGAGTCCTGGGGATTGCGCGTTTAAAGGGGACCCTCCCTCTCCCCGGATCTTCTCTGAGCTTGGCAAGTTAATCGGAAGCACTCGCTGGCCTCTCACCTCTCCTATCTGTTTGTTTGTCTGTCTCTGCGTCTTTCTCTCTGCGTGTCAACGTAAGACTCGGTCTCTGGATCTCTCTCTCTTTCTGTCTCCCGCCCCCACAACCTCTGTATCTCTGACAGGTCCGCGGTGAAACTCCGCGATCCGCTCCGGCGCTCTTTACAAATAAGGGGAGGAGGGCCCTGTCCCCGCCTCCGTAGCACGTGGTGACCCATTTCCCCAGCCTGAACTCCCGCGCGCGTCCACGCCGGGGCGCAGGACCGCCGGCCTTCCCTCCGCGGGCGCTGCTCATTCCCAGCATCAGCCATGCCCTCTTCCCCACCCTCACTCCTGAGGGTTACCTGATGCCACCTCCGTGTCGGGGTCCCTAACTCCTCTCTGGTCTCGGGGACGCATGCATCTTTTCGTGATCTTGATGAAACCAACTTGCTGAAATGGAGCCTGGAGACCCTTGCATTGTCTACATAATTAACAGGAATTGCTTTTTTTTCTCACTTCTTAAAATCAGAGGAGAAAGAGGAAATCCAATGGTAGCGGTGGCGGGCTAGCTGAGCCAGCACTGCCCAAGCCGGCCCTTCCTGGCGGGATATCCGCAGATCAGAGGAATGTTTATTTGTTCATATGGGAGCTCAAGAAAAGCTGACTTAGGTGTGATGTCAACAGGTTTGTGTAAAGTGAGTGTGGTGTTTGAGGCAAAGTTTGTATCTGGTGGATATAGTGGTTCAAGTGTAAAGTGAAACCATGCTTCACTGTTAGATGGCTGTGAAAGGAAAATAAATCTTGAGACTTCAAAATCACCAAGCTAAAGGGAAACATCAAGAAGGGACCAGCTTAGGGCAAACCTGCCTGCCATTCTATTCAAATTCATCCCTCTGAGGCTCACCTGAGACAAATGCATATCTGATTGCTTTCTCTTCTCCATCGTTTATGCAAAAAATGCAGATTCACTGGGCCAGACTAAACTGTCTATTGAGTGGAAGGCTGATCATGGCCTCAAAAGAATGCAACCTTTTGTCTCTTGTCTATTATACTTCTAACCTGGAAGCCCCCACTTCCAATTGTCTCACCTTACTGGACTGAACCAATGTACATCTTACACATATTGATTGATGTCTCATGTCTCTCTAAAATATATAAAAGCAAACTGTACCCCCGACCACCTTGGGCACATGTCTCAGGACTTCCTGAGGCTGTGTCAGGGGCACATCCTTAACCTTGCCAAAATAAACTTTCTAAATTGACTGAGACCTGTCTCAGACATTTTGCATTCACGTGACTAAGGACAATAAAAAGAATACAAGATGCCGTTCTTGCCTTTCATCAGGAGAATGCACAGCCTCCTAAAATAGCACATTTTAAAGAGACATTAAGTCTAGACAAAGGGGAAAAGATGGGGAAAGGGAAAAAATCTTAATCTTAGAAGAGGAACCTAAAGACATAACTGCAGAAGAAAGAGACAGGTAGAGAACATTCCCAGAGGCTAAGGATCTAGGCAGACGAAGCTGAAGGATTGTCATATGGAAGAAGGTTTAACTATATTATATCTAACTTCAGAGGACAGAAGGCAGCAGTCATGGGGCAAAGTCACCCAGAGGAAGGTTTCTGTGGAATTATAAGGCATGGCTGCCTTGGAAGATAGTGATTTCTCCATGATCAAAAGTGATTCAAATCAACAGATCCTGGGTGACCGCCTTTAGTAGGTGGTAGGAGGATTCATGCCTGAAGGGAGATGAACTAAATGATCTTAATACTGTGCTCTTTCCAATTATAAAATCTACGTATTTGTTAATAATAATTTACAGAATTATGTTGATGCTAAAAGGGCAAATATTTCATCTAAGGGCCAGAAGTAAGTTAATATCACAGTTGTCCTCTTAAATCACTCAGCTCGTGGGACTCTTCAAGCCTTTCATTGGATTTTAAAATATAGTTTGTTGCCTATTTTTCCTTTGGACCTCCGTGATGCAAAATGATTTTTGGAAATTAATGAATGCTCTAAATGGCTAATCTATACCCAGCAAGTTGTTTATTTCCAGCTTTTCTAAAACTAAATTTGTCCATAAAGTGTTAGATTTTAACAAATATAAAAGGTTTTTAAAAATACAAATCTTGGCTGGGCACTGTGGCTCACGCCTGTAATCTCAGCACTTTGGGAGAATAAGGTGGGCAGATAGCTTGAGATCAGGAGTTCAGACCAACCTGGCCAACATGTAAAAACCCTGTGTCTACTAAAAGTACAAAAATTAGCCAGGCATGGTGGCGCACGCTTGTAATCCTTGCTACTCGGGAGGCTGAGGCATGAAAATCGCTTGAACCTAGGAGACAGAGGTTGCAGTGAGCCAAGATCAGGACACTGCACTCCAACCTGGGTGACAGAGTGAGACTCTGCCTCAAAAAAGAAAATAATACAAATACAAATACAAATCTTACATTGTGGGATTTTTAGAATATATAATTTATCTATTTATCAGTCATTCATGTCTATGCACATACATTTCGCCAGCCCATCAAGTCCACAAAATAAGAAACAGTAAAATAAATGACCAACCTGCATGCCAACTTTACTAAGCCCAGTTAACATAATGCAATTAAGAGAAAGTGTTCAGAAAATTTCAGGTTACTAACTACCAAATAGGTAAGGCTAATTTCTAGATCATCCAGTCTAATAAACTATAATCACCAAAGAACTACAGGTTAGGCATCTCTAATTCAAAAATTCCAAATCCAAAATACTGCAAAATATGAAACTTTTTGAGTGCTGAAATGACACCAATGGAAAATTCTACACCTGACCTCATTTGACAGGTGCACAAAATTATTGGAAATATTATATAGAATTACTTTCAGCCTATGTTTATAGGGTGTATATGAAACATAAATGAATTTTGTGTTTAGACTTGGGTCCCATCCCCAAAATATCTCATTTTATATATATGTAAATATTCAGAAATCTTTAATAATCCAAATTTGAAACACTTCTGGTCCCAAGCATTTCAAATCAACTCATAACCAAATAATGTTTCATTTATTTATTTATTTATTTTTTAAGAGGCAGGATCTCACTATGTTGCTCAAGCTAGGACGCAGTGGCTATTCACAGGCACAATCCAACTATTGACCACCACGGAGTTTTGACCTACTCCATTCAGACCTGAGCCAGTTCACACCTCCTCAGACAACCTGGTGGTCCCCAGTCACCACCACCCCACATCTGAAGGTCATCATATTGATGCCAAACTTAGTGACTGGCACAGCCCACTACATCCCAGAGCTCCTGGGCTCGAGTGATCCTCCCACCTCAGCCTCCTCAACAGCTGGGATTACAGGCCTGTGCCACTGCACCTAGCCAGATAAATTTTAGGGTCCAAATTCTATAAGTCATATTATTACAAAAGAAAAACACTTCCCATTTAAAATATAATGTATAATGTATAAAATATATTTTTCTTAGAAATTTGCCTTAAAGGTCGAATACTTTTAAATGATAATGAGGGTAGCATGCCAAGTACACTGGCCAGGATGTTGAAAAATGTCACGTTTCTGACTCAGGCACTTGGGAAACCTGGGAAACTCATTTGACCTCACCAGGATGAATTCCCTTGTCTGTAAAACAAGATAATTGGGACAGAAGAATATCAAGTCTCCATTCCAGCCTTTTTATTTCTAAGTGTCTAATTTGGAAGTCACTTATCAGAACAAAACATGAAACCCCTAAAAAAGAAATAAGACTTCACTTCCCCAAGTGAAAGGACAGTTAACTTCAAATCTTACTTTCTCTAATGATTTCAGTTTTTTCTCAGTTCAGATCTTTTGTGACTATCGCAAATATAAAGCAAACTGGCCTCTTGTAAACATTTTCATGCATGCATTTTCTCTGTGGAAGGACTAATAAGGAAATCTAAAAGATGACACACCCCTTTCTCTTCTTCCCTTCTCTTCCTTGCCATCCAGCCTGGAAGTCGTTAGGTGGAGTATAGCAGTGTCTGTGTGGAGGGGAGCCATAGTGGCCCAAAGAGGGGTGTTGGAGCTTGAACAAGAAAAAAAGGATATCTAAGTAGGAGAGAACATAGCATGGACAGTAGGAGCCCAAGCAGGGTCCTGAAGGTGTCCAGATTTGGGAAGAGACATGGGAAATCAGAGCTGCATCACTAATGGGATAAGGGTGTATGTGTGTGCACAAGCACTGACTATCAAACCCAAGTATGATCAGCAGAGCATCCTTCCCAGCATGATCTGTCAGAGCCCAAGCTGGAAGAGTAGGGTGCCCACCAAAGTAGTGGCCAGGTGTTGGGTGCCAGAGACTGAGCACAGCTAGGAAGCATCCATGGATCTAGGGGAGAGAGAAAGAGTCAGCCAGTGTGGAGAGTCAGAGCCTGAGAAGGTGATGAAGGCAGTCAGGCCTGAGGTGGTCATAACAGAATGTCAGAGATGGGCAAGGGGGAGGAAGGTGACCCTGAAGAGCAGTAGCATGAGGTATCGGAGTCTGTGCAGTGAGGATGGCAGCCTGGCACGGTGTGTCAGAACCCAAAGAGGATAAGGAAGGAATCAGTGGGGAAGAGGATGGCAGCAGAAATACATTAGTTATACATAAGGGGATTCATTAAATAAGTAAATATATTAGATTATAATAGCCAGTTTTCTCGTTATCACAGAAGGGAGTTGCAAATATGGAGAGGGAGAAAACTAGAATGAACGAACCCTCTGGTCTTAGGTTGGAATTGGAGAGATCAGTATCAATTCATGGTTTGCGGTGTAGAAACAGATATATATATATATATATATATATATATATATATAGAGAGAGAGAGAGAGAGAGAGAGAGAGAGAGAGAGAGAGAGAGAGAGAGAGAGAGTTATGAATAATTACCAGCTCTGTCCACTGACAGGGTCTGAGAACAATGACACTAATAGCAAAGAGCATAACTAGGGCACTGAGCTTGGCTTCTAAATATTACTATCCTCTACTAAACAGAACCAGAGCCCCTTAGAAAAAGGGCTGATTCCAGAAGCAGACAAAGAACAGGATGAACCTGGAATATCACCTTGTGCTTGAAAGCAAGGGAATGGTCCAAAAATGCAGAAATGCATGTTACATTATTCCAGGATAACATGAGATTAGCAACTTACTCTAAAATGGATCAGAAGGAATAAAAGTATTTTTACTGTGCTGGCCACTTTTCTGTAAGTACCTCATAATTTTAAAATTTAAACATTGAATACTAATGAGGAAAGGAGAACGTTCCTGCAACAAATTACATTAAAATTAAATCTAAAATTTTACAAAAAGTATAATTTTCTGTGAAATTAATTTACTCACTAATACATATTTTTAGCGTTTGCATCACAGTCCATTGTGTCTGGAATACAAGAATGAGAAGATACTCCTTCTTTTACTCTTAAGTAGCTTGTAGTTACAGGTTGGAGGAAGGTGAAAGATGGTTGCTGTAATGAAGACTTTTAAATGTTGCGGTGGAGATAGATAGGAGCACTAGTGTCTGCAGATGATAGTGAGCACATAGTTTACAGAGTAGGTAATCCCTGAGCTTTAAGGATAAGTAGAAGTTTGACAGAAAGACAAAAAAAAATGGAAGAACATTCCAAGACAAGAAAATGCAAAATAAAATGCTTGAGAGGCCTGAGAGAATAAAGAGAACTGCAAGGGGTTTCTTGGAATTGGAGAATCTGGAATAGAAAGGCAGCATCTGGCAGAATCAGGAAAAGTCTCAAAGTTCCAAGTCTTTGTCTAATGATGTCCCCAAAGATTCCTTATGATCATCTGAGGCAACAACAACAAAATCTCTTCAGTGAATTTAAACCTCTTTATCCTGTATTATCAGTATCAATATTTAGTCCTCATTATTACAAATAAGCCATACCTAAAATGCTCAAATAAGACCAAGATAATGATTCTATCTGGACCATCTATGTCTATTCAGCCATCCATACCAGAGACAGTAGAGGTAGGAATCAGATTTCTGCAAGGCCCCTCTTAACTTAATTCCTAATCTCTAAAATGGGGATTAAAATAATACCTGCTCAATTTACCTCACTGAATAATTGTGAAAATCAGATGTGATAAAGTATGTGAAATCTCTTTATCAACTCTAAAGCAGAATGCAGGTGTTAATATATGCTGGAATGGTAGGGTAACGTGACCCGTGTAATAGGCCTAGCAAAGGGCCAATGGGAAATGGACAAGAACAACCAAGAATATCTCAGGACAAAGACTACTTTATACCTTACAAAACTCAGGTTTTTTCCTAGGAAATTGAAGTGCTAATCGGAAATGGAAAGATCCATAAATTACACCAAGTCTAATCTTGTCATTTAGGGGATAAGGAAAAGAATGCTCAGGAGAGTTAAGCAGTATGGCCAAGTAACATATTTAGACCGGAACAGAAGCCCAAACTTGTCTTTTTCCATTTCACCACGACAAAATAAACACCAGTCAATGTTTCAAGGATAACACCCTTATGACTTCAATGTGATTGAGAAAGTGAAATTGGAAATTATACTAACCTATGTTCTTCCTAGTTCTTCTTCTTCATCCCTTTTCTTCAATTATTTTCTAATGAACCAGTGTCCCCACCCTTTATGCTGCTGTTTCACCTGAGCTCACCCAGCATTATCTCAGCATGGTTTTTATGCTTTATAATTCTACAAATTTTAAAATTATTATTAGAATGTTGGGAAATTTTATATATACTAACATGGAAATATACTGAGTAAATTAATTAAAAAAAATGAGGCAGAACACGTTTTAAAACAATGAAACAGCTGCGCACATGCGTGTTTGTGTGTACATTAACAAAGTTCTGAGGAATATGTGCCAAGTTGTTTACAATGTTTTCCTTTTAAGAAGTAAATGTAAGAAGTAGGTCTGAGGACAGGTGATTCAAAGGGGGAAGAACAATACCTTTCTCTGTGGAGAAAAATGTGTTGTTTTCCTTTATATCCTCCTTTTTTTTTTTGAGACAGAGTCTCACTCTGTCGCCCAGGCTGGAGTGCAGTGGGCACGATCTCGGCTCACTGTGACCTCCGCCTCCCAGGTTCAAGCAATCCTCCTGCCTCAGCCTCCCAAGTAGCTGGGACTACAGGCGTATGCCACTATGCCCAGCTAATTTTTGTATTTTTAGTGGAGACGGGGTTTCACCATGTTGGCTAGGCTGGTCTTGAACCCCTGACTTCAGGTGATCCACCCGCCTCAGCCTCCCAAAGTGTTGGGATTATAGGTGTGAGCCACCGCACCCGGCCTGTACTTAACATTTTTTCAAAAGGCATGTTTTACTTAAAGGAATAAAAAGTTATCAAAATGTAGATGATGGAAAAAGTTTGAGTAGACTCTAAATGGGGACAGAGAGAATAAGGCTCAGTAAATTGTCTCCCTGTACCTGATGAGAAGAAAGTCCTGAGCAGCAAACAGGAAGACCCCATGCTGCGTGGCTGGCATGCTTCTTTATCACCGAAAGCTAACCAAAAAGCAGAGATTTATTTAAAATAAATGTCTTACGAAGCCCAGAAAAGCATCCAACTCCTTTCACTCTGAATTCTCAATAACGCCAAGTCTTTGATGCAGCATGGGGTAAGCTGAACAGCAGGCATGAATAATTCTCCACGAGAGTACTTCCCATATGTCCACTCTCCCAACTCTTAAGGATCAGAGTCCGAAAGCCTGACTGAAATTGAGCTGCTGGGAAATGTAATCATGTGAGAACAATTAAAAATTTTGCTTTCAAGATAAGAGCTTAGTACAAAGCCTAGCCTTAGACAAACTTATGAAATGAAACTATGACAAGGAACTCTTCTCCCCTGGGTTCTCAACCCCTTAGTACCAGGAACCTACAGCCTCTTCTCTTCCCTTTCTTCCCTTTCCTTCTTTTCCTTCAAATCTCCTAACCTCAGAAACTTTATGCATGCTAAAAATATTAAAAATTAAGAACAAAAAATGATAACTGATCAAGCTCTATTTGCATTTTTTCATTTTTTATTTTTGTTAATGATATCCTTGGTTTACATAATTTGCAAATAGCTTTAACTTAAGAATTTAAGTGAGACTATTGGAAATTTAAAAAGCAAACAGAAAAAGTCTTCTCTTTTCAGTATATGCACTACTAAGAGCTTAAATCCATATAAGAATTTTCTTGATTAGTTTCAGTATTTTCCAGATATTTATTCACATCACATTCTTGCTGCAGAACACCTTTGTGAAATGACATGTTTACTCTCACTGTTATTAGGTACTCATCTGTAACTTGTGGTTAAATCATAAAGCCCTGTTTAAAAGAGGTTTATGTTCTCTAAGGAATGAGCATCAACTATCCTAACCCAAGGTTTCCTGGCAGCACAGTGCTGTGGAAAGAACAATGAAATAAGAATGAAGATTTGAGTTCTGATTCTAACTGAAACAATGTGAACAGCTTTGTAATATTCATAGTTTGAGTCTCTTAACAATTCTGTGTATCTCAGGAGGTTATTACAAGAATTAGTTAAGATAACATAAATCAAAGCATTTTATAAGCTATATATTCAAGAAAATCTAAAATTTCAAACTGGCCAAACCAGGTTGAGAAGTCATTTTGAACATGATTTACAGCATTGTGACACTACTTGCTCGTCTGTACGCACATAACAACACCAAACAAGCCAGGTAGCACATCCTCTCTAGAATGGAAAATTAGTTCTCTGCAGGTCTAGGGAACCTACTGCAGACAACACTGCTCTCTCTCTTTTTTTTTTTAAACCTGTGTGGAATTTTTCATTTTACCATGGACTGTTTTAATGTTTTCCAGTTCTATTTCCTGTTCTGATACTTTTGGTTGGTACACTTCAGGAAGAGAAAAAATTTGGGGGGGCACAAACAAATGACAAACCAATATTTGGTACCTGTGGTTTTACATTTATATATAAGCCATTCTTGTATTCAAGCCTTAATGAGGATCAATGCACTTGAAATAAAGTATGATTTACACAAAAATAAACTAAAACTAAGGATAGATTTTACAGGAAAAGATAATGGTTTAAATACACAAGAAACTTGCAATCCAAAAATAATAAATCCTAATATCCTAAGAACCATAAAGAAATGTTCAATTTGTATTTGAGACAGAAGAAACATTTGCAAGACATGAAGTCTGGTGCCATGGAAAAATTGACAGATTTACTAATGTCCAATGATTTTTATGTTCCAGGCCCTAATTCTTGCAGACTTACAAAGTCTGCAAACACTACACTTTGCCTTCTTTGGTAAATGTGTATTTCTCAAAGTGTGTGGGCAACATATGGACCTTGTATGTCTTCTATGAACCCTACAATCCAGTCATTAATTCAAGTTAATCAAAACATGTTTATTATCTTTCTAAAAATGAAAAATATGCTTTCCACTGCAGTTTTGAAACTAATTTAGATTTGAAACAATTTTTTGATGTTAAAAGAAGTGCAAAACCTTACTTAGACAAAAGCTCATGAGTCTTTTTAAGGTTAACAACAAACAGGCATAAGTAGGTGCTCTGCTTTGTTCCAAAGTCCCATTTGCCTAATCACCTACATTTCTCTCATCTAAAAGAAGAATAAATTGCTACGATGGAGTTAATTCCAGCAAAATAGGGAGTTCATATGGATTCGTTTTCAATATTTTATTATTTCTCATTTGTGAATTTGAGGGGGAAAGAGAGGAAGAAATAAGGAGGGTAGAAGAGATTTTCTATAACAGGATAAGTTTGACAATATGTTTCACATATTGAATTAAGTTCTTTCCTTTGACATTTCTCATTTGTTTTCTCATTAAAGGTGTAATCACATGTTCAAACTGTAATTTTCAAACTTTTATTTTCAAACTACCTTGAGGGCTTATTATATATTTGAACTGTAATCCTACTGCTGTAAAAACAAGAACTAAGTAAGCAAACCCTATATTTAGCAGGAAAAGAAATTCCCCAAGGCCAGAATTATTATGCTCCATAAAACTTGCCAACTGCAACTGCAACTGCACCCTCCCACATGTAAAGGGAAAATTTAGACTAAAACATTAAAATCCAAATGAGTAAGATATAATAGGTGACCTAATAAATTCTGGATAGCTACCACATTACAGAGTTTTCATCTAAAATATTTCATAGGGATAGTAATTAAGTTAGAGAGTTTTAATCTAAAATATTACTAAATGTCTAAATAAACTTTAAATATTTAATCTAAAATAAAATCACCAAAAATTTTTCTTATGAGTATCTAAAACAGGAATAAAATGCAACTTCTCCAAGTTGTTTCTTCCTACTTAGACTACTGAGATTTAATACAAAGAAAACTTTTACCAATGTTATGTCAAAGTTTTCAATCTTTAAAATGCAAAATTATGTCTTTTAGGTCACTGCCTGTTTTGTTCTGTATCATTTTCTGATTCCAGGATTTGAATCTTTAAAAATACTCAGAAAAATCTTGGAACAAACATGGAGCCAAAATAAATTTGCCATCCAGAGAGTAGGACAGAAAGTCAAAGCCGATAAGCTCAAATGTCCTTTCTGCTCTTTTATCTTAAGAGAAGCCTGTAAGTCCTCCATCTTAGCCAATGCTGGAGAGTAAGATTAGAAAAATGGGACTAGAAAAGGAATGTTTAGCATTACTGTCTGCAAACACCACACCTGGCCTGTGTGATAGGTACAGAACTGAAGAATGGAGTTGGGCATCATCACAGACCAAATCATATCAAACCCGTTTGCAGAGTTAGTTCAGAGATGCCTGGGTTTTAAGATAAATAGAGAATGTTTATCACTGTTTTTTTTTTAACTCACCTATGTCCCTGTTGACACTGTAGAACTCAATGTTTATGACTATAGAAACAATACCATCAACAAAAATAATATCTATAATTATCCTCTCTAATCCGCAGTTATTATGATGACATAATCACTCCGGAGAAATTAGGTCTATGGGATAGACCTGATGGAAGCCTATTTTGAAGATAACAGTATTCTCACTATACCATTCAGATTAACATGTCATCGGCTAACGGCCATCATTTTCTTACAGATGTTCATTTCCTTGTATAACCTTTGCTTGACTTGTTATCTGACATTTCAATTCTGGTATGTGAATATGTAGAAAATTAATTTATTGCCTTAACCAGACAAGAACACTTTGCATATAGTGTGTATTCTTAAGTATTAGGAGTGAATTTAAATCAAAGACAAAATACAGAAGAACAAATTTGTTTTAAAATGTCGATTCATTTAAAACAAAAGTCAAAGTTAAAAATCATAAGCAATACATATTTCAAATTTATAATCTTCTTTTGATATAAATATTGATAGAGATGATCAAGACCATTACCTATTAATAAGCTGATCTACATTTGAGAAACAAACAAACAAAAGAATGCCTACTGACTGGGCTTCTTGCCAAGAGCCCAGGTTAAAGTACAAAGAGACTGCAGTGTTTGATCAGCCTATGAAGTTTGTTATGAAGAACCTAGGTGTGCTTGGTCACAGTGTATTTTTACCTTCAATTATTTTAAAATTGTTAAAATACTTGCTTTTTTATTTTTTAATTGTTCTTTAATCTATATCCTAAATATTTCTTTTTAAAAAGTTGTAAAACTCTATGATTCTCAACTTTGTACTGACTACATAACAACCTTCAAAGGACCTGTTCACGTGACTGTGCGCTAGTAGCCTCTGGCCTATGACGTGAGCTTATTTAATATTTAGATAGTATAAGTATATATGGAAAAAGAGGCATTTTTTGGCCAGGGAATGCCATTAGAAATGTTGTGAGGATTAAAGTAGATAGTATATATAAAGTGTCTAGCATAAAGCCACATAGCAGAGGCTCAGTAAATGTAAAATGTATAAAAGTATGTGCATGTGTATCTCAAGCATGGTGCTATGCTTTCATATACTTCTTTCCTTTTCCAGTATATCCCACAATGCCCTAAAAGGATACTAATGATGATTAGGACATTGGTCTGAATTTCATATCAGAAACATTTGTGGCCAGATGCAGTGGCTCACGCCTATAATCCCAACACTTTGAGAGACCGAGGCTGGAGGATTTCTTGAGCCAGGAGTTCTAGACTAGCCTGAACAACATAGTGAGACATCATCTCTACAAAAAGTTTTTTTAAAAAATTAGCCAGGCATGGTAGCACACGTCTGTAATCCCAGCTGCTGAGGAGGCTGAGTGGGGAGGATGGCTTGAGCCCAGGAAGTTGAGGCTGCAGTGGGCTGAGATTGTATCACTACACTGCAACTTTGGCAACAGAGAGAGATCCTATCACAAAAAAAGAAAAAAAAGATAAAGGAGAGAATGAAAGAGGAAGGAAGGAAGGAAGGGAGGGAGGGAGGGAGGGAGGGAGGGGAGAGAGAGAGTGAGCAGGGAGGAAGGGGGGGAGAGAGAGAGAGAAAGAAAGAAAGAAAGAGAGAGAGAGAGAAAGAAAGAAAGAGAAAGAGAGAGAGAAATAAAGAGAGAAAGAAAGAGAAAGAAAAGAGAGAGAAAGAAAGGGAAGGAAGGAAGGAAGGAAGGAAGGAAGGAAGGAAGGAAGGAAGGAAGGAAATGTATTTCTTCTTTACTAAAAAAATATAAACACTGAAAAGAGAAACTTTTGCCATCATAAAATCTACAACCCAACCTTATCTGAATTCTTAAACTCTGCCTTCTGTTCTATTACAGCAAATGAATTTTCCATGCTTTCTTGCAAGACCAGCCTTCCAGTGGATCTCATCCTCTTTCCTACTCAAGTTATTTGTCTCCACAATTCTAACCTTCTTTCTCCTACTATATCATCGGCTCTGGACTAGATCATTCCCATGAGCAGAAAATATTGTCTCTTTTCTCTTAAAAGTTCCTTTCACCCTACATCTCTGTCAAGCTACTGCTCTATTTGTTATGGGTTGAATTGTGTCCCCAAAAGGAAGATATGCTGAAGTCCTAAACTTCAGTAACTCAGAATGTAACCTTGTTTGGAAATAGGGTTGTTGCAGATGGAATTAGTTAAGATGAGGTCATCTTAACTAACAGGGTGGGCCCTTGATCCGATATGACTGCTGTCCTTTTAAGAAGATAGCCATGTGAAGACACACAGGGACACACAGGGAGAACGCCATGTGATGACAAAGACAGAGATTGGATTATGCGGTTGCAAGCCAAGAAATGCCAAAGATTGCCAGCAACCACCAGAAGCTAGGAAAAGGCATGTAAAGATTACCCTAGAGGTTTCACGGGAGCATGGCCCTTGCCAACAACTGTATTTCAGACTTTTAGCGTCCAAAACTGTGTGCGAGACAGTAAAGTCACCCAGTTTGTGGCACTTTGTTACAGCAGCCCTAGGAGACTTATAGGTCATCAGTTTCCCACTCTATACTAAATTATTCCCATGAGCAGAAAACATTATCTCTTATCTCTTAGAAGTTTCCTTGACCCTACATCTCTCTTAAGCTACTGCCTTATTGTTTTGCTTACTTTTGATGGCAAATTTCTTGAGTTACCTACAATTGCTGTATTTACTTCTGCTCCTCCCATTCTCGAATGCACTCATTCTGGTCATGATCCCTCATCCCACTCTCCACTCCCCAGAAGATAGCTTTGTCAAAGTAATTTATTGTACTTTATTTTTCTTTATGACATGTAATATTATATGTTTATTTTTAATGTAGCTATTCTCTGTTTCACTTACTAGACTCTGTAAGTTCCAAAAAGACAGGGGATAGATGTATTTTTTAACCATACTCCAGGCCCTGGTACTTCATATATCCTCAAAGAAAATTGATGAAATACATTTGCTTTTAGATTTTTAATTACATTTAGTACATAAAATTTCCATTTGGATATAAACACTCTTTGTTTATGGATGGTAATATTTTGCAAGGATTTTGTTATAATTTTTCAAGAATTTGGAAGTTACTACTAATATGAAGCATACATGCTGTGCCAGCATACATTATCACTTATATTTTATCCCAAGGTAAATTATGATGTCTTTATATTGCACCTTCCACAGCTATTAGAAGATACTAATCTTCACATTCATCCTATGTATTAGGAAAAAGCGGTGTTTAACTTTTAATTTACAGATTTGGAAATTAAGGGACTTAAGACCAAAGGGCCTTTCTGTGATATCTAAGTGGATATATGATAAAATGCAAACTGGGATAAGAACTTTGAACTGTCAAATCAGTTTAATTTCCACTAAAATCCCTCAGCAGCAACACCACCTTATAATTTCATTGGCATGTAAGATTATTATCTTAATTATATTAAATGAGAAAAAACAACTTCCTCCTGGATATTAAAGCAATTTACAGATGAGGAATATGAAATCATATATTATGCAAATATATGCAATAAATGAAGATTTCTTGCTCAGTTCTTATTCTGTGGGCCAGCAGAAATTTAGCACAATGAACTGAATAAAAAGAGAAAATTAAGGAGCACTGTTAAATGTATTCATAAAATGCAGTATCTAATTTGAAGGGGGCTATGATCACATTAGTCTATGATGTGATAGTTTACAGTAATCACCACTTATATCCACATAAATTTGTCTTTTCCATTTTCTGGTTGCCTTGTTTATCGGTAGTAAACAGCAGCTTAATAGCAAGATAAAGCAGCATATTAAAGATACTGTAACTTTGCTAACTGAAAATATCAGGGATGAATTATTACACTTTCTTAAATTGCTATACTTTCTATCAAGGCCTCCATAGAAGAAGAACACTATATGTTTTATTCAAGCTACCTTTTGGACATGAGTTAATATAACAACAGCATTTTAGTCATCTATGTGTGTACATAATAACAATAATTTTATTAATACATTATGTTCATATTTCCACTGAACTCATCTTTTTTAAAAGGATGTCGTGACAATACTGATTTCATGAAGAAAGATTTGAGAAATTTCAATGATGAAGTGATATTGGACTTCACAACATAGAAATTATTTAAATATACATTTGTATGCTCTTTTATCACATCTTACTTCAAACTTTAGTTTAATTCAAACGAACTTCTCTCTCCCTCAAAGCTCTGCTCATATCCCTATTACTCTCCAATCATTTTTCACATTACCTCCTCCTTCCACCCTAGTTACGTGGAAGTGGTGACTCTACACTCATCTAAGATGAATTCCGTGTCTGAGCTATGGACACTTTTCTCTTCCACTGCTGCAAGCCAGTCAGCTGCTCTCTTTCCTTCCTCTTTAGCCCTTTCCTCACCCACCTGCGGCTTCTTCCCAGCAGCACCCAAACCTATACACCTACTCGGTGGTGTCCTGAAGATGCTCCTTCTCCCAGCACAAGTTTTCACCTTCTTTTCAAACACCAACCCATAAGCTCAACAATCTCACAGTATCTTCCTCTACTGGGCCTCTCAGGAGCACTGGGCATTGGCTGACTACTCCATCCGTCTTCAAGCAGTCCTGCCCTTGACTTCCAGGAAGCCACACTTTCCCAGTTTTCCTTCCATTTTTCGTATTGTTTTGTTAGTGTTAAATGCTAGTCATTTTAAATGTTGGTATCCCTTCAAACCTTGTTCTTTCCCTCATTCTACACATGCTTCTTGAACACCTTATCTATTCCCTTTGTGTCGATTGCTACCTGTTATGGGCTTAGTTGTGTCCCATCCCCCACAAAAAAAAATTGCTATGCTGAATTCCTAACCCCCAGTACCTCAGAATGTGACTCTATTTGGAGATAAGGCCTTTAAAGAGGTAATTAAGGTAAAATGAAGTCACATGGGTGGGCCCTAATACAGTATGATTGGCATTCTTATAAAAAGGTGAAATTCAGACACAGACACAGAGGAAAGACTATGTAAAGACAGAGGGAGAAGATGGCCATCCACAAGCCAGGGAGAGACCTGAGAAGAAATCAATCCTGTCAGCAGCCTCCAGAACTGGAAGGCAATATGTTTCTGTTTTTTAAGCCATCCAGCCTGTGGTATTTTGTTAGGGCAGCCCTGGAAAACTAATACACTCCCTCTGATTAGACTGTGGCTCCTAAACTCATTACTGTGGTGCCAGCTCTGAATGCCAGACTGTATCCCTCTACCTACTGGATGTCACCACATGGATGTCTCAAAAATATTTCAAGAATTCAATGTATGTTGGCTCATCCAGTTACCTGTGCCAGAAACATGGTCACTGTATTAGACCCTACTTGTACCCCACATCATATCCTCTTAGCCCACCTCTAATTGTAGTTTCACTTCAAGTCATTCTCTCATATTTTTTACCTCAGGTTTTCTTTAGAATTCTAATAACCTGCTCAGCAGCTTTCAAGCATAGAGGAGTTAACATCCCTGGAGGCAACCCTAAACCAAAGAGAAATGAGAGTCAGAGAAGAAAGGCTCAGTCTTCAGTCTTTCAAAGGGTCACTTCTGAAAAGCTTTCAACATGGTTTCTCAGGGAATTCCTACAATATGTGCCCCAGGGTTTTACAGCAATAAATAGTTCAATAATGCACCCTTTACTGGCTTTCTTCCTTCCCTGAATTAGATTTTCTCCTTCCCTAACACACTCTCCTCATTCTGTCACTCTTATTTCTTGGGATCATCTCTAAAATAAACTTCCTGCATCCCAGTTATTGACACAGACTTGCTTTTAGGGAGAAACCACACTAAGAGAGTCAATATCATTCCCTTATCTTTCTCCTTTATATACCCTCTCTGGCCATCAATTATCAAGCCATAGTAATTCTACTATGGTTTTCAAATTGATCTACTCTCTTTAAGTCCACTGCCTTTATCTTAAGATAGGCTATCATCAACTCTTAACTGGATAATTTGCTGTCTTCTGTCTCCCTGCCTTGCAAATTGTCCCTTACCAAGTTATTTTCCATGGGGAAGTCAATGTGTGCTTTCTAAATGGACTATCTAATCCTACTCACTCACAGTAACCTTCAATTATTTCCCATTGTCTTTAATATGAGTTCCTTAATATGATTTTTGAGGTTTGTCCTAATAAAGACCTAGTTTTCCTCCACAGTCACATCTCTCACCATTCCTACTTCTTACTTCATACACTAATCACACTGAGCTACTCTCAGGTCTCTGACCAGCCATGTGGTCTGTCACCTCAGGACCTTTGCACATGCTGCCTCTTTCTCTTGAGATGCACTTCTTCATTCCTCATCTCCACTTCCAGCTTCTTACTACTTCTAGTTTAGACCGCATTTACTCTTGAAAATCTTCTCATGTTAATTTTTGGTTAAGTGCCCCTCCTATGTGTTCTTAAAACATTACACTGTATTTTAATTACCTGTCTAGATTTGTTTATGTCATCTATTCAATTAGAGTATTTGAAGTTTTCTATTTCTCATTGTGTCTAAAATGCTCCACATATTTTAGGTATTCAATAAATACTGATAGAATAAATGAATTAATGAGTAAAATAAAAATGTTAAATAATGTTAAATTTTTTAACAACAAAAAAACTGGCAAACAAATTTTCAAATCATATAAAAAGAGCTGAAGGAAAACAGAAGCAAGGTGGATAAATAGAAACCCTATAAAAATCTAGGACAAAAACCCTATCTTCAGAAATCTTTGCTATCATCATTGCCATAACCATGGATACACGCCTACTCGGATTTTTTTAAATGCATTACTTAGAAAGCAATTTTAAAGCTTATACTATAAAGCAGGCATTTTTAAATGGAAAAATTAAGTCAATCCCATATGTTAGTCTGGAATGGCATTTTATGGAGATGGCTTTAATTTATGAACTCGCCCAATAGAACTGCAAGGTGTTGAACAGAGCTAGCCTTCACTAAGACTTAAAAGTACATAACATCTGTTCCAGGCCTTTGACTCCATAATCTCTCACCCTGACAACACCCTTTCTCCTCTTCCTGCTTATGCTGCAGGTCCTTGCTCTGAAATCTGAAGACTCCTGAGTCTGCCCACTGCCACACACCTTGGTGAATGTAAGAGTCTCACCAGGATTTCCTGGTGAATTTCTCTTCCCAGCTATCACCCATGTAAACAGTATGTTATTACTGACACTCCCTATACTTCCACTTTGTTGGATGCAAACAAATACAGCATTTGAGCGGACCTGTGGGGATTTCAGGTCAGCTGAAGTGAAGAGGTTGGTTTCCCAGGAAATCTACAGGAAATACATGGAGGGCAAGGCACAGCCTTGATGAACCTTACAAACTGCTCTCAGTGAGTGGTTCTCATCAAGGAAGCCTCAAGATGGTGAAGAATGCATGTTCTAGCTGGGACCCTGTCAGCAGCGCATTGCTACCACCAAGTTAAAGTTATTTCCAGCACAAACCAGTGTTGTTTTGCTCAAGAGAATGCTTAATCCCTACCAGCCTCTTAGCAACCGTGTGCCATTATTCTCAAGAGAAGGGGCAGGGCAGGAACAATATTACCCCATCACTGAAAAACCCTCAAGTTGCAGAACATGCTAATGATGAGCTGGTAAAAACATTGCCATCACTAACTATATGAGAAAGCCACTATAGAAATCAGTTCCTTAAAAACACTGTAAGACTGCATGATTATTTTGATTCTCAATTTAACAGGCAATAACTTTTACTACAAGTAAACTTTGGTTTGATTCCAAAGAATAGCTAACGAGATCATGCAAATTTCAAAAATACAATTCCTTCACTTATTCAACAGATATTTTTGGGGTGCCTAGTAGACACTCTTCTGTGTACTGAAGAATCATCGATGAACAAAACAGGTTGCCGGGTGGTGGGGAGGAGAAGGGGAGGGGATGGTTAATAGGTACAAAAAAATAATTAAAATTAATGAATAAGTCCTAGTATCTGACAGCACAACAGGGTGACTATCGTCAATAATAATTTAATTGTACATTTAAAAATAACTAGAAGAATATAATTAGATTGCAACACAAAGGATAAATGCTTGAGGGAGTGAATACCCCATCTTCCATGATGTGCATATAATATTAAGTGGGGAGAAAAACACAAGAATACAAAACTATAGAATATAATACTTGAGCTTATAAGAACAATTAATTGAGGCATATATAGGCAAAAATAAGCTTTCAGACATAGATATTGATTTAGGAAAAGAAAAGAAAACATAGATATACATAACAGCTACTAGTGTTATATTTGGCATGAGATTACCAATAGTATTTTTTAAAGTATTTTCTGCGCTTTCTAAAATTTCATAATGAGTACATCATCGGTGGCAAATTAATACTACATCATGTATGTTTAAATGCAAAAAACAGGATAAGATGCCACTTTATTCATCACTGCCAAAACTTGGAGGCAACCAAGATCTCCTTCAGTAGGTGAATGTAAAAATAAACAGTAGTATAGGCATACAATGGAATATTATACAGTAGTGTAGGCATACAATGGAATATTATAAAAAGAAATAAACTATCGAGCCACAAAAAGACATGGAGGAATTTAAGTGCATATTGATAAATGAAAGAAGTCAATCTGCAAGGGCTACATACTGTATGATTCCAACTATGTGACCTTCCAGGGAAGGCAAAACTATGGCAACAATCAAACGATCAGCAGTTGCCAAAAGGCCGAGAGGAGGCAGGGATGCTTAATAGGTACAACACAGAGCATTTTAGGACAGTACTACTATTCAGTATACACCGTAGTGGTGGATATATATTATATATTACCAAACCCTGACGTACAGCACCAAGAGCGAAGCTTAATGTAAACAGTGGGCTTTAGTTAATAATAATGTATCAATACTGGCTCATCAATTGCAACAAATATATTGCAATAATGCAAAATGTTACTAAGAGAAACTTGTAGAGGGATACAAGGAGGTTTATGGCAACTCTCTGCTCATTTTTCTGTCGACCTAAAACTGTTCTAAAATAGAATTTATTAATTTTTTAAGCAATAGGCTAAGATGAACTCTCTCACTTTGACCTTCCAGTGTTATAGGATTCAACCCATGGATAATACAGGTTTGGGCCGTAACCCCAAAAGACACAATCCTGAAGGCCATAATCCCAAATGTTGAAATCCCAAAAGATCAAAATCCTTAAAATCCCAAAAATCACCATCCTGAAAAGTCAAAATTCCAAAAATAAAACTCTGGAAAAAATAAATTTAAAAAATTATTTAAAAGACATTTGTTTACATTTTCATTTTTATTACTTATTATTATTATTATTTGAGACAGAGTCACTTTGTCACTCAGGCTGGAGTGCAGTGGCTCAATCTTGGTTCACTGAAACTTCTGCCTCCCGGTACAAGTGACTCTCGTGCCTCAAACTCCCAGAAGTACAGGCGCACACCACCATGCCCAGCTAATTTTTTGCATTTTTAGTAGAGATGGGATTTCGCTATGTTGGCCAGACTGGTCTGAAACTCCTGACCTCAAGTGATCCACTCACCTTGGCCTCCCAAGTGTTGTGATTATAGGCATGAGCCACCGCACCCAGCCTACATTTTTAAAAGGAAACTTACTTGAGAAACACGTAAAAACATAGCTGAACACTTCATATGCCACTTTTTGCAATAAAATGGGCAATGATAATGACATATTTTTGCAAGAATAAAACTCAGGTATACTAACAACAGTTGCACAAGTGTGGCAGTTATAAGCAGACAAACTGGCCGGGCGCAGTGGCTCATGCCTGTAATCCCAACACTTTGGGAGGCCGAGGTGGGTGGATCACCGGAGATCAGGGTTTGAGACAAGCCTGACCAACATGGTGAAACTCTGTCTCTACTAAAAATACAAAAATTAGCTGGGCGTGGTGCTGGGCGCCTGTAATCCCAGCTACTCAGGAGGCTGAGGCAGGAGAATCGCTTGAAGCCAGGAGGCGGAGGTTGCAGTGAGCTGAGATGGCACCACTACACTCTAGCCTGGGCAACACAGTGAGATTCCATCTCAAAAAACAAACAGACAAACAGACAGACAGACAAACTGTATTCATAAAGAAATATGTCTTGGGGAAAAGCTAAACGTATTCCCCTTGAAAGCCAGAACAAGACAGGAATGCCCTCTCTCATCATTTCTATTCAACATAGTATTGGAAGCCCAAGCAAGAGAAAGAAATAAAAGGCATCCAAATAGGAAGAGAGGAAGTCAAACTATCCCTGTTTGCAAACGACATGTTTCTATATCTAGAAACCCCATAGTCTCAGCCCCAAAGCCCTTTAATTGATAAACAATTTCAGCAAAGTTTCAGGATACAAAATGAGCATATAAAAATCACTAGCATTCCTATACATTAACAATGGCCAAGCCAAGAACAAAATCAGGAATGTAATTCCATTCACAATTGCCACAAAAAGAATAAAATACCTAGGAATATCATTAACTAGGGAGATGAAAGATCTCTACAATGAGAATTACAAACACTACTCAAAGAAATCAGAGATGATACAAACAAATGGAAAAACATTCCATTCTCATAGATAGGAAGAATCAATATCATTAAAATGACCATACTGCCAAAAGCAATTTACAGATTCAATGCAATACCTATCAAACTACCAATGACATTCTTCACAGAACTAGAAAAACACTATTTTAAAATTCGTATGGAACCAAAAAAGAGCCCTAATATCCAAGGCAATCCTAAGCAAAAAGAGCAAACCAGGAAGCATCACATTTCCCAACTTCAAACTATACTACAGGGCTACAGTAACCAAAACAGCATGGTACTGGTACAAAAACAGATACACAAACCAATGAAACAGAATAGAGAACAGAGAAATAAACCTGCACACCTACAACCATCTGATCTTTGACAAAGCTGACAAAAACAAGCAATGGGGAAAAGACTCCCTATTCAGTAAAATGGTGCTGGGATAATTGGCTAGCCATATGCAGAAGACTGAAATTGGACCCCTTTTTTACATCATATACAAAAATCAACTCAAGATGCATTAAAGACTTGAATGTAAAACCCAAAACTGAAAAAACCCTGGAAGACAACCTAGGTGATACCATTCTGGACATAAGAACTGCAAAGATTTCATGACAAAGATGCCAAAAGCAATTGCAACAAAAGCAAAAATTGACAAATGGGATCTAATCAAACTTAAGAGCTTCTGTAAAGCAAAAGAAACTATCGACAGAGTAAGCAAACATACAGAAACAAACATACAGAATGGGAGAAAATATCTGCAAATTACGTATCTGACAAAGGCCTAATATCCAGCATCTATAAGAAACTTAAATAAATTTTCAAGAAAGAAAACAAACATCCACATAAAAAAAGTGGGCAAAGGACATGAATAGACACTTTTCAAAAGAAGACATACATGAGGCCAACAAGCATATAAAAAAAAACGCTCAATATCATGATCATTAGAGAAATGCAAACCAAAGCCATAATGAGATACCATCTCATACCAGTCAGAATGACTATTATTAAACAGTCAAAAAATAAGAGATGCTGGCAAGGTTGCAGAGAAAAGGGAATGCTTGTACACTATTAGTGAGAGTGTAAATTAGTTCAACCATTGTAGAAAGCAGTGTAGTGATTCCTCAAAGAGCTAAAAACAGAACTACCATTCAACCCAACAATCCCATTACTGGGTATATATCCAAAAGAATATAAATCATTCTGCCATAAAGACACATGCACTCGAATGTTCACTTCAACACTACTCACAATCGCAAAGATATAGAATCAACCTAAATTCCCATCAATGGTAGACTGGATAAAGAAAATATGGTAAATATATACCATGAAATACTATGCAGCCATAAAAAACAAACAAGCTCTTGTCTTTTGCCAGAATGTAGATGGAGCTGGAGACCATTATCCTTAGCAAACTAATGCAGGAACAGGAACAAATACCGCATGTTCTCACTTATAAGTGGGAGCTAAATGAGAAGAACACATAGACACAAAAAGGGGAACAATAGACACTGGGGCCTAGTTGAGAGTGGAGCCAGGGTGGGAAGAGGGAGAGGATCAGAAAAAAATTACTACTGGGTACTAGGCTTAGTACCTGGGTGACAAAATAATCTGTACAATAAACCCCCATGACACGTGTTTATCTATATAACAAATCTGCACACGTACCTCTGAACATAAAATAAAAGTTTATTTTTTAAAAAAGAAATATGTCAAAAGCAAAATGTATAAACCCATGTAACTATGGTTGGTAGTTGTGAGCTCCCAGCTTTATAACTGCAGTCATCTGAAATACCATATCAGACAACCTAATTCTTTTTTATTTTTTTTTGAGATGGAGTCTCACTCTGTTGCCCAGGCTGGAGTGCAGTGGCATGATCTCAGCTCACTGCAACCTCCGTTCCCTGGGTTCAAGTGATTCTCGTGCCTCAGCCTCCTGAGTAGCTGGGATTACAGGTGTGCACCACCACACCCGGCTAACTTTTGTATTTTTAGTAGAGATGGGGTTTCACCATGTTGATCAGGCTGGTCTTGAACTCCTGACCTCGTGATCCACCCACCTCTGCCTCCCAAAGTGCTGGGATTACAGGCGTGAGCCACCGTGCCTGGCCCCTAACCTAATTCTTTTAATAAGATCAATCAAAGACCATGATGGGGTCATCACCACATATGCAGTCACCCAAAGAGTTGAGAGCTTGAGAATTTTATCTTTCACAAATGCAGATGTACAAAAGGGACATCTCTTCATTTACTGAGGAAGTTTCAACATTTTTATATACATACACAATACTTACACGGAAAGAACCTTGTGCCAATGCACTTTTGTGGAGTCAAATTTGCAAAAAAAATGCATAAAATAAATTAGCACTCTCTAAAAGTTTTTGCACAATTTATACCTCCAGTATTGGAAATGATGCAAAGATAAGATACGTAGCATAGCAAATTGACACAATGTGGAAGTGGCAGAAGTTACATGTGATTGAATAATTTGGCAGAAGAGATTTCTTCTGTGTTTTCACTTCTATGATTGAAATACTTGCTGCACTTGTGTTTAGAGAGTGGTTGTAACCTATAAATTTTGTAAGTATATGCTGTCCATTTGAAAATCTGGTTATTGCTTGGCCATTGCAATTAAACAATTTTCTACTTTCACAACACCAATAATAATTAATTTTCAAACTTATATCTTTCATAGTTAAGTAGCTTTGTACACTTAATTTATCACAGCCTTTATGCATGGGGATAATTTCACTGATCTCTTCCTTTGTGTTTCAAGAAATGCAGTAAGAAGGAATAATATTTGGCTTTCCCAGTATCGAATCTGTGTTAGGGTTCACCAGAGTAACAGAACCAGTAAGATATGTATATAGACACATGACAGGGAATCTAATAGTGGAATTGGCTCATGCAATTATGGTGGCTGAGAAGTCCAACAGTCTGCAAGCTGGAGACCCTGGAATGTGAGTAATGTGGCTTAGTCCAACTCAGAAGGCCTCAGAATCAGGAAAGCCAATGTTATAACTTTGTCTGAGGCCAAAAGTCTCAGAAGCTGGGAGACCACTGGTGTAAGCTCTGGAGTCCAAAGGTCAGCAAGCCTGGAGTTCTGATGTTCAAGGCAGAAAAAAGTCTGTCCCAGGTCAGGCATGGTGGCTCACAGCTGTAATCCCAGCACTTTGGGAGGCCAAGACAGAAGGATCACTTGAGGTCAGGAGTTCGAGACCAGCCTGGCCAACATGGTGAAACTAAAAAATACAAAAATTAGCCGGCGTGGTGGCTCATGCCTGTAATTCCAGCTACTTAGGAGGCTGAGACATGGAGAATCGCTTGAACCTGGGAGGCGGAGGTTGCGGTAAGCCAAGATTGAACCACTGCATTCCACCCTGAGGGACAGAGTAAGACTCTGTCTCAAAAAAACAAAAAGAAAAGTGTCTCAGCTCTCAGAGAGAGACCAATTCTCCTTCTATATTTGTTCACTCTGTGCCCCCTGCCGATTAGAGGGTGTCCACCAGCACAGAGGAAAGGATTTCCCCACCTAGTCCACTCAGACTCACACACTCATCTTCTCCAGAAACACCTTCACACACATACCCAAAATAATGCCCTACCAGGTTTCTAGGTATCCCTTAATCCATTCAAGTTAACACCTAAAATTAAATCCACAAAACTTGGCACCCATATGCATCTCCTTAAACCATACTTAATTTCCAAATAATGACAGTAACGAGGTAATAGTTCTGCCTAACATGGTGCAACGAGCATAATGCATCTATCTTGCATAAAATAAAAAACACACTAATTCCTTCCTTAGAATTCAGCTTTCAGGATTTAAACATTTGGAATTTAATCTTTCAGGGGTATAATTTTCAAGATTTTAGTTATTAGCAATTTAGATATTAGCGACTTTTACGGATTTCAAGTTTTCAGGATTTCAACATTTGGGACTATGTATTTTAGGATTATGATTGATACTGAACAAAACAGTGATTCCCAGATCTTGGAACTTTAGAAACAATAAAATTTTCCTTAAAAGGTTAAGGGGAGAAGACAAAGAGTTTTCCACTCCTCCTTTGCCAAGTAAGCACACTAAACATACACATGTGTATCTGCACACACACACACACATACACACACACATATAACCAGACAATATTCCATAAAAAAGAATCTCTCTTCACAGTATTCCATTAAGGAGAAGGACATTTTATCACATAAAAATTAAGAGTATGATTTTTTAAACTCTTTATGGCTTTTTTTATTTAGCATAATTATTACACAATTCATTTTTGTTGTATGTATCAGAAGTTCACTGTTTTTATTGCTTAATAGTATTCCATTGTTTATATCCAACAATTTGTTTATCTGGGCATCAGCAAAAGAGACCATTTAGGTTTTTTTCTATTTTTGGCTGTTGCAAATGAAATGGTTATTAACATTCATATACAAGTCTTTGTGTGGATGCATGCTTTCTTTTTTGTTTTTTGTTTTTTGGATAATTACCTAGGAGTGGAATGGCTTAATTCTATAGTAAGTGTATTTTATTTTATTTTATTATTTTACTTTAGGTTCTGGGATACATGTGCAGAATGTGCAGGTTTGTTATATAGGTTTACACGTGCCATGGTGGTTTGCTTCACCTATTAACCCATCATCTAGGTTTTAAGTCCTGCATGCATTAGGTATTTGTCCTAATGCTCTCCCTCCCTTTGCCCCCCACCCCCCGACAGGCCCCAGTGTGTGATGTTCTGCTCCCTGTG
The DNA here is from genome assembly GCF_000001405.40 of Homo sapiens. Taxonomy (NCBI): domain Eukaryota; kingdom Metazoa; phylum Chordata; class Mammalia; order Primates; family Hominidae; genus Homo; species Homo sapiens. The sequence goes on from NC_000004.12 coordinate 102,371,426, forward strand.
TCCATGTGTTCTCATTGTTCAACTACCACTTATGAGTGAAAATATGCAGTGTTTGGTTTTCTGTTCCTGTGTTAGTTTGCTGAGAATGATGGTTTCCAGCTAGACCCATGTTCCTGCAAAGACATGAACTCATCGTTTTTTATAGCTGCACAGTACTCCATGGTGTATATGTGCCACATTTTCCTTATCCAGTCTATCATTGTTGGGCATTGGGGTTGGTTCCAAGTCTTTGCTATTGTAAATAGTGCTGCAATAAACATATGTGTGCATGTGTCTTTAAAGTAGAATGATGTATAATCCTTTGGCTATAGACACAGTAATGGGATTGCTGAGTCAAATGGTATTTCTGGTTCTAGATCTTTGAGGAATCCCCACACTGTCTTCCACAATGGTTGAACTAGTTCACACTCCCACCAACAGCATAAAAGTGTCCCTATTTCTCCAGCGCCTTGCCAGCATCTGTTGTTTCCCAATTTTTTAGTGATAGCCATTCTAACTGGTGTGAGATGGTATCTCATTGTGGTTTTGATTTGCATTTCTCTTTTTTTGTTTGTTTCTTTGTTTGTTTGAGATGGAGTCTCACTCTGTCGCCCAGGCTGGAGTGTAGTGGCATGATCTCTGCTCACTGTAACCTCCATCTCCCAGGTTCATGCCATTCTCCTGCCTCAGCCTCCTGAGTAGCTGGGACTACTGGCACCCACCAGCACGCCCGGCTAATTTTTTTTGTATTTTTAGTAGAGACAGGGTTTCACCATGTTAGTCAAGATTGTCTCTATCTCCTGACCTCGTGATCTGCCTGCCTTGGCCTCCCAAAGTGCTGGGATTACAGGCGTGAGCCACTACACCCGGCCTTGATTTGCATTTCTCTAATGACCAGTGATGATGAGCTTTTTTTCATATGTTTGTTGGCCACATAAATATCTTCTTCTGAGAAGGGTCTGTTCATATCCTTCCAACACTTTTTGATGGGGTTGTTTGATTTTTCTTGTAAATTTGTTTAAGTTCCTCGTAGATTCTGGATATTAGATCTATATCAGATGGATAGGTTGCAAAAATTTTCTCCCATTCTGTAGGTTACCTGTTCACTCTGATGATAGTTTATTTTGCTGTGCAGAAGCTCTTTAATTAGATCCCATTTGTCAATTTTGGCTTTTGTTGCCATTGCTTTTGGTGTCTTAGTCATGAAGTCTTTGCCCATGCCTATGTTTTGAATGGTATTACCTAGGTTTTCTTCTAGGGTTTTTATGGTTTTAGGTTTAAGTCTTTAATCCATCTTGAGTTAATTTTTGTATAAGGTGTAAGGAAGGGGTCCAGTTTTAGTTTTCTGCATATGGCTAGCCAGTTTTCCCAGCACCATTTATTAAGTAGGGAATCATTTCCCCATTGCTTGTTTTTGTCAGGTTTGTTGAAGATCAGATGATTGTAAACGTGTGGTGTTTTGTCTGAGGCCTCTGTTCTGTCTCCCCTTTCGTCTATAAGTCTGTTTTGGTTCCTGTACCATGTTGTTTTGGTTACTGTAGTCTTGTAGTATAGTTTGAAGTCAGGTAGCATGATGCCTCCAGCTTTGTTATTTTTGCTTAGGATTGTCTTGGTTATACAGGCTCCTTTGGTTCCATATGAAATTTAAAGTAGTTTTTCAAATTCTGCAAAGAAAGGCAATGGTAGCTTGATGGGAATAGCAGTGAATCTATAAATTACTTTGGGCAGTATGGCCATTTTCACGATGATTTTTCCTATCCAAGAGCAGGAAATTTTTTCCATTTGTTTGTGTCCTCTCTTATTTCCTTGAGCAGTGGTTTGTCATTCTCCTTGAAGAGGTCCTTCACATCCCTTGTAATTTGTATTCCTAGGTATTTTATTCTCTTTGTAGTGATTGTGAATGGGAGTTCACTCATGATTTGGCTCTCTGCTTGTCTATTATTGGTGTATAGGAATGCTTGCGATTTTTGCACATTGATTTTATATCCTGAGACTTTGCTGAAGTTGCTTATCAGCTTTAGGAGTTTTGGGGCTGAGACAAGGAGTTTTGGGGCTGAGACAATGGGTTTGTTTGTTTTTGAGACGAAGTTTTGCTCTTGTTGCCCAGGCTGGAGCGCAATGGTGCAAGCTTGGCTTACCGAAACCTCTGTCTCCCGGGTTCTAGCAATTCTCCTGCCTCAGCCTCCTGTGTAGCTGGGATTACAGGCAAGTGCAACCACGCCTGGCTAATTTTGTATTTTTAGTAGAGATGGGGTTTCTCCATGTTGTTCAGGGTGGTCTTGAACTCCCAACCTCAGGTGAGCCACCTGCCTCGGCCTCCCAAAGTGCTGGGATTGCAGGTGTGAGCCACCATGCCCAGCCAACAATGGGGTTTTCTAAAATATACAATCATGTCATCTGCAAACAGAGATAGTTTGACTTCCTCTCTTCCTATTTGATTACCTTTATTTCTTTCTCTTGCCTGATTGCCCTGGCCGGAACTCCCAATACTATGTTAAATAGGAGTGGTGAGAGAGGCCATCCTTGTCTTGTGCTGGTTTTCAAAGGGAATGCTTCCAGCTTTTGCCATTCAGTATAATATTGGCTATGGGTTTGTCATAGATAGCTCTTATTATTTTTAGATATGTTCCATCAATACCCAGTTTATTGAGAGTTTTTACCATGAAGGGATGATGAATTTTATCAAAGGCCTTTTCTGCATCTATTGAGGAAATCGTGTGGTTTTTGTCATTGGTTCTGTTTATATGATGGATTACGTTTATTGATTTGTGTACGTTGACCCAGCATTGCATCCCAGGGACGAAGCCGACTTGATTGTGGTGGATAAGCTTTTTGATGTGCTGCTGGATTCAGTTTGCCAGTATTTTATTGACGATTTTTGTGTCGATGTTCATCAGGGATATTGACTTGAAATTTTCTTTTTTTGTTGTGTCCCTGCCAGGTTTTGGTATCAGGATGACTGAGAGGAGTTCCTCTTTTTCTATTATTTGGAATAGTTTCAGAAGTAATGGCACCAGCTCCTCTTTGTACCTCTGGTAGAATTCAGCTGTAAATCCATCTGGTCCTGGGATTTTTTTGGTTGGTAGGCTATTAATTATTGCCTCAATTTCAGAACTTGTTATTGGTCTATTCAAGGATTCAACTTCTTCCTGGTTTGCTCTTGAGGGGATGTATGTGTCCAGGAAATTATTCATTTCTCCTAAATTTTCTAGTTTATTTGCATAGAGGTGTTTATAGTATTCTCTGATGGTAGTTTGTACTTCTCTGGGATCAGTGGTGATATCTCCTTCATCATTTTTTGTTGTGCCTATTTGATTTTTCTCTTTTTCTTTTTTTTTATTATACTGGAAGTTTTAGGGTACATGTGCACAACGTGCAGGTTAGTTACATATGTATACATGTGCCATGTTGGTGTGCTGCACCCATTAATTCATCATTTAACATTAGGTATATCTCCTAATGCTATCCTGCCCCCTCCCCCCACCCCACAACAGGCCCTGGTGTGTGATGTTCCCCTTCCTGTGTCCATGTGTTCTCATTGTTCAATTCCCACTTATGAGTGAGAACATGCAATGTTTGGTTTTTTGTCCTTGAGACACTTTGCTGAGAATGATGGTTTCCAGCTTCATCCATGTCCCTAAAAAGGACATGAACTCATCATTTTTTATGGCTGCATAGTATTCCATGGTGTATATGTGCCACATTTTCTTAATCCAGTCTATCATTGTTGGACATTTGGGTTGGTTCCAAGTTTTTGCTATTGTGAATAGTGCCACAATAAACATAAGTGTGCATGTGTCTTTATAACAGCATGATTTATAATCCTTTGGGCATACACCCAGTAATGGGATGGCTGGGTCAAATGGTATTTCTAGTTCTAGATCCCTGAGGAATCGCCACACTGACTTCCACAATGGTTGAACTAGTTTACAATCCCACCAACAGTGTAAAAGTGTTCCTATGTCTCCACATCCTCTCCAGCATCTGTTGTTTCCTGACTTTTTAATGATCGCCATTCTAACTGGTGTGAGATGGTATCTCATTGTGGTTTTGATTTGCATTTCTCTGATGGCCAGTGATGATGAGCATTTTTTCATGGGTCTTTTGGCTGCATAAATATCTTCTTTTGAGAAGTGTCTGTTCATATCCTTTGCCCACTTGTTGATAGGGTTGTTTGTTTTTTCTTGTAAATTTGTTTGAGTTCTTTGTAGATTCTGGATATTAGCCCTTTGTCAGATGAGTAGATTGCAAAAATTTTCTCCCATTCTGTAGGTTTCCTGTTCACTCTGACAGTAGTTTCTTTTGCTGTGCAGAAGCTCTTTAGTTTAATTAGATCCCATTTGTCAATTTTGGCTTTTGTTGCCATTGATTTCAGTGTTTTAGACATGAAGTCCTTGCCCATGCCTATGTCCTGAATGGTATTGCCTAGGTTTTCTTCTAGGGTTTTTATGGTTTTAGGTCTAACATGTAAGTCTTTAATCCATCTTGAATTAATTTTTGTATAAGGTGTAAGGAAGGGATCCAGTTTCAGCTTTCTACATATGGCTAGCCAGTTTTCCCAGCATCATTTATTAAATAGGGAATCCTTTCCCCATTGCTTGTTTTTCTCAGGTTTGTCAAAGATCAGATGGTTGTAGATGTGTGGTATTATTTCTGAGGGCTCTGTTCTGTTCCACTGGTCTATATCTCTGTTTTGGTACCAGTACCATGCTGTTTTGGTACCAGTACCATGCTGTTTTGGTTACTGTTGCCTTGTAGTATAGTTTGAAGTCAGGTAGCATGATGCCTCCAGCTTTGTTCTTTTGGCTTAGGATTGTCTTGGCAATGCGGGCTCTTTTTTGGTTCCATATGAACTTTAAAGTAGTTTTTTCCAATTCTGTGAAGAAAGTCATTGGTAGCTTGATGGGGATGGCATTGAATCTATAAATTACCTTGGCAGTATGGCCATTTTCACGATATTGATTCTTCCTACCCATGAGCATGGAATGTTCTTCCATTTGTTTGTATCCTCTTTTATTTCCTTGAGCAGTGGTTTGTAGTTCTCCTTGAAGAGGTCCTTCACATCCCTTGTAAGTTGGATTCCTAGGTATTTTGTTTTCTTTGACGCAATTGCAAGTGGGAGTTCACTCATGATTTGGCTCTCTGTTTGTCTGTTATTGGTGTATAAGAATGCCTGTGATTTTTGCACATTGATTTTGTATCCTGAGACTTTGCTGAAATTGCTTATTAGCATAAGGAGATTTTGGGCTGAGATGATGGGGTTTTCTAGATATACAGTCATGTCATCTGCAAACAGGGACAATTTGACTTCCTCTTTTCCTACTTAAATACCCTTTATTTCCTTCTCCCACCTGATTGCCCTGGCCAGAACTTCCAACACTGTGTTAAATAGGAGTGGTGAGAGAGGGCATCCCTGTCTTGTGCCAGTTTTCAAAGGGAATGCTTCCAGTTTTTGCCCATTCAGTATGATATTGGCTGTGGGTTTGTCATAGATAGCTCTCATTATTTTGAGATACATGCCATCAATACCTAATTTATTGAGAGTTTTTAGCATGAAGGGTTGTTGAATTTTGTCAAAGGCCTTTTCTGCATCTATTGAGATAATCATATGGTTTTTGTCATTGGTTCTGTTTATACGCTGGATTACGTTTATTGATTTGTGTATGTTGAACCAGCCTCGCATCCCAGGGATGAAGCCCACTTGATCATGGTGGATAAGCTTTTTGATGTGCTGCTGGATTTGGTTTGCCAGTATTTTATTGAGGATTTTTGCATCGACATTCATCAGGGATATTGGTCTAAAATTCTCTTTTTTTGTTGTGTCTCTGCCAGGCTTTGGTATCAGGATGATGCTGGCCTCATAAAATGAGTTAGGGAGGATTCCCTCTTTTTCTGTTGATTAGAATAGTTTCAGAAGGAATGGTACCAGCTCCTCCTTGTACCTCTGGTAGAATTCGGCTGTGAATCCATCTGGTCCTGGACTTTTTTTGGTTGGTAAGCTATTAATTATTGCCTCAATTTCAGCACCTGTTATTGGTCTATTCAGAGATTCAACTTTTTCTTGGTTTAGCCTTGGGAGGGTGTATGTGTCAAGGAATTTATCCATTTCTTCTAGATTTTCTAGTTTATTTGCATAGAGGTGTTTACAGTATTCTCTGATGGTAGTTTGTATTTCTGTGGGATCTGTGGTGATATCCCCATTATCATTTTTTATTGTGTCTATTTGATTCTTCTCTCTTTTCCTCTTTATTAGTCTTGCTAGTGGTCTATCAATTTTGTTGATCTTTTCAAAAAACCAGCTCCTGGATTCATTGATTTTTTGAAGGGTTTTTTGTGTCTCTATTTCCTTGAGTTCTGCTCTGATCTTAGTTATTTCTTGCCTTCTGCTAGCTTTTGAATGTGTTTGCTCTTGCTTTTCTAGTTCTTTTAATTGTGATGTTAGGGTGTCAATTTTGGATCTTTCCTGCTTTCTCTTATAGGCATTTAGTGCTATAAATTTCCCTCTACACACTGCTTTGAATGTGTCCCAGAGATTCTGGTAAGTTGTGTCTTTGTTCTCGTTGGTTTCAAAAAACATCTTTATTTCTGCCTTCATTTTGTTATGTACCCAGTAGTCATTCAGGAGCAGGTTGTTCAGTTTCCATGTAGTTGAGCAGTTTTGAGTGAGTTTCTTAATCCTGAGTTCTAGTTTGATTGCACTGTGGTCTGAGAGACAGTTTGTTATAATTTCTATTCTTTTACATTTGCTGAGGAGTGCTTTACTTCCAACTATGTGGTCAATTTTGGAATAAGTGCAGTGTGGTGCTGAGAAGAATGTATATTCTGTTGATTTGGGGTGGAGAGTTCTGTAGATGTCTATTAGGTCTGCTTGGTGCAGAGCTGAGTTCAATTCCTGGATATCCTTGTTAACTTTCTGTCTCATTGATCTGTCTAATGTTGACAGTGGGGTGTTAAAGTCTCCCATTATTATTGTGTGGGAGTCTAAGTTTCTTTGTAGGTCTCTAAGGACTTGCTTTATGAATCTGGGTGCTCCTGTATTGGGTGCATATATATTTAGGATAGTTAGCTCTTCTTGTTGAATTGATCCCTTTACCATTATGTAATGGCCTTCTTTGTCTCTTTTGATCTTTGTTGGTTTAAAGTCTCTTTTATCAGAGACTAGGATTGCAACCCCTGCCTTTTTTTGTTTTCCATTTGCTTGGTAGATCTTCCTACATCCCTTTATTTTGAGCCTATGTGTGTCTCTGCATGGGAGATGGGTTTCCTGAATACAGCACACTGATGGGTCTTGACTCTATCCAATTTGCCAGCCTGTGTCTTTTAACTGGAGAATTTAGCCCATTTACATTTAAGGTTAATATTGTTATGTGTGAATTTGATCCTGTCATAATGATGTTAGCTGGTTATTTTGCTCATTGGTTGATGCAGTTTCTTCCTAGCCTCGATGGTCTTTACAATTTGGCATGTTTTTGCAGTGGCTGGTACCAGTTGTTCCTTTCCATGTTTAGTGCTTCCTTCAGGAGCTCTTTTAGGGCAGGCCTGGTGGTGACAAAATCTCTCAGCATTTGCTTGTCTGTAAAGGATTTTATTTCTCCTTCACTTATGAAGCTTAGTTTGGCAGGATATGAAATTCTGGGTTGAAAATTTTTTTCTTTAAGAATGTTGAATATTGGCCCCCACTCTCTTCTGGCTTGTAAAGTTTCTGCCAAGAGATCAGCTGTTAGTCTGATGGGCTTCCCTTTGTGGGTAACCTGACCTTTCTCTCCGGCTGCCCTTAACATTTTTTCCTTCATTTCAACTTTGGTGAATCTGACAATTATGTGTCTTGGGGTTGCTCTTCTCAAGGAGTATCTTTGTGGCGTTCTCTGTATTTCCTGAATTTGAATGTTGGCCTGCCTTGCTAGATTGGAGAAGTTCTCCTGGATAATATCCTGCAGAGTGTTTTCCAACTTGGTTCCATTCTCCCAGTCACTTTCAGGTACACCAATCAGACATAGATTTGGTCTTTTCACATAGTCCCATATTTCTTGGAGGTTTTGTTTGTTTCTTTTTATTCTTTTTTCTCTAAACTTCTCTTCTCACTTCATTTCATTCATTTGATCTTCCATCACTGATACCCTTTCTTCCAGTTGATCCAATCGGCTACTGAGGCTTGTGCATTCGTCACATAGTTCTCGTGCCTTGGTTTTCAGCCCCTTCAGGTCCTTTAAGGACCTCTCTGCATTGGTTATTCTAGTTAGCCATTCATCTAATTTCTTTTCAAGGTTTTTAACTTCTTTACCATGGGTTCGAACTTCCTCCTTTAGCTTGGAGTAGTTTGATTGTCTGAAGCCTTCTTCTCTCAACTCGTCAAAGTCATTCTCTGTCCAGCTTTGTTCCATTGCTGGTGAGGAGCTGCGTTCCTTTGGAGGAGGAGAGGTGCTCTGATTTTTAGAGTTTCCAGTTTTTCTGTTCTGTTTTTTCCCCATCTTTGTAGTTTTATCTACCTTTGGTCTTTGATGATGGTGATGTACAGATGGGGTTTTGGTGAGGATGTCCTTTCTGTTTGTTAGTTTTCCTTCTAACAGTCAGGACCCTCAGCTGCAGGTCTGTTGGAGTTTGCTGGAGGTCCACTCCAGACCCTGTTTGCCTGGGTATCAGCAGCGGAGGCTGCAGAACAGCGGATACTGGTGAGCAGCAAATGTTGTTGCCTGATTGTTCCTCTGGAAGTTTTGTCTCAGAAGAGTACCCAGACATATGAGGTGTCAGTCTGCCCCTACTAGGGGGTGCCTCCCAGTTAGGCTATTTGGGGGTCAGGGACCCACTTGAGGAGGCAGTCTATCCGTTCTCAGATCTCCAGCTGCATGCTGGAAGAACCACTACTCTCTTCAAAGTTGTCAGACAGGGACATTTAAGTCTGCAGAGGATTCTGCTGCCTTTTGTTTGTCTATGCCCTGCCCCCAGAGGTGGAGTCTACAGAGGCAGGCAGGCCTCCTTGAGCTGTGGTAGGCTCCACCCAGTTCGAGCTTCCCGGCTGCTTTGTTTACCTACTCTAGCCTCGGCAATGGTGGCCGCCCCTCCCCCAGCCTCGCTGCCACCTTGCAGTTTGATCTCAGACTGCTGTGCTAGCAATGAGTGAGGCTACGTGGGTGTAGGACCCTCTGAGCCACGTGCGGGATATAATCTCCTGGTGTGCCGTTTGCTAAGGCCATTGGAAAAGCGCAGTATTAGGGTGGGAGTGACCTGATTTTCCAGGTGCCATCTGTCACCCCTTTCTTTGACTAGGAAAGGGAATTCCCTGACCCCTTGCACTTCCCAGGAGAGGCAATGGCGTGCCCTGCTTTGGCTCATGCTCGGTGCACTGCAACCACTGTCCTGCACCCACTTTCCGACACTCCCCAGTGAGATGAACCCGGTACCTCAGTTGGAAATGCAGAAATCACCCGTCTTCTGCGTTGCTCACGCTGGGAGCTGTAGACTGGAGCTGTTCCTATTCAGCCATCTTGGCTCCACCCCTCTCTTTTTCTTTACTAGTCTAGCTAATGGTGTGTTTTGTTAATCTTTTCAAAAAAAAACAGTTCATTGATTTTTTGAAGGGTTTTTCATGTCTCTATCTCCTTCAGTTCTGTTCTGATCTTAGTTATTTCTTGTCTTCTGCTAGCTTTTGAATTTGTTTGCTCTTGCTTCTCTAGTTCTCTTCATTTTGATGTTCGGGTGTTGATTTCAGATCTTTCTAGCTTTTGGATGTGGGCATTTAGTGCTATAAATTTCCCTCTTAACATTGCTTTAGCTATGTCACAGAGATTCTGGCATGTTGTCTCTTTGTTCTTGTTGGTTTCAAATAACTTCTTTATTTATGCCTTAATTTCTTATTTACCCAGTAGTCATTCAGGAGCAGGTTGTTCAATTTCCATGTAGTTACATGGTTTTGAGTGACTTTCATAATCCTGAGTTCTAACTTGATTGCACTGTGGCCTGAGAGACTGGTATGATTTCCGTTCTTTTTTCTTTTCTTTTCTTTTCTTTTTTTTTCAGCTGGAGTCTTGCTCCTTTGCCCAGGCTGGAGTGCAGTGGTGAGATCTTGGCTCACTGAAACCCCTGCTTCTTGGGTTCAAACGATTCTCCTGCCTCAGCCTCCCAAGTAGCTGGGATTACAGGCATGCGTCACCATGCCTGGCTAATTTTTGTATTTTTAGTAGAGGCAGAGTTTCACCATGTTGGCCAGGCTGGTCTCAAACTCCTGACCTCATGATCTGCCCACCTCAGCCTCCTAAAGTGCTGGGATTACCGGTGTGAGCCACTGTGCCTGGCCAATTTCCTTTCTTTTGCATTTGCTGAGGAGTGTTTTACTTCCAATTACACAGTTGATTTTAGAATAAGTACTATGTGATGCTGAGAAAAATGTATATTCTGTTGATTTGAGGTGGAGAGTTCTGTAGATGTCTATTAGGTCTGCTTGGTGCAGAGCTGAGTTCAATATCCTTGTTAATTTTCTGTCTCATTGATCTGTCTCATATTGACAGTGTGATGTTAAAGTATCCCACTATTATTTTGTGGAAGCCCAAGTCTCTTTGTAGGTCATTAAGAACTTGTTTAATGAATCTGGGTGCTCCTGCATTGGGTGCATGTATATTCAGGATAGTTAGCTCTTCTCATTGCATTGATCCCTTTCCATTATTTAATGCTCTTCTTTGTCTTTTTTGATCTTTGTTGCTTTAAAGTCTGTTTTATCAGAGACTAGGATTGCAACCCCTGCTTTTTTTTTTTTGCTTTCCATTTGCTTGGTAAATATTTCTCCATGCCTTTATTTTGAGCCTAAGTGTGTCTTTGCATGTGAGATGGGTCTCCTGAATATAGCACACTGATGGGTCTTGACTCTTTATCCAATTTCCAACCTGTATCTTCTAATTGGGGCATGTAGCCCCTTTACATTTATCGTTAATGTTGTTATGTGTGAATGTGATCCTGTCATCATGATGCTAGCTGGTTATTTTGCACATTAGTTGAAGCAGTTTCTTCATAGTGTCATTGATCTTTATATTTTGGTGTGTTTTTGCAGTGGCTGGTACCGGTTTTTCCTTTCCATATTTACTGCTTCCTTCAGGAGCTCTCGTAAGGCAGGCCTGGTGGTGACAAAATCCCTTAGCATTTGCTTGTCTGTAAAATATTTTTTCCTTTGCTTATGAAGCTTAGTTTGGCTGGATATGAAATTCTGGGTTGAAAATTCTTTTCTTTAAGAATGTTGAATATTGGCCCCCACTCTCTTCTGTCTTGTAGGGTTTCTGCAGAGAGATTCGCTGTTAGTCTGATGGGCTTCCCTTTGTAGGTAACCTGACTTTTCTCTCTGGCTGCCCTTAACATTTTTCCTTCATTTCAACCTAGAGAATCTGAAGATTATGTGTCTTGGGGTTGCTCTTCTCGATGAGTATCTTTGTTGTGTTCTCTGTATTTCCTGAATTTGAATGTTGGCCTGTCTTGCTAGGTTGGGGAAGTTCTCCTGGATAATATCCTGAAGTGTGTTTTCCAACTTGGTTCCATTCTCCCCGTCACTTTCAGGTACACCAATCAAACGTAGGTTTCGTCTTTTCACATAGTCCCATATTTCTTGGAGACTTTGTTTGTTCCTTTTCATTCTTTTTTCTCTAATCTTGTCTTTACCCCTCATCTCACTAAGTTGATCTACAGTCTGATATCCTTTCTTCCACTTGATCAATTTGGCTAGTGATACTTGTGTATGCTTCATGAAGTTCTTGTGCTGTGTTTTTCAGCTCCATCAGGTCATTTATGTTCTTCTCTAAACTGGTTATTCTAGTTAGCAATTCCTGTAACCTGTTATCAAGGTTCTTAGCTTCCTTGCATTGGGTTAGATCATGCTCTTTAGCTCAGAGGAGTTTGTTTTTACCCACCTTCTGAAGTCTACTTCTGTCAATTCATCAATCACCGTCTCCGTCTAGTTTTGTGCCCTTGCTGGAGAAGAGTTGTGATCATTTGGTGGAGAAGAGGCATTTTGGTTTTTGGATTTTTCAGCATTTTTGCATTAGTTTTTCCTCATCTTCTTGGATTTATCTACCTTTGATCTTTGAAGCTGATTTTTGGATGGGGTTTTTGTGTGGGGGTCCTTTTTGTTGATGTTGATGTTGTTGCTTTCTGTTTGTTAGTTTTCCTTCTAAAAGTCAGGCCCCTCTTCTGCAGGTCTGCTGTAGTTTGCTGGCAGTCCACTCCAGACCCTGTTTGCCTGGGTATCACCAGTGAAGGCTGTAGAATAGCAAAGATTGCTGCTTGCTCCTTCCTCTAGAAGCTTTATCCCAGAGGGGCACTGGCCTGATGCCAGTCAGAGCTCTCCTATATGAGGTGTCTGTCAACCCCTGTTGGGAGGTATCTCCCAGTCAGGAGGCACAGGGGATCAGGGACCCACTTGAGGAGGCACTCTGTCCTTCAGCAGAGCTTGAGCACTGTGCTAGGAGATCTTTCCTTGTCAGGATCCACTGCTGTCTTTGGAGCTGGCAAGCAAGAACCTTTAAGTCCGCTGAAGCTGCGCCCACAGTCTCCCCTTCCCCCAGGTGCTCTGTCCCAGGTAGATGGGAGTTTTATCTATAAGCCCCTGACTGGGGTTGCTGCCTTTCTTTCAGGCATGTTCTGCCCTGTGAGGAAGAATCTAGAGAGAAAGTCTGGCCATAGTCACTTTGCCGTGCTGTGGTGAATTCCACCCAGTCCAAACTTCCTGGCCTCCTTAGCACTGTCAGGGAAAAATTGCCTACTCAAGCCTTAGTAATGGCAGACACCCCTCTCCCCACCAAGCTTGATTGTCCCAGATCGACTTCAGACTGCTGTGCTTGCAGTGAGAATTTCAAGCCAGTGCTTCTTAGCTTTCTGGGCTCTGTGAGAGTGGGACCCACTAAGCTAGACCACTTGGCTCCCTGGCTTCAGCTTCCTTTCCAGGAGAGTGAACAGTTCTGTCTCGCTGGGGTTCCAGGCACCACTGGGGTATGAAAAACACTCCTGCAGTTAGCTCAGTGTCTTCCCAAACAGCCACCCCAGTTTTGTGATTGAAACCCAGGTCCCTGGTGGTGTAGGCACACGAGGGAGTCTCCTGATCTGCGGATTGCAAAAACCATGGGAAAAGCTTAGTATCCAGGCTGGATAGCACAGTCCCTCACAGCTTCCCTTGGGTAGGGGAGGGAGGTCCCCAGCACTTTGCACTTCCTGGGTGAGGTGATGCCACACCCTGCTTCTGCTCACCCTCCTTGGGCTGTACCCACTGCCTAACCAGTCCCAGTGAGATGAACTGGGTACTTCAGTTGGAAATGCAGAAATCACCCCCCTTCTGTGTTGGTCTCACTAGGAGCTGCAGACTACAGCTGTTCCTATTTGGTCATCTTGCCACATCCCCGAGTATAATCTTAAAATAAGGAAAATTCCTTTAACTGTAATAATCTTGGACCTATTTACAAACTTACTCCATTTTGTGATTTTTCTCATTTTACCATGTTCTTATGAACATATCATCTGACACCTATATCACACTGGCTGGGAATCACAGGTCTATGACCCAGTGTTTTGCCTCATGACAGTTTGCATGGAGAGGGCTGTGCTGAAAAAGTCAGGACCCTTCAGCCTTGTTTTCCAAAGGATGGAGAGTCAGTTTCCCAAAGTCAGCCCTTCTGGGCCCTCAGAGCAGTTGGCTGGTTGCATGCTTCCTATTGTTGTTCTTCATCATTTATCATGGGTGTGGAGTCATGTGAAATGTGCAAATGCTAACTCAATGTAGACAGCGAATTAGTCTTCCACAGTGACCATTTGATATGCTTATTTCCTTGAAATTCTTATACCTGTTCCTATGACACAGAACTATGAGCATATGTTCACAGACCAGATTCTCCTAGTAATACCTTTAGAGTATGGTTCACTGAGAAATCAATGACATGATAATGGAGTTCTGTCAGAGGAGGCAGGTGATGTTACTCACCAGAAATCCCAAATAGGTACTCACTGCTCCTCAACAAGTAAAGGCTCAGAACTTCCAGATCCAGTACTGTGGTCCACTGCCTCTTCTACAGATGCTCTTCTCTGCCCCAGGCCCACAGTATCTCAAGGTTACTGTGGCTTAGATAGCATTTACCTTTATATCTGAAAGAGAGTAGAGAATGAGGGGACATTTGTGTTGAGGTCCAGGAATCAGACCCATCTGGGTGTTATGGGTTATTTTATGATTACTGGAAACAAAAAAGATTTCCTTGGCACACAATATTCAGGGGGAATTCCTGATTCCTCCATCCAGCTAAATTCTCTTTCCATCGAACTAAAGCAAGTGGGGACTCCTGGAATAATGCAAGGCTTTGATGGCAAAGTCCCTGAACACGGGGAGGGGAGTCACACACATCCCTCTCTTCCTCTCAATTTCAGGACAAGGAAGGATAAGTCCACATTCTTCCTATCAAACTCTCACTAGAGATTAGAAATAGAGACTTTGAACTGTGCCTTGGGCATCTCCTCAGGCACTGGAGCAGATGTAGCTCTGAGAAGAAAACAGCATGGCCGCATCCTTTTATCCAGCTCCTGCTCTATAAATTGGCAAAGGGAACTCATCTTTTATTCTAGTTCTATATAATTTACTCCAAATTAAGGAGGAATTCTTAATTATAAATGTTAAGCAGAAGTTGCAAATATGTAAGTTTAATGCCTCTGTTTAAGAGAGGCATTAATAAGAGAAGATTGATCTTTCTTCTAAGGGTACTGGTCTTTCAAGAGAAAAGTAATCTTACACAATTGATAGAAGAGGTTAGTGCTATGATAAAATTTAATACATCCATTGTGCACCATTGAAATTATTTGACTTCACTCACTGACTGCTGTTTCTGCTAAATTGATATCTTAGATCTAAGAGTGATTTGCCATATTCTAGATAGGACTAAGCGGCCTGGTGCAAAATAACCCTGAAGTGTTCACGACTGACCCCTCAGCCCAGACAAAATCATGGAGATGCAGACCACACACCAAATTGAAGCTGAAAACGTGAGATACCTGGGATTATCACAGCCATCCAGAGAGCATCCTTCTCCATACACATAAATTAAGGCATGTGCCCTATGCCCTTTCTCCAATATGATTTTCCTCTAATCCTTGGAACCACTAGAAGAACACTAACTGCCTGACTCTCCTATTCTCCTGACAATACCACAGATGAATTAGGAACCCATTTTCCTAATTCTCTGTGTGTTGGTTTGTTTGGACAGTTACTCTAGTGAAATCGAGTCTTCACAACAAAAGATAGAGGACCCAGACTAAGCAACTTGCCTAAACCTGAGGACTAGAGTCACTTTTATCATGGCTCATTGACATGATACATTGACATATAACGCTCTCCTGAGACAGTTACACTCCCACCTTCTCCCTCTATTCCTATTCCTGGTTATTCCAAACCTCTCCTTCTCCTGTTCTTCACCTTCCAGATGTACTGGTTAGCATCTTCTCCTCATGGCTGAGAAACAATGGCTTACTATCCTGTTTGCCAATCCTTGTTCCACCTTCCTTCAAGTCTTTCTTCCTCATTCAGAGAATGAATATTATTGCTTCTCAGTTTTTTGGCTAAGATTAAGTGAGAATGAATGAGTGAATATTAATTTTATCTTGTGATTAAGTGAGAATGAATGAGTGAATATTAATTTTGTCTTGTACTTATTGTAGTAACTTCTATATAAAATTTTAAAGAGGACAACATTTCTGTCTCAACACCGTCTTGCCTTTCGCAACCTTTCAGACAAACATCTCAGGCTTCCATATTTTCCCTATTGTCTGCTCTAACGTAACATGATTTCCAGGAAAGATAATAAATTGCTCACTGTAAGGTAAAAGGTTGCAAAGTTTATGCCTTTCCAAAGAGATTTGCTTTAACACAGGACCAAAATTTCAATTTCCAATTCTGGAAATGCAAAATCAGTAAGAAATCTTGGAGAAGGACAATTTTCTGGTATCCTTTAAATTATACCCCTACAAACATTGTGTTCAAATAACAACTCACTCATGGTTCATAAAATCATTTTCATGGATTAATATCAGTTTATTTTTTAATAGAATGGAAGGAAACAAATATCAATGTACATCAATTAGAGTAAGCGTAAACTTTTTTTTAGAATTTTCATTTCCGTTTTTTATAAATGTACAACATATATATGTATATGTAATTATAAGCAAAATATATAAATGCATTTCTTGTTATGATCATCATCAAAAAGTTTGAAAGTTACCTGCCCCTCACCCCTAGATCATGTTACCAAATGCTTTTGATTCCTCTTGTGCAACTTCACTAACATGCATCCCTGCTTTTCCATCCCCATCACTGTCCACATAGGTCAGATTATTCATTTCCGTTCTGAAGTTCTACAATAATCACAAAGCCTACATAACTGCTGTCTCTTACATTTTTCTGGGTGTTTACAGTCTCTAAGTCAAATTATTTCCTAATTCAAACTCTGAAATCTGTGCAAGACAAAAATCTGAATTCCTGTGCCTAGCCCTCAACCATCTGGCCCATTTTTACCTTGCCAAACCTTATCTCCTGCAGTTACCCAACTTGCCTCCAGGCATTCTTCTCTTTTCTGCACCAGATCTCTGCTCAAACCATCCTCCTCCCACTCTTTAGCTTGAAATGGCTCCCTTGCCTCATCTTCACGGCATCTTATCAGTCCCTGAATCCTTCAAGTCTCAGCCCCCTTCCCATGTCCTTCATCCCCCAGTGAATGCATTCACTGACCACCCCATACTTCTGAGAAAGCCTTAAATCTTATTATTTTTAACCTTTTCACTGGTGCACATTATTGGTGTACTCATATTTTCTGTTACTTTCTACATTCTTATCTTACCTTTCCAAGGAGATTTTAAGTTCCTTAAAAGAAAATATATCTTAAGTTTTTCTAGCTTGTTGCACTTAGAGCAAAGGTCCTCCATAAAAATGTTTTGATTGATTTTTCCTACTGTACACATGATGCTAAGGTCACTGTGACCCAATAGTTGAAAAATTGGCCATTAATTTTAAAAATACATACTATTGTGCTTATTTTTTATTTTCCATCTTATTTCGTTTTCTAAACTAATAGTTATTATCCTTAAATCACTTCTGAGCAATTAATTTTAACTTTTTAACCAACTGTACTACTACTACTAATAATAATAATACTCATTTTTCTTTCTTCAACCCTCTCTGCAGGAAGTTTTAATGTGAAAAATAATTTAAGTCATTAAAACAATAAATACTCTGAATTGAGGTGTAATGGGTGACCTTTATGATAGTTTCTTCTCACTAGAGAGATTGACTCACAAGTTACATAAATACTTAGAAAAGATATCTATGGGGGAATTCAAACATCAGATAATGATTGAACTTTTTGAATTTACCATTTCAACCTTGAAATCCTGTAATTCTAAATTCCACTTGCTGAGTAAGTAGATTCTGAACAACCAAAAGTTGCCTGTTCCCTCCTTGCCACCTCACCTCTGAAATATGCCCTGTAATTTACTTACATTCACAATGGTTCATTAAAGTAACCATAACAAAGCTTACAGTTAATGATAAATTACAAGAAAACTAGCTCTTTAGTCTAACATTGTGTGGATTATCATTTGGATTTGTAAAAAATTATTATGTATATAGGTATTATAATGTTTATTACCCTTGTCTGGGCTTACTTATATTTTAACAAAACGAATAGTTATTCTTTATATTCCTAAAGTGTTAAGATAATGGACAGCCTGAGAAATGATAACAGTGACCCCCCTCCAACAGGAAAGACTGGGTTGAAAACACAGTGAAGATATAGCCCACATTTTATAAATCTTTGATTAAAACAGAAGAGTCATCAGTAAGATCAGTAAAAAGAAAAGGATGTCTCCTTTCATAACTTCTATTCAGCATTATACTGAAGGTTCTAGCCACGGCAATTAAACAAGAAAAAGAAATTAAAGACATCCAAACTGAAAAGAAGTAAAACTAACTCTATTTACAAATGACATGATCTTGTATATAGAAAATCCTAAGGAATACACACATATACACACACACACAAACTATTAGAGCTAATAAATTAGTTCAGTGAGGTAACAGGACACAAGATCAATATACAAAACTCAATTATATTTCTGTACACTAGGAATGAATAATCTGAATATAAAATTAAGAAAATAATTCCATTTAAAATAACACTAAAAGGAATAAAATACTTAGAAATAAATTAAAGAGTTGCAACACTTTGTACTAAACACTACAAAACACCATTGAAACAAATTTTAAAAGGCCTAATTAAATGGAGAAACATTTTATCATCACCGGTCAGAAGACTTAATTTTTTTAAATGGTGATACTCTACAAATTATCTAGAAATTCAATGAAATCCTTATCAAAATCTCAGCTGGCTTTTTTTTTGAACAAATTGACAAGCTTATATCATAATTCATATAAAAATTTAAGGAATATAGAATAGCCAAAAAATAATAAAAAATGAGGATCAAACTTGTTTGACTTATATTCCCAGATTTCAAAACTTGGCATAAAGATAGACATACAGATTAATGAAATAGACTTGAGAGTTCAAACACAAACTCATACATTCATTAATGAGGTAACTAATTTTCCACAAGGGTGCCAAGACTATTGAGTGGAGAAAGAATAGTCTTTTTCAACAAATGGTCCTGTGACAACCAGATATCCACATGAAAAGAATGAATTTGGACCCCTAACTAACACCACATACAAAAATTAACTCAAAAGAGATCAAAGGCCTAAATATCCAGCTAGGATTATAAAACTCTTAGAACATAACATCGGTATAAATCTTCATGACCTTGGATTAGACAATGGTTTCTTAGATTTAACACCTAAAGCATAAGAAAGAAAAGTGTATATACATTTGACTTCATCAAAATTAAAAACATTTTTACCTTAAAGGATACTTTTCAGAAAATGAAAAGACAGCTCACAGATACAAAAAGATATTTGCAAATCATGTATTCAGTAAAGCTCTAGTATCCAGAATATATACAGAAGTTGTATGATTCAACAATTTAAAAAAAAAAACAATTTAAAAACGAACAAAGAGCTTGAATAGACATTTATCCAAAGAAGACATACAAATGAACAATAAGTACATGAAAAGTCATTCAAGATTGTTAGTCATTAGTGTTAGTCATTGGGGGAATAAAAACCACAGTGAAATATTACTTCACAGCCACTAGGATGGCTATAATGAAAGGAGGAACAAGATGTGTCGGCAAAGGTGAAGAAATTGAAAACCTCACACATTGCTGTTGAAATGCAAAATAGTATAGCCACTTGGAAACAGTTTGTCACTTCCTCAAAAAGTTAAACACAGAGTTACCATATGACCCAGCAATTCCACTCCTGTATATATAACCCCCAAATTGAAAATGTACATTCACAGAAAAATTGTACAGAAATGCTCAGAGCAGCATTATTCACAATAGCCAAAAAGTGGAAATAACCAAAATGTTCACCAACGGATGTCTGGATAAGCAATATCATTAGATAAATAATAAATTAGAATATCATTCAGCCATAAAAAGGGATAAATTACTGATGCTTGCCAAAACTTGGATGAATCTTGAAAACATTATGTTAGGTGAAAAAAGTCAGACACAAAAGGCCACATATTGTAGGATTCTATTTATAGCAAATGACTAGAAGAGGCAGATCTCTATTACAAGGACAAAAGGTAGATTAGTGTTTTTGCCAAGGGCTTGGGGGAATGGGGGCATGGGGAGTGACTGCTTATAGGTTTGGGGTTTTTCAATGATAAAAATGTTCTGAAATTAGATAATGGTGAGGAGTACACAACCTTGTGAATATACTAAAAACTACTGAATTGTACATTTTATTTAAAGGGGCAGGTTTTATGGTATGGGAATTGTATCTTAATTCAAAAATAATGAAAAAGAAAGATCAAACTACTTACAGTAGATCAAACCACCTGTAGTTATCTGTGAACACACTTGACTTATGCTTGCAACCAGTGCTATCAAACTATCAGTGGTTTAGAACCAATTTTTTTTTCAATTTCCTCTCAGTTTTGGACCAATACTTTTAAAACTACAATAGGAAGAAATTACTAGCAGAACAAAATAAACACACTTAAAATTACTCTGTTAAATTGCTATGAGAGTTCCTAAAAGTTTACTCTCAATTGCCGTGCTTATTTCATTATGGACTGGGTAAGAAACAGTTTGTAGGTCAGCATGGGTCCATGGCCCACACTTTGAGTATCACTGTTTTAGACTATATATTCTTCAAGGACAGAGGCATGTTTTATTCACCTCTGAATCTGCTCAGGTAGCGCAAAATGGGCACGGGTAGGAAAGATTGCTCACTGGTTAAATTGAACCAATCAACCTACTTCTAATGGCAGCTTCAGCAATAAACAAATCAATCGATTCAGGCCACCAGTGTTAGAAACTTGCTAGGATCAGCTCAACTCCTAATCAATCGTGTATAGGGCCATGGGTTCATAATAACAACATTATGCTTCCACATTAAATGGCAAATGTGCTTTCTTCATTTCACATGTTTATACCTTACCTCCATTAAGTGGGTGGCATCATTTAGGAAATAAATAACATATAATCAAAACAAAGCCAAAAATAGAGGCAAGAATCCTTTCAGCTCTCAAGTGGCAAATCATTTCAGTGTTGAACTTTGATATACAATTCATAGATTATTTACAGAAAGTGCTTTCTAATGTTGCTAAGAATAGCCCTAGTTTTTTGTTTTTTGTTTTTTTTTAAGATGGAAAACAGTGTGGAATTTGAAAAATGTTTTAAAATTCCTTTACCTGAAATGCCAGCAATTATGCAAGTAGCTACCAGACCAAGAGAGTGTTTGCGAAACAGAGTTGAAAACTGGGCTAGGGTACCGTAACAGATTTTCTAATACCTGTTCATTATTATTGCAAAGGGCATGTGGAGCTATTATTTTAAATCTCTACACACCCTATCAGCTAGTCTGAGAGGATTTTAGCTGACAAGGCCCTGGGAACAAGATTTTTTCAGGCTTAGTTATGTGGCTGATTCTATCTGAGGCCTGAAAAAATACACTCCATTTACTTGATCACCGCCAGAGAGGAAACAAAGATTCCTATGTGTGGCCCCCTTTAAAGAAGTGGAACAGTGCTATGCTAGGTACAACAGAGTCAGCCAGCCTGGAACAGAAGCCACAGCAGCTTTGCCCAGATTAGAGCTGTAATTCCACGTTCCAAAATGTCTGGCCACCAAAGGACAGCCTTTTCATAGGAGTGTGTTATTACTTTTTATTTGTTAGAGGGGATGTTATTCTACTTCCTGAAAGAAATAAATAAAGTGAGATTATGTGAGTCTGGCCAACTTTATATCCTTACATATTAACACTTAATTAGGTAACTCTGATTTATTATACTGCTGAAGAATTTGTAAAGCAAGTAAATGGCTACATAAAGTTTCTCACATAAATGTAAGGATAGAAACTTCCATAAAGATGATTTAATATAGTGCATTATGTCATAGTACAGACAAACAGCAGTAATTTGTCTTGTTTTACAGAAAATTTACTGTGTGGAAAATGAGGAGTGCTAAGTTATATTAGCCAAAGAACAATTACTTATCAATGTTTTTTATAATGACAGTGTGTTTCTCCTTTGGCATATGCACACACACAAACACAGAGGGATACACACAGTATAACTTGACAAAGAAGCCATTCCTTTAGAATGCTGGTACAATTGTTAGCATTTCATGTAAAAGAGCTTTTCCAATATTTTTTCAAACTCCTTCCCTCTCTTTTTTCAAAAACTATGTATATAAAATTAATTGCTTAGCTTCAGAGGATGATATAGAACCAATGTATTATCTTAAAAACAGGTAAAGGGCTAGAATCAGACATTTATTTTGCCTTTCTTATATAAACTGTGCCACTATCCAAACAAATAGAAGATGAAAGCAGCATCTCTTTATGCAAGGTATTTCAACTAATAATTGAAAACCAAATGATGGAAATAGAACATCACCCTTTTGCAATCTGCAATGATTTAACGAATTGAGGCAAGGAGCGTCAATGTCTTCTAACATCAGAAAAAGACAAACAGCCAGGAATTATAGGTCAATAAAATCAAACTTGAGTCTGATCAAGTCCCTGGATTTAGCTGCCAATTTTCAGGAAATACAGAAGACAAAAGAGCATGTTGAGCTTCACTATGAGGATTCAAAACAAAAAACAAAAATTCAGACTGCAGGACACTTTGTGTTAAATGCCCTAAGTTTTTCAACAGATAAACTATAAGGCAAAGAATGAAATGGAGGATAAGTCCATAGATTAAAAGACATACAAATTTTTTAAATAGACAAAAACAATTAGAGTGTCTAATAATGCACACAAGTGATGAAACCATAAAGAAGGAAGCAACCCAGCTTGAGCAACATAGTAAGACCAGCATCTCTACAAAAAAAGAAAAAGTTAGCCAGGTGTGGTGGCACACACCTGTAGTCTCAGTTACTCGGGGGGCTGAGGTGGGAGGGTCGCTTGAGCCCTGGAGGTTGAGGATGCAGTGAGCCGTGATTGCACCACTGCACTCCAGCCTGGGCAACAGAGTGAGACCCTGCCAAAAAAAAAAAAAAACTTGGATAGAAGTTACATGGTTAATTTTCAAAAGAAGGACAGGTGTGATTGGGAAAGGTCACCTGGAGAAGCTACTAGAATGGCTGGCAAAACTATATTTTGGCCTGGGTGGAAGTTGAAAGTGTTTAACTTCAATAATTCAAAGCCAGACAATTATTTTGTGTGGTTTTTCTCGATATGTATTTTATTTCACAATAAAAAAGAAAAATATATAAGCCTTGCATGATGGTTGATACTGAGTATCAACTTGATTGGATACAAAGTATTGATCCTGGCTGTGTCTGTGAGGGTGCTGCCAAAGGAGATTAACATTTGAGTCAGTGGGCTGGGAAAGGCAGACCCACCCTTAACCTGGGTGGGCACAATCTAATCAGCTGCCAGCATGGCTATAATATAAGCAGGCAGAAAAATGTGAAAAGAGAGACTAGCCTAGCCTCCCAGCCTACATGTTTCTCCCGTGCTGGATGCTTCCTGCCCTCAAACATCAAACTCCAGGTTCTTCAGTTTTGGAACTCATACTGGCTCTCCTTGCTCTTCAGCCTGCAGATGGCCTACTGTGGGACCTTGTGATCATGTGA
Source organism: Homo sapiens (assembly GCF_000001405.40). Taxonomy (NCBI): domain Eukaryota; kingdom Metazoa; phylum Chordata; class Mammalia; order Primates; family Hominidae; genus Homo; species Homo sapiens. The sequence goes on from NC_000004.12 coordinate 102,394,610, forward strand.
GTTAATAATTAAAGAACCCCTCTTTACATATATATATGTACTATGTAAGTCACCATGTAACCTGAACTGCCTATCATGAACTGGGTGCTTTCTGACCCATCTAGCCATAAAGTAGGTGGTGCATAGCAGCATTCCATCATCAAATGGAAGTGGTATATACGTCATCGGGCTCGAGCAGGTCCTGAAGGCACAAGTAAGTTACATGAGGAAGTGGCTCAAATGCCCATGGTGTCCACTCCTGCCACCCTGCCTTCTCTCCCCTAGCCTGGACCAATGGCCTCATGGGGAGTTCCCTATGACCAGTTGACAGAGGAAGAGAAGACCAGGGCCTGGTTCATAGATGGTTCTGCACGATATGCAGGCACCACTTGAAAGTGGATAGCTGCAGCACTACAGCCCCTTTCTAGGACATCCCTGAAGGACAGCGGTGAAGGGAAATCTTCCCAGTGGGCAGAACTTTGAGCAGTGTGCCTGGTTGTGCACTTTGTTTGGAAGGAAAAATGGCCGGATACGTGATTATATACTGATTCATGGGCTGTAGCCAATGGTTTGGCTGGGTGGTCAGTGACTTGGAAGAAGCATGATTGGAAAATTGGTGACAAAGAAATTCGGGGAAGACGTATGTGGATGCACCTCTCTAAGTGGTCAAAAGCAAGATATTTGTATCCAATGTGAGTGCTCATCAACAGGTGACCTCAGCAGAGGAGGATTTTAATAATCAAGTGAATAGGATGACCCATTCTGTGGACACCACTCAGCTTCTTTCCCCAGCCACCCGTGCTGTCACCCAATAGGCCCATGAACAAAGTGGCCATGGTGGTAGGGATGGAGGTTATGAATGGGCTCAGTAACATGGACTTCTACTCACCAAGGCTGACCTGGCTACGGCCACTGATGTGTGCTCAATTTTCCAGCAGCAGAGACCAACACTGAGCCCTCAATATGGCACCATTCCTGGGGGTGATCAGCCAGCTACCTGGTGGCAGGTTGATTATACTCGACTTCTTCCATCATGGAAAGGACAGAGGTTTGTCCTCACTGGAATAGACACTTACTCTGGATATGGGTTTGCCTATCCTGCATGCAATGCTTCTGCCAAGACTACCATCTGTGGACTCACAGAATGCCTTATCCACTGTGATGATATTCCACACAGCATTGCCTCTGATCAAGGCACTCACTTTACCGCTAAAGAAATGTGGCAGTGGCTTCATGCTCATGGAATTCGCTGGTCTTACCATGTTCTCCATCATCCTGAAGCAGCCAGATTAATAGAACAGTGGAATGGCCTGTTGAAGCCACAATTACAACACCAACTAAGTTACAATACTTCACAGGGCTGGGGCAAAGTTCTCCAGAAGGTCACGTGTGCTCTAAATCAGCATCCAATATATGGTACTGTTTCTCCCATAGCCAGGATTCACGGGTCCAGGATTCAAGGGGTGGAAGTGGAAGTGGCACCACTCACCAACACCCATAGTGATCCACTAGCAACATTTTTGCTTCCTGTTCTCACGACATTATGTTCTGCTAGCCCAGAGGTCTTATTTCCAGAGGCAGGAATGCTGCCACAGGGAGACACAACAACGATCCCATTAAACTGGAAGTTAAGATTGCCACCTCGACACTTTGGGCTCCTCCTACCTTTAAGTCAACAGGCTAAGAAGGGAGTTGCAGTGTTGGCTGGGGTGATTGACCTGGACTATCAAGATGAAATCAGTCTACTACTCCACACAGAAGTCAGGAAGAGTATGCATTGAATACAGGAAATCCATTAGGGCATCTCTTAGTATTATCATGCTCTGTGATTAAGGTCAATGGGAAACTACAACAGCCCAATCCAGGCAGGACCACAAATGACCCAGACTCTTCAGGAATGAAAGTCTGGGTCACTCCACCAGGAAAAAAAAAACCATGACCTGCTGAGGTGCTTGCTGAAGGCAAAGTGAATACATAATGGGGTAGTAGAAGAAGGTAGTAATCAATACCAGCTACAAACACATGACCAGTTGCAGAAACAAGGACAGTAATTGTTTTATGTATCTCCTATTTCCTCCTTCTTTTGTTAAAAGCATGTTTGTGCATGTATACACTTGTACTAAGAAAATATCTTCATTTTATTACTTTCTCCTTTATCATGTGACATAAGATTTATTGACTTCACATCAGCATTTAAGTATGGTTAACTTTATATAATAGTATTTGGGTTGAGGATTGGTGCGTTTCCAGTTGTACGAAGGATAGTTGTATTATATTAGGTGTAATAATGAACTTATTTTCGTTTTTATTTGAAGATTATGTATGGTCTCAGGAGATGTGTATGGGTTCAAGTTGACAAGGGGTGGACTTGTGATGGTTAATACTAAGTGTCAACTTGATTGGATGCAAAGTATTGATCCCGGGTGTGTCTTTGAGGGTGCTGCCAAAGGAGATTAACATTTGAGTCAGTGGGCTGGGAAAGGCAGACCCACCCTCAATCTGGGTGGGCACAATCTAATCAGCTGCCAGCGTGGCTAGAATACAAGCAGGTAGAAGACTAAACTGGCTTAGCCTCCCGGCCTAAGTCTTCCTCCTTTGCTGGATGCTTTCTGCCCTCAAACATCGAACTCTAAGTTCTTCAGTTTTGCAACTAGGACTGTCTCTCTTTGCTCCTCAGCCTGCAGATGACCTATTGTGGGACCTTGTGATCATGTGAGTTAATACTTAGTAAACTTCCCTTTATGTGTATATATCTTCCATTAGTTCTGTCCCTCTAGAGAACCCTGACTAATAAACCTGTAATTTAAAACAAAATCCTGGCGAGGCGTGATAGCTCACACCTGTAATGCCAGCACTTTGGGAGGCCAAGGTGGGAGGATCAAGAGGTCAGGAGATCGAGACCATCCTGGCCAATATAGTGAAACCCCATCTCTACTAAAAATACAAAAATTAGCTGGGCATGGTGGCGCATACCTGTAATCCCAGCTACTTGGGAGGCTGAGGCAGGAGAATTGCTTAAACCAGGGAGTCAGAGGTTGCAGTGGGCCAAGATCACATCACTGTACTCCAGCCTGGCAACAAAGCGAGACTCTGTCTCATCACTCACGTGGAAAACACCACAGAGGCTCAGAGCAGTGTTTTCTCCATGTAATTTACTGTGTGATACCTTTCTCCTAAATGAGGGGTTGTAAGTAGAACTTGGGTTTTTAATTCCTTTCATACCCCCAAAGTATACACCTGAAATTGGCTCTGTGATTAGTTATCTCATTCTCAGTCACATATCAGCTTTGCTGGCAACTAATATTATTATACAAATATTTTACAGAAATTCTGGCTAAAAGCTATATATAGTTTCTGGCTACAGATTTTGACAATACCCTGACTTCCTAGCTTCTATTCTTGTCTCCTTGCAACCAAAATGATTGTTTTTAAAAAACAAATGAAAACACTATGAGCACTTTAGGAAAAGACTTCCTAATTTCTCACAAAATGAAACATATTCAATGACCCGTCAATTTCACTCCCAGATATTTACCCAAGAGAAAAAATAGTATACACTTACACAAAGATTTGTACAAGAATGTTGAGCACAGCTTTATTCATAAACTACAGACAGCCCAAATGTCAATAGAATACATAAACTGTGGTATATTTATATAATAATAATAGTACTCCACAATAAAAAGTAATAAAGTACTGATACATGCAACAACATGGATGAATTTTTAAAATATTATGTTGACTGCAAAACACTTTATCAATAAAGTACATACCATATTAATATATTTATATGAAATTCTACAACAAGCTGCACTAACCAATGATGAAAAACAATCAGTATACTGGTTGCCTCTGAGGCAGTGAGTACAGAGATTGACTGGCAATGGTCACAAGGAAACTTCCTAAGGTGAAGGTAATGGACTGTATTTTTATGGAAGTTTGAGTTGCAGAGGTGGAAATATTTGTCAAAAGTCAGCAATTTAAGCATTTCATTTTATGTAAATTTTTAATCAAAATGAAAGAACACAGGCCAGGTGTGGTGGCTCACACCTGTAATCCCAGCACTTTGGAAGGCCAAGGTGTGAGAATCGCTTGAGCCCAGGAATTGAGACCAGCCTGGGCAACATGGCAAAACTGTCTACAAAAAATACAAACATTAGCTGGGCATGGTGGTGCGTGCTTGTGATCCCAGCTACTCAGGAGGCTGAGGTGGGAAGATCGCCCGAACTCAGGAGGTTGAGGCTGCAGTGAGCTGAGATTGCACCACTGCACTCCAGCCTGGGCGACAGAGTGAGACCCTGTCAAAAAAAGAAAGAACCCAAAACTCTAGGTAATGATCTACATACTGAAGTATTTAGGAGTAAATATACTGGAGTCTGTATATTATTTTGAAATAGGTCAATCAATCTGACCGATTAATGGATAGTTAGAGGAATTAACAAATGAATAGATATGTGATAAGACAGGTTTTGTAAAATATTAACAGTAACATTGGTGAGCATACAAGTGTTCACTGTAAAAATTCTTTCCACTTTGTTGTATGCTTAAAATTACTGTAATAAAAATGTTGGGCAGGAGGAGCAAATGAGATCATATCCTTCCATATTTAGAAACCTACGGACACTTCCCATTTCATTCAGAAAAACAAAACAGGAACTCCTTCTGCCTGTAAGGACCTATGTAACTGGGCCCTATCTATCTCTTTACTCTCATTCCATATCACTCTGCTACTTTGTCATTCTTTCCCAATGACCTTGGCTTTCTGTGTGTCCTTCAAGTATAACCAAGTTTGTTTCTCCTCAAAATGCCTACATAGGTGTTGCTTCTACCTGGGATGCTCCTTCTCCCAGATCTTCTCATTACTGCTCTCTTTTGGTTCCCTCTTGGCTCACCTGTAACCTCCTCAGAGGCCTTCCCTTATCAACTAATCAAGACTAACACACAAATGTCCCCACATTCATGCTGTCACTTTTGCCTGATTTGTGTTCCACATACCATTTATCTTCACTGGAATTATTTATCCATTTGTGAACTTCCTCACTTTAGAATTCTTCCCAATACATATTATATAATATCCCCAAGGAAATTTAGCAAGCTGCTGACATAACTGATCACCTGAGGAGTACAACCAGTATGAAAGAAAAAAATCAAATGGAAAATAATATACCACATGAAGAATTTGAAGTCAGAACAGTAAATATCCTCAACGAAATACAGAGGGTATAAGTAATATGAACCGGGATAAAGATGTCCTAAAAGTTGAAGAAATATTATAATTGAACTAAAACAATAAATTGGGTAAATAGGATATACTACTAATTAATAAATCAATAATCTGGAAGAAAAGTTGAAGGAACTCCTCCAGAAAGTATCAGAAAAGGGCGATGGGACTGAAAATTTAAAAAAATAAGACAAAACAAAACTAAGGGATATAAAGAATAGAAGTATAAATGCCAACATCTTGAAAATAAGACTTTCAGAAAGAGAGAAAATAGCAATTTGAGGTGAAGAATTATTTCCCTTGTGGAGAAACTTAAGACTCTATGAGAAGACATTTTAAATGAATAATTAAAGTGATATCTCATGTTCTTGAATGGGGCAACTTAATTTTATAAAGTTATCAATGCTCAGCAAATTAATCTACAATTTTGAAATGATGCCAATAGAAATTCTAGTGAGATCTTATTAGGAACGTGATGAAATAATCCTAAAATTGATACAGAAGAATAAATGCCCATAAATAGCTAAAACAACTTAAAAAAAAAAGAGCAAGGAGAACTTTCTTTCTGGATACTAAAATATGTAATAGTGTAAGAAAACACACTATAATAGTGCAGGAATAGAAAGTAGAACAATGTATCAGAGTAGACAACTCAGAAGATCATTGCATACATGAAAATTTACTACTTGATGAAAAAGGCACAAATCAATGAGGATAATAAAGACTGCTGCAGTCAATATCAATGGAAAACTAAGTCACTATATGGACAAAAGGCCTAACACCACATAAACATGGGATCACAGATGCATTGAAGACCCAGGACTGAAAGATAAAACGACATATTTTAGAGAGCTGGAGTAGGACAATATTTGTAATTCTTAGACAAAAATCCCAATAGTACAAATTATAAGGTAAAATTTGATGAATTTGATTGGATGAAAAATAAATATGTCTTTCCAGTAAGTGACATTGTAAATAAAGTAAGCAAATAAATAGCAGATTGAAAGAAGTATGTGCAATTTGTAAAATTGATAAGGATCTAATATCTAAAATACACATGAATTCTTTAAAAACAAAAAGACACAGTTTAGTTATGAACAAAAGAAACCAAACTCATTGGTAGTTAGAGAAATTAAATTTAAAACAAGGATTGTCACTTTACCAAGAATTGTCAAAAATTAGCAAGCAGGTTACCGCCATATTTTGACACGGATGTAGTAATATAAGCACCCCCATGCTCGGCTGGCAGTAGTGCAAACTTGTGCTGCCTTTCTGGAGAGAAATTGCACAATCATACAAGTACATAGGGAACATATACAAGAATGCTCGTCACAGTATTGCCATTTTAAAAAATTGAAGACAATCTCACTGTCTTCCACCAGGTGAACAGGTAAGTACAATGTGATAGATGCCCAGTAAAAAATATTCCATGATATTTAGAAGGATCATGCTGTTTCTACACACAGTTACAGGGGTAGAGCTTACATCAAGAAGCTGAGCTTTAAAAAAATAAAGGATGAATGAGATAGAGTCTATAGGATAATCACATTTTTTAAAACAAACAAATAAATGGATCAAGTCCATACATAACTATTGCAGGGCCTGAGCCAAAGAATGTAAATGGAGGTTCACATGTATCTATAGATTTAAAAGTGATAAATCAAGCTGAAAGATTATTAAATGCAATATTTTATCTTTTTATTTCACAAAATATCTTCCTAATGATAAAATTGGAAAACATACATAAAGATATGTTTATATATGTATGATGAAAAGTTGGCAAAATATTAGAGATTAGACTGGACTTAATCATTATCGCACACATCTGGATGTTCTGTCAATGGGCCAACAATGTTTGGCTGAGTAATTATTTAATATTACAAACTATTTCTGAGCTACCATGTGCAGCTGTTGTAAACAACATGCTAATTCACAAATCTAAGCCACAATTTGAAGAGAAATCAAGGAAATATTCACCACTGGAAATAATACTTCATTTAGCCACAGTCTATAACATTCATACTATCTCAGAGCAAAGATTTAACAAGGTAATTTGTCTTTTCTCTTACCTGTGTTTCCACTGTTCAAATCCTCCCTGTACTTCAGACGTTATCTGCCCTAATGCTGCCAACAGCACACGCACCGCCTTTCAGTGCATTTGAACTGAGAGGATACGAGCGAGAGATACCGAGAAGTACTTTCCTGGGGACTCAATGAAGAGTCAGAAGAGTGAATATTGAGGGCTACAAATTATGTTGTGCCAGCCATGAACACTGGAAGGTGAGTGATAGAGTTTCCCAGGTATTCTATAATACATTCTTGTTTTTGTAATATTCAGAACCCTCTAACATGGGGTCTAAGTCAAGAGCCAAAGGTCAAAGGATGACAACAGTAGGATACATGCTAAATATATTAATAGAGCTCCTATGGGAAGAAGCTGAACAAAATTATGGAATGCGGTTAAAATGGATGAAGAAAGGAAGGAAGGAAGGAAGGAAAAAGAAAAAAAAAAAGAAAAGAACCTAATAGAATAATGAGGATGGTATGCCATTGAACCAAAAAGTATTATTTATTAACTCAACCTTCTCTATCTGTGGCCAAACAAAAGAGAAAAGGGTAAAGAATTAACCAAGTAGGTAGCTCTGTGGCTCAATGGATAGCTCATTGCACTTACAGTGATGAAAAAAATGAACCAAGTATTATTTGCATTTCCAGTATTTCTTGGTAGCATTTTTTCGAACAAAATTCCAAGAGATCACAATATGATAACCTTCCTATTTGATTTGTGCAGTATTATGTAAATCTTGCCATTTTTGCAAAAATATATATGAGTGCTTCATTAGTTTTCCTTAGTACATATCTTAATACTTTGATATTCAAATCAATCTCTCTCTCTCTGTTTTTGTTTTGTTTTGTTTTGTTTTGTTTTGTTTTGTTTTTTGTGGGACAGAGTCTCACTCTATTGCCCAGGCTGGAGTGCAATGGCACCATCTCGGATCACTGCAACCTCCTCCTACCGGCTTCAAGCGATTCTCCTGCCTCAGCCTCCCAATTAGCTGGGATTACAGGTGCACACCACTGATCCCGGCTAATTTTTGTATTTTTAGTACAGACAAGGTTTCACCATGTTGGCCAGACTAGTCTCGAACTGCTGACCTCAGGTGATCAGCCCGTCTCGGCCTCCCAAAGTGCTGGAGTTACAGGCGTGAGCCACTGCGCCCAGCCACAAGTCAATCTCTTGAAGTACTGTGTACTCCATCATCTGGGTAGATTTTCATTGTCTTCTATTGTTAACTGGTTTAATTATGCCTAATGTACTTTTTGCAATAAAGAGTTGAGAAGTTCAACATTGTGTTCAGTGACTGCATAAATCCATGTTTTTGTGAGATTTAGAATTTCACTTTGCAATTAGTTTGTATTTTATTGTGACATCCAAAAATCGGGAAGAGCTGATGGAGAAGGCACAAGACAGTCAGCAAAAATCCCTAGTGGTGCTAAAGGGGAAGGAAGCATAAGTGGAGATTAATCTCGTATGTAGAAGTTCATTAGTAAATATATTCATGTCATACAGACTTTCGGTTCCTTATTGCAAATTTATGATTTGGGAACTCCCTTAATGAAATTTGGGAGCAAGCAAGAACTCCCTGTATGGTTATCTCAACTTCCTTTAGTGATTATTATTAAAACAGATTGACCCAGTTGTCAGAATGTTGAATTGTGACTCTCCTTGAGCTACAAATATGGATATCCTTTAATACATGTATCTTTTATTATCAAATATAGTAATTGCAACTCTTTTCCAATATTGCTAGATCTGACAATGAGAACAGTTATGGTATTTTAAGTAAGATTGTCACAGAAAACACTGAAGGAAGAATTTCATAGAACAACACAACTTAGAAGAGCAGCCAGATATATAACTGGGGCTGACTGGGAAGGGGATCATATTGACAGCATAATCAAAGGGAAGACTATCATTTAACCTGTTCAGAAACATGGATCCAGGCTGTTAGCAGCATAAACAAATGAAAATAAAAGGAATGTATACTAGAACCACAAAAATTAAGCAACCAAGCAAACAAACAAATAAAATTCTACTAATTTATAGTTTTCAATATTTTTTAAAATCTTTGAACCCATAAAACCTGTACCAAAATTCTTTGCCTTACCTTGGCATTCAAGTTCTACTGACCCATTGTATTTTACTCACATGTTTAGAAATTTTCTACTAGGCCAGGCGCAGTGGCTAATGCCTATAATCCCCGCATTTTGGGAGGCCGAGGGGGGCAGATTACCTGAGGTCAGGAGTTCAAGACCAGCCTGATCCACATGGAGAAACCCCATCTCTACTAAAAATGCAAAAATTAGACCGGCGTGGTGGTGCATACCTGTAATCCCAGCTTCTCGGGAGGCTGAGGCAGAAGAATCACTTGAACCCAGGAGGTGGAGGTTGCGGTGAGCTGAGATCGTGCCATTGCATGCCAGCCTGGGCAACAAAAGCAAAACTCTGCCTCAAAAAAAAAAATAAAAATAAAAATAAAAATCCTACTACTAAAATTATTTACCAGCTGACTCAATTATTTAGGAGCTGACTATTCAAATGGTCAGTTGGATTTCTTGAGCTTTTTTTACTCTTCTTCTCTTTTATTGTATGTTGGGCAATTCTGTCCTGAATTTCAGTAAGATACAAAGAAGCAGAAAGATTAATTACTCAGTTTCAGGAAGTCTAGTAAAAGTTTTGTGAGAACAAAAGTGTATGCTATCCTCTTAGCCAGCATTCTCCAAAGAAACAGAACCAACAGGATGTGCAAAGAGAGAGTGAGAGAAACAGAGAGAGATTTAAGTAATTGGCTCACACAGTTGTGGAGGCTGGCAAGACCAAAATCTGTAGGGCAGGCCAATTCCCTGGAGACCCAGGGAATTGCAGTTTAAGTCTGAAGGCAATGTACTGGCTGACTTTCCACTTCTTTAGGGGTCAGTGACAGGGGTCAAGGGGAGTAATCTTTTCTTTTATGGACTTCAACGGTTTGGATGAGGTTCACCCACATTATGGAGGGTAATCTGCTTTACTCTGTCAGAGTCTACTAATTAAACTGTTAATCTCATCTAAAATATGTCTTTATGGAAACATCTAGAATAATGTTTGACCAAGTATCTGAGTACAGTGACCTAGCCAAGTTGACACAAAACATTTATCATCACAGCTATCCAATAAAATTTAGTGAAATTTAGTACTGTTTGGAAGGGCAAAGGAATTTATCTCTAGAGTCAGTTACAGTTCAGTAGAAATCCATTACTCCCAAACCTCTCTGTGACCTTAGACACTAAGCTAATAATAATTTCTTGACCTCTAAATATGGGAATAAATCTTTCTTTACTTCCTAGGATTATTGTGAGCATTAAATGATTTAATCAATATTGTTTAACACATCCTAGATGCTCAATAAATATTACCTGATTATTATTTTATTATTATTTTAAAGCATATTGAGCTTTTTTAACCTCCATATTTTATAATTGAGTTATGAAACAGATAATTGTAAGATAAATGTATATTTTATATTTTCTCCTCAAATAATATCAGCAAATTAGCATGCATTCTTTACTAAAAGAAATATCAGAATGTATCAAACTGTCTCATAAGTTGGCTGCCCAGTTGTCTAGGCATTCTTATTGTAAAAGTAACATACGGTTATTACTGAAAAATAAGAAAATACAGGTAAACATAAAACACAAAATAATAAATCTCTCTTTCTACACACACACACACACACACACACACACACACAACACACATACACACACACCAGAATATTGAATTGGAAGCTGCAACTGAAAATCCAAGATACAAGAGATAACAGACATAAAACTGAGTTTTGAGGCAGACACTAAGATACAAATTTCAAAAGAACTATTCAAGAAGTACATGCATAACACTTTCTTACTGGATTGAAAGGAGAAGAGTTTGAGAGAAATTTATGAGATTTCTTTGGTGATAGCTCTTCAGATAAGAGGTCACAGTAAGCCCGCAAGTGAAGGCTGGGGCCCTGCATCACTCACTCTGCCTTTAGGCATATTAAAGGCCCAAAAGTAATTATGGTCCTTAATTAAATCCTCAATACCAAATCCCTGGATTTAGTACCTTCTTTAATTGAATAGCATGCCTGGGCCAGACTAATATATGGTAACAGCCCACAGTGACAGCTATACAGACATTCATCATTTTGTGAGTGCAGCCTCTGTAGTCTCTAATCCCCATGACGGTAAATCACTAACTCTCTGATGTAGGATTTCGTTTTTGTTCAGTGTGCTTTATTTGTTTTTGTTTTTGCAGTGGTGGTGCAATGTGGGGAAGAGAGGGAGCTATTACACCAAACTCTTCTTCCCTTGATTTAGTAGGGCTGAAAGACCACTGACAAGATTTAGGGCTGTGACCCACATTCATGTGCTAGGGATTAACAGGTAAGTGTGTATGACAGTTTGTGCTGCACAAAACTCAACTGTCAGTCTGGCCATCTTTGCCAGCTCATGCATTATTTTTCCATTCTGTAACATGAGAATAGATGTAGTCTCCTGCTCAAAGAAAAGAAAGGAGGCTGGTGTCTTTATTGAAATCTCCTCTAGGAAGGTTCAGCTTCTAATTCACTCCATAGCATAAATTCCTGGAATATATTTGCAGTACATGTAACTACTCAAGAGCCTAAAACCAGGGCTCATTATGTGACTTGCCTTTCTTTGATTGTTGATTATTTTTTCTTTCTAGTTTGAAGCTGTAGTTGAAAGTTCTCTTCAAAGAGAATATCAGTCAATACATAACCTCAGATCTATCAGAGCTAGACTGATTCTCAGAGCTGATGGATTAGACAGATATGGTTGAAGGCCTTTCAGAGATGAGATGAACCTCATCATTACTGGAGTGCTAAGTCACCCAGTGACCCTCAAGAATATTGCTTTATTACCACTTCCTAGGAAGTATGTCCTTTTGTCAAATCAAAAATCTTGCCACACCACAAGACTCTAGCCTACAAGATGAAACTTTTATCTCACAGCAGCCTGTTAAGTCCTTGTCCTGCAACACTCAGCTTATTCTGGACTCCCTAATTGTGGGGATTTTCACATCAGCCACTTTCTGCTTTCTGCTTCCTCTTGAACCCCACTGAGAAGGCTCCTGGCGTGCCTTGTTGTGTGCTGAACATGGTGCCACAGATTCCAATGTAAGTGTGTATCTTTCCCTAACCTCCCAATTTTTTGGCCTACCCTTATATCTATGCCAACAGCACAATAAAAAATGGAACCCTATTTTCCCTTACATCGATGAAAATTAAATGATCCACAGCTAAACATCTGTTTCATGATTAATCATTATGGTACTATCATCATGTGCATTTAACATCCCTCCTTCCTGCACCACACATGCACACACACGTGCACACAGGATTTAGAGCTGGAAATAACTCTGATATGGGCAGGCATTTGTCACTTGGGGTAAAGGGCAAGGGAACTAACATTTTTAAAATGCTTACAAGACAGAGTAGCATCATGAGTCCTGTGGTGCAGTGGAACAAGAACAGGCTGTCAAGTACAACCGGTGTAGTTTGAATCCTGGCTTAGCCACTCACTCTTTATGACTTCAGGCATATTACTTACCTTCTTTGTACCTCACTTCTTCCTCTCTTACATGGGAAAATAGTTCATGCTTTATAAGGTAAGGAGATAAAAAATAATGAACATGCAACATGTAGCGCATGATCAAAAAAACATAGCTATTATAATTGTCTCCACTTTTCAGAATAGGAAATTGAGGCTTAAAAGAATGTAAACAAAGGCCACACAATTTCTTAATTTAAAATATAGTCATTCACACATGCACACATATTTTATAGCAGCACAATTTGCAACTGCAAAGATAGGAAACCAATCAAAATATCCATCAACCAATGAGTGGATAAAGAACATGCAATATACACACAATATGTAATACTGCCTAGCCATAAAAAGGAATGTCTTTTGCAGCAACTTGGATGGAGTTGGAGACCATTATTCTAAGTGAAGTAAGTCAGGAATGGAAAACCAAATATCATATGTTCTCACTTATAAGTGGGAGCTAAGCTATGAGGATGCAAAAGCATAAGACTGATATAATGTACTTTGGGGACATGGAGGGGAAGGGTGGGAATGGAGTGAGGGATGAAAGACTACATATTGGGTGCAGTGCACACTGTTTGGGTGACAGGTGCACCAAAATCTCAGAAATCTCCACTAAAGAACTTATTCATGTAACCAAAAACTACCTGTACCCCAAAAACTATTGAAATAAAAATTAAAATTAAAAGAAAATTCTGATGTCTTTCTCTCTATATATATGTGTATATATATGTATACATATATAAATACTATATATGTGTATCTATGTATATATGTATACATATGTATACATATATAAATACATATATATAGTCATTTTATATATATATAGTCATTCAACGTTCAGTCACCTTTTGATTGAGATATATGTGCTTGATACTGATGAATATGCATGTGTTTGTTTCTCCAAGCAAGATTTTTCAAATAAAGTGTTTCAAAGGACAGGCCATAGGCTGGGGAAAATTCTGCATGCCTCCCACTTCTCAGCAGTTTCCTTTATTCTCCTCCCTCCTCATGCCAAAACACCCTACATATGTATATACATATGTATACATATGTATACATATATAAATACTATATATGTGTATCTATGTATATATGTATACATATGTATACATATATAAATACATATGTGTATTATATGTATATAAACACATATATGTATATACACATATATAAACACACATATATGTATATATACACATATATAAACACACATATATGTATATATACACATATATAAACACACATATATGTATATATACACATATATAAACACACATACATGTATATATACACATATATAAACACACATATATGTATATATACACATAAACACACATATATGTATACATACACATATAAAGACACACATATGTATATATAAACACACATATATGTATATGTACATGTATAAACACATATATGTATATGTACACACATAAGCACATATATGTATATGTACACACATAAGCACATATATATGTATATGTGCATACATAAGCACATATATATGTATATGTGCATACATAAACACATATATGTATATGTGCATACATAAACACATATATGTATATGTGCATACATAAACACATATATGTATATGTGCATACATAAACACATATATGTATATGTGCATACATAAACACATATATGTATATGTGCATACATAAACACATATATGTATATGTGCATACATAAACACATATATATGTATATGTGCATATATAAACACATATCTGTATATGTACGCATGTATGTATGTGCATATACACATATATGTATGTATGTGCATATACACATATATGTATGTATGTGCATATACACATATATGTATGTATGTGCATATACACATATATGTATGTATGTGCATATACACATATATGTATGTATGTGCATATACACATATATGTATGTATGTGCATATACACATATGTGTATGTATGTGCATATACACATATGTGTATGTATGTGCATATACACATATGTGTATGTATGTGCATATACACATATATGTATGTATGTGCATATACACATATATGTGTGTTTATGTGCATATACACATATATGTGTGTTTATGTGCATATACACATATATGTGTGTTTATGTGCATATACACATATATGTGTGTTTATGTGCATATACACATATATGTATGTATGTGCATATACACATATATGTATGTATGTGCATATACACATATATGTATGTATGTGCATATACACATATATGTGTGTTTATGTGCATATACACATATATGTGTGTTTATGTGCATATACACATATATGTGTGTTTATGTGCATATACACATATATGTATGTATGTGCATATACACATATATGTATGTATGTGCATATACACATATATGTATGTATGTGCATATACACATATATGTATCTATGTGCATATACACATATATGTATCTATGTGCATATACACATATATGTATCTATGTGCATATACACATATATGTATGTATGTGCATATACACATATATGTATGTATGTGCATATGCACATATATGTATGTATGTGCATATGCACATATATGTATGTATGTGCATATGCACATATTGTATATACACATACATATACGTGTATATCTCTATATATACATATATATGTATACATAGGTAACTGAACGTACAGGTATGAACCTGTACCCCAAAAACTATTGAAATTAAAATTAAAATCAAAAGAAAATTCTGATATCTCTCTCTATATATGTGTACATATATATACACACCTATATATGTGTATACATATATACACACCTATATATGTGTATACATATATACACACCTATATATGTGTATACATATATACACACCTATATATGTGTATACATATATACACACCTATATATGTGTATACATATATACACACCTATATATGTGTATACATATATACACACCTATATATGTGTATACATATATACACACCTATATATGTGTATACATATATACACACCTATATATGTGTATACATATATACACACCTATATATGTGTATACATATATACACACCTATATATGTGTATACATATATACACACCTATATATGTGTATACATATATACACACCTATATATGTGTATACATATATACACACCTATATATGTGTATACATATATACACACCTATATATGTGTACGTGTATACATATATACACACCTATATATGTGTACGTGTATACATATATACACACATATATATGTGTCCACATATATGTGTGTGTACATATATACACACACATATATATGTGTATACATAGATACACACATATATACATATACATACATATATATCTCTATATATGTATACATAGGTAACTGAACGTTGAATGACTATATATACTATATATAGTCATTACGTATATATACACTGTATATAGTCATTATATATATACACTATATATAGTCATTATATATATATGCACTATATATATAGTCATTTTATATATATATAGTCATTCAACGTTCAGTCACCTTTTGATTGAGATATATGTGCTTGATAGTGATGAATATGCATGTGTTTGTTTCTCCAAGCAAGATTTTTCAAATAAAGTGTTTCAAAGGACAGGCCATAGGCTGGGGAAAATTCTGCATGCCTCCCACTTCTCAGCAGTTTCCTTTATTCTCCTCCCTCCTCATGCCAAAACACCCTCTCAGATGCAAATTTTGTAACCCAATCATTACTGCAGGACTTTGCTGTAAGCTACCTGTCAATTAAATTTCCCTGGAGTCTCTCAAACCACTCTACATTGCCTATTTTAAATCTATCAGTGGATGTGGATAAGGATAAATATTGTCCATAGGGAAAAAAAAAAAGCACACACACAAATAAAAGAATGAACTATACCTAACAGTGGGATAGGGGAAGGAGAGATAAAGCTTCGAAGTCACTATTAACAGTTCAGATCATCTTTGAACAAAATAGCATTTACTGAAAGTCTTTTGATAGAAATATTTCCTATCCTTTCATAAATTTGTTCTTTCTTGTTAGGTGTTTCCTTTTTCCTTTTTTTCTTTTTGTTTTACCAATTCCACTATTGAGAAACTTATTAGATGTTTACTGAAAAGGGCTGGACCATTTTCGGAACTTGTGCAACCTTCAAAATTCTTAGTTTATTCAATATGTAGAGCTTCCACTATTGCTTAACTGCCACACCCTTTTCAAATTCCTTAGAAACTTGTAAATCTGAAACCAATCAGAGATGGTTAATTCATTTCATACAGTCCCAAATGCCAAAATACATTTTTTTCATGGAAAATTCAAGCTATTCCCAGATGTCAACCATAAACATGCATTTTCCTCCCCTTTTCTTCACTGTTTGGGTCATAAAACTAGTGCCACATTCACAGTAAGGAAGCAATGGCTCTAATTTTAATCTTTCATCTTGTTTTAGGCTAAACTGGAGGTCAGCTTTAAAGGGTATATTTGTTCTAGTCAGCCAACTTTATTGAGCCCTAACTATGCAGTAGGCATTGGGGAAAGTGGATGAATAAACCCAGTTTCTACTCTCAAGGATTTCAGTCTATTAATGGAAACACATTCATAGACAAATAATTATTAACAGTGAGAATCATTTCTACAGATACAAAGGAAAAGATTAAGCCTATGTAGCTTTTTGTGGCAGAGGTAGATATCAGGAAAGGAACTAGAGAAAGTTGGAAGTGTGAACACCATATGCCCAATAACTATTGAATGGATGAGCAAATTGTGGTACATCCACACAGTAGCATACCTGACAACAGTAAGAATGAACTACTGATACAGGCAACATCATGGATGAATCTCAAAAACATTATGCTCGCTGGACACAGTGGCTCATGCCTGTAATCCCAGCACATTGGGAGGCTGAGGAGGGAGGATTGCTTAAGTCCAGGAGTTAGACACCAGACAGGGCACTATAGTGAGAACATTTCTCTACAAAAAATTAGCCAAGTTAGTGGTGCATGCCTGTAGTCCCAGCTATTCAGGAGGCTGAGGTGAAAGGATCACTTGAGCCTGGGAGGCAGAGGTTGCCATGAGCCAAGATCAGGCCACTGCACTCCAGCCTGGGCAACAGATTGAGACTCTGTCTCAAAAACAAAATACAGAAACATTATGCTAAGTGCAGTATGCTGGATGTAGAAGACTACATAATGAATAATTCAATTTATATGAAATTATTTTAAAGACACAACTATAGTGACAGAAAACAAATCAGCAGATGTTGGGGCCGGGGGCAGGAGGAGGGGATAGACTGCAAGGTGACATAGGAACATTTTTGCAGAGTAATGTTCTAGATTACAATTGTAGTGCTTATATGACTATATAAGTCTGTCAAAAGCCATTGAATTGTACATACTCTTAAAAATTG
The DNA here is from genome assembly GCF_000001405.40 of Homo sapiens. Classification (NCBI taxonomy): domain Eukaryota; kingdom Metazoa; phylum Chordata; class Mammalia; order Primates; family Hominidae; genus Homo; species Homo sapiens. Next base: position 102,412,816 of record NC_000004.12, read on the forward strand.
GTAAAATTTATCATATATATTGCATTGTATTATGCCTTAATAAAGCTGACTTTTAAAAATGAATGAGTCCAATTTTGCTATATATACACAGGGCATAGGAAAGGCAGGAAGAGGTTTCTGGAGGAGACTGCAGATAGAGACAACCAAAGACAGGGAAACATAAAACAACATCAGGGAGAAGAAGGGGTTATAAGTGGTTCATTATTTCTGGAGCCGAAGTGAAAGAGTGAGGAGGACTGAGACCAGAATTAGATTATGGAAGACTTTATGGCCATTCTCATCTTCCTGTAAAAAGTGTAGCTTTGGCCTTCAACAGGAAACAGCAAAAAGAGAAAAACACACTCTCCTAATCGATGACAATATGAGATGCTCTTGAGGTAGCTTAAGTCAGATATTTACCTGGAATAAATAAATATAATTATTTACATTGTAAAATCTAAAGTGCTAGCAAGATTATTTCTCAGCAATGATGTTGGCTCCCAAGAGCACTCCAGAAAATATTCTATTTTGAATTAGAGGCAAATTCACTCTACCAAAATTTAGCAATGTCCTGACTATACACTAGCCCCACAAAGTGGTCATTTGCCCCCTAGCCAAGCCAAATTAAAAGTTTGTGACACTTTTACAACTAAATAATTTGAAAAAGTGAATTATCCATGATTAGTAGAAAAAAATGAAAATAGTGTTTTACCTAAGCATGAGAGAATAGGACAAAATAAGAAAAGTAGATTAGGACATAAAAAGAAGCTAAAATGAATAATTTTGTAAGAAAATAACCTGCCTCAACCACAGCTTTTGTCAAAGGGCTTCCCTCAGTTAATCGATATCTGAGTCTACCTATCTTGAGAGAAAGTGGCTCTTTTGCCCTCTATTACAAGAGCTGACCCAAAGAGACTCAGGGTCAGGGCTTGTCCTATACTCTGGGCCAGGTCACAATAACCAACCCTCACCCCAATACACACACACACACACACACACACACACTTTTTTGGTGTACATACCTTGCCCATGTGCTTCACCAGACATGCCTCCTGCTTCCTCCTCTAGCTCCAGAAAGCCTGTGTGTAAGCTCTGGCATCTGTCTCCTCACAGGAAAGAAAACCACTTGAAAGACATTATAGGAGCCTCATTTTACTTTCTGGGAAATTAATATAAAAGATCCATAGGTTTTAGAGATAGACTCCAATTTGGAGATGGATGCAGTAATAAAAACAACAAAAGATCACACAAATGTCACTTGTCTTCACAGTTAATACTTCCTCCTCTCCCTCTCCTCCCTTCCACTCTCTCTGTCTCTCTCTCCCTCCCTGCCCCCTCCTCTTTTGCTTGCATAGCTCCTTCACTTTATACCCATGCAGATAGAGTTGCCCAAATCAGCAAAGCAACTGTATCTGAAGTATCATGGGATAGATCTACCTCCATGTCAATATGCAGATTGTCTTGTCTTACCCTTCACACTGGAAGAATGATGATGATATTAATATTAGTAATTATAACAATAATATTTCCACTCATTAAACAACTACAACTCACCAGGCAGTCAACATTGCTAGTCCTTATAATCACCTGCAGAGCAGATGCTGCAATTATCTTTTTACAGATGAAGCACTGAGACTCATAGAGATAAAATAAGGTGCCCAAGGTCCAGTAAGGTGATAGTTGCAGAATGAAGATTGAAACGTTGATCAGTCTAACTCCAAATCTTATACTTTTTCCATAAAACACTGATGAAAAGTAAGGTGAGAAGGAAGGAAAGAACAAGAAGTCTGTTCTGTGTCCAGACATATTCAGGACCACATAGCTCCAAAGTTAGAGAAGCAAGTGCTGATGAACAAGACTTCAGAAAAATATCTATGTTCTATTCATATTCCACCAGTATTAAACCTGGCCACTGGAGAAGACAGTGTGGCGATTCCTCAAGGATCTAGAACTAGAAATACCATATGACCCAGCCATCCCATTACTGGATATATACCCAAAGGATTATAAATCATGCTGCTATAAAGACACATGCACGCATATGTTTATTGTGGCACTATTCACAATAGCAAAGACTTGGAACCGACCCAAATGTCCATCAATGATAGACTGGATTAAGAAAATGTGACACATACACACTATGCAGCCATAAAAAAGGATGAGTTCACGTCCTTTGTAGGGACATGGGTGAAGCTGGAAACCATCATTTTTAGCAAACTATCACAAGGACAAAAAAACAAACACCGCACGTTCTCACTCACAGGTGGGAATTGAACCATGAGAACACTTGGACACAGGAAGGGGAACATCACACACTGGGGCCTGTCATGGGGTGGGGGGAGGGGGAGGGATAGCATTAGGAGATATAACTAATGTAAATGACGAGTTAATGGGTGCAGCACACCAACATGGTTCATGTATACATATGTTAACAAACCTGCACGTTGTGCACATGTACCATAGAACTTAAAATACAATAAATAAATTTTAAAAAGAAAAAATAAAAGAAAAAATCTTATCCAGTAAAAAAATAATAATAAAATAAAAATAAAATAAAAAAATAAACCTGGCCACTGGGGGAGTAAAGACTTCACCCATTGTATTAGTCTATTCTCTTGCTGCTATGAAGAAATACCCAAGACTGGGTAATTTATAAAGAAAAGAGGTTTAATTGACTCACAGTTCCACATGGCTGGGGAGGCCTCAGGAAACTTACAATCATGGCAGAAGGCACCTCTTCACAGGGTGGTAGGAGACAGAATGAGTGTCAAATGAAGGGGAAAGCTCCTTATAAAACCATCAGATCTCATGAGAACTCACTCACTATCACAAGAACGGCATGGGGGAAACTGACCCCGTGATTCAATTTTCTCCCCCTGGTCGTGCCTTTGACATGTGGGGATTATCAAAATTCAAGGTGAGATTTGGGTGGGGACACAGAGCCAAACCATATCACCCATCCACCAGTCAACAATTATGATAAGGAAAATAATAGCTCCACCAAGGAGGTGATATTTAATCCAAGTCTCAAAAATAAGTTGGCATTTACCAGAGTAGGGGATTGAACATTATTTCAGATACAGCACTTTCAGTTACTAAAGCATTTCCTAAATATTATGGTGTTTAATACTAAGAAAAAGAGTGTGAGATAGGTGGGACTGTTATCGATATGTTCATTTTAAAGATTAGAAGGTTTAGGATACTGATGATCAGATAGGCTGATCTTATACCACATCACACATCCAGGCAATAGTATACATGGAAACACATTGGAGAGGAAAACTGGTTTTTGTAGGAATTGGGTTTTAAATTTTAAGGCAGAAAAAGAGGTATTTGCAGAGCACTTTTAAGCTTCTGTGCAATTCCCCCTAATTTAACACAGTAATAAGTTTTAGCTCAAAGGCTTTTTGAAGGAATAATAATTTTGAAAATCTTCCCTATTTTCTTCTACCTTTTAAGGATGTAGGGTAAAAATGCTCTCCCAAAATATAAGTGTGCTTGAATGTGATCCATCCTGTCAGCAAAGGCAGGAGTAATCATAATGTAAAGATAGATTTTTGCGTATGGCTTATGCCAATGTTTGTATTTGATGAGGATGTCTGACAGGCAGATCATATGCAAATATTTGAGCTGACCGCCTAGAAATGAGGGAACTGGGAAAGCAAAGATGAAAAGAAGGAGTTTAAAGAAAGTGGAGCAAGTTGTAGCATGTTTGGTGCAATTTGAAGGGAGCGCCAGCACTGCTTTAATTGAGTTCATGCAAATCATTTAACAAACAAACAATACCCAGGACATGGGAGGCAGGATCAGCTTCAGGAAAACTTTTCTGTTGAGTCAGAAAAGATATGAGAGAGAAATGCAGCAGCACACAGAGCAGATAGAACCAGAGTACCAAGTCAAGTTTAGGAATTGTTGAGGCCAAAGGAAGCTGCAGAGTGGACCACCAAGACAGAGCTGATAGGATTACAGGAAGCTAAGACATGTCTTTTTGAATGGAAAAATAATAATAAATATTTTTTTCAAGAGAGCAAAATGGCTTTTATTGGACATTATTGTGTTTCAGACACTGCCTTATATGCTTTATATTACTCATTATGTTTACAACAATCCCTTTAAGTTAGGTGTTACTGTCTTTATTGCATAGATAAGGAAACTAATGATGATAAAGTTGAGTGACTTGCTCAAAGTCACACTACTGGTTGAGAGCCAGCTGAGTTTCAAACACAGTCTTCTGGCTCTGTTGCCCAAGTGCTCAGTCACTCTCCTCTCTTTCTCACTCTTGGAACCTTGACTTGTGCACTAAAATATGTCCAACTTTCTCCAGATCTTCTAGTATGCTGTCTGCTATGGACTGAATTATGTCCCTCCAAATTCATAGGTTGAAGTCCTAAGCCCTATGACTGTGTTTGGGGCTTTAAGGTGGTAATTAAGGTTAAATGAGGTCATAAGAGTGAGGCCCTAATCCAGTAGGACTGGGACCCTTAGAAGAGTGAAAGAGACACTAGAGATGATGGGATGATTGCACATGTGAGGACACAGTGAGATGACAGCCATTTATCAGCTGCGGAGAGAGACCTCACCAGAAACCAACTCTGCTGAAGCCTTGATCTTGAACTTCCAGCCTCTAAACTGTAAGGAAATAAAGTTCTGTTCTTGAAGCATCCAGTCTATGGTATTTTGCTATGGCATCCCTAGCCAACTAATGTACTGTCTAGCAGTAACAAAGGCCAGCCTAGGTTATGGAGAATCAAATCAATACAGATATATTACCTGAAATATGAAATGCACGATGATACTTGGCTCTGCACCTGGGGTATTGTGCTAGACCTGGAGTTATACTATAACTTTGGAAGGTAACTGGTGAGGAAAATGGAATGATAGTTTAGTTATTAAACTTATATCTATTGAGTTCTCTCAATGAGCCAGATGTGAGGAATCTAGTGTATAATTGGACAAGATATACATGTAAACAAATAAATGTGATGCCAAATGAAGTGAACTCTATAAAGGCATAGTGGATAGAAAGTGGAATTGGAACCAGGTTAATTCGTGTTCAGATTCAAGGACTTCTAACATTATGAAATGGGGAAAATTGCCTAGTCTTCCTTTCCAAGCCTGCATTTTCTCATCTATAAAATGAGTTTAGGCTGAGGGCTGAGCACAGTAGCTCATATCTGTAATCCCGGCATTTTGGTAGGTCAAGGTGGGAGAATAGCTTGAGGCCTGGAGTTTGAGACCAGCCTGGGGAACAAAGACCCCCTCTCTACCAAAAAGAAAAAGATTTTTTTTTCAAGCAGCTGCGATATGGTAGTGAGCACCTGTAGTCCCAGCCTCAGGAGGCTAGGGTGAGTTGATTGTTTGAGCCCAGGAGGTTGAGGCTGCAGTGAGGTGAGCTATGATCATGCCACTGCACTCCAGTGGGAGCAACAGAGTGATACCCCATCTCAAAAAAATTAAAAACAAAAATAAAAGAAAGTGAGTTTAACACATACACACCCCATAAAACCACTGCGAGATTAAATGACCTATTGTAAGTAAAGTAAATTTAAAGTACATGGCACGTGGTAGGTGCTCAATAAAGTGTATATAGAGTCATCATTGTAATTATCTATGAGATCTAGTGGGGGCAAGCATAAAAGGATTATCTTCTCTATATAGAAATATCAAAGGAAGACTTCCCAGAGAAAGTAATAATCTGAGTTTTTAAAAATGAGTAGTTTATCCGGCTGATAGAGAAAAATGTATTTGAAAGTGCAGTTCGGGTACAGAAAACAGCATGGGTAAAGATAAAAAGACATAAAACCAAATTGCAAGTTAGAGCACTATATTTAATTCAACATGGTTGACCTAGAAATGGAAGGAATAGTGAATTAGGATATGGTAAACACTGTTTATCACAAAGACCCAAAATAGCAGTGGCTTAAATCTGATAGTTTATTCTTCTTTCACATGAACGTTTGAGCAGCTACGGTTCCTCTTCTCTACAGAATCATCAGAGTCCTTGGTTCCTTTTATCTTTGTCTTCATCCACATAGTCCAAGGTAGCTCACTACCAAGTCCACATTCCAGTCAGCGGGAAGGAAGACAGCAAAGGATGGAATCATCACACTTTTCAAGGACAGAAGCCAGAAGTTGAACATGTGCCTTCTATCCATATCCTCTTAACCAGGAGTTAGTTACATGGACACTGTGACCTGCAAGGGAGCCCAGAAAATGTGGTATATGCCAAGATGTTATTTTCCCATACCAAATTCTTAGTTGCAGATTTTTACATTTTTGTTCCAACACTGCCAAAATTTTACCATAAGAACTCTTTTATCAATAGTATTTCTAAGGAAATTGCTATGTTTAATACACCACAGTGTCTGCCACTAATTACTTATTCACCCAAAACTGGCTTCTCTTAGTATGACTACAGTTGGGCTCGCTGATCTGTGCACTCAGTAATCTGCCCCATGTGCTCTCTTACCTCATGTTCACTGTGAGGAGAGGAGGATCTTTATCTCATTTGAACTGAGGGAGAAGAAAAATTTCCACATCGGGTGTCTGAGCAACAACGGGTTCCCTATTGAACAGAAACCCAATGCCAAGATATTGCCAAAGTAACCCTTTCAAATTCTCCCTAGGTCAGAAGTTTATTGTCTAATTTCATAGCCATTTGATGGAAGTTGCAGTTACCATTTTAAATGTATAATGTACATTAGAATAGATAATTTACCTGTGTCATAATTAATTTATAAACTACCTGGCAGAGCGAGGTGGCTCACGCCTGTAATCCCAGCACTTTGGGAGGCCGAGGCAGGCAGATCACAAGGTCAAGAGATCGAGATCATCCTGGCCAACATAGTGAAACCCTGTCTCTACTAAAAATACAAAACTTAGCTGGGCGTGGTGGCACATACCTGTAATCACAGCTATTTGGGAGGCTGAGGCAGGAGAATCACTTGAACCCGGGAGGCGGAGGTTGCAGTGAGCCGAGATCATGCCACTGCACTCCAGCCTGGTGACAGAGTGAGAGTGCGTCTCAAAAAAACAAAAAACAAAAAACAAAAAAAACAAAAACTACCTGACTAAACTAGAAATTAAAAAGAAAAAAAGTCTAATTTTTCAAAGTAAGAGTGCGTACATATTAAATGCATTTAATGTCACAAGAAAAATTTTATCCATAAAAAGATAAATGACATTTCATCAAATAAAATCAAGAATCTGAAAACTATAAAGCTAAATATGGCAACAACTAAGTTCATTATTTCTTTAAAAATAATAGACACCAAAAGTCTCTTTGAGTTAGGACAAAAAGTCAATTAACAAATGAAATAATTACTATAATTTAATTATAATACAGAATATCTAATGATATTGAAGTAGGTGATTAAGCCTAATAGTAATAAGTAATAAGAACTTGTGCCTTGTACTAGGTTCTAGGAGTAAAAGAAAAAAAAAAGTATATGACTGTATTTTCTTTTTTTTTTTTTTTTAATTATAAGACAATGTATTGTAGACCCAGCTGCCTAACTCAGTGATTCTCAATCTTCTTGCCCACTAGAATAACCTTGATGGTTCCAAAAAATATATACCAATGCCCAGGTCAGACTTCAGCACCATATAAACAGACTGCCTAGAAGTGGAGCCCAGATGCCTAGGTGATTCTTATATGCAGCCCTGGTTGGGAACTACTGCCCTTACTAGGCTATGAGCTCCTTGAGGGAAAAGACTGTGTCTGGTTTATCCCTAAGCTCATCATAGTGCCTGACACATATAGATACTCAAATGTTCAATAAATGAATGGATGAGGGGGTGGATGGGTGGATGGATGGATGGATGCATGGATGGATAGATGGATGGATAGATGGTTGAAAGCTAGCATTTCCTGCTCTCAAGGTACTTATTATCAAGTAAGAAAAATACAACTTAAACACAGATAGTTAAGTAGACACAAGCCAGTAGATGTCGCATGATTACCACTGTATTTCACAACAGAGATTATGATCTGAAGGAAAGCCTAATTAAATGCTTACAAGGGAGAACTTTCATTTATAAGCCAAACAGGAAAGGCTTCAATTACACTGCTGATTAACACTTAATTTTAAAAGAGAAGGAAGGAGTCATCACATAGATCTTAACACTTAAAAGGAATAAAAATAAAAATGCTATTAGCAATGAGGGAATGCAAAGACTAAACCTTGGAAGTGAATTTTTGAGTGCTGTAAGCCCTGTTTTAATACCACCTTCTCTAGGACAGACCATGTGTCTGGTTTTGTTGGACTGGATTTTGTTTGGCTTGGTTTTATGGTAACTTTTCTCCCCTGTTATTATTTCCAGGTCACCAGGCCATTCTACTCTCTTTGAATCTACAATCAGTGCTTTCATCCAGATAGATGATCCAGTATTTGGATATTAATCTTTCCAGGGCACTCAGCCAGAAGCATTCTTACCTAACTCCTCCACACCCTAGTGCCACTTAGCATCTAAATTGAGCCCAGATCCTTTGGTACCAAACACTGCTCACAAGGGACTATGCAAATTAAATGACTCCTTTTGAACAACTGGGTATTTATAATTAATATACCTCCCAATGTAAATTAAATGAATAAATATGTTGTGGAAACAAATTACATTTGGACAAGAATCTTTTTTCAGGTCAGCTTGTATATTTATGTCTGATGAGGAAAGAGAAAATTCTTAGTTTCCTTGGGGAGGAAGTTATTAGAAAAATTTGAAATGTTTTTCAGCATAAAATTACATAACGTATCCACTCAAAAACATCTCTAACAGAGTACGGCTTATCAGAAAACAAAAAATTATATTCAACTAGACACAGTAGGCAAATAAAATTCAGGCACAGAAATTGAAAAAATGATTTAAAGTTAGAGCTAAACCAAGATGCAAAGATTATGCCTCATGTTTTTCAACTTTTGATAAGTAATGTACCAAGGTTCTAGAGGCCTCTCATTCTCAGAAGTAAGACCAATCTGGGGAGTGTTCTAACTCCCCTCTGATTCCTGACTGATAAGAACCAAAAAGGAGGGCCCGAGACCACATATGGTACCACCTTTGGTGCAGCCATCAATGACAACTTCCCAAGCAGCAGAGCTGACACCTGGTTCTTATTCTATCTCTGTCATCACATGTGCCAACATTTGACCCAAGCACTAAAAGAACTTTGATCAACAACACAGCAGTATTCCTCAAGTACTTGATCCTTCCTCCCTTCCAGGAGGGGAAACTTTGCTGGTTCCCCTCCTGGTTTGCTGATTCAACATCTCTGTTGGCCTTTTTCACCTCACTTCTTAAGTATTTGTTTAATATTCTGTCCATTTGCCTTTTTTACGGCCTCCAAAAAATGAGTCTCCAGCATATCTTCTCTCCTTTTTAAGGTTCAGATCAAAGTCTCCAAATGCCTTCTGCTTATCTTCTCTTGGATATTCCAGTATCCAAAACAAAACTTGATATCATCTTATTGTCAAATAATCTGGTCCTCTTTTCCCATCTTAGATTCATGATCTTACCATTCCTTCAGTCTTCCAGGCTACTGGGTTGACAAATGTTCTGGATTCCATCTTAAAACTGTATCTCAGAATTAACCTCTGAGATATGTCCCCACTTTCCGTCTCTTTGCTCAGGCTCTCATTACTTCTCATCCAGGCTAATTCAAGAGTCTGCTAACTGATCCTCCTACTACTTGTCTTTTCCCCACTGTCACAATCATCCTCCTGGGTTTTCTTCTTAAAGAACAGCAAAATGTAATTTTGTCACAGTCCTGCTTGTAAATTTTTGCTGACTGTCCCTTGCATACAAGATTAAGTCCAAACTTGGCCTGGCTCGGTGGCTCACGCCTGTAATCCCAAAACTCTGGGAGGCCTCGGCCTGAGGTCAGGAGTTTTAAGATCATCCTGGCCAACATGGTGAAACCCTGTCTCTACTAAAAATAGAAAAATTAGTTGGGTGTGGTGGCACACACCTGTAATCCTAGCTACTCAGGAAGCTGAGGCAGGAGAATTGCTTGAACCCTGTAGGCGGAAGTTGCAGTGAGCTGAGATTGCACCACTGCACTCCAGCCTGGGAGACAGAGCAAGACTCCATCTCAAAAACCAAAATCAACAACAAAAGAAAATTTAATCAGAAGGGCCATACCAGGCCTTTCTCAATATGACCCACTTTGCTTCACCAGGTGAGCTCTCTGACACGACTCACCACACTCTTAAATGAATTTCTCTCTTTATTCCCCACACCAGCTATGCCTTTCCTATATTTTACATGTGTTGTATCTTCTGTGTAAAATATCTGATCTTCCCCACTCTACCTACACCTCAACCTGGAAAACTTCTATTTTTTTTTTTATTTAAAAAATAGATCAAATGTCACCTGGCTAGAAAGTCTTCTCTAATTTTCTCAAGGTTTAATCCACCCACATTTGATAAGAACAAGCACGTAATTCCAAGATCCTCGGAAGCATCCTGCTATAAAGTATGTTCCTTGCAACAGACATGAACTGCGTCTAACTGGCTCACCACTGTATCTCCAGCAGCTGACATTTTTCCCAGCACATAATCCTTGTTCAGTTTATATGTGTTTAATGAATTTATCTCTTGCTCTTTAGTCATTAGAGCACAGAGACAAGGAACATAGTTGAGACAGGAATTTGGTGGAAGGGGGAATGTTAGGAGAAGAGGAATACAGAATCCTAGTCAGTCAGTAAACTAAAAAGTCTAAGCAGACAGAGAAACTGAATTTGAAGTCTATCAAAGAGACTTCCTAGGAGCCCACATGAAAGAGAAGGCTCTAAGGCTCAGGTGTGAACAGAGAGACAGTGGTTAAAAATGCCAATCCAATATGAACCCCAGGCAGGTAGATTGTCTCTCTTTGAAATCCCATGGGTCTTTTACATGTAGTGTCTTGTATTACAATTTATTTGTTCACATGACTGAAACACCCAACAGACTGTGAGTTCCTTGAAGACAGCCACCTTATTCCTCCTTATATTTTGAGTACCTGTTACTGTGCCCACCACTTACCCAAGGTTTTACTATAAATTTCTTGTTCCATTAAAAACCCTTAGGCATAATAAATGATTGTGCAGGGACTGAGTTTCACTGTTAGAACCACTAATGAAGGCAGACCTGGAGTCAGAGAATCCAAAGTATTAATGCGTTCAGTGAGACCATGAAAGTTCAAATCACATGAGACACCTGAGAACCTTGAGTTTGCTTTTCACAGATTTATTTTTAGGGCAATGACCCTGAACTTTGTGACCCAGACCTACTTCTACTTGGTCCCAGTAAGTTTTCATCTTCAGAAGAGCTGAGAAATAGCTCAAGCTGAATAATTGGCCATAATTTAGTCAAGGTCTTCTTTGACAGTTTGTTGACATTTACAGTCTCTAAGAGTATGATCCTGCCTGATTAGACTCAGAATACAGTCAGCCCCATTTTTAAAAGACCAACTCTTACACAAAATTATTGGCCTATTAGCTTTTCAGTATTACTCTTTGATACAATGCAAATATGAGCTTCTCAGGTAAATATTTCACACGAGGACTCTTATGGAGTGGCCACAAATTCTTTAATCTTCCTCCTTTCAAGAAGTGAAGCCCATGTGCTAGAATCTGGGTGGGCTTGTGGGGTGTAGAGGAGAAAATGCCATCTGATTTCTAAGGTGAGCTCATTAAAAAGCCATGCAGCTTCTGCCTTGTTCACCCTTGGAGCTGCCTGAGCCAGATAGAAGAATTCTGACTATCCTGAGACCACCATGCTGGAGGGTGCACAGGCAGATACTCCACCGACAATCCCCACTGAGCTGGTCCTGCAGCCATCTCAGCCCAGGAGGGACACGTGAGAGAAGAAGCTGTCTTGGAAGTAAAACTCTAGCTCCAGTCATCCAAGTCACCCCAGCCATTTGAGTCACCCCAGCTGAGGTCCCAGAGCCACCTCACCTTTCCAAGTTATTCACTACACCTCATTTCAGACCCAGATTTATTATAACAAGTACTTGGTGTCCATAAGAAAAAAAAAAAAGTCCAAGTCCAGCTCCACTGATAGTGGAGGAGCTGAATTCAAGACCCATAGGATTTGAGCTGAACTTCCTGGGTCTCAGGGGCACTAAGATAGACAAACCCAGCAGAGATGTGGGCCTTGGGAGTCCATCTTTCTGAGCATTCTTATGCACCGATACTATCTCCAGCTTCATTTTATTCTTGATTTTCTTTCCCTCTGTCCCATTTTCTTCACGTTATATAAATGAATTTTCCTAAGCCATTTTCAATCTTTTTGAAAATCAAAGTAAAGTATAAATACACAAAGTTATGTTAAAAAGATGTTGAAGAAAACAGCAGTCCAATCAATTTTTGTTGAATTAACTCATTCATTAAAGGTAAAAGCAATGATAAAGTCCTATCTTTCTCTCTATTCTTAGGATAGGTGCTGTCTTACTTTTTTTTTTTTACTGACAAGATGCTACAGATTGAATATTTGTGTCCCCCAAAGATTCCTATGTTGAAATCCTAACCCCAAAGTGATGGTATTAAGAGTATCTAGTGGTGGGGCCTTTGGTAGGTGATTAGGTCACGGGGGCTCTGCCAATTTATTTATGTGCACAAATTAAAAGGGCACAATAGTATTAGTGCCCTTATAAAAGGGACCCCAGAGAACTCCCTCACTCCTTCCATGATGTAAGGACACATCAACACATCAAGGAGATGCCTGTCTATATGAACCAGGAAGCAGGCCCTCATCAGATACCAAATTTTCTGACACCTTGATCTTGGGCTTCCCAGCCTCCAGAACTGTGAGAAATAAATGTCTATTGTTTATAATCCACCTATTCTATGGTAGTTTGTTATAGCAGCCCAAACATAAGGGATAATATCCCAGAATAAGGGATAATAATAACAAACAACTTGTTTTATTTCTCAGATTGATGAATACAATCTGGAAGTTGGTAAGGGGTGTTCAACTTATCTGTGATACATTGGCAACATGGAATATTAAGGAACTCCATAGGTAACATGTAATTGACCTGAAGGGATGTTTTGAAGGTGTGGAAATACAAAAAGTAAACTATAACCTTGTGCATATGGTGAGATCCGATTTGGAAAAAAAATAATAATAACACCAGCCAAAGCACACACATATGCACATGAACATGTAGAAATACGTGAAAGGATTCCCACCAGATTGTTAGCATTTGTCATTTGGGGACCCAGAGATGGGAAGTGCAGGGGGTAAATGAGGTGAAAAGATTTTAATAGCTCATTTTGCCTTTATTTTCCTTTATACTGTTTCACTTATTGCACTAAGTTCACATTACTCTTGCAATTTTTGAAGAGAAATTAAAGGGGGAAGGTTGTTATTTTTTTTAACGCCTTAGAACATGCATTTTTTCCCCTCTTTCCCTTATCCTCCCATGGTAATGTCTATTGATCTACTCTTAGCATCCTACGTGCTACAGCACATGATTTAGAATTTGAAATTCTTTTCACTTTTAAATAACTTTATTGAGATATATAATTTACATATAATAAAATCTGCCTATTGTAAGTGATTTTTAGTAAATTTATAGAACTGTGCAGTCAAACCCACAATACAATTTTAGGATATTTCCATCACCTGGCAAAATTCCCTTGTGGCTATTTGCAGTAAATTACTCCCACATATGCCCAGAGCTTCTGTCTCTATAAATTTGTCTTTTCTAGGTATTTCATTACAATGGAATTTTACAATATGTAGTCTTTTAATTCTGGCTTCTTTCAGGAATCATAATGTTTTTGAGGTCCTCCATGTTGCAGCATGTATCAGTAATCTGTTCTTTCTTTTCTTTTCTTTTCTTTTTTTTTTTTTCTTGAGACAGAGTCTCGCTCTGCTGCTCTGTCACCCAGGCTGGAGTGCAGTGGCGCGATCTTGGCTCAAGCAACTTCTGCCTCTCGGGTTCAAGCAATTCTCCTGCCTCAGCCTCCCAAGTAGCTGGGATTCAGGCGCCCACCACCACACCTGGCTAATTTTTTTTATTTTTCATAGAGATGGGGTTTCGCCATGTTGGCCTGCCTGGTCTCAAATTTCTGACCCCAGGTGATCTGCCCGCCTCAGCCTCCCAAAGTGCTGGGGTTACAGGCATGAGCTACCGTGCCCAGCAATCTGTTCCTTTTTATTGCTAGTTTTTAATTTTATAGATATATCACCTTGTTTAATCTTTTCACCGCTTGATGACATTTGGGTTGTTTCCACTTTTTTGGCTATTATTAATACTGCTGCTGTGAACATTTGTGTACATACACCTACTATGTACCCACAAAACTGGAATTTGAAATTTCAACAAAGAAGGTGTGAGGTTATTGATAGACAAGAGGGGCCATTTTATAAGTGATCGAGGCACAATTCATTATATACATGTTGAGCCACTGAGAGCTCCTCTAACACACCATGTTTTGGTACATAGCTAGTAAGTGAAAAATTAGGTAGCCCCTGAGTACTTATTTAAATTATCTGCCTCTTTTGGATAAATGCATGGAAAAATTCTAACAGTTACAGTTTGTTAAAACCTGTAAACAAATACCCAATTAGCAGCAATCTCATTGAGACTATCAGAAGCTGAAAGAAACCACACTCAACTTCATAACTCAAGTAGAATTCCCCTTGCGAAAAAAAAAAAAAATCCATGGTAGTACTGGACTCAATACACAATTTTGCTACCAGGTAACCAACAACAAAAAAAACAGTTTGCATAAGGTCAACTATCTCTAAACACAAATTCACAGTTTTGGCAAATATTCTCCAAGGTTTAATTGGTTTATATCAAACAACTCCAAACAGCATGTCAGTCATTTTTATTAGTAAGGGGCACATTTCACAAGTAATTTTCTCTAGAGGGTTCACTGAGAAGCTTTCAAACTCAGACATTTCTCAGATGGATTTCTGAGATTTTTCTCGGGGTAATTCTGCTTTGAAAATCTTCCAGGCTAAAATTGCCAAAGCCACGGTCTACAGTGTAGACCTTTGGAACTTTGTTGATTGATCTGCCCCTATCCTGGAGCAGACCCAGAATTGTATTCTGAGAAAAATCTATTAACTGTCTATAGTGCTCCTAGGCCTTCTCCATGCAGAGGTAGGCCAATGTCTATTCAAGACAAAGTCTAGCTTAGGCACCTTAATTTTCATAAGGGGACATTAACCTTTTTCTCTTTGCTCAATTGATCTCTAAAATACATACTTTTTGAAGTATATTAGCTTTATAATACATGTGCTTCAATCATAACACCAAATAATTGCTCTAAGGCATTTTTCAGATAATAAAATACCTGACAGTCACTACCCAGCTTTTATCAAAAGACGTAAGAAATAATATTCATAGAGAATCCATAATTAATTCATAATTCAAGGAGATAAAGTCTACCCAGCCCAACAAATAGTTTAGATTTTTATCCCTGGATCAATCCAGGCATGCGATGTGGCTGAAGTATAAGTTACGGGAAGGGAGAGGCTGGAGAAGGTTGTAAAGAGACAGCCAGGCTTGGGATTATATTTCAAAGGCCTTATAGCCCATTTATTCAGTCACCATGAAATGCTGTGTCATCAAAGGATTTCAGATAGGTAGGACGCTGTTACATAAGACCAGGTAAAAGGTGATTAGTATCTTAGCAGAAACAGTTATAATTTGAATTTAAATTCAATAGGACTGAAAATTGGTTGAATGTAGGAGACAAAGGAAAACAGTCAAGATGACTCCCGTAGCATGGGCCCTGAATGGAGAATACAGAAGAAACAGGTTGGGGCAAGAAGTTAATAAGCTCAGTGTTAAAAATGCTGAGTTTGATACCCCATAGAGTATCCCCAGAAATGACTTACTGAGTTATTCATGAATCTGAAGCTTGGAGGATATGGGCTGGTGATACAGGTTTGAGAATCATCAGCAAATAAAAGACAATTAAAACTATAACAGCTACCTACCTGCTATGTCTCCTAGGCCAAGTCACCTCTCTATGCCTCCATTTTCTGATTTGTAAAGTGAAGATTATCATACCTAATTGAGGGTTACTTAAGAAAATTACTATACTTTTGCTTAGTATGCTCTTGATATATGTCAGTTGTTTAAAAAACTAAATTAATTGCCAAGATTGCCTTGCAAGACCACATAGAACAATGGTTATTACACTTTTGGAGAGAAATTAATGCTTTTGAGAATAGCTGTAAACTATGGACTTTCTTATTAGAAAATTACACATAATCAAAGACCCAAATTTTTGCACAGAATTTCAGGAGGCCTGTGGATCACTAAAGAACCTGGGTTTAAAATTTTTTGATGTACAAGGGGAAGAGGGAAAATCTGAGAATCAAACAGGAAAAAAAAAATTATGAAATGAGCAGATTAGGAGAAGACCAAGAAGAGATTATCAGAAAGCGGCAAACATCAAACAGTTTCAAGAAGAGGCTGTGACCAATTTTCCCAAATTTGGCAAGTAGGGCCAATAAGATGAGTTAAAATGATCATTGGCAACATTCACGAATTGTATTAGTCTAGTGATGGGAGAGAAAATTAGAGATCAGTCAGTTAAGGAGTGAAAAGGGAGTGGAAAAGCAGTGGCAACTCATGGACAAAAAGGAAGAAAAAAGATGGAATGAAAGACAAAAGAGAATTTGTGGTCAAGAAAGGGCTGACTTTCTGTTTGCTGTGTTTGTTTTGTTTTGTGGTCATGAGAATTTATTTTTTGTTGTTTTGGGGTATTTCGTTTGTTCATTTTTTAAGGATGAGAAAGATTTGGGGTGTATGGACTCAGGATTGGAGCCAACAGAAGGGCTAAGGTGGAAGATAAGAACAGAGTGGGAATGACTGATGAAGCAACATTCCAGGAATGGAGATGGGGAGGAAAGAAATGGAATCAAGGGCTCCAGGAGAGGGCTTGGCTTTGTGCTAGAAGGACACATCATCCTCCAAATATGTGGAAAGGAGTTAAGAAAGTGTCTATATATTAGTAAGTGCTGGGCAGGGTGGACAATTGATGGATGACTGTAACTTTCTCAAGTAAGAAACAAGGTGGTTTTTGGGAGCCTGAGGCAGGAGAATCGCTTGAACCCGGAAGGCGGAGGTTGCAGTTAGCCAAGATCGCGTCACTGCACTGCAGCCTGGCGACACAGCGAGACTCCATCTCAAAAAAAAAAAAAAAAAAGAAAAAAAAGCAGATTAACAAGGTGGTTTACTGAGAACATTGGCAGTTAAATGTTGAGGAAATGATGAAGATTTGGAATAGAAGCCAAAGAGGATGATAAAGAAAGCTAAGCAAAACAAGTAAACTTGTATTACTCTGGATTAAGCTCTTGGAACTCATTTCTCATAAGTTTTTAAAATCTTGATAACCACTGATGAGAGAATACACCAAATAAGTATTTTGGCAATTAGTCTTCCTATTTCACTAGCAATTGTGTTTAGATAAAAATCATTATAATTACATCTTAAGCTTCTTGTAATACATTAGACTTACAAAACTGCAAACACTATACTAGATATTATGTATGTATATATTATATTATATTATATAGATCATATACATTATGTGATACTAAATGCCAAAATTTTACTTGATGTTTTGAAGTGCTTAGTGTTGTTCAATGCTTACTTTAGCCAGCTGTTATGTTTTCAGACAGTGATTTGCTTTAGTCTTCTCTTCCTTGCAGAATCATAAGGAACCTTAGCTTATGAGAGCAGTTTCTTCAAGAATCTGCTTATTAGAGTAAATAGAATGAATTTCATTTCGTACAGTTACTACTACAACATTTGATGATACCAAAAGCAAAGTGAAACCTGAAGCATGCTCACATAATAAATTACAAAATTTTCCATATGAAGCATTCTTTATTTTCTGAACCCAAAGCTCTGTGTCCCTTTGTAATGAATCAGCATCTCAGGCAAATGTTCTTGTGAGGAGGCAAATTTTTCCCACTGGATTTAGCACTTAAAACAGAAGTTGTCCCCACCACCACCACACTTTCTAAATACAAAGAGCCCTGTTATAAGATAGTCTCATCTGAGTTGTTTTTCTTTTTTCTTTTAGATTATGTGGGAAATGTGTTGCATATTTGCATTTAGTATTTGTGCAAATGTTTTAAACCTTTTTCTCCGTGTTGAAGCTGGTTTCGGTTATAGTTATCCGAATAAGGGGGGGAAAGAGGTGAAAGGACAATATAGTTTAAAGTATTTAAAGCCCTAAAACTTCACAAACCAGGAATTAAATATAAAGGTATTCGAGTTTTTTCTGACTTATGAAAATTTAAAGAGCAGTACCGGCCGGGCGCGGTGGCTCACTCCTGTAATCCCAACGCTTTGGGAGGCCGAGGCGGGCGGATCACGAGGTCAGGAGATGGAGACCATCCTGGCTAACACGGTGAAACCCCGTCTCTACTAAAACTACAAAAAAATTAGCCGGGCGTGGTAGCGGGCGCCTGTAGTCCTAGCTACTCCGGACGCTGAGGGAGGCTGAGGCGGGAGAATGGCGTGAACCCGGGAGGCGGAGCTTGCAGTGAGCTGAGATCGCGCCACTGCACTCCAGCCTGGGCGAGAGAGATTCCGCCTCAAAAAAAAAAAAAAAAAAAAAAAAGAGCAGTACCAAAAATATGTAAGGTTTTCTTAGAAAATATAAAGTGCTAACCTAAAAAGGAAAATAATGTATTTGCCACATTTAACAAACACTTATGGACCAAGATAAAACAGATAGCCCATAAATTTGGCGTTGTCCCTTTAATGTACATGTCTATAGTGCCACCATGTGGTACTACCGGTGTTGTAAATATTTCTAAATACAGTAATTCAGATATTCTGAAAGTTAGACACTAGATGGCAGTATATTTCCCTTTAAAATTGTTTATTCATGTTCAAAGGCAGTATCTATTTTTTATGGTATAACTTTGTTGAAAAGTAAAAAAAATTACTACAGTTTTTAAAATAATATGCTTTGTAACATAGACTGATTGCATTAAAAAGTATGCTTTTAATCATCATTTATTTCTCAAATAGAAGCAAAATATTAAAATAACTACTTGCTTCCTTTATTAGCATGCCCAACCTAGGCAAAAGAATCTCACCAATTTTTTCTTCTTCTACTAAAGTCCTGTGATTAGCACAGTAGGATCCAACTGTATTGATTCTATATAATTACTAATTAACAAAATTTTACTAAGTAAAGACTTAGAGGCAGAAAAAACAATGAGAAATTTAGGCAACGAGTCAGCTTAGGTTCATTTATGTACTGTCTTCAATGGCTAAAGAAGAAATATTGGCAGGGGAGGGCTATGACTTTCATTCTATCTCCCTTTTATCCTGCTTCTGAGGCTAAGGGCTCTTCCTAATTTATCCTGGCAATCAGAAAGAAATACTCTATGCCATCCTGAAATACAAATCCAAGATGCATTGTTCAGGAGGTTTTCCTAGTTGGAAACAGCAAGTGCTACATGATATATCAGCATCCAACAGAGCCATGGCTTTTTGTATAGAAATTTGTCTTTTCCTTAATATAAACAAAATCCAGATCTTCCAAAACTGTCAAAGGATCACCAGGCACACAAAAAACGTTAGCAGGAGCATGAAGCCCCAACTCTAGTTAATGTATTAATTTCTCCTTTGGGCTCTTGCTTCTGACATCTGCCTCTACTAGGTAGGTTTGAGACAAGAAGTAAAGGAATGCTCATTTACCTTTAATATCCTAGCCCATTTTTGGACAGAGACCCTGCCTTTAACACCAATAAGCAAAACTACAACAGAGCTAGCATATTTAAATGAGACTTAACTAAATAAAAAGGAATAACTATAGATTGCTTGATAGAAACAGAATTACATTAGTTCCATCAGAACTAGTTTCCTGATAGTTTTTATAATTAATATGTAAAAATATTTAACTATCCCCTTGATTTTTGAGTACTCACTGGGAGAAAATTAAACCATGTCCTTTCCCTGGAATGATTCTAATTCCTCACAAGAAAAAACTTGAGCTTGGAAACCTTGAGTCTTGATAGAATTTGATTACCTTTGAGATAGCATTGGGGGTGGAAGGTGGCAAGGAAATAGCCTTTTTGTGCTTTGGAACTAAAAATATGTAGAAGTGATCTTCACCAATAACCCTCTCCTCACACATATGCAGAAAATCAGGACTTTGGGAAGGTACATGAGGCAAGTGGGCTAAATTGTTTGAAAAGGGGCCTGTCATAATGGGTGGAGGGGTAAATGGCTGAGCTCAAGTACTCGAGTCCTCCAAGAAGAAGAGGGAGGACCAGGCTGCATGTTCCCACCCACTCCCATACAGATGGTGACCAAAACTTCACCCCCAAATTGAACAACACTCCTGAACAACCAAAGGGTCAAAGAAGAAATTTTAAAAAATAACTTGAGACAAACAAAAATGGCAACACAACATACCAAAACTTATCAGATGCAGCAAAAGCAGTTCTAAGAGAGAAGTTTATAGTGACAAATGCCAACATTAAGAAAAAGGAAAGTTCTCAGATAAACAGTCGAACTTTATACCTCAAGGTATAGAAAAGAATACCTTGAGGAACTAGAAAAAAAAAGAATAAACCAAACCCAAAGGTAGTAGAAGAAAGGAAATAATAAAGATTAGAGCAGAAATAAATGAAATAGAGACTAGAATAACAATAGAAAAGATCAACAAACTAAATGTTTTTTGAAAAGTTAAACAAATTTGACAAACCTTTAGCCAGACTAACCAAGAGAAAAAGAGAATACTCAAATAAAATTACAAGTGAAAAAGGAGGCATTACAATTAATACCACAGAAAGGCGAAAGGTGATGAGGCCACTATGAAAAATTATACACCGAATTGGATAACCTAGAAGAAATGGATAAATTCTTTTTAATATAAAACTTACCAAGACAGAATTAGGAAGAAATAGAAACTCTGAACAGACCAATACCAAGTAAGAAAATTGAATTACTGATAAAAAAAAAAAAATGTCCCACCAAAGAAAAGCCCAGTACCTGATGGCTTCACTGGTAAAATCTGCCAAACATTTAAAGAATAATTAATGCCAATTCTTCTCAAACTCTTTTAAAAATTTAAGAGAAGGAAACACTTCCAAAATTATTTTATGAGACCAACATTACCCTGTACTGAAGCCAGACAAAGAAATTATTTTAAAAAATTACAGGCCAATATCCCTGATTAATATAGATGCAAAAATCCTCAACACAAATAATACTAGCAAACTGAATTCAACAGGACATTAAAATGATCACATACCACAATCAAGTGGGATTTATCCCTGGCATGCAAAGATGGTTCAACATATGTAAATCAATCAGTGTAATACACCACATTAACAGAATGAAGGATAAAAATCATATAATCATATAATCATCTCAATAAATGCAGAAAAAGTATTTCACAAAACACGACATCATTTCATCATAAAAGCTATCAACAAATTAGGCAGAGAAAGAAAGTACCTCAACACAATGAAGACCATAAATGTCAAACCTGCAAATAATACACTCAATGATGAAAGCTGAAAGCTTTTCCGCAAAGATTAAGAACAGAGTAAGGGTGCCCACTATCACTACTTATATTTAACATAGTACTGGAAATCAGACCTAGCGCAATGGGTCAAAAAAAAATAAACAAAAAGCATCCAAATTACAAACATAGATGTAAAATTATGTGGTTGCAAATGATATGATCTTATATGGAAAAAGCCCTAAAACTCCACCAAAAAAGTATTAAACTAATAAACAAATGCAGTAAAGTTTCAGAATACAAAGTCAATATACAAAAGTCAGTTGCATTTTTATACCCTAACAATGAACTATCAAAAAAGAAGTTAAAAAAATCCCATTTACAAAATCAACAAGAAGAATAAAAATACTTGGGAAGAAATGTATCCAAAGAGGTGAAAGATCTGCACACTGAAAATTATAAATCACTGATGAAAGAAATTCAAGAAGAAACAAAAAAAAGAAAGATATCCCATGTTAATATCAATATTGTTAAAATGTCCACACTACCAAAAGCAATATACAGATTCAATGCAATCCCTATCAAAATGCCAATGGCATTTTTACATGAATAGAAAAATCAATTCTAAAATTCATCTGAAATCACAAAAAAACCCTGAATAGCCACACAATCTTGAGGAAGAACAAAGCTGGAGGCATCATATTTCCTGATTTCAAAATATATTGTAAAGCTTCAGTAATCAAAACAGTATGGTACTAGCATAAAAGCAGACATATAAACCAATGGAACAAAATAAAGAGTACGGAAATAAATCCATGCATTTATGGTCAACTGCAAAGGTGCCAAACACACCTTTGTGAAAGAATAGTCTCTTTAATAAATGATGTCAGGAAAACTGGATATCTACATGCAGAAAAATAAAATTGTACCCTTATCTCACACTATATACAAAAATCAACTCAAAATGGATTAAAGATTTGAAGCTATAAAACTGCTAGAAGAAAACAGGGGAAAGCTTCTTGACATTGCTCTGGACAATGATTTTGTTTTTACTATA
Organism: Homo sapiens; assembly: GCF_000001405.40. Lineage (NCBI taxonomy): Eukaryota > Metazoa > Chordata > Mammalia > Primates > Hominidae > Homo > Homo sapiens. The sequence continues at coordinate 102,435,297 of NC_000004.12, forward strand.
CGACCTCAAAAGCATGGTCAACAAAGGCCGGGCATGGTGGCTCATGCCTGTAATCCCAGCACTTTGGGAGGCCCAGGTGGGTGGATCACCTGAGGTCAGGAGTTTGAGACCAGCCTGGCCAACATGGTGAAACCCCATCTCTACTAAAAATATAAAGATTAGCCAGGTGTGGTGGCGGGTGTCTGTAATCCCAGCTACTCAGGAGGCTGAGGCAGGAGAATTGCTTGAACCCAAGAGGCAGAGGTTGCAGTGAGCCAAGACCATGCCATTGCACTCCAGCCTGGGCAACAAGGAGCAAAAACTCCTTCAAAAAAAAAAGCATGGGCAACAAAAGCATAAATAGACAAGTGGGGTTGGATTAAATTAAAAAGCTCTGCACAGCAAAAGAAACAACAGAGTGAAGAGATAATGTATGGAATGGGAGAAAATAAATGAAAATCATACATCTGATAAGGGCTTAATATCCAAAATATGTAAGAAACTCAAACAACTCAACAGTAAAAACAAAAAACCCCAATATGAAAATGGGCAAAGGACTTGAATAAACAGTTCTCAAAGAAGTATAAATGGCCAACAGGTATATGAAAAAAATGCTCAGCATTACTAATCATCAAAGGAATATAAACCAAATGCATAATGAGATAACACCTCACAACTGCTAAAATGGCCATTATAGGCCGGGCGCAGTGGCTCACACCTGTAATACCAGCACTTGGGAGGCCGAGGCAGGTGGATCACAAGTTCAGGAGATCAAGACCATCCTGGCCAACATGGTGAAACCCCATCTCTACTAAAAATACAAAAATTAGCTGGGCATGGTGGTGGGTGCCTGTAATCCCAGCTACTCGGGAGGCTGAGGCAGGAGAATTGCTTGAACCTGGGAGGCAGAGGTTGCAGTGAGCCAAGATCACGCCATTGCACTCCAGCCTGGGTGACAGAGCGAGACTCTGTCTCAAACAAAAACAAAACAAAAAAAAACAAAGAAAAAAAAACAAAAAAAAGGCTATTATTGAAAAGTCTAAAGATAAATTTTGGTGGATTTAGAAAAAATGGAACTTTTGCACACCATTGATAGGAATGTAAAATGGTACAGCTATTACAAAAAACAGTATGGAGTTTCCTCAAAAAACTAAAAATAGGACTACCATATGATCCAGTAATCCCACTTCTGGGTATATATCCACTGGAAATGAAATCAGTATCTCAAGGAGACATCTGCACACATATGATATTGCAACATTATTCACAATAGCTAAGATATAGAATCAACCTAAGTGCCCATAAATGGATAAAGAAAATGTGGTATTATACACAATGGAATACTATTCAGCCATTAAAAATGAGGGAAATTCTGCCTTTTGCAACAACGAGGATGAACCTGGCAAACATTATGCTAAGTGAAATATGCCAGACACATAAAGACAAATGCTACATGATCATACTCATATGTGGAATATAAACAAGTTGATTTCATGGAAGTAGAGAATAGAGAGGTGGTTGCCGGGGACTGGGGGATGGGCGAAAGGGGAAGATGTTGGCCAAAGGGTACAAGGTTTCAGATATGTAGGATGAATAAATTCTGAAAATCTAATGTACAGCATGGTGACTATACTTAATGTACTGTATACTTGAAATTTGCCAAAAGAGGAGATCTTAAGTGTTCTCACCACACACACGCACACGCACACAAACACAAAATGGTCACTATGTGAGGTGATGAATATGCTAATTATCTTGATTGTGGTTAACCATTTCACAATATATAAGTGTATTAAAACATCATATTGTATACCCTAAGTCTATGTGATTTTTATTTGTCAATTATAACTCAACAAAGCTGGAAAGAAAAGACCCAAATATAGGCCCCTAGATATGGCAGAACATCATATATAGAATGCATCATGGGAGCTTTGGCCCTGGTAGTGGGCCTGGGAGCCTCAGCAGAAATCTCTGTGCCTGGCTTTACCACAAGAGAGGAAGTCACAGACAATACCTCCTCTCTTTGCCTGGACTGCAGGACTATCCTGGGCAATAAAAACTGATAGCAACAATACAGACTGCGTGGGAGCTTCCCCCCATTTTTCTGGGTGAGTGAGGCCTAGGTTTCTCATGCAATCCAAAGGGAAGAGGGTGTCCCCTGACAACTTATTATATTAATATTGAATTTCTGCTGGGGGCGGTAGCTCACGCCTGTAATCCCAGCCCTCTGGGAGGCTGAGGCATGTGGATTGCTTGAGCTCAAGAGTTTGAGACCAGCCTGGGAAACATGGTGAAACCTCGTCTCTACAAGAAATACAAGAAAATTAGCCAGGAGCGGTGACACACAACTGTGGTCCCAGCTACTCAGGAAACTGAGGTGGGAGGATCGCTTGAGTCCAGGAGGTCGAGGCTGCAATGAGCAGTGATTGTGCCACTGCATTCCAGCCTGGGTGACAGATCAAGACCGTGTCTTTTAAACATATATATGTTGAACTTCTTGTCCGTGCTAAGGAATGGAGGGATGAACCAGACAAATAGTAGGGAAATGTGACATTTAAAAATACTGAGTGTAAACTGAGCAATGTCATTCTTTACATAGATAATATAGCTCACACATTATGATGTGCACGGCTTGAAGCCTGGCTGAATCAAGGCTCTAGGATCCAAGTAAGTGACAGGCACTATCGTAGAACTCACCAGATATGATTTGGATATTTGTCCTCCCCAAATCTCATGTTGAAATGTAATCACCAAGGTTGGAGGTGGGGCCGGCTGGGAGGTGCTCAGGTCATGGGGGCAGATCCATCATGTCTTGGTGTCGACTTTGTGATAATGAGTAAGTTCTTACGAGATCTGGTTATTTAAAATTGTAGGGCACCTCCCCGCACCTTGCTCCCACTCTCGCCATGTGATGTGCTTGCAAAGCTCCCTGAGGCCCCTGAGAAGCCCAGCCAAGATGCTGGTGCCATGCTTGTACAGCCTGCAGAACCAAGAGCCAATTAAACCTCTTTTCTTTATAAATGACCCAGTCTCGGGTATTTATAGCAACACAAAAATGGCCTAACACACCACCTCTCCTAAGTACAAACACAGTATCTCTGAATTTTTTAGACTAAGAGATTAAGACCCAGAAGAACAGGAAAATTTCTTTTTCCCACCCATGTTAGTCGAGTTCGAAGAGGGGAATTTCTTCTTCCAACCATTGTTAGTCCAGTTCCCAGCTAAGAATCTCCTCTTCTCCGAGTGGCTGACCTCAGGGATTAGCACTCCCTTGACCAGAGATGATGTCTACCCACAGGGGTGTGGCCTCCCAGTCTCTACAAAGTCTCACAATAAAACTGACTAACCACCTTTACTCACACAGAAGACAGACAAAAACAGTATACAAATGTGTATTTTGTTATATCCCCAAATCCCATTGTTACAGTGTGACACAGCATAATAATTATTAAATATTTTCCTTTTCAGAGGAACACTTCTTATTCTAATCTTTAGTTCACCCTGCAGTAATGTTGGGGAACAGCTGTGGAAAGAGGAAATAATCCTTCTGTTCCCCACCCCACCACCTCTATCACTATTAAACACATTTTTGTTTTCAGATTCACGAATTTCTGAACATGTATTCTCCATACAGTTTTACAAAGTGACTCTTTTTTTCAGCTCTTGAAATTAATACCTCTTGAATTTAGTATGCAAACATATGCAAGTATTCTGGAAATGCAACAGACCCCAGATGACTAGCTAAAGCTTAGAGACTGTATGACAAAGCACTTTGAGCTCCCCAGACACATCAGGGCCTTCCCAGAGAGTGGTCTTCCCATGCTTGTAGAGTTGGGTTAACATTTCCTTTGGGTAATTTGAATACTTCAACTTCCTCAGGCTGCAGGTCCTAAAGCCTTTTGTATACAGGAAGAATGGTTTACTACTTCTTTGAGTTCTGGCTTATTAATTATAGCAATTATTTTGTTCACCTATACAGCATGTCAAACTGTTATTTATCTGCTTAATCAGCACATCAGGAAATAAAAAGCCATTGCCTGTGTAAGAAATACTGACCTGATGAAATATCTTGGAGGCATTCCTCAGTACCAATTAAAATAATAGACATTGTCACATGGTGCAATTATTTTCCAGAAAACAGCTGACGTGTACACACTAAGCTTGGCAAAATTCCTGGCTAATTTCGCAAGAATGTTTATTCCAAACTGAGATCATCTTTTTAAAAAAAGAAAAAAGACACAGACAAAGAGGGTAAGGAGGGAGGGGGAGATGAAAGTGGAGAGGCAGAAAAGGAAGGGTAGGAGACAGAAAGGAAGGAAGGGTCGAAGGGAGGGAGGAAGAAAACAAATAAGGAAGGGTTCTTCATAAATCAAGAGAAGATGTTAGATTTTAAAGTCGTCTTTTCTCTATCTGACCAGATATCTACCTAATCCTGCAACGAAATTTTATTAATTACAGAAGAGGTCAAATATTTCATCTTTACCAGAGATTCATTAATTTAAAATGTTCTAACCTCAAATTCACATTACAAAATCATAGCATTAGGTCTTTTTCAGATTTTAATAATTTCCCTAATTAACACAAATGATTTTAAAGGAAATTAATCAAGAAAAACTTTATTTCAGAGAGGTTCATGGAAGAGGAAAATATAGAGTGAACATTTACAAATAAAAACAAACATTATAGAAATGCAGAGTCATGACTGATGCATTCCAACCTTGTGCATGTCTGGAATACATCTGCAAATCATCTGCTCAGCCTTCAGAATAGTCTGTACACACACACAGATACAGCCACACATACACCCAGAGAAACCCAGGCATTGTCAAGCCTGGAGGAAGCCAATGTTGACATGTCAGTCCTTTATCTGGTAAGAAAGAAGCATGAACTGCTCTATCACACTTAGTTTGTTTCTGATTTCTGGATCCTACTAAAAAGCAAGGAGGATGAAATTTTTTTTCTTTTCTATTGATTCAGAATCTGGAATTTTGACTACAAAAAAATTTTTTTGGAAATCTTGCCATTAGTCTAAGGCAGGGGGTTACTTAGGGGTTGAAATCTATTAGCTGCTAATGTTTTTGGCTTAGTGAGAATAACAGGATTTGGGGTTCTGAAGGGAAATAGAGTTTGTAGCTTGCTTAAAACTTACTGTAGACCCCCAAATATTAAGATTTTAACATTTGTATTATTAATGATAATATTATTCTTTTTAAATCTGCGTACTGTTTTTCTAAATGTTGGGTTCTAGAGAAATATATTTGAATAGCACTTGCAACTTCCATGAGTTTCTTACCAATAGTAAAGTTATATGGTAGGAATCCCAGATAATGGCTTCACAACTCAATTTGGAAGATTATGTATAGTTTAAAGATGTTATGCTAAGTTTGCTTTAAGTGCTCCATTCAGCAAACTATGTGCAAAAAATGCAGATAGAATGATGGATAGTTAGATTAAATTATCGACTTTCTGAACTTTCCAGTTCTTACTCTGAAAGGATTTCAATTAAGGGGAAGAAGTAGTGTAGTCTTAATATAAAAGTATGAAGTAGGTTATAAATAAGCTTTTATTTTGTGAGTTTCTAATCAATAAGCTCATAATTCATGGTAACTCTTTTAGGCTAAATAAGATTATCAACATCATGACATTTTCTCCTTGCTAGATCTTCATTTTATATAGAGATTCTTCCCTTAGGAATAAAAAAAATCAGAGAAAAAATTTCATTATATATTAGGTACAGTAAATGAGTGAATTATAACTATACCTTTATTAACATTTTAGTTGTATTACAGTCAACAAGGAAAAAATGGTCTAAGGAGATACATTATGTTTGCAATGTTAACTCTTTCACATAACCAGTCTCTTTTTTTTCCCCTGAGTAAATGCATTTTATCACATTTTCTTGCAAATTTGTATCTTCTTTTCTTCCCTGCACAAGAAAAGTTTAACCCACTTACATTCTTTAAGAAAGCATTGATGAGACTAGAAATGATCAGTATTACAGATGTCAAATTAATGTAACATATTCCTTCAATCCAACATGCATTGAGCATCTACTACATGCCAGGTGCTCTGTTAGATGCTGGGGATACAAGTTAAATAAGATGCATAGGCCCTTAACTCAAGGAGGTGGCAATCTATTGGAGAAGATACTGACAAACAGAATAAAATGTGAGCTTTTTATTGTGGAAGTATAGCAGTTGGAACTCTTTGGTTGCAAATGACAGAAAACATGATTCAAACTGGCTTAAACAACAAAGAAATGAACTGGTTCACATGACAAAATTGGAGAAGGGGGAATGGTACATACAGCGTATCTCAATCCAGAGATTCAAGTGACGTCACCGGGATTGGTTTGTGCACCTATCTTAGGTCTACCTTCATCTGCATTGGATTTGTTCTCAAGCTCCAGTGAAGACTGGCAACTCCCAGCTCATTTCTTACTATGTATTATTTGAGGAGATTACTCTTTTAGTAACTCACATTGACAGAAGGGTCAGATTTGTAGAAGTTAATAATGCATCTTTATTTTGTCTTTCCTTTCCTCTTGGTTCTGCACTTCTGCTTTCCAGAATCATATTTCTAAGTAAACTTCCGGTACATAAGTCTTTGTCTCAGGCTCTGCTTTGGAGAGACCCAACCTATGACTGGGATGTTATTCCAGCACACATTAACCCCTAAATTTGCCCCGATCTATTATTGCAGACTCCCAACAACCATGCGTCTACAATGTAGTCATGGTCCCCTGGTCATACCTGATAAAACTAGGGAAAGAAGCCTAACAGACAAGGTGGGCAACTCAGAAATTTCCCCAGGGGTTGATGGGAAATGGACTGAGGAAAAGTTGTTCTCACTGTGGTGGACGAAGCTTAATGACTCGCTTTGCAACTTTACTGGAGCACATTCAGTGAGCTGATGGTCAGAACTGAGGAACTTCATCCATAAGCAGTTGTCAAACCATTGGGAGTTGGAAATAGACCACGGTGAAAGTACCTACATTAGAAAAATCAGCAACTGTTACAAATCCAGTCTTTTTCCACCCAGACAGCCAATTTGCTAGCACACCACTGCCTTCTTCCCTTTGTAGTATTCTAACACCTGAGAAAGGATGAGTGCCTTTGTTCTGTTTACAGAGCAAAGTACAGATGAAGCAATACGGGTCAGGCAAAATCAAATAATCTCCAAACTAAGAGCTTTGTTAACTCCTGTTGGGGCACACAACTTTGGGCTGAGGTCTCTCCTGAAATGAAGACCTCGCCTGAAACGAATTCTTCTTATGAAATAATTTTCTCTGGGCCCACAGGGCAGGTTCCAATTGATCTAGTAACCTATTATTGGGCTTAGAAACTAAACTGAGCTTGCCAGAGACCATCTTTGGTCTGGTCTAGTTAGTACCAGGAGACAAAGGACAAGTGACAACACAGGTCCACGAATTAACAAAAGACAGGAGAGACATGGGACTGTGCCACCCACAATCTGAAGCCATGACCTCACCACTGCTTAGCAAACCTCAGTGTATTGCTTGATGTCACTAGTAACACAAACCAGTCCTCCTCCTATGAGGAGGAACATGCCACAGGAATAGGAAGAAGGATGGAATTGCTTCCTCTGTTGGGGTTCAGAAACCAAAACATGGCACTTCGATATGCTGAACTGAAGAAGCAGCCTTAAGGTTTATTTGACCTTCCCCCTACCTCCTTTCGCTCAATCCTGTCTCTCTCAAAGCACAAGGTGAAGTTGTTCTCTGAAGATCCCTTGTCTGCCTGAAGTCTAGACCTGGCAATAAAGGAAACAATGACCACTGTTTTCTTCTTTGAATTTTTATTAACCGAACTAATACACAGGAAGAAAAGCTGAAGTCTGTCAACAAACCTGGACAGAATTTTGTCACAAACCATCGTAGGCTCTTCAGGCCCAATAGATTTTGTCCCAGGCCATTATATGTTCTCTAAGCCCATTGAATTCCCCTGAAAATCAGTTACTACCCTCCAAAAATCATCCACACTTTTCCATTTCCCTTCCCCAGTTACCCATTGGGATACTGGGTAATCACTCTGTGGTTTTTCTCCTGTGCACACTAATAAATTTGGATGCCATTTCTCCTATTAATCTGCCTTTCGTCAGTCGATTGTTCAGCAAACCTTCAGAGGGCAAAGGAAGAGTTTTACCTTGGCTCTTACACCTTCAATACTGCTTCCTTCTGGAGAGAAAAGGAGAAGAGTCTACTCCTCAATAAAAATTTGCAGCTGCCATGTTATCTGCCATGAGATCTGAGGAGCAGAGGAAGCCACTGCTGAAGGGAAGAATGAAGCACAACATGAGATGGAGAGCACTGCTGCTTTAGGTTCCTGGTAGCTTTCAGTTCCTTCGGAGGCCCAGCACGTAAAGCACTTAGTACAGTATGGAGAATGGCATTCTATGAAAGTTGATGACTATTAATGCCAGCATACTATTGTCGATGACTATTAATGCCAGCATACTATTTCAGAGATTGTAATTTTTAATTCATTTAGTCAATCTCCTCCTACTAAATATTTAGACTGCACTTTTAGTTCTCTCTCCAATATATGTATATATATCAGAGAAAGAGAATTATATAATCGTGTGTTTGTGTGTGTGTGTAATTATTCTGGCACTCATTAAGCCAGTAAGGAAGACTTTATTCAAGACTATTTATAGCCAAGGAACAGAGTGAGGGGATCAGTGGATGGAAAATTACTAAGAGGAGACATCAAGGTAGGAGGATTCTTACTAAACTGACCTAACAGGATTCTTGCTAAAGGTGGGCCAAGGACTTATAAATCAAAGGTAGGGGATGAACTTGGTCACATATCAAGGGTGACCCAATATGAGTGGGACAGGGGGAGGGCACAGATTTTTACTGAACTGGGCTATGCAAGAACAGGACACGCATACAGGAAGCCAAGGTCAGAGCTAGTTGAGAAGAGGACTCAAAAGCATAACTAAAATTTGGTCAAGGAGGGAGTCTTCGTTGAGAGAGAAAAAAATTTTTTTGATTAAAACAAATGTCTAGTAATACAATTCAGTGAACATGTATGAAGCATTTTCATAATTTTTGTTACACAGTATCAATGGATTTTTGAAAGAATTGAGCCTATTTGCAGTACAAATACGTGACAGTATGAGTTTGTCCAATTTTTCACAGCCTTTTTTGATCAATTCATAATATATGTAAGTATACAGAATTCTTCAGCCATTCAGAAAAGAAAAGGTGTAAGCACAATCATCCAATTTTTTTGTTTTATGAACAAAATTGGATGTTTTCCTCATTAAACTTACAGTGCTTTTGAAGTTATTTTGGAGTTGCAGCTTCTGTAACAGAGGTCAGGCATTCTTGTTCTCTTTGTTGTCTGAAGTACACTCTGGAGTTTATCTTATATGAAATGGTTTCCACTTTCTAACCATTTGTTCCAGTAAAATCTAGACCACTGCTACATGCAAGAGAATCAATTTCCTGATATTAATAGTCTGCATGTTTGTTTTTTTCTAACTGACCCAATCAGGAGCAAGGTAACTCCTCAGTCACAGTTTATTTTTCTGCCCAGCCTTTGAACCATTTACTAGGTATTTATCTAGTCATTTTCTTCATTCAGCTTCCTTCCCATGTGCCTTATATATAATCACTTGAAGCAGCACAGCAGACGCAGGTTTAATAAGATAGCTCTCACTATCTTTGCCAGATGCAACGTTTTCCAGTTTTCTCTTAGAAAATGCAAACAATTGGAAACAGTTATAACAACGCAGTTTACCCCACACAGATAACTCGAACACTATCACTAGAGGATTCCACAGTGAAGTGCCCATGGTATGGAGAACAATATTTCCCTGTTCTTTCACTGAAATACCTCTGCATTATTTTCCTAAAACAGAGAACTACTAACTTGGACAAAGGGCAGGCAGTTCATGCCATCCATCCTGTGCAGTCACAATAGCTAATTATAACAGCCAACCTTTATTGAGCCCTGGCAATATGCTGGTCTCTGTTTTAAGCATTTTCATGTGCTTAAAATGTAATTAAATTTCATTTAAAATTAACTCAATTAATTCTCTCTAAACCTACGAAGTGAGCATCATCAGTATCCCATTGTACAGATGAAGAAACTGAGGAACCAAGAAGTTAAAAACTTTGCTCAAGGTCACATAACAAGTAAGGGGCAGAGCTAAGTTTCAAACTCAGACCCTTTGATTCCAGACACCAAGTTCTTAGATGTCTATCTCAAGGACAAGAAAGAAACAATAGGCCGGGCATAGTGGCTCAGGCTTGTAATTCCAGCTCTTCAGGAGGCCAAGGTGGGAGGATCCCTTGAGCTCAGAAGTTCAAGACCAGCCTGGGCAATATAGTGAGACCCCCATCTCTATAAAAAACATAATAATTTTTGTAAAAAAATTAAGAAACAAACAATAAAGCCAAATTTTCCGCAATGACACATTAGTGATGTTTCCATTTACTTATCTAAAACCTTAAAAACACATTCATAAATTCATTCCAACTGCTCTAGGAACTTCCATTAGCTCACAATCCAACCTCTAAAACTTTGTATTTATCCCAAACTCTAAAAACTTAAATATTTTACGCTTCATTGGTTCTTTGGGGTTACTTTAAAAGCCAGTAATATACTTTGTCATTCTTAGATGTCAGGCAAGTTCAAATTTATTGTCAGTCCTTGTCTTCCTAAGTTGAAGCTCACTCATTTGCTAATATGCCCTTACACAGCAGCTCTGCTGTCCTTTTTCCATGTAATTGTTAGACTTTCCCTAACATCTTTACACATTTTTTTTAAGATGTGTTGACCGGAACTACAAAGAATATTACTGGCTTATATGTAAAAGGTCCTTGCTGAAGTATAGGGAAATTTTATTTTGTTTTTACTATACCTCTCATGATGAGTGTTCTTGACCTTTTTGGCAATGGAGACACACATTGTCTCTCCTTGGAAATCTATGTCTCCAGGATCATAATGAAATGTCTAGAACTGTGATATCATGGAAAGAACTCTAGCCTGTACATGGGTATCCCAGGCCCAGTTCCCTGCTTTGCCAACTTTCAAAAGTGTGATTATGGAGAATTATTTAAACCTTGACTTCCTTACCCACAAAAGGGAACACTGATGAACCACTCTATATGGGTGGTTAAGGACATAGATATTGAAGCCAAACCACCTGGTTCAAAATCTAGCTTACTTGTCTATGGGTGTTAACTTGGGCAACTTACTTCACCTTTTTGTTCCTCAGTTTCCTCATCAGCAAATGAAAATTATAACACTAATACCTACTTTCAAGCATCAAATGGTTGTTAAAACCATCAGATGAGTTAATAAATGTAAAGCACTGAGAATCTAGAACATTGTCTGTAACAGTAAGTGTTAATTATTGTTACATTACAAGGATACCATGAGAATGAATTAACATGTAGTGCCTGAACTATTAGTACACACCTAAACACCAGTTCATTTATGCAGTCATCTACAGTGACCACTTAGTACATGCAAGGCAGTATGCTAGACACAGGCATATAAACCAAAAAGTCACTTGTCCTCACTAGTTATATTTTCATAAGAAAAGAAAATAATAAACCAGTAAATAAATATACCACAAAATAATAACCACAAGATAATAAATATACCAAGGCTCAAAACTCTTACTACTAAAAAAAAAAAAAAAAAAAAAAAAAAAAGAATGGCGTTCTGAGAGTACTCATGATGTCACAGAACCTGAATCTGTCTGAGTCCAAACTCCCAGGCTTTTTCCGTGACTTTTTACAACCTTCTAGCAAACAATTTCTACAAAGAGTGAAAAGTATCAAGATGGAGGCTTGCACCTGTGGTGGCAGTTTATTTTTTCCAAATGCATTTTCTTTCTCTTGCCATTAGCCTCAAGGCCTATATATGGACCTCTCCTCAGGCAAAGAATCATCTGATCCCAGGCATACCTGCAGTTCCCCCGCAGCTGGTACACACGCTGCACAAGCCCAGTGCTTTGGATGCGAGAGTTGACTTTGAAGATACCTACTTTAGGTAAGCATCTCATTACGATGAGTAGAATAATTAACAACCACAGTAAGTGCTTTTCTGTACTAAAAATCTTAATAACTTTCGGCACGTTAAAAATAGCCAAAATGTTCTAATAAAAAATATGCTGTTGAGTTAACAACAATTAAGTGAAAAGCAGATAAAAATAAAATTAACAAGTGATCCAACCCCTTCATAAATTTACACATGGGTGATCTCAGTAAAACGTTTGTTTTTGTTTTGTTTTAAGACCTAACTGAACTGTGATAATTGCTTTCTCTTTCAGGAGCAGTTACAAATATTTTGTGGCAGGAAGTCTTCCCTTAAGTGCTGAGTCTGCACCGCGACAAACACACTTTTAAAGAAGAAAACTGTATAAGCAGCAATGTCTTCATAGCCAACCACTGGTTCAATCATTTAAAAAGTTTTTAATCAAGGACCCCTAGAAGGGAGTTTCCTTTATAAAAAGCCCTCTGATTACAGGCGTGAGCCACCATGCCATTTGTGAGGCCGAAGCGGGTGGATCACCTGAGGTCAGGAGTTCAAGTCCAGCCTGGCCAACATGATGAAACCCCATCTCTACTAAAAACACAAAAAATTAGCCAGGTGTGGTGGCAGGCGCCTGTAATCCCAGCTACTCAGGAGGCTGAGACAGGAGAGTTGTTTGAACCCAGGAGGCGGAGGTTGCAGTGAGCTGAGACCACACCATTGCACTCCACCCTGTGCAACAAGAGCAAAAACTCCGTCTCCAAAAAAAAAAAAGCCCCCTGATTCACAGCTCAGGAGTAGGAATTCACACAGTTTCTAAGCCTGAGCAACCTTAGAAAAGAAAGAAGGAAACAAAGATGTGAAAAATTTATTTTGCATAGACTCAGTCAGAAAGTAGTGAGAAGTCTGGTCACAGAATAATTTTATTTAGGAAAACAGAAATCTATGGGACAATAAATTCTATAGCTACATGGAAAATGGAAATAACAATGGCAGCTTATGTCCTTTAAAGCCATGCTTCCGAGACTCTAACGTGCATATGAATCACCTGGGGATCTTATTAAAATGCAGATTCTGATTCAGTACTTCTGGGGTAGAGCCTGAGATTCAGTAAATCTCACAAGCTCCTTGGTGATGCCAATGCTGCTGACCCCTGAACCACACTTTGACCAGCAAAAACACATTTGCTTATTGTAAAGGTTATATCCACTGTTAAGTTTAAACACCATTTCATAAATTAATGTGAAGAAGAGTTAGGAATTAATTGTTCATTCAATCAACATCATTGAGCTTACTATATGCTAGGCCTTATGGCGGGTACTAAACATTCAACAGTAACTAAAGCAAAAAGTACACTTGGGAGGCTGAGGTAAGCAGATCGCTTGAGCTAAGGAGTTCGAGTCCAGCCTGGACAACATGGTAAAACCCCATATCTACAAAAAAATACAAAAATTAGCCAGGCATGGTGCCATGCTCCCGTGGTCCCAGCTACTCAAGAGGCTGAGGTGGGAGGATCACTGGAGCCCAGAAGGTGGAGGTTGCAGTGAGCTGAGATTGCGCCACTGCACTCCAGCCTGGATGACAGAGTGAGACCCTGTCTTAAAAAAAAAAAAAAAAAAAAAAAAAAAAAACTACCCTTGATCAATCTACTTTCGACTGTTCTTTCAAGCAAGTAATAAGCACAGGGCTTACAAGAACTTTTGTCATTCACAATTCAAAATGTATCAATCATGCTTCTCGTGTTAAGTTTTTCTTGATGTAACATTTTTAAGAATGCCTCAATTCAGATTGTTTACACTTTTTTTTTTTTAGATGAAATCTCACTCTACTGCCCAGGCTGGAGTGTAGTGGTGTAATCTCGGCTCACTGCAACCTCCACCGCCCAGGTTCAAGTAATTCTCCTGCTTCAGCCTCCCAAGTAGCTGGGATTACAGGCACCTGCCACCGCGCCCGGCTAATTTTTGTATTTTTAGTAGAGACAGGGTTTCGCCATCTTGGCCAGGCTGGTCTTGAACTCCTGACCTCGTGATCCACCTGCCTTGGCCTCCCAAAGTGCTGGGATTACAGGCGTGAGCCACCGCGCCTGGCCTGTTTACACTTTAAAAATAATTGGCAATTTAATCCAGTGAATTAGCATTGCTCTATTTTATATGAACTAGTAATAAAATTTTAAAGGTTTTCATATGCATGGCATAGTTTACCAGCAGCTAGCTACCTTATTGCAAATGTTACTGGGTCATTTCAATTAAAATTAAAGCAAATAGGAAAGTGGCAAGAAATGTTTCATTTAATTTTGGCTTAGTGTGGCCAAGTTCTCCAGGTGAATGTCATGGCTTCTGCCTCAAATTTGTATGTATAGTACAGATAGTAGAAAAACTTATACTCATCAAAGAGTTCATCTTTTTTTTTCCTCATGAGCATGAACTACCGCCCTGCTGCATATTAAATGGCAAAACAGAATCACCAGAAAGTTTCAAAATCCTAACAGGTTAGACATACTAAGAGAACAGATGACCTACTCAAGATTATTTTGCTTCCCCAAAAATGGATAACTCTCAGCAAGAAGGGAGAATAAGTACATGAAGGGCCATGTATATTCACAAAGAGCATCTGAACCAAGTCTTTGCTTACCAGATTTTACCTTTTTAAAAGATGCCAGGAGGTGGCAGCATTTGTTGCAGCTGTGTGAGTTTACTCATTAAAGCACAGGTTCTCAGAAAGTCTGGTGTATCAGATTTGGAGGAGAAGGGTTGGTGACAAGCATAAGGTGGCAGGAGTCTGTTCGGATTAAAAAGGCATTGGGACAATATTATAACACAATATTATACTTGAAAGCAAAATAAATCTGGTGTCATTGGTGTTCTATTAAATCTTAAAATCTTGGGTAGCCATATACAAAAATTAACTCAAGGTGGATTTAAAGACTTAAAAAACCTAAAACTACAAAAACCCTGGAAGATAACCTAGGAAATACTATTCCGGATATAGGATCCGGCAAAGATTTCATGATGAAGACGCCAAAGCAATTGCAACAAAAACAAAAATTGACAAATGGGACCTAATTAAAATAAAGTGCTTCTGAACAGCAAAAGAAACTATCAACAGAATAAACAGACAACCTACGGAATGGGATAAAATATTTGCAAACTATGCATCTGAAAAAGGTCTAATATCCAGAATCTATAAGGAATTTAAGCAAAAAAACCAAACAACTCCATTTTAAAACGTGGGTAAAGGACATGAACAGACACTTCGAAAGACATACTTGTGATCAACAAGGATATGAAAAAATGCTCAACATCACTTATCATTACAGAAATGCAAATCAAAACCACAATGAGATACCATCACACACCAGTCAGAATGGCTATTGATAAAAAGTCAAAAAATAACAGATGCTAGTGAGGTTGCAGGGAAAAGGGAATGTTTATACACTCTTGGTGGGAATGTAAATTAGTTTGGACATTGTGGAAAGCAGTTTGACGATTTCTCAAATAACTTAAAACAGAATTGCCATTCGACCCAGCAATCCCATTATTGAGTATATACCCAAAGGAATATGTTAAATAAATTGTTCTACCATGAAGACACATGCACGCATATGTTCTTCATAGCACTATTCACAAGGGCAAAAACATGGAATCAACCTAAGTGCCCATCAACGGTGGATTGCATAAAGAAAATGTACTACATATACACTATGGAGTACTATAGAGCCATAAAAAAGAACGTGACCATGTCCTTTGCAGCAACTTAGATGGAGCTGGAAGCCAGTATCCTAAGCAAACTAACACAGGAACAGAAAACCAAATACCACATGTTCTCACTTATAAGTGGGAATTAAGTGTTGATTAAATATAGACACAAAGAAAGGAACAATAGACACTGGGGCCTACTTGAGGGTGGAGGATGGGAGGAGGGTAAGGATCAGGTACTATGTTTATTACCTGGGTGATGAAATAATCTGTACACCAAACTCCTGTGACACATAATTTATCTATAAAAGAAACTTGCACATGTACCCCTGAACCTAAAATAAAAGTTTTTAAAAAAAATCTTCAGTAGTGGGAATATACAGAACTTATCTGCATCTTCAAAGAACAGAGTGAGAAAGACAAAGGAGAGCCTGGATTTTAACTGAGAGGCATATGACTAAAGTGTAGTTCCAGAACTGTCTCTATAAACAATTTCCTTCACACATCATTATATTTGCTAAGGGTTTGGTATGGTGCCAACTACAGAGTATGAAAACTCAGTAAATATTTCTTTCTTTCTTTTTTTTTTTTTTTTTCTGAGACAGAGTCTCGCTCTGTCACCCAGGCTGGAGTGCAGCCGCACAATCTCTGCTCACTGCAGGCTCCGCCTCCCGGGTTCACGCCATTCTCCTGCCTCAGCCTCCCGAGTAGCTGGGACTACAGGCGCCCACCACTACGCCCGGCTAATTTTTTGTATTTTTAATAGAGACGGGGTTTCACCGTTTTAGCCGGGATGGTCTTGATCTCCTGACCTCGTGATCCGCCCACCTCGGCCTCCCAAAGTGCTGGGATTACAGGCGTGAGCCACCACGCCCGTCCTATTTCCATTTTTTAACCCATTCCCACTGCTGAGAAAGATTTGCTCAGGGGCAGCTGTTATTTCACTAACCAATAGCAGTGCAATTTTTGCTTCTCATACTTTTGTCATAGGAAAATCATTACAAATATAACAGCCATAAATGTCTCGGAAATCATAGCAGATGAACCTGGCAGCCAGATAATCAGGAATGAAGTGCCCTTTCTAAGAGTTCAGTCTAAGAATAAGAATCACAATGAATGTGATTATTCTAGTTGCCACAGCCCCGCTCAGTGTTCAGTTTTAAAGGCTTCCCGCCTTATCATCAATCAGTCTCTTTACCTATATTCCTACTTAGAAAGATATTCAACATATGCATCACTATTTTTAAATTATGAATTAGGACACATTAGATAAAAGAAACTCTTTTTTAGTTTTTTTTAAAAAGTTGATCTGCATTTATCCTGTTGAGATACACTTTTAAGACTTGAGAATATATACATTAAAAGCCCTACTATCCTTTTCTATAAAATTCTACCTCATGATCAGTGTACTATTTTCATTATTAGAACAGATATCAAAACTTCAGAAACCAAAATTTATTCTGGGATAATGTATTCATTTTTTTAAAATCTTGTGAATTCTTCATCTACAGTAAACTAAAAGATGAACAATGAATCATGTGTGGCTTGGTATGATTCAAAATTCTGAAGAATAGACTTGTTAATTGTCACATATTCTTTCCTAGGAAAGAATATGTGTAATGTTGTGACCCAAACCGCTTTCAAAAAATCCACCAAATTCTACTAATACTAAGGTTTCAAATGGGAAATTTAGAGCTAGAAAAGGTACATAGAGATAATATAATCCAACATTTTTATATGACAGATGGGAAAATTTAAAGAATTCAATCAAAAACATTTGTAATTTTAAGAATGTTATTTGCTACATCCATATAGATGATTACTATGTATACTTTACATAAGAATTTTTAAATATTTGCTTTTGATGTCTTCCTTCTTTTTAGGCAAAAAAAGTCTATATTGCTAAAAATAAGAATAAACTATGAATTGCATATAGCCATATGTTTCATTGTTTGATATGACTGTTTCATGAGATTCTATCTGGCTCAATATGATGCAGGTTTAACTACAGCGGGCTTAAGAAAAGATACCAATATCTATGAATCTGTATAGCTTGGAAAAAGGAGAAAATGCTTAGGGTGGCACAAATATTTGGAAAAGCAAGAGAAAAAAATGGAATAATACAATTTTGTGGCAACATGAAGTGCAAGCAAAACCTGCTTATGTCAGTTATTAGAAATCAAGGGGAGAAAAATACATTTGGTAACAATAGGAAATTAAAGAGAGATTTTTTTTTTAGGGACTTTTTAGGAAGCAGGTTAGATTTGCCTAAGTTGCTTCTCTCCAACTTTCCATTAAAATACCTATGAATGTCATTTTTTTTAAACTGGCAATAGTTCTGTAACTCAGAAGACTTTATGCCAAATTTGGGGTGGAATTTTCACTAAAGATGGTGTCAAGGGAGATGGATAGACTATTTAGCAATTTCTTCCACATCCTGAGCCATACAGGCAGTCCTGAAGAAGATGGAAACATACTTCAACTCATCATCTATTTGGTAAATCGATTAATTTCACTTATCTTCAAAATGTAGGCACTGAACACTTACACATTCCTCAAACACATAAAAATAGGTATCTAATACCCTCCACCACAATTCAGACCACAAGTGAGGGAGGGAGCCCAAAAGTTGGACATAAAAATACATATACTTGGGAGGAAATGTATTCATAGACTTCAATATATAATTTATGTAAGCAGGCAATTGCATTTTTAAATTATCAATGTGTTTTCCTCATTCTTTTTTGAGACACATGACTTTCACTTAGTCTTCCCTAAGTAATTACTTGCCTGGGTTACAAAATAAATGCAAAAAGAACTGGAAAGGTCATGGTGGTGCATGCTTGTAATCCCATCGCTTTAGGAGGCCTAGCTGGGCAGATTGTTTGGCCCCAGGAATTCAAGATCAGCCTGGCCAACATGGCAAAACCCTATCTCTAAGACAAAACAAAAATTAGCCAGGCATGGTGATGCATATGTCTGTAGTCTAAGCTACTTCAGGAAGGGGAGCAGGGAGGGGCTGAGGCAGGAGGATCACTTGCCCCCAGGAGGTTGAGGCTACAGTGAGCCATGATGGGGCCGCTGCACTACAGCCTGAGCAACAAACCGAGACCCTGTCTCAAAATAAAAAAGAAGAAGAAGAAAAAGAAGAACTGGGGTATCACCAACAGTTGCATCCAAATATAAGATTTTGTAGCAAGACAATGAACAGTCATGTAAGTCAGTTTAGACCATAAAGTTTTACGTCAGTAAAAGGAAAGTTCTCCTAGGCCCTGGGAAGAAAAGGAGCTAGAATAGCCAGAAGAGCAAGATTATATTGTAAATATTATAATACAGTTATTAAACTGAATGCAAAAGCCAAAAAAACTTGATATGAAATTGATATATTTCTTTTAAAAATAAATATTATACCAGCTCCATAAGCCCTGTTACATGACAAAGACTGAAATGCTGGGGGTGGGGAATTGGAGTTAAAGTAAAGTTCTGCTTTCCCAAGCTCCTTTGACCACATCCCACAAATGTTAATAGGAAGTAGAGTGAGTTTAAATTTTAGTCACAAACTCGAATGCAGCATATCTTAGTCTCTTTTCTGTTGCTTATAATAGAATAACTGAAACAGAGTAATTTTCAAAGAAAAAATATATATAAATATAGAAAATTATACATTGAAAATTAAGTTTCCAACACATGAAATCTGGGGAACATTCAAGCCCTAGCATTCCACCCCAGCCCCCCAAATTCATTTCTTTTTCACATGCAAAATACACCCACTCCATCCTTATAGCCCCCAAATCCTAACTTGGTGCAGCACCAACTCAAAAGCCCAAAGCCTACAGTCTACACAATGGTAGTATAGGATTAAGGCAAACATTCCCATTCCAAACGGGAGAAATAGGCAAAAAGAAAAGAATAACAGGCCCCAAGCAAATCCAAAACCCAGCAGGACAGACATTGTATCTTAGAGCTGGAGAATAATCTCTTTTGAGTTCACACACTGCCTCCTGGACACGCTGGAGCAGGAGTTGGGCCCTCAAGGCCTCAGGAAGCTGCACTCCTATGGCTTTGCTGGGTGCAGCCGCTGCTCCTTTGGATTGGAGTCCAGTGCCTGAAGCTTTCCTAAGTAGATGTTGCATACTGCTGGTGACTTCACAGTTCTGAGGTCATGGTGGCAGTCTTGGTCCCAGAGCTCCACTAGGCTTTATCCTAGTGAGGACTCTCTGCAGTGACCATGGCTCCACTAGGCATTGCCCTGGTGGGGACTCTCTGCGGTGCCTCAACCCCACATTTCAGCTGCGCGTTGCCTACTGGGGTCTCTCTGTGGTGGTTCCAGCCCCTGTAACAAGTCTCTGCTTAGGTCCCCAGGATTTCCATAACATTCTCTGAAATCTGGGTAGAGGCTGCCAAACATTTATAGCTCTTGCTGTCTGCAAGCCTGCAGAATTAGTACCACGTGGACTCTGCCAAGGTTTATAACTTCTGCAGCTGCAGCTCAGCTGTGCCTGGTGTGGGGCGCAGAGTCAGAGGCAAGGAGCCTACTACAAACCTGCAGGGAGCCCTCCCTGGACCTGTATCCCAGTACTACTCTGCCCTCCCAGGCCTGCAAGCCTGCGATGGGAGGGGCAGCCCCGAAGATCTCTGAAATGCCTTCTGGGTCTTTCTTCCATTCTCTTGATGATTTCTGCTGTCTGTACCAATCTCCTTAGCAGATGGTCTCTCTAGGCCATACTCTTGGATTCCTCTCCTGAAAATGCTATTTCACATGGTCAGGCTGATAAATTTCCAAATTTTTCCACTGTTTCCCTTTTCTCTGGAAGTTTACCACTGGCAGTTAGAAGTAACCACACAGCAGCCTGAACACTTTGCCGCTTAGAAATTTCTTCTATGGGATATTCTATTCTGTCACTTTTAAGTTGACGGCTTTTCACAAAGCCCTAGGGTGTGGCCACGCAGCTGAGTTCTTTGCTATGGTGTAGCAAGGGTGACCTGTGTTCCAGTTCCCAACACCTTATTCCTCATTTCCATCTGAGGTCTCATTAGCATGGCCTTTGCTGTCAACATTGCTATCAACATTCTGGTCATGACCACTTCACCAACCTCTAAGGACTTCCAAACTTTCCCTAGTCTTCTTATCCTCTAAGGCTTCACCAGAATCTAGGCTTTTTTCTAGCCTATTTTTCCAAATTCTTCCAGCCCCTGTCCATTACCCAGTTCCCAAGCAGCTTCCACATTTTCAGGTATTTGTTATCAGCAACACCTCACTTTTCACTACCAATTTTCTGTTTTAGTCCATTTTCTGTTGCTTATAGAATACCTAGAATGAGTAACTTATAAATAAAAGAAAAGCATTTTGTACAGTTATGGAGGCTGAGATGTCTCAGGGTGAGGGACCAAATCTGGTGAGAGCCTTTGCGCCGGTGGGGACTCTGAAGATTCCTGAATTGAGGCCACAGGGCATCACATGGCAAGGAGACTGGTTGTGCTAGCTCAGGTCTCTCTTTTCTTGTATAGCCACCATTAATCCATTAACCCTTTAATCTGTTGTTCCATTAATGGATTGATTCATTACTGAAGGCAGAGCACTCATGATCCCATCACCTCTTAAAGTCCTCACCTTTTAATAGTGCCACATTGGGTATTAACTTTCCAACACATCAAATTTGGAGGATACATTCAATCATAACGCAGCAGAAATACAGCCTAGTTTATTTTTCTACAAATCAATTTAATATCTATTTCAAGTCCCTTTTCCACCAGAAGTGGAATTTGGGGCTCAATTCTTCTCTTCTTTAATTAAGGTTGTTTACCTAGTGCCAAGGAAGGAAGCAGGTCTGCTCTTCAATGTCGGCCATCCACATAGGCATCTGCCAAGACATCCATCATCTAGTCTGGTTTTCAGAGCTTGAGCATCATCAGTCCAAACAAGGTGACACTGAGATGTCACACCACCCAAAGGCACAGGCACTCTGGGGCCATTCAAATGATAAGTCATCATTTGAATCCCTAGATCTAGTCTTTGCTGAAGTTTATGTTTTGGAAATCCTTGTTATATTAATAATTCTTATTGGTACTATCTTTCTTGCTTCTTCTTGTAATTTTGCTTGCCTCTCTCTTCTTTTCTCAGGTAGGCTCTATGTACAACAAGATCAGCTTCTAGGAAATCTAGCCTTGTATGTTCCTTACATATTGTAATCACAGGAATAGAGAAACACTCTTTCTTCCAACACACAAATCAAGACAAGATAAAGGACTCTGATTGCCCCAGTTTTGGTAAATTGCCCACCTCTGGCCAATTCTTGAGTCAGAAAGATAAGCCACTCTGATTGGTCAGCTCAGCCTATGTGCCATTTCAGGTTAAGTTTCACAGACTCACATCTTAAATCAAAGATTCCATTGAGAGTGATTTCTTAAGTATATGCTTCTGAGAGAAAACAGTAAGGGAGTGGGGAAAGCTAGAGAAGGGGAAAAAAGTCTTGCAATTTCCAAAACCTGATATGGGAGCTCTAGAGCATAAATTATACCTCCTAGCATGTCATCCTGGGGCAAAGAAGCCCTGGGTGTGGAGAGATTGGAAGGCCATCAAACTTCCAGGCACTTTCAGCTTTACATGTAGACAAGGCAGACCCAGTGCCCAAGGTCCAGCCTCCAAAGGGCTCAGGTGCAAAGCCTTACTGGCAAAGCACACAAAAGCTGGGAATGGGCTTACAAAACTGGCAAAAAGGAATCCCGAAGAATCGAAGTGGAGCATCCAGTGTCCACTAAATTTGCTCAGTGCTTTGGTGGGGAAGATACAGTCTCTTGATTAACGCCACCAAAACATTCTCAGGGTTAGAAGAAGGGCAGTTCTCAAGGGTAAGAATGTGAAGCCAAAAAAACAAGTGACCACTTGTATCATTCAAAGCCTGAGATAGGGCTGTTAAATTTTCCTGGAGCTACAGTATTTCTGCACATTTCTCCTTTTCTCCTAATAATTTTTTACTGTAGGTGTTGATGTTAGTCAATACATAAAGTTTTATAACTGTTATAACTTCACTGTGCAATGTAGTGTTCATGATAAAAATAACCCTTCTTTTAACCATTTAGCGTTTTGACCGTTGATATCTATGTGTCTGAAATCATTAATTACATCTGTTTTTAAATGTCACCTTATAAATCTTTGTCCACCCTCTTTTTTAAAAAAATTATGTTTGTTTTATGGAAGATATCACAACCAATACCAAAGAAATATGAAAGTATATTCAAGGCTTCTATGAACACCTTTACATGCATAATGTAGAAAACCTAGAAGAGATGGATAAATTTCTGGAAATTTATCCTAGATTAAACCAGGAAGATATAGAAACACTGAACAGACCAATAACAAGAAGCAAGATTGAAATGGTTAAAAAAAATGCCAATAAAAATAGTCCAGGACCAGAAGGATTCACAGCTGAATTCTATCAGGCATTCAAAGAAGAATTGGTACCAATCCTACTGACACTATTCCAAAAGATAGAGAAAGAGGAAATTTTCCCTAAGTCATTCTATGAAGTCAGCATCACCCTTATACCAGAACCAGGAAGGGACACAACAAAAAAAGAAAACTATAGACCAATATCCCTGATGAACATAGATGCAAAAGTCCTCAACAAAATACTAGTGAGCCAAATCCAACAGCATATCAAAAAGATAATCCACCATGATCAACTGGGTTTCAGACCAGGGATGCAGGGATGGTTTAACATAGGCAAGTCAATAACTGTGATACACCACACAAACAGAATTAAAAACAAAAATCACATGATCATCTCAAGAGACACAGAAAAAGCATTTGACGAAATCCAGCATCCTTTTATGATTAAAACCCTCAGCAAAATTGGCACAGAAGAGACATGCCTTAAGGTAATAAAAGCCACCTGCGAGAAACCCACAGCCAACATTATACTGAATGGGGAAAAGTTTAAAACATTCCCCCTGAAAACTGGAACAAGACAAGGATGCCCACTTTCACCACTTCTAGTTAACATAGCACTGGAAGTCCTAGACAGAGCAATCAGACAAGAGAAAGAAATAAAGGGCATCCAAATCAGTAAAGAGGAAGTCAAACTGTCACTGTTTGCTGATGATATGATCGTATACCTAGAAAACCCTAAAGACATATCCAAAAAGCTCCTGGAACTAGTAAATGAATTCAGCAAAGTTTCAGGGTACAAAATTAATGTACACAAATCAGTAGCTCTGCTATACACCAACAGTGACGAAGCTGAGAATCAAATCAAGAACTCAAACCCTTTCATAATAGTTGCAAAAATAAAATAAAATACTTAGGAATATACCTAACCAAGAATGTGAAAGACCTCTACAAGCAAAACTACAAAATACTCCTGAAAGAAACTATAGATGACACAAACAAATGGAAACACATCCCATGCTTATAAATGGGTAGAATCAATATTGTGAAAAATAACCATACTGCCAAAAGCAATCTAGAGATTCAATGCAATTCCCATAAAAATACCACCATTAGCTGGGCACGGTGGCTCATGCCTGTAATCCCAGCACTTTGGGAGTCTGAGGCGGGTGGATCGCCTGAGGTCAGGAGTTCAAGACCAGCCTGGCCAACATAGCAAAACTCCGTCTCTACTAAAAATACAAAAAATTAGCTGGACGTGGTGTTGGGCGCCTGTAATCCCAGCTACTAGGGAGGCTGAGGCAGGAGAATCTCTTAAACCCAGGAGGCAGAGGTTGCAGTGAGCTGAGATTGTGCCATTGCATTCCAGCCTGGACAACAAGAACAAAACTCCATCTCAAAAAAAAAAAAAACCACCATCATTCTTCACAGAGTTAGAAAAAACAATCCTCAAATTCATATGGAACCAAAAAGGAACCCACATAGCCAAAGCAAGACTAAGCAAAAAGAACAAATCTGGAGGCATCACAATTACCTGACTTCAAACTATATTCTAAGGCCATAGTCACCAAAACAGCATGGTACTGATATAAAAATAGGCACATAGACCAATGGAACAGAATAGAGAACCCAGAAATAGAGCCAAATACTTACAGTCAACTGATTTTCAGCAAAGCAAACAAAAACATAAAACGGGGAAAGGACACCCTATTCAACAGATGGTCCTGGGATAATTGGCAAGCCCCATGTAGAAGACTAAATCTGGATCCTCACCTGTCACCCTATACAAAAATCAACTCAAGATGGATCAAAGTCTTAAATCTAAAACCTGAAACCATAAAGATTCTAGAAGATAACACCAGAAAAACCCTTCTACACATTGGCTTAGGCAAAGACTTCATGATCAAGAACCCAAAAGCAAATGCAACAAAAACAAAGATAAATAGATGGGACTTAATTAAAGTAAAAAGCTTCTGCACAGCAAAAGAAATAATCAGCAGGGTTAACATAACCAACAGAGTGGAAGAAAATCCTCATCTATCCATCTGACAAAGAACTAATATCCAGAATCTACAAAGAACTCAAACAAATCAGCAAGAAAAAATGAACAATCCCATCAAAAAGTGGGCTAAGGATGTGAATAGACAATTCTCAAAAGATGATATACAAATGGCCAACAAGCATATGGAAAATGCTCAGCATCACTAATTATCAGAAAAACTCAAGTCAAAACCACAATGTGATACCACCTCACTCCTGCAAGAATGGCCATAATCAAAAAATAATAGATGTTGGCATGGATGTGGTGAAAAGGGAAGACTTTTACACTGTTGATTGGAATATAAACTGGTACAACCACTGTGGAAAACAGTGTGGAGATTCCCTAAAGAACTAAAAGTAGATCTACCACTTGATCCAGCAATCCCACTACTAGGTATTTACCCAGAGGAAAATAAGTCATTATACAAAAAAGATACTTGCACACACATGTTTATAGCAGTGCAATTTGCAATTGCAAAAATGTGGAACCAGCCCAAATGCCCATCAATCAACGAGTGGATAAAGAAAATTTAATATATGAATTCTGGCTAGGAGGCTTCTCGTTCTGCTCAAATTGTTACAAAGTTCAGCTAGAGAAGACCTTCCCGTGAAGTTTTACCCCCTGCTCCTCTGGCCATCCTCCTGATGGATGCCTGTGGTGCCAGGCAGGAATGGGCTACTTGGGGATCCAGCGAGCTCCCCGTGCCTTTCTGCTACTTCCTCTACCTCTGTATTTCACTCAGCTCAGCTGTCTAACTTGACTCAGCTCTTTCTTAGTGCCTGAAACATCTAAAAGGGAAAATCCAGAAGAAGACAGAGAGAAACTGAGCTCTTGACAATGCATTCACTAAAGAAAGTGACCTTTGAAGATGTAGCTATTGACTTCGCCCAGAAGAGTGGAGCTTTCTCTTGATGGACATATCCAAGAGAAAGCTGTACAGAGATGTGATGCTGGAAAACATCAGTCACCTGGTGTCCCTCGGGCATCAGATAAGCAAATCCTATATAATTTTGTAGCTGGAACAAAGAAAAGAGCTATGGAGGGAAGGAAGAGAATTTCTTCAAGGCCAGAGTCCAGACAGGGAAACTGCCCTTAAGAAAAAACACATGATATCCATGCATCCTATCATCAGAAAAGACTCATCCACCAGTTTGACAATGGAGAAATCTCTCATTCCAGAGGATCCCTTTGAACATAATGATTTGGGAGAAGATTGCACTCACAGTTCCACAATGACTCCATGTTTGTTAACTCACAGTGGAAAGAAACCCTACATCAGCAAACAGTGTGGAAAATCCTTTAGTAATCAGTTGTCCCCTAAACAACATAAATTCATACTAAAGGTAAGTCATATCAACGTAATCTATGTGAAAAGGCTTATACTAATCGCTTTCACCTTAGGCAGCACAAGTTGACTCACACTGGAGAGAGACCATATGCATGTCATCTATGTGCAAAAGCCTTCATTCAGTGTTCTCACCTTAGAAGACATGAGAAAACTCACATGGGAGAGAGACCACATAAGTGTCATCAGTGTGGGAAAGCCTATATTCAATCCTTAAACCTTCAAAGACATTAGAGAACTTACCTTGGAAAGAGATGTTATGAATGTGATAAAGGTGGGAAAGCCTTTAGTCAGAGCTCTGGCTTTAGAGAGCATAAAAAAAATCACACTGGAGAGAAACTACATGTATGTCTTCTATGTGGGAAAGCCTTCAGTCTATCTTCTGACCTTAGATGACATGAGAGAACATGCACTGGAGAAAAGCCATTTGAATGCCATTTATGTGTGAAAGACTTCAGTCAATGTACTAATCTTAAATAGCATGAGAAAATTCACCCTAGAGAGAAAATTATAAACATCTTCAGAACATATTCTGACTTTAGATGACATGGTGTTAGGAATGACGAATGTAAGGAATGTGGAAGAGACTTCAGCTATAGTTGTAACATCTAAACATGCCAAAGGACTCAAATCTTGAGGAAATACTGTAATCAACATGGAGTATACTTCGGTTACGTTTATTCTTCAGTCCACATCAATGAATGGAAGAGAAATTGTATGGCATGTATGTAGCAAAGACTTGTTAGTGATCTGATCATAAACGACATGAGAGAGCTGAAACTGTCAACATAATAAACTAAAAGTCTTAAGCAACAGCTTTGACTTAAAACATGTGGGACTTTCAGGTAGAGAATCTCTAGCTCTATATGTATACATGGAATCTCTATATAGAGAGTCTCTAGCTCTATATGTATATATGTAACATATATACATATATGTTACATATATACATATATTGTTGGAAAAAAGAAAATGTGTATATATATGTGTTATATATAACGTATATATATTTCAATATTTGTAAGTATTATTTTATAATTATTTTGTAAGTATTATTTTTGCATTATTTCAATATTTGTAAGTATTGATCTTTTGGAAAAGTTTAATGAAATTTCTTATATAATTCTGCATTCAATTTATTCCCAGGTCAATTTGCTATTATACATTTACATGCCACATTTTTATGAATAGACATTTTCTCAAATTTCTGAATTATTTTGCTAAACTATGTGCTAAGAGTTTTTTCTAGAGGTCCACCTTCTTGACTCACTTTTCTGATGAGAAATCTATCAGGTTTCTCTACAGTGATTTTCAGGTTTGATAGCTCCTCAATGTGAGAAACTTAATGTCAACTAAGAAATGAATTACCACTGAAGAGTTTTCTCATTTCAAGATGCTGACTGTGTTTTGTCCAGTGTGAAATTTGACATGTGCCACAAGTGTTGCTCTATGAAGAAAGGATTTCTCATGATTTTTCATTGCATAATTTCTCCAGTAATAAGTATTTGGTATTTCAAGAGAATTCATTGCTCTCGGTAAGATTTTCCTTTCTTATTTAGCTTATAAAGGCTTTCCTCTCTTATTTTCCATTTTAGCAACATTTTATCACTGTGTTTTCTTGTGAACATCAAAACTGGTGCTTGGCTGAATGTTTAGTCACAGAAAATACAAATAAAGGGTTCATCCAAGTAAAGCTTTCTTATGTTATTTGACAATAAATTGCAAATAAAAAACATTTTCACACTGAATGCAGAGCTAGAGATTCTCTACCTGAAAGTCCCACATGTTTTAAGTCAAAGCTGTTGCTTAAGACTTTTAGTTTATTATGTTGACAGTTTCAGCTCTCTCATGTCAATTATGATCAGATCACTAACAAGTCTTTGCTACATACATGCCTTACAATTTCTCTTCCATTCATTGATGTGGACTGAAGAATAAAGGTAACTGAAGTATATTCCATGTTGACTACAGTATTTCCTCAAGATGTGAGGAGATACATATACATATATATATACATGTATACACATATATATACATGTATACATATATACGTAGTATATAATCACTGATTATATACATACGCGTATACATGTATATACACACATGTATATACATACGCGTATACATGTATATACACACATGTATATACATACGCGTATACATGTATATACACACATGTATATACATACGCGTATACATGTATATACACACATGTATATACATACGCGTATACATGTATATACACACATGTATATACATACGCGTATACATGTATATACACACATGTATATACATACGCGTATACATGTATATACACACATGTATATACATACGCGTATACATGTATATACACACATGTATATACATACGCGTATACATGTATATACACACATGTATATACATACGCGTATACATGTATATACACACATGTATATACATACGCGTATACATGTATATACACACATGTATATACATACGCGTATACATGTATATACACATGTATATACATACGTGTATATATATATATATACACACACACACACACACACACCATGGAATACTACTCAGCCGTGAAAAAGGAACAAAATAATGGCATTTGCTGCAACATGGCTGGAATTGGAGACCATTATTCTAAGTGAAGTAACTCAGAAAGAGAAAACCAAATATCACATGTTCCCACTCATCTGTGGGAGCTAAACTCTTTGGATGCAAAGGCATAAGAATGATACATTGGACTTTGGGGACTTGGGGGAAAGGGTGGGGGGTGACAAGGGATAAAAGACTACACATTGATAAAGTGTACACTGCTCAGGTGATGGGTGCACCAAAATCCCAGAAATCACCACTGAAGAAATTATTCATGTAACCAAACACCACCTGTTCCCCCAAAACCTATTAAAATAAGTAAATAATAAATCAATCAATAAATAAAATAAATAAAATTATGTTTGTTTTAGATGTGCTTTTTGGAAGCAGCAAAGGTTTTTTAAGCAGTTGTTTTTTAACCATATTTGGAGAACTCTGTTTTAACTGGGTAGTATAACTCATTTAAATTTATTATCAGGACTGATATCATTTGTGTTGTTATGCTATCTGCGGGTATTGTTTCTTTTTTCTTTCTTGCTGTTTTCTTTCTATTTTTCAGGTTTCTATGCCACTTCCTCTGTTTTCTGTCATTTGCTCTTTGGGTTGATTTTATCTTCTGCAGCTTTGGAAGATATCAACTCTCTTTTAAGTTCTATTGATATTAGTGTTTAAAAATTATTCTTTTTCATTCTTTACTAACTTTCACATAAGATTTTAAAAAGTAACTATCTTTTTGCTTTCTCCCAGTTCACATTTTTCTCACTTAGTCATAGTCTTTCTTCATGTTATCTGGACATTCAGATCCACATTAATGTGATTTGATTCTATATGTAGTTTTTCCACTGTCTTCTTTTAAGAACAATTTCCAATGTTTGCATTTCATTTTTACAACCAAACTTACAACAATTATTTAAATCTAATGCGATGGTTGATTTTACGTGTCAACTTGACACATATTTTTTAGTCTACTCTTACATTCTGCAAAACCTTCTCAAGTAAGTCCACCACATCACTGATTAAATTTTTTTGTTATAACAAGTCTGCTTTTACTAACTACATTGTTGATTTTAATTCTATTGCATTTTTCATTTTCATGACAATTTCCTCTTCTCTGGCAGCTGATTTTATCTCCAGCACATTTCTGTACATTTCACACTACTATGTCTTTAGGTTAATTTCTACTCTCCTCTTGGCTTTCTGTTCCAGTTTCATAAAGATTATCTTACTGTTTTAATAACTGCCAAGATGTTTACCAAAATATTTTCCTGGTTCTAGTAGTAAATCATTTAAAAAATATGTACTCCCTCTCTGAATCATCGGAGAAAAAAATCAGCTTTTCTTGTCATTTTCTTTTTAAAAGCATACACAGAAGTTTTTTTCCCTCTCCAATTCCATGAAAAAAGAATTTTTTCCATGTAAATACCAACATTCAAAGTCCATGATCCTACCTCACCCCTTAGGCTTTTCTTTTCTTTTTTTTTTTTTTTTTCTTTTTTGAGACAGGTTCTTGCTCTGTTGCCCAGGCTGTAGTGCAGTGGTACAATCTTAGCTCACTGCCGCCTTAACCTCCCAGGCTCAAGCCTCCCACCTCAGCCACCCAAGTAGCTGGGAACACAGGTGCATGCCACTATGCCTGGCTTATTTATTTATTTATTTATTTATTATTTATTTTTGTAGAGACAGGGTCTCAATTTGTTGCTCAAGCTGGTCTTGGACTCCTGGTCTTAAGTGATCCTCCTGCCTTGACCTCCCAAAGTACTGGGATTACAGGTGTGAGTCACTGTGCCCAGCCCAGCCTTTTCTTTGGAGTTAATAGAATTCTCTTTTTATGCCATTTCTTGGAGATAACTTGGCATGTAAATATTCTAATTAAATCTTCATGTCTTACAGGGCTTGAGTTGGGGTCTTCTCAGACCTAGGCTGTCAACTTCAACTTCTTTGAACTTCTCATCCCACAGAATATGTAAAATTAATGGTCCAAAGCTTTCCTAATATCTATGCTAAGTACATCTAGTTTCTTTTAGGACTGCACTTCTCTGTATGTAATGAGTCACTATCATTCACACTACCCTCTGCCTAACATGCTCGCCAAAACTCCATATATCCTGTTGCTATGATCTAAATGTTGATGTCCCCCAGAAAAACCATGTGCTGGAACCTAATGCCTAATGTGGTAGTATTAAGAGGTAGCGCCTTTTGAGGAAGTGATTAAGTCATAAGGATTTCAACCTAATGAATGGGGTCAGTGCTATAACAGAGCTGCCTTGCCCTTTCCACCACATGAGGACACAATAAGAAGGCATCATCTTTGAAGCAGGGAAGGAGCTAACATCAGACACTGAATCTGTTCATGCCTTAATCTTGAACTTCCCAGACCCTCAAAGGTTGAGCACTAAATTTCTGTTCCTAAACCACCCAACCTAAGATTTTTTTTATAGCAGCATAAATGAACTAAGATAGAAATTGGTACTGAGAAGTGGAGTGCTGCTTTAACAAATACCTAAAAATGTGGAAGTGGCTTTGGAACTGGGTAATGAGCAGAGTCTGGAAGGATTTGGAGGAAGAGGCTGAAAAAAAAAGCCTGTTTTGCTGGAATGGACAGTAAAGCGATATTCTGATATTCTGGTGAGGGCTCAGAAGAAAAGGAGAGCTGTTAAGAAACCTCAGTCTTCTTAGACTTTATCTAAGTGGTTGTGACCAGAATATTGACAGAAATATGGATGTTAAAGGCCATTCTGATGAGGTCTCAGATGGAAGGAACACATTGTTAGAAACTGAAGAAAAAACCATTCTTGTATAAAGTGGCAACAACTTGGCTGAATTGTGTTTATCTCCTAGTGCTTTGTGGAAGGTAGAACTTGGAAACGATGAAATATTTGGAAGAAATCTCTAAGCGAAGTGCGAAGAGTGCAGCATGGCTTGGCTTCTGTTGACTGCTTATACTAAAATATGAGAAGAGAAAAACTAACCAAAGATGGAATTTATAACAAACAAGGAAGTAGACCTTAAAGATTTGCAAAATTCTCAGCCTGGCCATGTTGTAAAGAATGAAAAATTGTGTTCAAGGCGAACAGCAAGGGTGTGGCCAAGTCACTATTTGAAAAGGATATTTAGTATGGATGGGCAGAAGCTTGCTTGCTTCTATTCATCAAGGCAATGGGAGAATGGGCCTGAAAACATTTCCGAGATCTTCAGCAGCTGCCCTGTCCATTACAGGCCCAGAATACCAGGGCCTTGAGAACAGAAATATTTCAAACTTCTGCCCCTCTCATTCTGGTGCAGCACTCCTTCAACCCCTCAGCTGTGGCTCAAATGGGCCCAAGAGCAGCTCAGGTTTCTCCTCTGTGCAGATGCACAGGCAGTAAACCTTGGTGGCATCTGCACAGTGCCACCTCACCAGAGTGCTTGAGCTGTGAGGACATGGCTACCTCCACCTAGATTTCAAAGGATTACCCAGAGAGCCTCAGAGCCACTGCAGAGAGTCCTCACTAGAGCAATGTCTAGAGGAGCCATAGAGGCAGAGTCTCTTCTGAGACCCCCCAAAAATAGAGCCACCAGCAAGCAACTCCAAACAATGACAACTACAGCATGGGCTGCACCCGGCAAAGCCATGAGGGCAGGGCTGTTCAGACCTGTGAGGCCCAGCCTCTACCCCTGTGTGTCTGGAAGATGAGATATCAAGTCAAAGAAGATTATTCTGGAGTCTTAAGGTTTAACGTTTGCCCTATTGGGTTTTGGATTTGGTTGGAACCTGCTATCCCCTTTTTAAAAAAAATCCTTCCTTTTGAAATGGAAATGTCTATCCTATGCCTGTCCCATCATTGTATTTTGGAAGTATATAACATGTTTGATTTCACAGCTGGAGAGTAACTTGCCTCAGGATAAATCATACCTTGAGTCTCAGCCATCTCCGATTTAGTTGATATTAAGATGAGACCGAGTTTTAGACTTTTGAGTTGGTACTGGAACAAGTTAAAATTCTGGGGGCTATTGGGATGGAACAAATATATGCTCCATGTGAGGGGGCCATGAATTATAGGGGGCCAGGAACAGAATGTCATAGTCTAAATGTTGACATCCCCCCAAAATTCACGTTGAAACCTATTATCTAATGTGATAGTATTATGAGGTGCAGCCTTTTGGGGGAGTGATTAAATCACAATGGCTGTGGCCTCATGAATGGGATTAGTGCCCTTACAAAAGAGATGGAAGTGCACTGCCTTACTTTCTTCTATGTGAGGACACAGCAACAAGACATCATCTCTAGATCAGAGAGTGAACCCTTTCCAGATACTGAGTCTATTGGCACTTTAGTCTTGCACTCCTCAGCCTCCAGAAGTGTGAGCAATAAATTTCTATTGTTTATCCGTTACTCAGTCTATGATATTTTGTCCAGAAGAACTAAGAAAACTGTCTTGTTTTTTTCTAAATGAATATATAAAGATTACAGTTTTAACATGGATATATAAAGACAGATACCAATGGAACAAGACAGGGTTTGAACAATCCTCTGAATACCTCAAAAATAATGCCTGGGTTGTAAAGAAACAGCCCTCGTCACTTTTTATTCATTGGTAGAGAATCAAAGTTGTATTTGAGAGGGGAGCTGTTAGTAGCTTTCTCTACCTACTTGCAAGATGTAGGTATATTCCATTTCAAGAGGAAAAACAATAAAATACAAACAGATCAAAACCACTCATACTGGCCATGAATTGTGAATGGTGTTATTATTATTTGAATAACCTTAAAAAACTGTCAGGCTTAGTTTTCAATGTTATGAGTTTTTATCCTCTTCTGTGTCTTCATAAATATACATATATTTTGAGACAGGGTCTCACTATGCTGTCCAGGTTGGTCTTAAATTCCTGTGCTCAAGCGATGCTCCTGCCTCAGCCTCTGGAGTAGCTGATATTATAGGCATCCGTAAATATTTTTGCAAGGAATTCAGAGAGTTACTGAAACA
Organism: Homo sapiens; assembly: GCF_000001405.40. Classification (NCBI taxonomy): domain Eukaryota; kingdom Metazoa; phylum Chordata; class Mammalia; order Primates; family Hominidae; genus Homo; species Homo sapiens. The sequence goes on from NC_000004.12 coordinate 102,469,307, forward strand.
ATACCTGCTAGCCAGATGCCATTTAAATTTAAGACTCTTGCTCAATATTTAAAATAATACTGAAAAATTAACATTTTATTTTTTCTTCTTATCATTATTGTTGTTGTAGTTCTTGCTGCAGAGTAATAATCATAGCTATGACTTGTTGAGTATTTTTTTTAAATCAGGCAGGCATTGTGAGCACACTGTATGAACTTTTTCTAATTCTTGTAATATCATAATTACTAATCTCACTTTCCATAAAGAAATTGAAGTTCAATGAGTTTAGATAACTTGCCCAAATCATACTGCTATTAAGTTGTAATGCTAAGCTCATAATCAAATGGCTTTGACTCCAATCCCATCCCTGTCTCACATGATGATACCTCACCCAGCAAAGGATTCTATGGCTATAGGAACACAACTGCCGTCATTCCCATTGAATTTTTTCTTGCATGTAAATTTCAGCACAACAAGCGTTTTTTTTAATAGTACAACCTGCACAAGTTGCCAACAAATCTCACTAGTAATATACATGGGAGAAGAGGAGACAGCAATTGATAATACAACTAAATCAGGTAAATCAATACAAGATTTTTGATCTAGCATTAATGTCTGCACAGATGCATGTTTGATGTAAGCCTGTAATGCTGGTTCTGGTAGTAAAACGATAGTATTTTTTCAATTCATCATGTAATTAAATGAGGTATTTCCTGCAACCAACTTCCTTCCTTCAGCAGGATTTAAGCTTTTTGATGAAAGGATGTTAACTGTTTGAGGGAGCAGAGTTTACTATCCACATCCTTTCAGTTAATACCCAGATTTAGAATTATTGAGAACAAATGTTTGAATCATCTCTATAAACTATAAATTAGATAATTCTATAAAATAATTGATTTTAAAGGACCAGATCTTTAACTCTTTACCACATTTCTCTTCCTTGTTTTTTCTTTTTAAATCTAAACTCTAAACAGCATGTAAAGTATTGTAAGAGCTTGCATTTCTACCTCAAATATGCCATAAAGGGCTCTATAAAAAAAGAGGCTGAAAATATATACTCCACTTTAAAATGAGTACACACATAGGTTGTTCTGAATCGCAGTTGGTAGGTCTTTAGAGATAAAAGTTATTTTAATGGGTTAAAGCCTCTCCTTTCACCTATGACAAAACTATAATCTGTGGTGAGGGATGTCAAATATATTGGTAAGGTGCTATTACCACAGACCCTGCAGACAACAAAAGGTAATAAGGGAATACTATCAACAACTCTACACACAAATTTGGCAACTTAGATAAAATGGATCAATTTCTTAAAAGTGCAAACTACCACAACTCACTCAGTATGAAACTTTGAATAGCCAAATAACTACTTACAAAATTAAATTCATAATTTTGAGACTTAAAAAAAGAAAAGAAAGAAATCTCCAACCCCAGAGAGTTTCACTGGAGAATTTGAACAAAGAGCGAAAGAATTAGCCCCAATTTTACACAATTTCTCCAGGAAATAAAAGAAGAATGAATGCTTCTTAATTCATTTTGTGAAGGTAGTGTTACACTGATACCAAAACCAAAGACAGCACACACACACACACAACACACAATGAACTATAGACCAATATCTTTCATGAATATAAACATGAAATATTTGGAAAATAGATTCAGTAATATCTAAAAAAAATTATATGCTATTACAAAGTGTGATTTATCCCTGGGATGCTAGACTGCTTTAATATTTAAAATCAATCAATGTAATATGTCATATAAAAATTACATGATCATATCAACTGATGAAACAAAATCATTTGGCAAAATTCAACACCCATTCATGATTTTAAAAAAACAACACTCAGAAAAATAGAAATACAGGGAAGTTTTCTCAATTTGACAAAGAGCATCTGTAAGAAAACCTACAATTTCCATTATACTTAATAGTGAAAAACTGAATTCTTTCCCCCTAAGACTGGGAGCAAGGCAAAGATCCCACTCTCTCCACTCTTATTCAACATAGTGCTACAAGTTCTAGCCAGCGCATCATGGCTAGAAAATGAAATAAAAGGTATACAGACCAAAAAGAAAGAAAGAAAACTGTTTCTATTTGCAGATAACATGATTGTTTACATAGAAAATCCCAAGGAATCTGTAAAAAGAACTCCTAGAACTAATAAATGAGTTGAGAAAAGTCACAGGGTACAAGATATACATTCAAAAATCAACTGTTGTGGAGCACAGAGGATTGGGGGCAGTGAAAATATTCTGTATGATACTATCTTGGTGGATCTATGCAATTATACATTTGTCCAAACCCATAGAATGTACAACATTAAGAGTGAACCTTAATGTAAACTACGGACTTTGGGTGACGATGTGTCAGTGTAGGTTGATCAGTTGTAACAAATGCACCACTCTAGCCGGGATGTCAGTAACAGAGGAGCCTATTATGCATGTGTAGGAGCAGGGGGTATATGAGAAATCTCTTTACCTTCCTCTCAATTTTGCTGTGAACCTAAATCTGCTGTGAAAAAAAAATTGTCTGTTTAAAAATTAATTTTATTTCCATATATTAGCAATGAACACTGAAATTAAAAATATGATATTTACAATCACTCAAAAAAAAAGAAACAGGTGTAAATCTAACAAAACATGTATAGGATTTACATGCTGAAAACTATAAAATGCTAAAGAAAAAACTCCAGAAGATCTAAATAAATGAGCAGCCAATGAGGATTGGAAGACTCAACATAGTAAATATGTCAGTTCTCCCCAAATTGATATACAGGTTTAATATATTTCCTATCAAAATCCCAGCAAGACTTTTAATAGGTACAGAAAAAATTCTAAAATATAACAAAAATATAGAGGAACTAGATAAAAAAGGACAAATTATTCCAAAAATTATATATGGAAAGGCAAAATAATTAAAATAGCTAAAAAAAACTTTGAAAAAGAATTTTAAAAACGGGAAGAAACAGTCTACCTAATTCCGACATTTTATAGCTATAGTAATCAAGATTGTGAGTTATTGTAAGTAAGACAGATATATAGATAAAGGGAACAAAATAGAGAAACCAGAAATAAATTCATAAATTCACAGAAATATGCCCACTTGACTTTAGACAAACGTGCACAAGCAATTCAATAGAGAAAAGATAGTCTTTTTTTATTTTTGGACACAAAGTCTCACTCTTTCAGCCAGGCTGGAGTACAATGGCAGGATCATGGCTTACTGCAGCCTTAACCCCCCAGGCCCAAGCAATTCTCCCACCTCAGCCTCCTTAGTAGCTAGGAATACAGGCACACACCAACATGCCTGGCTATTTTTTAATTTGTTGAGAGACAGGGTCTCACTATGTTGCCCAGGCTGGTCTCAAACTCCTGGGTTCAAGCTATCCTCCCACCTTGGTATCCGAAAGTGTTGAGATTACAGGCATCAGCCACTGTGCCTGTCCTTAAGATAGCCTTTTCAATAAATTGTTCCAGAACAATTAGATATCCATAGGCCAAAAAAAAAAAAAAAAATGAACCTTGACCAAAGTTAAAAATTAACTCAAAGTGGATCATGCACTTGCATGTAAAATGTAAACTATAAAACTTAAAAAAAACACACACAGGGGAAAATCTTTGGGATCTAGGGTTAGGCAAAAAGTCCCTAGACTTGACACCAAAAATATGATCTATGAATGGAAAAAAATGATACATTGGACTTCATCAAAATATAAATCTTTGGCTCTAGAAAAGACTGAGTTAAGAGGATGAAAAGTCAAGCTACAGGCTGAGAGAATATATTTACAAATCACATGGCCACCAAAGGACTAGTATCTGGAATACAAAAAGAACTCTCAAAACTCAGTGTAAACACTCAATCCAATTAGAAATGAATGAAAGTCATAAATGGAAACTTCACTGAAGAGGATAAATAGATGGTAAGTAAGCACATGAAAATATGTGCAACTTCATCAGCCCTTAAGGCTGTGTGAACTAAAATCACAATGAAATACCACTGCATACCTATGAGAACAGCTAAAATAAAAAATAGTGACAACACCAAATACTAGTGAGGGTGTGAAGAAACTGGATCACTCAGGTGTCACTGCTTGGGATGTAAAATGGTACAGCCACTCTGGAAAGCAGTTTAGTAGTTTAGCAGTTTCTTTAAAAACTAAACATGCAACTACCCTATGATCTACCAATTACACTCCTGGGTATTTATTCCATATAAATGAAACTTTATGTTCACACAAACACCTGTAAAAGAATGTTTATAGAAGATTTATTTGCAATAGCCAAAAAGTAGAAACATCAGACATGGTGGCTCACACCTGTAATCTCAACCACTGGAGAGGCTGAGGCAGGAGGATTGCCTGAGGCTGGGAGAGATTTGTCTTGGCAACATAGCAAGACCGTGTCTCTAAATAGTTTTTTTAATTAGCAGGGTGTGGTGGTGTCTGTAGGACCAGCTACTTGGGAGACTGAGGTGAGAGGATTGCTTGAGCCTAGAAGTTCAAAGCTGTAGTAAACTACAATCATGGCAACCTGTATACTTCAACCTAGGCAACAGAGAGACATCTGGTCTCTAAAAAAACAAAAAAAGTAGAAACAGCTCAGATGTTCTTCAATGTGTAAATGGGTATACAAACTGGAACAGCTGTACCATAAAATACTACCCAGCAATAACAAAGAATGAACTGTTGATACACACAACCACCTGGATGAATCTCCAGGGATTTGTACTAAGTGAAAAAGAAACAATTCTGAAAGATCATACATTGTATAATTATATTCACATATCTGATGTAACAAAATTATAGAAGTGAAGAACAGATTAGTGACTGCTAAGGGTTAAAGAGGGATGGAAGAGGAAGAGAAGTGGGTGTAGCTGTGAAAGAGCATCAGGAGAGAGCCTGTAGTGATGGAAATGTTCTGTATCTTGAATGTATCAGTGTCAACATCCTGGCTATAATATTGTACTATAGTTTTGCAAAATATTACATTGAGGGAAACTAGGTGAAAGCTACACAAGATCTCTGTGTATTCTTCCTCACAGTTGTATGTGAATCTACAGTTGCGTCAAAATGAAACATAATTTTTTTAAAAAAGGGTAAGAAGGAAATATTATGAACACTTTTATGACTACAAATTCAATAACTTAGAGGAATTGGCAAATTTTTTTAAAGACATTAACTACCAATAATCACTCAAGAAAAATAGAGAGTATGAAGAGTGGAATATCTATTAAACTGAAATTATACTTTAAAATCTTTTAACAACAACCAAAAAATCCAGGTAAAGAGAGCTTCACTAGAGAAGTTTACTAAGCATTTGTAGAAAGAAAAAATAATGCAATATCTATACACAAACACACAGACATAAAAAAATGGAAGAGAGAAAAAATGGCAGATAGGAGTCAGAACTAACTTGCAGCTCTTACCCAGATGGACAGAACAGCATGTGGAGACTCATATTGTGAACTTTTACTCCAAGAGCTACTGCAGGAAGATACCAGGAATACTAAAAGAATTCACAGATCCTTTGAAAGAAGAGGCTTGCTGCTACAAACTCTGTGAGACAGCCAAAAAACTGTGAGTATCCAAAGTGTGAGAGAAGGAAAGTCCGCTTCCAAATACACATCCTCACTGGGAAACCTGAAAATCCAGATCATGGGAGTAGGATTTAACCTTACCTAGAGCTGAAACTAGAGAGCCAAGAGAAATAGAAACGTAAACAAAGCAGCAGGGAGAGCCCTGTAGGAACTCCCTGCTTCCAGGGAAGCCCAGGGAAGCCATTTCTGACTTTATCTCACAGGGGTCTTTTGGGAGGGCTCCCAGTGGAATTGGGGAAAGACCACAAGGAGAAGGAAACTTCCAGCTGACCTTCATAATAATTTCAGCCAAGCGTAAATTGTCCTGGGCAGACAGGAAGTGCAGACAGGAGCACAGAAGTCATGGCAGGTGAGGAGGGTTGGAGCCTGAAATCCCTGCTTGCTTTCTCAGCAAGGAGGCTTGTAGCCTGGGGCAAGATCTCAGTCTTACTCACTGGCTGCCTGGATATAAAATCAGTGCTGGTGGGGCATGGCGGGAGTGAGACGGGCCTTGCTGGCTGCATGGGAGCTGGGTGAGACCTGTCACTGCTGGCTTTCCTCTACTTCCCTGGTGACCTGTGTGATGTATGATGCAGGAGAGGCAGCCATAATTCCCTTGGAACATAACTCCATTGGCCTGAGAACCACACCTGCATCTCCTATTATAGCCATAGCAAGCCCTGCCCAAGGAGAGTCTGAGCTCAGACATACCTGACCCTGCCCTCAACAGATGGTCTTTCTCTACCTGCCTTGGTAGCCAAAGACAAAAGACATAATCTCTTAGGAGCTCTATGGACCTGCCCATCACCTGAGAGACCTGAATATTTATCCAGGTGACCATAGCGCAAGCTAGCATCCCACCTATACTACACCCTCCTTAGGGTAGGCTGGTTTGCCCCCATATTATCCCCCCATAGTACTCTTTTGAAAGCACCACCTCCTGACTGGAGGTGAATCAACTCAAGCTATTACAACCCTTATAAAAGAACAACCCTGCTCCAACAAAGAAGACAACAGCTAATTACATGGTCTGTAACATCATGGCTAACCAGAGGTCCTGAGTCTGTCCACATGACAACTTTACCACTAGCACAACCAGCACTTGAGAAAACCAGTTCACTGAACAAAACTACAACCAAGGACCCTTACAGAGTCCACTTCACTCCTCTGTTACTTCCACTGGAGCAGGTGCTGGTAGCCACAGCTGAGATACCTGAAGACTGATCACATCACAGGACTCTTTGCAGACACTCCCCAGTACTAGCCTAGAGCCCAGTAGCTCCAATGGGTGGCTACACCCAGAAGAGCAAAAGCAATCACTGCAGTCTGGCTCTCAGGAAGCCTCATCCCTAGGTGAATGAAGAGAGCACCATATCAAGGGATCACCCTGTGAGACAAAAGAATGTGAACAGCAGCCCTTGAGCCCCAGATATTTCCTCTGACACAGTCTACCCAAATGAGAAGGAAAAAGAAAAACAATTCTGGTAATATGACAAAGCAATGTTCTTTAACACCCCAAAAAAGATCACACTAGCTCACGAGCAATGGGTCCAAACCAAGAAGAAATCTGTGAATTGCCAGAAAAGGAATTCAGAAGATTGACTATTAAGCTATCCAAGGAGGCACCAGAGAAAGATGAAAACCAACTTAAAGAAAATTTAAAAATAATACAGGATATGGATGAAAAAATTTCCAGGGAAATAGCATAAATAAAAACAATCACGACTTCTGGAAATGAAACACACACTTAGAGAAATGCAAAATACACTGGAAAGTGTCAACAATAGAATCAAACAAGTAGAAGAAGGAACTTCAGAGCTCAAAGACAAGGCTTCAGAATTAAACCAATCTGACAAAGACAAAGAAAAAAGAATTTTTAAAAAATGAACAAAGGCTCCAAGAAGTTTGGGATCATGTTAAATGACCAAACCGAAGAATAATTGGTGCCCCTGAGGAAGAAGAAAAATCTAAAAGTTTGGGAAACTTATTTGAGGGAATAATCCAGGAAAACTTTTCTGGTCTTGTTAGAGATCTAGACATCCAAATACAAGAAGCTCAAAGAACACTTAAGAAATTCATCGCAAAAAGATAATCACCGAGGCACAGAGTCATCAGGTTATCTAAAGTCAAGACAAAAGCAAGAATCTTAAGAGCTGTGAGGCAAAAGTATCAGGTAAACTATAAAGGAAAACCTATCAGATTAACAGTAGATTTCTGAGCAGAAACCATACAAGCTAGATGGGATTGGGGTCCTATCTTTAGCCTCCTTGGACAAAACAGTTATTAGCCAACAATTTTGTACTCAGAAAAACTAAGCTTCATAAATGAAGAAAACTCTTTTTTAGAAAAACAAATGCTGAATTTGCCACTACCATGCCAGCAATACAAGAACTACTAAAAGGAGTTCTAAATCTTAAAATAAAACCTTGAAATTCGATAAAATAGAACCTCCTTAAAGCATTAATCTCATAGGGCCTATAAAACAATAACACAATGAAAAAAAACTTAGGCAACAAGTAGCACGATGAATAAAATAGCACCTCACATCTCAATACTAATGTTGACTGTAAATGGCCTAAATGCTTCACTTAAAAGATGCAGAATGCCAGAATGGATAAGAATTCACCAACCAAGTATCTGCTGTCTTCAAGAGAGTCAACTAACCCATAAGGACTAACATAAGCTTAAGGTGAAGGGGTAGAAAAAGAAGTTCCATGCAAATGAACACCAGAAGTGAGCAGGAGTAGCTATCCTTATATCAGACAAAACAGACATTAAAGCAACAACAGTTAAAAAAGACAAAGAGGGGGTCCTGGTACGGGACATGTGAGAGGTATGCTCCAACTTCCAGTTTCTGTGGAAATTCAGTAGAGAGATAAACGTTGTTTTCATCAAGGGTTTGTACCAGCTATTATTTCTTCCTGAAAAACAAACAAGCAAGTTTCTGTGGATCAGGAATTTGGGAGCAGATCAGCTGGAGGACTCTGACTCAGGATGTCTCATAAGGTTGCAATCAAGACATCAGCTAGGACTGTAATCATCTCAAGAAAATAAAGATCCATTCCAAGATGGCCGAATAGGAAGAGCTCTGGTCTGCAGCTCCCAGTGTAATCAACCCAGAAGAAGGGTGATTTCTGCATTTCCAACTAGGTATCTGGTTCATCTCATTGGGACTGGTTGGACAGTGGGTGCAGCCCACAGAGGGTGAACTGACGCAGGGCGTGGTGTCACCTTAGCAGGGAAATGCAAGGGATAGAGGGATTTCCCTTTCCTAGCCAAGGGAAGCCGTGACAGATTATACCTGGAAAAACGGGACACTCCCACCCAAATACTGCGCTTTTCCAAAGTCTTAGCAACTGGCAGACAAGGAGATACTCTCCCACACCTGGCTTGGCAGGTCCCACGCCCAGGGAGCCTTGCTCACTGCTAGCACAGCAGTCTGAGATCAAACTGCGAGGTGGAAGCCTGGCGGGGGGAGGGGCGTCCACCATTGCTGAGGCTTGAGTAGGTAAACAACGTGGCTGGGGAGCTCAAAATGGGTGGAGCCCACCACAGCTCACCAAGGCCTGCTGCCTCTAGACTCCACCTCTGTGGGCAGGGCTTAGCTGAACAAAATGCAGCAGACAACTTTTGCAGACTTAAATGTCCCTGTCTGACAGCTCTGAAGAGAGCAGTGGTTCTCCCAACATGGCGTTTGAGCTCTGAGAACCAACAGACTGCCTCCTCAAGTGGGTCCTTGACCCCCGTTTAGCCTAACTGGGAGACACCTCCCAGTAGGGGAGTGCCCCTCTGGGACAAAGCTTCCAGAGGAAGGATCAGGCAGCAATATTTGCTGTTCTGCATTATTTGCTGTTCTGCAGTTTCCACTGGTGACACCCAGGCAAACAGGGTCTGCAGTGGACCTCCAGCAAACTCCAACAGACCTGCAGCTGAGCAACCTGACTGTTAGAAGGAAAACTAACAACAGAAAGGAATAGCATCAACATCAACAAAAAGGACATCTACACCGAAACCCCATCTGTAGGTCACCAACGTCAAAGACCAAAGGTAGATAAAACAACAAAGATGGGGAGAAAACAGAGCAGAAAAGCTGAAAATTCTAAAAATCAGAGCGCCTCTTCTCCTCCAAAGGATTGCAGCTCCTCGCCAGCAACAGAACAAAGCTGGACTGAGAATGACTTTGACAAGTTGACAGAAGTAGGCTTCAGAAGGTTGGTAATAATAAACTTCTCCGAACTAAAGGAGCATGTTTGAACCCATTGCAAGGAAGCTAAAAACCTTGAAAAAAAGGTTAGATGAACGGCTAACTAGAATAAACAGTGTAGAGAAAACCTTAAATGACCTGATGGAGCTGAAAACCCATGGCATAAGAACTTCATGAGGCATGCACAAGCTTCAATAGCTGATTCAATCAAGTGGAAGAAAGGGTGTCAGTGACTGAAGATCAAATTAATGAAATAAAGCGAGAAGACAAGGTTAGAGAAAAAAGAGTAAAAAGAAATGAACAAAGTGTCCAAGAAATATGGGACTATGTGAAAAGACCAAATCTACATTTGATTGGTGTACCTGAAAGTGATGGGGAGAATGGAACAAAGTTAAAAAACATTCTTCAGGACATGATCCAGGAGAACTTCCCCAACCTAGCAAGGCAGGCCAACATTCAAATTCAGGAAACACAGAGAACACCACAAAGATACTCCTCGAGAAGAGCAACCCCAAGACACATAATTGTAAGATTCACTAAGGTTGAAATGAAGGAAAAAATGTTAAGGGCAGCCAGAGAGAAAGGTCAGGTTACCTACAAAGGGAAGCCCATCAGACTAACAGCAGATATCTTGGCAGAAACCCTACAAGCGAGAAGAGAGTGGGAGCCAATATTCAACATTCTTAAAGAAAAGAATTTTCAACCCAGAATTTCATATCCAGCCAAACTAAGCCTCATAAGTGAAGGAGAAATAAAATGCTTTACAGACAAGCAAATGCTGAGACATTTTGTCACCACCAGGCCTGCCTTATAAGAGCTCCTGAAGGAAGCGCTAAACATAGAAAGAAACAAACAGTACCAGCCACTGCAAAAACATGACAAATTGTAAAGACTACTGATGCTAGGAAGAAACTGTATCAATTAATGGGCAAAATAACCAGCTAGCATCATAATGACAGGATCAAATTCACACATAACAATATTAACCTTAAATGTAAATGGGCTAAATTCTCCAATTAAAAGACACAGACTGGCAAATTGGATAGAGTCAAGACCCATCATTGTGCTGTATTTAGGAAACCCATCTCACGTGCAGAGACACACATAGGCTCAAAATAAAGGGATGGAGGAAGATCTACCAAGCAAATGGAAAGCAAAAAAAAAGCAGGGGTTGCAATCCTAGTCTCTGATAAAAGAGACTTTAAACCAACAAAGATCAAAAGAGACAAAGAAGGCCATTACATAATGGTAAAGGGAGCAATTCAATAAGAGCTAACTATCCTAAATATACATGCACCCAATACAGGAGCACCCACATTCAAAAAGCAAGTCCTTAGAGACCTACAAAGAGATTTAGACTCCGACACAATAATAATGGGAGGCTTTAACACCCCACTGTCAATATTAGACAGATCAGCAAGACAGAAGGTTAACAAGGATATCCAGCACTTGAACTCAGCTCTGCACCAAGCATACCTAATAGCCATCTGCAGAACTCTCCACCCCAAATCAACAGAATATACATACTTCTCAGCACCACATCGCACTTATTCTAAAATTGACCACATAATTGGAAGTAAAGCACTCCTCAGCAAATATAAAAGAACAGAAATCACAACAAACTGTCTCTCAGACCACAGTGCAATCAAATTAGAACTCAGGATTAAGAAACTCACTCAAAACCACACAACTACATGGAAGCTGAACAACTTGCTCCTGAATGACTACTGGGTAAATAATGAAATGAAGGCAGAAATAAAAATGTTCTTTGAAACCAATGACAATGACAACAAAGACACAAAGTACCAGAATCTCTGGGACACATTTAAAGCAGTGTGTAGAAGGAAATATAGAGCACTAAATGCCCACAAGAGAAAGTGTGAAAGATCTAAAACCAATACCCTTACATCATAATTAAAAGAACTAGAGAAGCAAGAGCAAACACATTCAAAAGCTAGCAGAAGGCAAGAAATAACTAAGATCAGAGCAGAACTCAAGGAGATAGAGACACAAAAAGCCCTTCAAAAAATCAATGAATCCAGGATTTGGTTTTTTGAAAAGATCTACAAAATTGATAGACCACTAGCAAGACTAATAAAGAAGAAAAGAGAGAAGAATCAAATAGACGCAATAAAAAATGATAAAGGGATATCAACACCAATCCTGCAGAAATACAAACTAGCATCAGAGAATACTATAAACATTTCTATGCAAATAAACTAGAAAATCTAGAAGAAATGGATAAATTCCTGGACACATACACCCTCCCAAAACTAAACCAGGAAGAATTTGAATCTCTGAATAGTACAATAACAGTTTCTGAAATTGAGGCAATAATTAATAGCTTACCAACCAAAAAACTCCAGGACCAGGTGGATTCACAGCCAAATTCTACCAGAGGTACAAAGAGGAGCTGGTACCATTCCTTCTGAAATTATTCCAATCAATAGAAAAAGAAGGAACCCTCCCTAACTCATTTTGTGAGGACATCGTCATCCTGATATCAAAGCCTGGCAGAGATATAACAAAAAAAGAGAATTTCAGACCAATATCCCTGATGAACATCGATGTGAAAATCCTCAATAAAATACTGGCAAACTGAATCCAGCAGCACATCAAAAAGCTTATCCACCATGATCAGGTTGGCTTCATCCCTGGGATGCAAGGCTGGCTCAACATACACAAATCAATAAACATAATCCAACACATAAACAGAACGAATGACAAAAACCACATGATTATCTCAATAGATGCAGAAAAGGCCTTCAAAAAAATTCAACAACCCTTCATGCTAAAAATTCTCAATAAACTAGGTATTCATGTAACTTATCTCAAAATAATAAGAGCTATTTATGACAAACCCATGCAAATATCATACTGAATGGCCAAAAACTGGAAGCATTCCCTTTGAAAACTGCCACAAGACAAGGATGCCACCTCTCACCACTCCTATTCAACATAGTGTTGGAAGTTCTGGCCAGGGCAATCATGCAAGAGAAAGAAATAAATGGTATTCAATTAGGAAAAGAGGAAGTCAAACTGTCTCTGTCTGCAGATGACATGATTGTATATTTAGAAAAACCCCATCATTTCAGCCCCAAATCTCCTTAAGCTCCAGCAAAGTCTCAGGATACAAAATCAATGTGCAAAAATCACAAGCATTCTTATACACCAATAACAGACTAACAGAGAGCCAAATCATGAGCGAACTCCCATTCATTGCTACAAAGAGAATAAAATACCTAGAAATCCAACTTACAAGGGATGTGAAGAACCTCTTCAAGGAGAACTACAAACCACTGCTCAACAAAATAAAAGAGGACACAAACTAATGGAAGAACAACATTCCATGCTCATGGATAGGAAGAATCAATATCATGAAAATGGCCATACTGCCCAAGGTAATTTATAGATTCAACGCCATCCCCATCAAGCTACCAATGACTTTCTTCACAGAATTGGAAAAAACTACTTTAAAGTTCATATGGAACCAAAAAAGAGCCCACATTGCCAAGAAAATCCTAAGTAAAAAGAACAAAGCTGGAGGCATCATGTTACCTGACTTCAAACTGTACTACAAAGCTACAGTAACCAAAACAGCATGGTCCTGGTGCCAAAACAGATACATAGACCAATGGAACAGAAGAGAGGCCTCAGCAATAATGCCACATATCTACAACCATCTGATCTTTGACAAACCTGACAAAAACAAGAAATGGGGAAAGGATTCCTATTTAATAAATGGTACTGGGAAAACTGACTAGCCATACGTAGAAAGCTGAAACAGATCCCTTCCTTACACCTTATACAAAAATTAATTCAAGATGGATTAAAGACTTAAATGTTAGACCTAAAACCATAAAAACCCTAGAAGAAAACCTAGGCAATACCGAGAGGTGACAGCGTGCTGGCAGTCTTCACAGCTCTCGCTCGCTCTCGGCACCTCCTCTGCCTGGGCTCCTACTTTGGCGGCACTTGAGGAGCCTTTCAGCCTACTGCTGCACTATGGGAGACTTCTTCTGGGCTGGCCAAGGCCAGAGCCGGCTTTTTCAGCTTGCAGGGAGGTGTGGAGGGAGAGGCACGAGCAGGAACCAGGGCACTTGCGGGCCAGCTGGAGTTCCAGGTGAGCATGGGCTTGGCAGGCCCCGCACTCAGAACAGCCGGCCGGCCCTGCCGGCCCTAGGCAATGAAGGACTTAGCACCCGGGCCAGCGCCTGCGGAGGGTGTACTAGGTCCCCCAGCAGTGCCAGCCTACCGGTGCTGCACTCGATTTCTCGCCAGGCCTTAGCTGCCTTCCCACAGGACAGGCCTAAGGACTGCAGTCCCCCATGCCTGAGCCTTCCCCCGCCTCCGTAGGTTCCTGTGCAGCCCGAGCCTCCCCGAGGAGGAGCACCGCCCCCTGCTCCATGGCACCCAGTCCCATCAACCACCCAAGGGCTGAGGAGTGCAAGTGCATGGCGCAGGACTGGCAGGCAGCTCCACCTGCAGCCCCAGTGCAGGATGCACTAGGTGAAGCCAGCTAGGCTCCTGAGTCTGGTGAGGACATGGAGAGTCTTTATGTCTAGCTCAAGGATTGTAAACACACCAATCAGCACCCTGTGTCTAGCTCAAAGTTTGTGAGTGCACCAATCAACACTCTGTATCTAGCTACTCTGGTGGAGCCTTAGAGAATCTTTATGTCTAGCTCAAGGATTGTAAATACACCAATCGGCACTCTGTATCTAGCTCAAGGTTTGTAAACACACCAATCAGCACCCTGTGTCTAGCTCAAGGTTTGTGAGTGCACCAATTGACACTCTGTATCTAGCTGCTCTGGTAGGGCCTTAGAGAACCTTTACGTCTAGCTCAAAGATTGTAAATACACCAATCGGCACTCTGTATCTAGCTCAAGGTTTGTAAACACACCAATCAGCATCCTGTGTCTAGCTTAAAGTTTGTGAATGCACCAATCGACACTCTGTATCTAGCTGCTCTAGTGAGGCCTTGGAGAACCTTTGCGTGGATACTGTGTATCTAACTAATCTAATAAGGACGTGGAGAGCCTTTGTATCTAGCTCAAGGATTGTAAACGCACCAATCAGCGCCCTGTCAAAACAGACCACTCGGCTCCACCAATCAGCAGGATGTGGGTAGGGCCAGATAAGAGAAAAAAAGCAGGCTGCCCGAGCCTAGCAGCAGCAACCGGCTCAGGTCCCCTTCCACACTGTGGAAGCTTTGTTCTTTTGCTCTTTGCAATAAATCTTGCTACTGCTCACTCCTTAGGTCCACGCTGCTTTTATGAGCTGTAACACTCACCGTGAAGGTCTGCAGCTTCACTCCTGAAGCCAGCAAGACCACTAGCCCACCGGGAGGAACAAACAACTTCAGACGTGCTGCCTTAAGAGCTGTAACACTCACCGCGAAGGTCTGCAGCTTCACTCCTAAGCCAGCGAGACCACAAACCCACCAGAAAGAAGAAACTCCAAACATATCTGAACATCAGAAGGAACAAACTCCAGACGCGCCACCTTAAGAGCTGTAACACTCACCGCGAAGGTCCACAGCTTCATTCTTGAAGTCAGTAAGACCAAGAACCCACCAATTCCAGACACAATACCATTCAGGACATAGGCATGGGCAAGGACTTCATGACTAAAACACCAAAGGCAATGGCAACAAAAGCCAAAATTGACAAATGGGATCTAATTAAACTAAAGAGTTTCTGCACAGCAAAAGAAACTACCATCAGAGTGAACAGGCAACCTACAGAATGGGAGAAAATTTTTGCAATCTACCCATCTGACAAAGGGCTAATATCCAGAATCTACAAAGAACTCAAACAAATTTACAACAAAAAAAACAACCACATCAAAAAGTGGGCAAAGGATACGAACAGACACTTCTCAAAAGAAGACATCTATGCAGTCAACAGACACATGAAAAAATGCTCATCATCACTGGCCATCAGAGAAATGCAAATCAAAACCACAATGAGATACCATCTCACACCAGTTAGAATGGCAATCATTAAAAAGTCAGGAAACAACAGATGCTGGAGAGGATGTGGAGAAATAGGAGCGCTTTTACACTGTTGGTGGGAGTATAAATTAGTTCAACCATTGTGGAAGACAGTGTGGCGATCCCTCAAGGATCTAGAACCGGAAATACCATTTGACCCAGCAATCTCATTACTGGGTATATACCCAAAGGATTATAAATCATGCTACTATAAAGACACATGCATAGACATGTTTATTGTGGCACTATTCACAATAGCAAAGACTTAGAACCAACCCAAATATCCATCAATGATAGACTGGATTAAGAAAATGTGGCACATATACACCATGGAATACTATGCAGCCATAAATAAGGATATTTATTATAAAATAAAAGTTCATGTCTTTTGCAGGGACATGAATGAAGCTGGAAACCAACATTCTCAGCAAACTACCACAAGGACAGAAAACCAAACACCACAGGTTCTCACTCATCGGTGGGAATTGAACAATGAGATCACTTGGACACAGGGCAGGGGATATTACACACTGGGGCCTGTCGGGGGATGGGGGTTAGGGGAGGGATAGCATTAGGAGAAATAATTAATGTAAATGACGAGTTGATGGGTGCATCAAACCAACATGGCACATGTATACCTATGTATCAAACCTGCATGTTGTGCACATGTACCCTAGAACTTAAAGTATAATAATTAAAAAAAAAAAAAAGAAAATGGGGGTGGGGAGGACAGAGAGAGGAAAGAAGGAGTCAAAAGGAGGGAAAAAGGAGTGGGGAATAAAATAATTCTCATGTTTAAGAGGGACATTATATAATGATAAAAGAACTAGTCCAAAGGGAAAATATCACAATCCTAAATATATATGCACCTAACACTGAAGCTCCAAATTTAATAAAACAATTACTACTAGACCTGAGAAATGAGATAGACAGCAACACAATAATAGTGGGGACTTTAATACTCCACTGACACCACTGGATAGGTGATCACGACAAAAGTCAACAAAGAAACAAGACTTAAAGTATAACCCAGAACAAATGGACTTAGCAGATATTTACAGAACATTCTACCCAGCAACTGCAGAATATATATTCCATTCATCCACACATGGAACATTCTCCACGACAGATGATATGATAGGTCACAAAACAAGTCTCAATAAAGTTAAGAAAATCAAAATTATATCAAGTACTCCCTCATACCACAGCAAAATAAAATTGGAAATTAACTCCAAAAAGAACCTCAAAACTAAACAAATACATAGAAATTAAATAATCTGCTCCTGAAGGTTCTTTGGGTAAGCAATGAAATCAAGATGGAAAATAAAAAATTATTTGAACAATAATAGTGACACAACCCGTTAAAACCTCTGGGATACAGCAAAAGCAGTGCTAAGAGGAAAGTTCATAGCATTAAATGCCTACATCAAAAATTCTGATGTAGGCATCAGACAATCTAAGCTCACACCTCAAAGAACAATAGAAACAAGAAGAAACCAAACAAACCAAACCCAAACCCAGCAGAAGAAAAAAAAAAATAACTAAGATCCAAGCAGATCTAAATGAAATTGAAACAAAAATGCAAAACATAAGTGAAACAAAAAGCTGTTTACTTGAATAGATAAACAAAATTCGTACACCATTAGTGAGATTAACCAATAAAAGAAGATCCAAATAAGCTCAATTAGAAATGAAATGGGAGATATTACAACAGATACCACAGAAATACAAAAGGTAATTCAGGGTTACTATGAACACTTTTATGTGCACAAACTAGAACACCCAGAAGAGATGGATAAATTCCTGGAAATACATGCTCCTAGATTGAGCCAGGAAGATATATAAACTCTGAACAGATCAATAACAAGCAGCGAGATTGAAATGGAAACAAAAAAAAATTGCCAACAAAAAACAGTCCAGGACCAGACAGATTCGCAACTGAATTCTATCGGAAAGTCAAATAAGAATTGGTACCAATTTTAATGAAACTATTCCAAAAGATAGAAAAAGAGGGAATCTTTCATAAATCATTCTATGAAGCCAGTATTATCCTAACACCAAAACCAGTAAAGGACATAACAAAAAAAAGGAAAGCTACAGACCAACATCCCTGATGAACATAGATGCAAAAATCCTCAACAAAATACTAGTGAACCGAATCCAACAGCATATCAAAAAGACAATTCGCCATAATCAAGTGGGTTTCATAAAAGGGATTCAGGGATGGTTTAACATACACAAGTCAAAAAATGTGATACACCACATGAACAGAATTAAAAACAAAAATTGCATGACCATCTCAATAGATGCAGAAAAAAAAACTGACAAAAGCCAGCATCCCTTTATGATTAAAACCCTCAGCAAAATCGGCATAGAAGGGATATACCTTAAGGTGATAAAAGTCCCCGCAGCCAACATTATACTGAATGGGGAAAAGTTTAAAGCATTCCCCCTGAGAACTGGAACAAGACAAGGATGCCTGCTTTCACCATTTGTATTCAACATAGAAGTGGAAGTCCTAGCCAGAGCAGTCAGACAAGAGAAAGAAAGAATGGGCATCCAAATCAGTAAAGAGGAAGTCAAACTGTTGCTGTTCACCAATGATATAATCACATACCTAGAAAACCCTAAAAATGCATCCAAAAAGCTCCTAGATCTGATAAATAAATTCAGTAAAGTTTCAGGATACAAAATCAATGCATACAAATCAGTAGCACTGCTATACACCAACAGCAACCAAGCTGAGAATCACATCAAGAACTCAATCCCTTTTACAATACCTGTAAAAATAAAATAAAATACTTAGGAATATACCTAACCAAGGATGTGAAAGACCTCTACAAGGAAAACTACAAAACACTGCAGAAAGAAATCATAGATGGCACAAACAAATGGAAAACACATCCCATGCTCATAATTGGGTAGAACCAATATTGTGAGAAATAACCATACTGCCAAAAGCAATCTACAGATTCAATGCAATTCCCATAAAAATAACACCATCATTCTTCACAGAATTAGAAAAAAAAATCCTAAAATTCATATGGAACCCAAAAAAGAGCCTGCATAGCCAAAGCAAGACTAAGAAAAAAGAACAAATCTGGAGGGATCACATTACCTGACTTCAAACTATACTCTATGGCCATAGTCACCAAAACAGCATGGCACTGAAAAATAGGCACATAGACCAATGGAACAGAATACAAAACCCAGAAATAAAGCCAAATACTTACAGTCAACTGATTTTCAGCAAAGGAAACAAAAACATAAAATGGGGAAAGGACACCCTTTTCAACAGATGGTCCTGGGATAACTGGCAAACCGCATGTAGAAGAATGAATCCAGATCCTCATCTGTCACCCTATATAAAAATCAACTCAAGATGGATCAAAGAATTAAATCTAAGACATGAAACCATAAGATGCTAGAAATTAACATCAGAACAACTTTTCTAGACATTAGCTTAGGCAAAGACTTCATGACCAAGAACCCAAAAGGAAATGCAACAAAAACAAAGATAAATAGATGGGAATAAACTAAAAATCTTCTGCACAGAAAAAGGAATAATTAGCAGAGTAAACAGACAATCCACAGGTGGTAGAAAATATTTGCAAACTATGTGTGATGATTAATATTGAGTGTCAACTTGATTGGACTGAAGGATTTAAAGTATTGTTCCTGGGTGTGTCTGTGAGGGTTTGGCCAAAGGAGATTAACATTTGAGTCAGTGAACTGGGAGAGGAAGACTCATCCTCAGTGTGGGTTGGCACCATCTAATCCCACCATATGAAGAAGGATGTGTTTGCTTCCCCTTCTGCCATGATTATAAGTTTCCTGAGGCCTCCTCAGCCCTGCAGAACTGTGAGTTAATTAAACCCCTTTCCTTTAAAAATTACCTAGTTTTGGGTATTTCTTCATAGCCGCGTGAGAATGAACTAATACACTATGCATCCAACAAAGGACTAATACCCAGAAACTATAAAAAACTCCAACAAATCAGCAAGAAATAAAACAAATAATCCCATAAAAAAGTGGGCTAAGGGCATGAATAGACAATTCTCAGAAGAAGATATACAAATGGCCAAGAAACATAGGAACAAATGCTCAACATCACTAATGATCAGGGTAATGCAAATCAAAACCACAATACAAAACCACCTTACTCCTGCAGGAATGGCCACAATTTAAAAAATCAAAAAATAATAGATACAAAACCACCTTACTCCTGCAACAATGGCCACAATTAAAAAATCAGAAAATAATAGATGTTGGCATGGATGTGCTGAAAAGGGAAGACTTTTATACTGCTGGTGGGAATGTAAACTAGTACAACCACTATGGAAAACAGTATGGAGATTCCTTAAAAAACTGAAAGTAGTCCTACCATCTGATCCAGCAATCTCACTGCTGGGTATCTACCCAGAGGAAAAGAAGTTGTTATATGAAAAAGATATTCGCACATGTAGGTTTATAGCAGCACAATTCACAATTGCAAAAATAGGAACCAGCTCAAATACCCATTAATCAACAAGTGGATAAAGAAAATGTGAGATATACATAGATAGATGATGGATAGATTAGATAGACAGATAGATGATTGATAGATAGATAGATAGATAGATAGATAGATAGATAGATAGAAAATGGAATGCTACTCAACCATAAAAAGTAACAAAATAATGGCACTTGCAGCAACCTGGATGGAATTGGAGACCATTATTCTAAGTGAAATAACTCATGAATGGAAAACTAAACATCGTATGTTCTCACTTATAAGTGAGAGCTAAGCTATGAAGACACAAAGGCATAAAAATGATACAATGGACTTTGGGGACTCAGAGGGAAGGGTGGAAGAGGGGGTGAAGGATAAAAGAATACACGTTGGGTACAGTGTACACTGCTTGGGTGATGGGTGCACCAAAATCTCAGAAATCACCACTAAAGAACTTATCCGTGTAACCAAACCCCACCTGTTACCCAAATACCTATTAAAATATTTTTTAATTAGAAGAGGAGAGAACACTTTTCAATTCATTCTAAAATGCTAACATTATCCTAAGGCCAAAACAAGATAAAGACATTACAAGAAAATAAAACTACCGACAAGTATCCTTAATAAACATAGATGCAAAAGTGCTTTACAAAATTTTGGCAAATTGAATTCAACAATATATAAAAAGGATAATATGAATAACAGCTGGGAGATATCCTAGGAATGCAGCATTCATTTGACATTCAAAGATCAATGAATTTCAATATATTAACAAACTAAAAAAGAAAAATAATATGACCGTATCAATTCAGGCAGAAAACACATTTGACAAAAGCCAACACATTAATGATATTTAAAAAAAAAATCTCACCCAAGTTGAAATAGAAGGTAACTTCCTTATCCTGACATAGGACCTCTACAAAAACTTAGATCAAACATCATACTTAATAGGAAAAGATTTAATGCTTTTCCTTTAAAATTGGGAATAAAACAAAGATGTCTGTTTGCACCACATCTATTGAACATTGTACCAGTGATTCTAACTGGCGCAATCAGGCAAAAAAAAAGGAAATAAAGGGCATCTAGGTTAAAAAAGAAGTAAAACTATTTTATTCACAGATGACATGATCATCTAGGTAGAAGATCCAATCAAATTTACAAAAAAAAACCTACTAGAGTAATGAATTTATCAAAGTAGCAAGATGCAGGATCCATAAATAAGAATCAATTGTATTTCTATATATTAGCAATGAAAAACTGAAATTAAACATTAAAATTGTATTTTATTTTTCTGAGACAGAGTCTCACTCTGTCACCCAGGCTGGAGTGTAGTGGCGTAATCTTGGCTCATTGCAACCTCCGCCTCCCAGGTTCAAGTGATTCTCCTGCCTCAGCTTCCCAAGTAGCTGGGACTACAGCTGCACACCATCATGCCCAGCCAATGTTTGATTTTTTTTTTTTAGTAGAGATGGGGTTTCTCCACATTGGCCAGTCTGGTCTCAAACTCCTGACTTCAAGTAATCTGCCCACCTCAGCCTCCTAAAGTGCTGAGATTACAGGCGTGAGCCACTGTGCCCGGCCTTAACATTAAAATTTTAAAACACTATTTAAATAGCACTAAGAATATAAATACTTAAGGATAAATCTGACAAAAGATGTGAAAGTCCTAAATAGAGAAAAACATACAACACAACTATGAGAAATTAAAGAATGTCCAAGTAAATGGAGACACATACCCTGTTCATGAGACAAAAAACTCATTATTATGATAGCAGTTCTTCCCAAGTTGTTCTGGAGATTTAATGCAATCCAAATCAAAACCCTAACAAACTTATTGTAGAAATTGACAAGCTGGTTCTAAAATGAATTCAGAAATGCAAAGGACCTAGAATAGCCAAAACAACCTTGAAAAAGTGAACAAAGTTGGAGGACTAACACTTCCTGATTTCAAGACTTATTGTAAAGCTATAAAGTAATCAAAAAGGTGTGGTATTATCATATAGATAGAGAAAAGATCAATGGAACAAAATAGAGTCCAGACATACAGATACAACTGATTTTTAACAATTTGCAAAGGCAATTTAGTGAAGAAAGGATAGTTTTTTTTTTCAACAAATGCTGCAGAATCAGTTGGAAATCAATAATCTAAAAAGAAAAAACTTCAATCCATATCTTGTACCACTATATGCAAAACTTAACTCAAAATGTATCATAGACCTGAATTTAAGTCCTCAAACTACAAAAGTTCTAGAAGAAAATAGAGGAGAAAATCTTAGTGAGTTTGAGTCAGGCAAAGAGTATGTGGATACAACACTGAAACCACAATGCAGTAAAAAACTGACAAATTATACTTCATCAAATTTAAAATCTTCTCTGCAAAAGAGGATGAAAAGACAAGTCACAGGCTAAAAAATATGTATTTGCAAATCATATATCTGGTAAAATACTTTTATCCAGAATATAAAATGAACTCTCAAAATTCAATAATAAGAAAAAAAATACACCAAAAGTAAACAAAACATTTGAACATGCATTTCACCAAATGGCAAATAAGCACATAAACAGATGCCCATCATCATTAGTCATTAGGGTAAAGCAAAGTAAAGCACAATGAGATACCACTAAACATATCAATTGAGACGATTAAAATAAAAAAGACTGACCATACCAAGGATTGCAAATATATGAAGGAGCTAGAACTCTCATTTCCTGTAGTGGGAATATAAAATAATATACTCTTTGGGAGAACAGTCTGCAGTTTCTTAAAAAGTTACATGTATGCTAACTATACGCTCTAGCCATTTCACTTGTAGGTATTTCCCATGACAAAAGAAAGTATATGTCTATATAAACAGTTAAATAGTTACACACAAATGTTTTAGTGGTTTTATTAATATATCCCAAAACTGGAAACAACCTAAATGTCTATGAACAGGAAAATGGATAAATAAATTGTGACTATCTATACAATGGAATGCTACTCAACAATAAAAAGGAATTAACTACTGATACAACAAGGTGGATGAATTTTAAGATAATCATGCTCAATGAAAGAAGTCAGATAAAAAATAGTACCTACTGTATGATTCCATTTATATGAAACTCTAGAAAATGCAAACTAATCTATGACAGAAAGCAAATCAGTGGTTGCTTAGGAATGTGGAGGAGTGAGGAATGGAAATGAGGAACTGCAGAGGGCCATGAGAAAACTTTTCAGCTGATGCACATGGTCACTGTCTTTATTATGGTGATGGTCTCATGGGTATATATATATATCAAAAACAACTCTCTCTCTCTCTCTCTCTCCAATCCCCCAACCCCATCTCTTACAACAAGAAAGTATGTCCCTAGTATATCTGGAAGCCATCTTTTGACCAAGAGAAAAGCCAGCATGAGGAAACTGTTAACACAGGGACAGAAGAAAAGAAAATGTCTCTGAAGGGAAGAGAGCCAGAATTGTGATTACATTAAACCTAAAGATTTTCAACGATGTGACCTGATGAAATTCCATAATGGTTAAGTCATTTTGAGTCATAATTTTACATCTTTTCACCTTAGGTGAAAAGCATCCTAACCAAGATAAGTATATGCTCAGCATTATATTGATAATTTATAATACGCCATTGGAAAAAAACTCTCTTCCTGGCATTTAATTATATTACTTATTTCAAAGAAAATGCAGTAAAAAACTGATCTGTATATCTACTGATATGTCTATCAGTAAAACAGATAAGTATATCTATGTATACCTACTATGCATAAGCCTTACAGGTGCTACATAGAGGTGATATCTGTTGTTTATACTCTTTGTCTTCCCTTCTTCCTTTTTTTGATAACAGTGCCCCAATTTACGCTTAGCTAACCATAATCTAGCATTACTAATTCATGTCTTCCAGATGAGATAGACCCTCCTTGTCACTAAAAGTAGACATGTGACTCACAGCATTGTAAGAAGATAGTAATGGAACACAGGTCCCCAAATTTACCCTCCCAATCTCTTCTCAATTACTTTCCCCAACAAGAAAAAATGCTACTGCAGGTAAGCAGGGGCATCTAAAGCAGGGTCACTTGAGGTCACAGGCTCCAGGGTCTCTAAAAGGAAAGAGATACTCTCACTCTTCTCTGTTTTAGGTAGTCTGGAGGGCCTTGTTATAGAAAGACTTAAAACAAAGGTCTCAATTTTATGGCTTCCAGTGAAAGTTAGCCTGAGGAAACCTATGAATGCCTTCAGGAAAGCATTACATGGGCTTATTTGTGTGTGTTCTTGGGAAGGTCAGACTAATCTGGGTAGTGACAGGTCATATGGAGGAACGCTGCACTCATGGAAGAGTTGCTTGTAGCCCCTGAGGTTAGGCAAGCATTCTCCCTTGCACCCAGGGAGCTCTGGGAGAAGAAAGACTTTTTTTAAAGCTTCAGCTGGGTGTGGACAGATTGCCAGTTGGTTTACTGCCAGCCCACAAAAGCAGAAACCTTTCCCCTGGCAGGTTTGCCACTGCATAAAAGACCCTAACTACTTGTCCTGTAATTATAGGTCAGTGTATACAGAGCCTGAGGTCTGAACAGGAAATGGAAAATAATAACTTGCCCTAGTAGTACTAGCAAGCCAGAGAGGAAAACTAAGATAAACACTTCAAACAGGTGTTTTGTTGAAATAGAACTGTTAGAAGAGCCAGGTGAAAACTTTTCTAAAAAGTAATAAATTCACTCAAGAAGATATAATTAAAGATTAGGAGTTAAATATATGATAGATGCTAGAATGATAAAATATACATATTTTAAAAATAGGTAATGACTCCATGTGTTTCTGACAGTATACCCTTCCTGGTTGAAATAACTAAAATGAAATAACTAATGGAAATAACTGAAATGCTACATAACATATTTTTAAAAATTAATACTGCTTAGCCGGCATGAAATTCAGGAATCTAAATATTTCCAAAACTGAAAAACTGGAGGGAATAGCTGAGAAATTGACTTAGTCTGTTTTGTGTTGCTATCACAGAAAACCACAGACTGGGTAATTTATAATGAAAAGAAATTTGTATCTCACAGTTCTGGAGGCTGGGAAGTCCAATATCAAGGTGCCAGCATCTTGTGAAAGCTTTCTTGCTACATCATCCCATAGTGAAAGGCAGAAGAGCAAAAGAGCAGACACTCAAGAGAGAAAGTAACCTACTCCTACAATAATGGCATTCATCCATTTATGGGGGTAGAGACCTCATGACCCAATCAGCTCTCAAAGGTCTCACCTCTCAACACTGTTGAATGGGGAGTTAAGTCCCAACACAGGAACTTTGGGGGACATGTTCAAACGATAACACTGCCTATCTAGTCCTTGTCACTGGACAGAAAAAGAAGAAATTCTCACCTGTGAATTCATAACCACTTACACTATATGTGATGATCAAAAGCACACAAGTAAAAAATTTTATTTAAGGTTTTTCCAAGTTAATAGTATACCAGATAACAGGCAAAAAGAAGCACAAATATTCCTTACTCAATTTTAACCTAAGCTTCAAATAATTTCCAGAGATTGTTTCAAGAAACGTAAGCAATTTATTATTTATAATTCAGTTGACATATTAAACAGCATATGAAATATAGCTGAAAAGAGAATTGATAAACTAGAAGGCAAATATAAAGAAATTATCCAGAATGAAATCCAAAGAGATAAGAGATATTAAAAGACACAGAGATTAGATTGAGAAGATCTAACATATACCTAATTTAAATTCCAGAAAACAAGTCTAGGGAAAATGAAAGAGAGGAAATGTTACAAAAGATAATGGACTAGGAATGTAACTGTTGAAACATCAAATCTTGAGACCCAGGGAGCCATATAACATGCTTCCAAAATCCAAGCTTATTATATTAATATACAAAAACATTAATATTAATATTATATATTAATGTTATTGTTAATATAATCATTATATTATTAAACATATAATTTATACATAAACAATATATTATATATAAATGTATATGATATATAATATACAATAGTTATAATATATAATAAATTATATATTGACTTCTATATAATATAGAATTATATAACTTATAAATTATATATAGCTTTATATATAAATCAATAATTATATATTGATGTGTACAATTATTATTTTATATTATTATTAATAATTATATAATTGGTATTATATAAATATTAATTTTATATTGCAATAGTTATAAAGTAAATATCATATAACATTATTAATATAATAAATATAGTATATTAATATTAATAACTTGTATTTATTAACAATATATTAATAAATGACATAATTTCACATTTCTTTCAGATTTCTGTAAAAGCTTATCAGGAGTTATATATATGCAAAACCATATTTATCTTATTAAAGAGGCATGTATAAGTGTCAGACCATCACTTATGAATAGATTTGACAGCCAGATATACAACCTTTCAGAAAACAGAAGCAAACCTCCTCCATAAAAACAAGTAATTGGCAGCTGTCTCAATGATGTCCAGTAACTAGCCTTATTTCACTCAGAACAGTTTTGTCGGCTTCATATAGCATGACCAATCACCCTGGTTTACTAGAGCCTGAGGGTTTCCTGCGCAAGGGACTCTCTGTGCTAAAAGCAAGATAGTCCTGGATCAACCGGGATGAGTTAAGTCTCTATTTCCATGCCTTCATAGAAATCATTAAAAGATATCTCTCTGTTATGGGCTGAATAATGTCACCCACCCTGAAATTCCTATGTTGAAGTCCTAACCCCCAGTACCTCAGAATGTAACTGGATTTTGAGATAGGGTTTTTAAAGAGGTATATAAGTTAAAATGAGGACAGTGGGATGGGCCCTAATCTAATATGACTGATGTCCTTATAAGACGAAATGATTTGGACGTGGACACAGAGGGACAACCACATGAGGACAGGGAGAAGATGGCCATCTGCAAGCCAAGGAGAGAAGCCCTCAAGTAAACCAATGCTGCCAACACATTGCTGTTGAACTTCCAGTCTCTAGAACGATAAAAAATATTTCTGTTGTTTAAGCCACCCAGTCTGAGATATTTTGTTTTGGCAGCCCTAACAAACACATTCTCTAAGGGTTTATTCTCATTTTTGGTTTAGTGTATTTCAGCTGATGATTATAGCCTAATCCTCCCCCTCTTCTTGGGGCCTCTCTTCTCTGTACTCTTCCTCCTCATATCTCACACAGGCAGATTTGTTCCTGCCTCCTCACCTACATTACGAGCTCCGCACAGTCTCCTTTCTTCTGGCTCCGGCTCCCTCATTAATCTTTCTGTTATTAACGCTATTAACTCGTTAAACTATCTCTCCACCTTTCCAAACTTCCATTAACTCTGGCACTCCATAAGTGTTAGTCAAATAAATGAAGAATCACACTAACTCCTCTTTCCTTCCCTCTCACTCCAAACTCTTGGTGAGATTCTTTTGCACTTATGCCCTCGTTTCCCCATTTCCCACTCACTTGTCAGTCTCCTCATTCTTGGTTTTCCTCATTATATTGAAACACATCTGAAAAAGTCATGTAAGACCACAGCCACTGCGTATCAGTGCTATTTGAGAGTTAATAAAGTTCCCTTTTCCTCCAAGACAGCGAGCAGAGTGAACAGAAGAAAGACTGGTTTCTGCCCTTGGCTGCACAGCCATGCCCCGAGGCCGGGCTTAGGATTTTATAATTCACAAAGTCAACTGTCTCTTCCCCTCTCCATCCTTTAGGAACTGTCTGCAGTATCTGACACTGTTGAGAGCTCTCATACCCTTTAAACTCTCTCTTCTCTGGCTTTCTGAGCTTTCCTCCCACTTTTGATGGCACTGCAGGAGTTTTTAAGCATCTCTCTCTCATACCAACCCCAGAAATAAAGTCATTCCTCGAATTCCTGTACTTAGCCCCTTGTCTCCTAACTCTTTGACCACTAATGTTTTAGAAACACTCTCCTGACAACTATCGCATCTTTGCAGTTGTTTCCATTTCCAACGCCATGTCTCTCTGAGCAGCAGCCTTGAGTTTTCAATTGCATATTTATTAGTCATTTCCATATGGACATCTCACTAAATCTGTCATACTAAACATGTCTAAAATATGTATGTTTACATGTTACATGTATGTTTGGTATGTGGGAATGCATTACATTCCCACAGATTTTTTCCCAGTTACAGTGTTACTATTCTAATCACTCAGACTAGAACACTCAGAGCTATCTATGAGTCTTCCTCTCACTCAAACTGCATATATAATCTATAAACAGGTCCTGTTGACCTCATCTTCTAAAAATCTCTTACATGCTCCTTTTTATATCATTGGATAATAGTTTAGTGTGGTGGTTAATATCATGCACACTGGAGCCAAATCTGTTAGGTTCAAATCCTGACTCTCCTTCTATTTACTAATTATGAAACCTTAGGAAAATTATTCAACTTTTCATCTGTAAATATGGGGATTATAATGGTGATCCACTTTATATGACTGACAACCAAATAAGTGAATACGTGTATAGCAGGTATTAACCATATGCTTAGCCGACCTATTTCAACCTCCTAACCAACCAGAAGAACTGTAGTTCCCTGCTCTCTTGCATCTAAGTGGGGCCATGGAATGTGGGCAGAAGTGTTGTGTCACCTTTACTCAGAGGCAATTAAAAAGAAGACATACTTTTCCTATGTTCTCATTGCCAATGAACACACTACACAGATCTCAACCTCAGAATTCTCTCCACACTGGTATTTCCAAAATAGCTTCATGAGAAGGGAAATTTGTGTAGTTTCAATGATTTAGTGATGCTATGGTTTGGGTATTTGTCTCCTCTAAACCTCATGTTGAAATGTGACCCCAATTTTGGAGGTGGGGCCTAATGGGAGATGTTTCGGTCATGGAGGTGGATCCCTCACAAATAGATTGATGCTATTCCCTGCAAGGAGGAGAGGATGAGTGAGTTCTCACTGCATTAGTTCCTATGAGAGCTGGTTGCTAAAAAGTTTGGCATCTCTCCCCTCTCTCTCGCCATACGATCTCTCTGCACACACCACCCGCCTTTGCCTTCCATTGAGTGGAAGCAGCCTGAGGCCCTCACCAGACGCATATGCTGGTGCCATGCTTCTTGTACAGTCTGAAGACTGTGAGCCTAATAAACCTCTTTTCATTATAAGCTACCTAGTCTTGTGTATTCTGCCATAGCAACACAAATGAACTAAGACAAGTGACAAACACAAAATAACTTGTCTTTTAGACAATATTGATGTCTGAAATTCCACATTGAGGCATTTTTTTCCTCTTCGTAGCCTGATAATGGCAAATACCTTCTGACACCTTAGGATGGATGAATTTGTAAGAGATATTCCTGGAAGCAGGTTTGTACAGTGTAGAGAAAATGTTGGGTAACAAAGCAGGAATGGAGGAGGGTTAATCAGCAAGCCAAAAAGCTTTTATAGTTTTGCCTGCTGTGCTGCATGGAATTACATCCCCCCAAAACATATGTTCAAGTCCTAACCACAGGTACCTGTGAACATGAGTTTATTTGGAACTAGGATCTTTGCAAATGTTATCAAGTTAAGATGAGGTAATACTGGATTGGGGTGGGCTCTAAATCCAATGACTGGTGTCTTCATAAAAGAAAGGTGAGGGAGAGTTGAATATAGCGACACAAAGGAAACACGGGGAAGGAGACCATGTGACAATGTAGGCACAGAATGGAGTGTTGCAGCCAAGCCAAGAATGGCAAGGATTGCTGGAGCTACCAGAAGCTAGGAGGAGGCAAAGGATTCTTCCCTAGAGCCTTCAGAGGGATCATGGCCTTAATGGCACCTTGAGTTCAGAATTTTAGGCTCCAGGACTGTGACAGAATAAATTCCCGTTGTAAGCTGTTCAGTCGGTGGTAAATTTTTACAGCAGCCCCAGGAAAATATGCCTGCTCAACACCCTACCCTGAATTTTAAGTTCATTTTATGGAATCATTTTGAGTTTGGAGTTTGATTTAATCCTTTTCAGTAATTAACGCTCTTCATTTTTTACTCCCAAATATGTCACACTGGCTCTACTCTTATAACAATTGTATTTATCTATCTTTTGGTAATGGGGCTGCCACCCCTTGCAGAATGAAAAGTAGAGTGTGTATGCTCACACCTCCCTCCCTCCCTCCCTCTCTCCCTCCCTCTCTCTTTCTTTCTTTCTCAGAGTATCGCTCTGTCTCGCCCAGGCTGGAGTGCAGTGGCGCAATCTTGGCTCACTGCAACCTCTGCCTCCAGGGTTCAAGCGATTCTCCTGCCTCAGCCTCTGGAGTAGCTGGGATTACAGGCGCCCGCCACCACGCCCGGCTAATTTTTTTGTATTGTTAGTAGAGATGGGGTTTCACCATATTGGTCAGGCTGGTCTCAAACTCCTGACCTCAGGGGATCCACCCGCCTTGGCCTCCCAAAGTGCTGGGATTACAGGTGTGAGCCACCGCACCCGGCTCACAGAATTTCTTAAAAAGTCATTGTGTTCAGTCTTTATGGATCCTCTAAATTCCAGCTGCTCAGCCTCCCGGAGCTAAATGAGATCACTTAAAGGTCGACTGTTGGGGCCTCCAAGGTCGCCTCGGAGACTCACCTCATAGGCAATCAAATGGATCGCTGGGTTTTTGTGTGTGTGGGTTTTTTTTGTTTATTTTTTTTTTCCAGAAAAACACTCCACCAAGAAGGTTTTTATAACCTACTGGAGGAGGAGGATGGAGAGTGGGCACGAAAGGACTAGGATGAACATGCCATAAGCAATCTAAATGCCACTGCAATATTGCCTGGTGAGGACCTGATTACTGATGTTTTAAAGCTAAGCTTTCAGTTGTCACTCCACCCAGTAGTGAAACAATGAGCTCTAAAATATATATTTCGGCTCAAGCTTTCTTATGTGGGGAGGTAATCCACCCGAAGGTATCCCCAGCCTGTACCTAATACAGTGCCCAGCACTAAAGCAGCTCAGATGCCAGTGAATGGTGGCCACTGGGAGGCCTGTCAGTGGGTGCCAGTAGCGGTCTCTTCAGAGAAAAAGAAAACTCCCCTCTGCCAGATCAGTATTTTATGAGCTGTGAACCAAAACCATTGCTACCACCATCACTATAATTCTATCCACAGTAATTATCATAAAGGCCTAACAATGCCTTGTAGATGAACATTCTGAGTAACTGCTCTATAACCAGGAGATTTAAGACCGCACCAAAAACCAGTAGAGGGTTATACTTTACTGGGCACAAGTCGTTTATGATAACGAAATTGTAGTTTAATCTGTGAAGAGATGTGAATGTAACTGAGACACGCTTAAATGGAATATACAGATGAGCTTTATTTTTATATCTGGCATGCTTGGATCCATGCCGACCCTCCAGCTGCTCGGGCCTGCCCTTAGGGGCTATGGACCGCATGACTCTATCAGCGGCACTGCCACCGCCGCCGCCTCCGTGCTGCCTGCGTTCCCCGACCATTGATTGGGCCCGGCAGGCGCTTCCTGGGGGCTTCCCTACCGGCTCCAGCCCTTGGGATTCGGGAGCGCCCTGCTAGGAAGCCAGAGCCCCGCAGGGGCCGCGGCGTCCAGGCCGCCTAACGCGCGCCCCTCGCCCGGCGCCCCGAAGCGGCCCCGAGGGGCGGGAGCCGAGGCGAGCGGCAAGGCCGGGCCGGGGGCGCACAGCGCCCCTAGAAGTGCGGGCTTCCCCCACCCCCGGCAGCGACCCTACCTCCCGCCCCCGCTGCGTGCGCGCGTGTGTCCGTCTGTCTGTATGCTCTCTCGACGTCAGTGGGAATTTCCAGCCAGGAAGTGAGAGAGTGAGCGAGACAGAAAGAGAGAGAAGTGCACCAGCGAGCCGGGGCAGGAAGAGGAGGTTTCGCCACCGGAGCGGCCCGGCGACGCGCTGACAGCTTCCCCTGCCCTTCCCGTCGGTCGGGCCGCCAGCCGCCGCAGCCCTCGGCCTGCACGCAGCCACCGGCCCCGCTCCCGGAGCCCAGCGCCGCCGAGGCCGCAGCCGCCCGGCCAGTAAGGCGGCGCCGCCGCCCGGCCACCGCGCGCCCTGCGCTTCCCTCCGCCCGCGCTGCGGCCATGGCGCGGCGCTGACTGGCCTGGCCCGGCCCCGCCGCGCTCCCGCTCGCCCCGACCCGCACTCGGGCCCGCCCGGGCTCCGGCCTGCCGCCGCCTCTTCCTTCTCCAGCCGGCAGGCCCGCGCCGCTTAGGAGGGAGAGCCCACCCGCGCCAGGAGGCCGAACGCGGACTCGCCACCCGGGTAAGCCAAACTCGGGCGAGTGGGGGCCCGGCAGGGGACGCGTGGCCCAAGTCCTGCCGCCCAGCCCTCCGCACCCCCTCCAGCCCCACTCGGACTTCCTCATTCCTGCGCTAACCGCTGGGCTAGACCGTGGGAGGAGGTTGACAGTAGCTGAGAGGCACATGGGATTAGCGACAGCGGGGAAAGACACATCCGGACCTCGCAGGGGCTAGTCGGCCGAAGGGCCGCGGCCGCCCGGCGGTCATTTCTCTTCACGTCCCTCCGCGGGGCGGGAACGCGAACCGGAGGGGAACTCTTACAAACTTTTAAAATCCCCAACCCCAGCCCCACCTGGGGGATGGTGAGAAGGTTGGAGTGCGCTGCGGCGCGGAGGAGAGAGGGAAGGTGGTTGGTGCAGTGCAGAACCAGATTTCACCTAAGGGCGTTCCATGAAATGAAAGCAGAAGTGCTTGTCAGTCCTCTTGGCTGGGAAAGCCCTCCCCAGCTCCCCAGAATTGAATAGGAGAGTCTATTCATCCCTCTCCTACTTCTAAAAGAAACCTGGCTCGCTCTCTGTCTCTCTCTCTCTCCCCCCTCCCCCCCTCCGTGCGCGCGCGCGCGCGCACACACACACACACACACACACACACACACACACACGATATAGTCACCTGCTATAGGACTTGATTCTGATCCTCCGGGGCCTGGCATTTGAGAGAGAAAATAAATTACCTACCTGGATACTTAGAGCACTTTTTAGACTTGATTATGTAAAACTCTTGGACAGTGCCACCATGCATTATGCATGACCGCTGAAACAAAAATAATGTAAAAACAAGGCCTATCCTAAATGCAAGTTTTTCTATGGTCCTTAAAAACAGACACCAGGGAATGTTTGCCCTGACTTGCTGGTTTATCCTGAAACTCAAATGGGACTTAATGATACAGGATTTAATTATCAAGATTGACATGTTCATGGACTTTGTTAAGTAGAGGTTTTCAGCATTACAGTTTATGAAATAACCATATTTAACTCAAAGATTTTTTTATAAAGCTCATAATCTGAAAAAATGCTTATGGTATTACTAAAACATTTAATAGCTCTGGCATCAAAATATTCTACATACTGGTGATCTTTTAGTAAATAGTAAAGGTTAGGGTCAAGATATTCAATAATTTTTTTCTAGCAGAATCCCACAACTGAATATTGTCAAGCAGTTTAAACTGCATTCGTGTTTGTTAAAACTTTAAAAGGGAAACTTAAAACTAAAGTATGTTGTTTTTCTGATTTTAATATTGTGCTTTCTAGAGATGAATCCTTTTACTGTTTGAGGCACTATAGGAATTATGTATTTAAATGTATGTATTTAAATTTGAAGCAATGTACTTTTTTGAGTTTATAAACTTGGGAAGACAGGAAATAAAAAGATTTGTTTCCTGTAGAATTTTACATTCATGATTTAATTGAATTGCTAAAATGGAAAGAACATGTACGATTAATGGAGACTTGGAATCTGAGATTATTCATCCATATTGATACACCTGCAATTCCTAAATGCCCTCCCCTGCTTGTTTAGATAAAATGTCTTCCTGGGCTGCAGCCTACTGGACAAACTTGAACACAAAGGAACACACGTTATATGTACATTTAATACTGGAACCGAAAAGCTGCTTGCAGTGAAAAGCAAACCACTTCTAAACTCTTTGAGACTTTTTAAAGAAGGTAGTATAATCCTTTTAGGGGTTGGTGGTGATGTGAAAATCTATTATCTTTTTGCTGAAATTTCATTCTTATGTTAGGCATTGGCACTCACTTGTGCTGAGTAAATGCCCGTGTTTTTCAAACCCAGATAGTAAATACTGGGGGTATACATACAAAAATAGTCCTTCCCCTTTGTAAGCATTGCTTTGATCTTTGCACTTCCTTTTTACTCTACCTCTTAAACAAGATCTGTGTTGATTGAGTTGATTAAAGCACAATTAATCTGAAATAGGCAGAATTTTAGATTTAGTGATTATATTCCTTACATTTCTGTTGTTACTGTTCCTGGAAACAAATTGAAGTAGTTTGAGAAACTAATATTTATGCAGGTTGTTTTAACTACACTTTTAGACTTGCAGATAATTGATTAAGTAAGTTACTACCTTGACTTTCAGGGATTGCTCATTGTGGTAGATACGAGGTCTAGATAGGGAATTGGCAGCTACATGAATGTTGGACTATCATTCCATCAGCAAGACCTTATTTTTACCTAATTTATGAGAGGTATTTCTCTGTTCAGAAGAGGTGAAAGTTCTGGCTTCTGGGGGGAAGTGGTTACTTCATAACCTTCAATTGGTTTGAACTTGGGAGAAGTAAGAAAAGTAGTCGATATTTTCAAACAGTAAAATAATTGTATCTGAGTTGCTGTATGGATTTTTGATGAAGTACTCAAAATGTCATCTTTTGCATCTTCGGGTCTTAGTAGATGTGCTATTCTGAGTATAGAATTGACTGCAGTAGGAAGTGTATCTGGAAATGCACAGTACTGTTGTATAACCAATAGAGTAAATTCTCAGATTATGCTCTTCTGGTCCACAGATTGATCAGAAATCACATTAACAGGAATGGATGTCTATGCAAAATTTCTCATTAATTTTCTTACTTTTAGTAGGAAGTTTGTTTTATTCGGTTGGTCTGTTGGTTTTCTGTTTACAAGGTGAATTGTCTACAGTAGTGGGATTGTTATATTAGAAGAGAAGGAGAAGGAAAAATAGAAGTTAGTGCTAGAGGATATGTTAAGATGTTCTGCTCCTACATCTACATTTGTGTCTAATCAGCATTAATTGATGACTACGTCTTGGTAAACAGTAGACCATACTGGAGCAATTTACTCTGCTTTTTGGGAATTAGTTCTCATTTGCACTCTTGCACCTCCCATAAATACTGAACTCACTTGTAGTGTTCTTAGAGGTCAGCAATAAACCATCAAGAGCATATGATCTCTCTTTGAATTTTGTCACTACTTTGGAGACAGACAGTTTGGAAGAACTGAAGGTACTCAGCCTCAGGGAGAAAGGTTTGAACGTTTTGGCATAGTCCTGCAAGTCAGTTTGGCTCCTTGACTGTGAATTTTTTTAATCAAAAAAGATTAATATTTGAAACCACATAATTTGGACAGTTAATAGTTCTGGTAACATAACCAAGCCTTTTATCTTTGTAGTATTTCATTAATTAGTATCCAGTGCCTCACTTTTAGAAGAAAAAAAGAGAAAAAAGTAGTAACATTCTTTTAATGATGATGAAATTGCTTCATACCTTTGGTCTCTGCTGTATTAGGGGTTGTTCCTGGGTGCAAATTAATATACTGTCTTTTACATTTCCGGAGGTTGTTGACCTGGCCTTGAAGATCAGCCAACAGTTTAGAAAATAAGTTGTGCAAATTGCATTGCTACACCTCAAATAATTTAAAGCCTGACAGTTCTGTACAGAATAAGAGTCACATAAGATGTGATTTGTTAAAGATTATAGAAATCTCAGAAGATAGATTATGGATGAAAATATTTGTTTAATTTAGAGTACTAATAATAAAAATAGTGCATTTTACATTTTAAAAAGAAAACAATTTTTATTGTGTCATATTTTCTGTAGTAACAAACAGAATTAATTATCAGTAATACAAATTTCATCTGCTTTAATTTATTGCCTGTTTTTGAAATTAGAATAATGATATATTTGGTTTAATTATCCATTACAAATTGCCTTATTATTTTTCATTCATCTTTCACCATTAATCCAGAAACCTTAAAATAGCTTTTATTTTGACCCATGCCTTCAGTAGATATCAACAGACTTGAGTTCATCTATGGATCCTATTAGTTTAAACTGTGACAAATTTTGACTGCTTAAGCTTTAGAAAAGAATTTATTCTTTAAAATAGCCAAAATTATAAAAAATGAAATAAAGAAAAAGCTGTTTGAGAGAATCAAATACTCTAGTTTAACTAAAAATAAATAATATCTAATCAATACTGACGAAAGAAATATCTGATGCTTAGCATTGTACTTGTTGGTACATAGTAAGCAATCATTAACTGTTAAATGAATGAATGATATGAAGTTGTTGCAAAATTTTTTTTTAAATGGACAGCCATCTTCTATAAGGAACAAAAATTACATTATTTTGCTTTGCCTTCTGGAAAGAAAGGAGCACAAAATAGTCCTTGTGTCTTAGATATTATGGAAATCTTATCTAAAGACCACTTGAAGTTTACTAGAACAAATAATTTATTAAAAAGTATCTGGCGCCTTCCAAAAGGGGAACATTTCATTCTGAAAGAGGCATTTATGAACTAGAAAAAAAATGCCTTTTAGTTTCAAAGTTTTAGAGGCACCAGAGCAAGATTATAAAGTAATTGGAATGATAAAAGGTGCTTGTAAAATTGAAAAATGTAATTTTTTGGTGAAGTTAGAATTTCTGTACACTCCATTGAAACTGTAATATCAAATACTAATACCTCCAAAAAAGAAACAATGCTACAAGCACTGCTTGGTAATCTAAGAATTGTTAACACTTATCTAAATTAATCAACCAAAAAGTTAAAACAAAATATGTTATTTTGTTATGTTACCTCTAGAATTAAACACCTATCACCCATAAATCTGTGACTGTTAAAAGTTACTAGATGGCAAACCTCAGGAACAAGCAGGCAGTTAGCAGGGTTTACTGTACTTTCCACTTTCATACTTTAATGATTTTTCCAACACTATAGAAGCTGGGGCCTCATCCTAGCACAGTTTGTTCATTATTTTTCAGTTGTAGCATTTTTTAAAAGTTGGCCTTGAATTTCTGAATTGAACCATTTATTTTTTTGTGGACACAGTTTTTTAAATGAAATATACCATTTAGACTAGAAAAGAGCAAAATGCCAATACTCCCTGTCCTAGTGTCATTGTGCCCCCTGGGAACCCTAATGCAGTCCTGTGGGAAAACAACCATTTTATTGAGCGCTGCTCACTTCAGTTCATTCTGCTTTGCTGCCACTTAGTTCTGGTTCTGACCCTGATCTCCCCTCACATCACTCACAACAAACATTCAAGTTTAAAAATTAAGTTAAAAGTTAGTTACATATATATGTAACTAATGTGTATATTAAATATACTGATATATATTAGTTACATATACAGATATGGCAACAACAAAAAAGGTTATATATATACATATTTGTAACTAATATGTATATTAAATATAATGATATATGTATAAATACATATTTGTAACTAATATAATTATATTTAATATATATTAGTTACAAATATGTATATATAATATTTTTTGTTGTTGCCAGCAAAATGAGAAAGAAATTAAATGTTAACATCTATAACAATTGCACTGTAAAGCCGTCATTGTTGAAAAGTACTCCGAAGATTAATAGCGGCAGTGTTTGTTAAAATAATAAAATAATCCAGGCACTCTGCCTGTGACTTCCCCATGAGATGGCTTCCAGAAAAAGATAAATTTTTGTGTGTTCCCTTACGAGTTCAGTCTGCAGCTTCTGGGCATGAAGAGAAGCATAAACAAAACAAACAAGGCTCTAACTTTGTTATAATCCTTACGCTACTAGTAGAAATGTATGGACAATTCATGCATTTCATATTGGAAAATAAAGCTATTAGATTTTTCTTTGAGATGAACCTTTTTTTTGTAATTTATTTTTTATTTTTTATTTTTTTTCAGTAGAGATGGGATTTTGCTCTGTTGGCCAGGCTGGTCTCAAACTCCTGACCTCAAGTGATCCACCCGCCTCAGCCTCCCAAAGTGCCGGGATTACAGGCGTGAGCCACCTAGCTTGGCCAAGGTGAACCTTTTTGATAAATGAGGCTCACTAATATTTCTAGGATTTACTTTTCACTAACTTGAACTAAAGAAAGTATAAGACCTGCATAAAGTTGAGCATACCTCTATAATGTCCCATTTTAAAAAGCAATTTGTTTTTAATGACTTTTATTTGTTAAAAGCAGTTATTTCAAAAAATTATTTTTATTATTTATCATGTCATTTGGACTGAAAATACTATACCATATTTCAGTGTTAGGGCACACCTATCCCTCTTTATCCCAGACGTCAATTCTACCATATAACAAGTATGTAAAAAAGAAAACATAAAAGTGATGACAGACTCCCTAATCAACCTATTTATTGGTTCTAAGCCCAAGCCTGCAGTTCATTTAAATAGTGAAAATAGATTACTTAATTGTCTTAGAAAATATGTCTTCCATGACAAGAATTTTAGGAATGAGAAAATAACTATTTTTGGATGTTTTAACACAAATTCCCAAATCATGTTTTATTGATATTTGAAGAACCTCTTTGTCTACCAGTTCTTAAGTATAGGCTTATTTTGTAAGGCTTAAACATGTATTGGTGTTTGACTGTTAAGACTTGATCTATAACCTTCAGTGTCTTTTTCTTTTAAATGGGGTATGGACTTGGTAATGAGGCCAGAGGAGAATACCTTACAATTTATAGCATCTGCATATAATACAAGAACCTTCATGATTTATAAAATTAAAATGATGATGATGTGGAATGATGGAAGAAGCATGTGTGGGTGGCTATTTATGTAGAGGAAATTAGAAGTTGAAAGCAATGTTAAGAATTAAAATTAAATTACACTTAATTTTTTGCTCAGTTGGATAGTCAGGAAAGTACTTAAATCAGCAATTGATTTACGTAAAATCAAAACTGAAAACTGAATATACAATCTAGGAAATAGGAAAAAAATTTTTAGTGTGTTCATACTGCTAATTTCAAACCAAGCAAAAAACCTGGGGAACTACTTTTCAGAGGAGATGGCTTAAAATGAACCAAAAATATAGCCATTTCTCTACCCTATTCATTTAATGCATTCATTTATTATACTGCTAATACATGATAAGGTGAATAGGTTAAGCATCGTTTGTATATGTGTATGTGATTTTAAACCTGAGTCTTTTGAAAGATTGGTCAAAGCAAAGGATAATGAAAGCATAAAGATTTAGGGGGAAGAGTCCTCTATAAAACTAAGACTTAAACTTTGTTATCAACTTGAATGTGAAGATAGAATAATCTAGAAAGTGAATGAGAATTATAAATAAAAGGACAAATCATATATCTCATGGTTGAGAAATACAATGAGATAAATTGTATATCTCATCTCATGGAGGGTCATAATGAAAGAAGTAAGAGAGATTGCCCTTGGATAGAACCTTTCGGCAGACATTTCATAATGGATTATCATATTTTTGCTAAACTGGTAAGAATGGACTTTTCACCACATTATGAAAAAACACTTTAGAAGTCAGTTGCGATCAAGCAAATATAAGTACCTGGGAAATTAAAATCAAAAGCACAGCAGTCCAACAATAGTCAAATGCATTTACTCACTCTCATACCATATCATAGCGTTAATTTGAGATAATGTCTTTATGGTGTCTCTTTATATATTTACTCGATTTCCCATTTAAGACATTTAACCAAATTTAAAAAGCAATCCTTAGAAACTTTAAAAATATTTCCTATTTTAAACCATTACATAATCATTTACCCTGCAGTTACAATTCTTTTTTTGTGATGGGTGGGGAAGTATCCCATTTCTCTTAGAAAGTCTTCTGTAATAGCCAAATAGGAGTCAATCCAAGTTGCTTAGAGAGGTAGTTCAATCCTGTGTTGAAATAGATGACTTTTGGAGTAATTGTGCTATATTTACTGAGTATCTGTTGAACTGTAGGAGTCCAGTCATTCAAGGCAAGCTACAGAAATGATTTTATTGCTGAGGCACTTAAGTATCTTCACATCTATATGCCAATATTAAATTTCTCATCATCCTTGATCCCCACCCCTTTGCACAGATTGGTATCCCCAGCACATTAGGGAATGCGGTTGTTAGCCTGTTAGGGTCCATTCAGTAGATTTCTCATGCCAGAAATCTAGAAGCCCTTCTTATACATTCAGCTTTCTTCTTCAGTCAGTCACCAAGTTCTATCAAGGCAGCCTCCTCATCTCCAGAATCCATCCCTTCCTCGTTGAATTTCTAGATTTTATTTTTGCATTGTCTCCTGCTTCTAACCCATCGTTCATTTCGCATAATGGTCAGCTTTCTAAAGTGTAAATCGGATCATGTCTCTGCAGTGAATCCCAGTTGTCTTCACAAGCTGATTCTCGCACACCTCACCCCCTTACTCCCTCCGGTGTTCCCCAACCATCCCCTAATCTCAAATCCTCCACACCGACTTTCAGTTTCCTATCCACAGTTTCTGACTTTGAATGCCTTTGCTTATGCCCTCCCTGTATGAGAAGTGCCTTTTCTTTCCTAGCCATCCTGCTAACTTCTAAACCCTTAGGCCTGGTTTGAGCATCACCATTTCTCTCACTTGCCTTTCTGTTTTCTCCCTCCCCTTTCCATAAAGAGTTATGTGCCCCCATTCTGTGTTCTCCTGAATTCCTGTGGGTCCTAGAAAAGAAACATCTTGAGGGCAAGGAGTTCATCTTATTTACTTTTTATTTGCACAGCACCTGGTGTGTTTGCTGAATAAGTAAATACCGAACAAGATATCAAGAGACAGTGCTGCCAATTAACTGTGTGGCTCTGAGCAAGTTAATTAACTTCTCTGAGTCTTATTTTTGTTCTGTAAAAAAAATGAGGTTTGACAAAATGAGCATCTCTCTCTAAAATTATGTGTTTCTTTGATGTAATTGTATTAATTGGAAGACTTCAGATTTTCTTGCCATATCAAGATAGGTCAACTTAAGAAAAATGCATGTGAGTAAGTACCAAGCCAATTCTTGATTATCAGTATGATAATATGAGGAACTGCCCATTTTGTCGATAATAAGTTATAATTTTTGGTCTCAGTGTAGGTTCTTTCTCAAATCCAGATGTTTCTGGTGTTGCATTTTTTCATTATTATTCAGTCTC
This sequence comes from Homo sapiens, assembly GCF_000001405.40. Classification (NCBI taxonomy): domain Eukaryota; kingdom Metazoa; phylum Chordata; class Mammalia; order Primates; family Hominidae; genus Homo; species Homo sapiens. Next base: position 102,510,704 of record NC_000004.12, read on the forward strand.
TCGCATTCATATTTCTCCAAAGAAATTTATGGAAAACTTGAGACAAAAATTGAATGTAAAGTTTAATATTTAAATGCTAGATTGATTCAAGGTCTCACTAATTATAACTATATTTGGAGGGAGAAGAAGGGGAGGTGGTGGTAGTATGAGCTGAATCCTCCTCTGTTCCTTCCTAGAAGGAACACAACGTCCTACATCAAGAAAAAAGACAGAAGCATATCTTGGAGATATGAAAAGAACCACCAGGTAAACTAAAAAGAAAAAGAGTGTTAAAAAGTCAGCCTTTAAAAAGCAGGATTGGAGATGAGGAGGGGTGGAGTAGGGGAAGCATTGCTTGTTTATAGAAGCTCTTCCATCTTCGTATAGTGTGATTTTTATTTTTTTATTATTTTTTCCTTCCTTTTTTTTGACCTCCAGCTTTAGTATAGTACAGTTGACAGAAATTATATATGTTTATGGTACACAAGATGATGTTTTGATATACATATGCATTGTGAAATGATTAAATCAAGCTGATTAACATAAGTAGGGTTTTATTTCTTTAACAGTGATTTATTTGAATATATGTTGAGTCCTTTCTATGTGCCAGACACAGTTCTAAGGACAAGGCACACAGTGCCAAACAAGACAGAAATCCAGAAATTCATGGAGCTTAAATCATGTAGTCTTTTCAGTTTTTAAAATTTTCTTGCTGGGCGTAGTGGCTCATATCTGTAATCCCAGTACTTCAGGAGGCCGAGAAGGGAGGATTGCTTAAACCCAGGAATTTGAGACCAGCATGGACAAAATAGCGAGACCCCAGTCTCTACAAAAAATTTAAAAATTAGCTGGGCATGGTGGCACATGCCTGTGGTCCCAGCTCTTCAGGAGGCCGAGGTAGGAGGTTCACTTGAGCCTGGGAGGTTGAGGCTTCAGTGAGCAGCGATTGTGCCACTGCAGTCCAGTCTAGGCAACAAAGCAAGACTGTCTCAAAAAAGGAAAAAAAAAATAGAAAGAGAAACTTTATTTTTACATTAGCCTTTTTTAAGTTGAAGAATCCCATAGCTAAAAAAGTACACAAATATTAATGCTGCAACTTTAGTGATTTATCTCAAGGTGAACACGTTTAACCTAGTGGGTGGTCAAGAAATAGAACACTGGCAGCACTGCAAAAGCATCCTATCTGCCCTTTCTTAGTTAGGACCCCTTCCCTCCACTGTCATTTAAAAGATTTCACAAACAACTTTTGGATTATATGTATGTCAATTCTGTGACTCATATATATCCACATAGACAATGGAGCGTTGACTGAATGAATTCATTATTCCAAGGTGCTAATAATGAGCTTCACACCAGCGGGAACTCTGCTGTGTCAGTTGGGCTCTAAGCTCAGTTCATTTCAGATATTCCTCACTAAACAAAATACTGTTTTTCCTCAGTTGTTAGTAAAAAATAGAAAACAGATTACATTCTCATTTACTTATTACTTATGAATGTAAAAGTAAATATTTTGCTTAATACCAAGTAGCCAGGGTCACTGACAGAGACATGGGAGAAAGAAGTATTCACATCTGATGTTATCAGACATAGAAGAGAGAGGTATAGTTCACCTATTTCTCCCCACTCAGTTTATACATTGACATCTGTATGTGTGTTGTTTTGTTTTGTTTTGTTTGTTTGTTTTGAGATGTGGTGTCGCTCTGTCACACAGGCTGGAATGCAGTGGCGCAATCATGGCTCACTGCAGCCTCGACTTCCTGGTCCCAAGCTATCCTCCCACCTCAGCCACCCAAGTAGGTGGGACTACAGGCATGCACCACCACACCTGGCAAAATTTTAATTTTATTTTACTTTTTAAAATTTTTGTAGAGATGGGGTCTCCCTATGTTGCCAAGGCTTGTCCCCAAATACCTGGACCTCCCAAAGTGCTGGGATTATAGGTGTGAGCCACCACACCCAGCCATGTATATGTTAAAGCGTTTATCTGTATGAGTGGTCAGTGTAGAAAGGGCTTCATGGAGCCTGATTTTGATGGCTTGCAAATTATTATATTTGTGTATGTGTAATCGGAAGGCCTTCGCCGTGATTATTTCTTCAAAGGAACCCTTTGTCCCTCCAGGGTGATTGTACCCATGTTCATAGGACCAAACATTGCTGGTTCACATAATGACTCTTTTTCTTTTAAAACATAAAGGACATATTTTTATGGATTTTTGAGGATTAATAGAATAAAAATCTAAAGTCATATTCAGATTCAAGAGAACTGGATCAGTTTCTCTGTATTTGAACAAAAGAATACTAATCTCTAATTCATAATGCATGAGGTCTACTTCTTCCTCAGTCTGAAAATATGAATATTCCAAAATGGTACTCAAGGCAGAGGCTATATATCAAAATTAAAATTCTGTGATACTATGTTTTTAGGGAAGAAGAAAACTGTAGCATTAGAAATGTAGACGCAAAAGGTCAGAACAAAGTCCAGTATGTCAAGTCCCTTTATAATGCCATCTGAATGAAAGACCTCACACCATGAACAGAGGTATTGAAGCAGTTTTTATGTGGAAATGGTAGGCAGCAATATCTCAGGAGTGACTTTAATTATAACATTTAAGGTTTTATCTAACTTATTATAATCCTTAGAGAACTTCTCTAGCTCTACAAGTTATTCTTGGCAGAATTTGTCCTAACATAGTATTAATAAAAATAAATTTTACTTGAGTATGATATAAATTACTCTTAATTACAATATAATTTTAAAATGCCCAAAACATCTTTTGATCTTATGAATTTCAGTCAGCTATGATTAAGAAGACAACCATAGGCAAAAATTTCTTTCTTATGGAACACGTTGGAATGCATTCTAATCACTTCTCTAAGAAAATCCCTGTCCCCCATGATTATAGTGAATATGATACAGCAATAATTTAGATGCTTCTTTCAGGGGGGTGAGGTTATGTATTCTACAGTCTATTGATTCTAAGAGGCACTTTTTTCTCCCCCAATTTAACAGTTTTGTTTAATTATATACATTTCAGGATTTTTTGGGGATATTTTTCTATCACTGGTTTCTGATTTAATTCCACTGTATTTAGATAACATATTCCGCATGCTTTCAATTCTTTGAAATTTATTGAGACTTACTTTATGGCTCGGGACGTGGTCTATCTTCGTGAATATTCCGTGTGTATTTAAAAATAATGTGGACTCTGGGCCGGGCGCGGTGGCTCACGGCTGTAATCCTAGCACTTTGGGAGTCCGAGGCAGGCAAATCATGAGGTCAGGAGATCGAGACCATCCTGGCTCACACGGTGAAACCCCATCTCTACTAAAAAAATACAAAAACTTAGCCAGGCGTTGTGGTGGGCGCCTGTAGTCCCAGCTACTCAGGAGGCTGAGGCAGGAGAACAGCGTGAACCCAGGAGGCAGAGCTTGCAGTGAGCCGAGATGGCGCCACTGCACTCCAGCCTGGGTGACAGAGCGAGACTCCATCTCAAAAAAAAAAAGAAAATAATAATAATAATAATGTGGACTCTAAAATCATTCAGTGGGGTGTTGTAGACACACTAGGTTCTTTTGATTGACAGTTTTGTTCCTAAGCCTTCTATATCTTTCCTACCATGGTTTGAATGTGTCCCCACCAAATTCAGGTGTTGAAACAGGATGACCAATGTGATGGTAGGAAAAGGTAGAGCCTGTAAGAAGTGATGGGATTAGGTGCCCTTTTAAAAGGGCTTGCTGGAGGAAATTTGTCTCCTCTTGCCTTTCCGCCCTCTGCCAGTTGCGGACACAGCATTCCTCCCCTCTAGAGGATGCATCCCTCACCAGATACCAAATGCTGGTGCCTTGATCTTGGGCTTCCCGTTGCCAGAACTGTGAGAAATAAACCTGGGCTCTTTATAAATTACCCAGTCTCAGCTATTCTGTTATAGCAGCATTGACAGACTAAGACATTTCCTGACACTCTGTTGATTTGCTTTGATCAATTACCGAGAGAGGAATGTTAAAAATCTTAACTGTAATTGTGGATTTGTCATTTTTTCCATTAGTTCTGCCACGTTTTTGCTTCATGTATTTTGAAGCTTTGTTAATAGGTGCGTACACAATAAGATCATTGTTTTTCTTTGATGAGTTGGCCCTTTGATTCTTATATGCAATGTTCCTCTTTGTCCCTGGTAATGTTTATTCTCTTGAAGTCTACTTTATCTGATATTTTAGAATGTAGCCTGCTTTTCTTATATTTAGCATTTGCATGATATAACTAGCCCAGTGTACCATCTTCATACATTTAAACTGTGTCTTTAATATTAAAGTACAATTCTTATGAAAAGCGTATACTTTAATCTTGTTTTTTAAAAATCCAGTCTGATCATCTCTGTCTTCTAGATGAGTTCAGTCCAGTTCCATGTAATATTATTATTATTATTATTTTTTTTTTTTTTTTTTTTTGAGACGGAGTCTCGCTCTGTCGCCCAGGCTGGAGTGCAGTGGCGGGATCTCGGCTCACTGCAAGCTCCGCCTCCCGGGTTCACGCCATTCTCCTGCCTCAGCCTCCCAAGTAGCTGGGACTACAGGCGCCCGCCACTACGCCCGGCTAATTTTTTGTATTTTTAGTAGAGACGGGGTTTCACCGTTTTAGCCGGGATGGTCTCGATCTCCTGACCTCGTGATCCGCCCGCCTCGGCCTCCCAAAGTGCTGGGATTACAGGCGTGAGCCACCGCGCCCGGCCCCATGTAATATTATTACTGGTATGTTGGGTTTAAGTCTCTCATCTTGGTAATTAATTATCTATTTGTGCTATCTCTTCTTTATTCTTTTTTTTCTCCTTTCCTGCCATCCTTTGAATAAATCAAGTTTAGTGTTTTAAATTCCATTTTATCTCCTTCATTGGTTACTTTCTAAAGTGGTTACTTTACCACTTTAGAAAAGTATTTGTTTATTACAATATGCATCTTTGAGTCTCTAATTAATGTGAGAACTTGACAATGTTATACTTCTGTTTGTCCTTCTGTGCTGTTATTGTTATACATTTTACTTCTTTATATGTTATAAACTCCAAAATATATTGTCTTGTTTTGCTGTGAACAGTCAATCGTCTGTTTAGGAAATTAAGAAAGAAGAAATAAAAGTCTTCTGCTTACTCACATATTTATCATTATTGATGCTTTTTATTCTTTCATACAGGTCCAAGTGTCTATCATTTCCCTTCAGCATGAAGAACTTCTTTTTAGCATGTCTTTTAGCAGGTCTGCTGGTGATGAATACTCTTAGCTCTTGTTTACTTGAAAATGTCAATTTCACCTTTATTTTTAAAAGATTTATTTGCTGAATATTCTGGACCAATCTTTTTTTTTCTTTTATCACTGTAAAGGTGCCTTTACATTGCCTTCTAGCTTGTACTGTATCTAATGATCATCAGAAACATCATGCTTATCATGCTTATCAATTGTTCCCCCATATATAATATGTCCTTTCTTGTCCTTTGCTATTTTGGGATTTTTTTTTTCTCTAGCATTAGTTTTTAACAGTTTGGCTGTAATATGCCTAACCATGGTTTTATTTGTCTTTATCCAGCAGAGAGATCTTTGAGATTCTTGGATCTGTGGGTTGATTTTTTAAAAATCAAATTTATAAAAATTCTCAACTGTTATTTTTTTGAATATTTTTTCTGTCTTTTTTCTGTTTCTGGGATTCTATGTTACAAATACGTAAGACTGCTTAATATTGTCCTGTAGGTCACTGAAGCTGTGTTCACTTCTTTCTACCTTTTTTTCTCTGTAATTCAGTTTGGGTAGTTTTTATTGACCTTTCTTCTAGTTTATTGGTACTTTCTTCTATAATGTTAAATATGCTAAGTCCATCTAGTGAAATTTCATTTCAGTTCTAAAATTTCCATTCTTTTTTTTAAAAGAAAGGTATGCATTTCTTTGCTGATATTGCCTATCTGTTCTCTCATTATGTTCATCTTTTCCTTTACATTATTGACCATATGCTATTAGCTATTTTTGTCATTTGTGTCATTTTTTTTCTCAGTCTTATTTTCCTATTTCTTTGCAGGCTTCATTATGTTTTATTGTACATTGTGGAGAGTTTGGGTTTTTTGTCTTCCTTTAAAACGTGTTGAGCTTTGTTGTAACAGGCAGTGAATTTACTGGTGGATCACCTAGTTTTATTAAGATAGGTTTAGAGTAGCCCTTATTTTAGGATGTTTCTAACTCCCATCGTGTGGTCTTTCTGAAATCACAACTGAATGCTCACAATGTTCAGTGATGTCTTTCCACCCTGGATTATTACAAATTCAGTGTCTCTCAGCACTATATGATGTCCGGAATTTCCATTTAGCTCTTAGATGCCCAGAAACTGTTTTCTATTAGGTTTTGCAGGGTCTTGTCCTACACTATCACAGCTTGGTATTTGGCCAGTGACCAGAGATGACCCCTATGTAGATTTCTGAGGCTCTTGCTTTTTGTGTAAAGCCTTTCTTTGTGATATTCTGCCCATTGGTGTTCTCTCTTTGGGCTCTCCCTGTGTCATGATTTGGAAAGTGTCCTCAGTCAAAAAGTGAGGGCGAATTTAGAATTTACCTAAATCACCTTATAATATATAGCCCTATGAAGTCCAATGTCTTAAATTACATCTTTAGGTATTTTGTATGGTTTCACAGTTGAGTATAGCAAGGAGGGAGGTTCAGATAACTGTTAATCTGTGATAACTAAAACCAGAATTTGACATTCTGACAAACTTGAAATTGCAGTGCTTCTTAAAATTAATACAGTATTACTTAAAAAACAAAAACAAAAAAACCAGTGTTTTCCAATTTGCCAATACAAAAAAGCAAAACTCCCATCTCTACTTTTTAGGAACTTCTATCCATTTGAGAAGATGATAAATATATAGGTAAAGTTAGATTGCAGTAAAACTATGCTGTCTAGTGTTAAATCACCAGTATATATAAGTTTTATAGATATTATGTGACTACAGAGCTATAGGTTATAGGAAAAATATAGGATTTCTTGGCAGAAATTGGATTTAACTAGAGCCTTGAAGAGTGGATGCTATTGAGGTAGAAAAGATGGCATTTCAGGATGCAGGGCATATTGTGAACAAATGTACAAGATGGAAATGAGCAAGTCATTCTGAATGATTAATCTGTCTATCATAGAGGGTTTTGATTAGGACATAGTAGTAGTTGATGCTTATAATATGATTTAATATAATAATGTAATGTGCTGAGTGGTTGAAGTCTTTGGACTTTATCTTATAAGTAATATGGCAATAATGTGAAAGATTCTTGAAGAGGAAGAAACCCTGCAGTGAGGGAGAACAGTACAGAGCCTATTACTGTCATTCAGAGGTGAAGCAATAAAGGTCTCTCCTAGGATGTTGGAAAGAAGGGGCAGATCCAAGAAACAACATGAAGAAAATAATCAGCAGAAATTGGTTATTGACTAGATATGTGTGAAAATGATATATTGGCAGAAATTGCAAAGTCAAAAATGGGGCTCATTGCAGCAGGAATGATGAAATTGCTTTTAGATAGAGAGGTGAAGGGATTTAAAACATTAACTTGTTTTAAAGGTATCACTGCTTAAAGCTAACAGTGATTTATTAATATTTGCACTCTGAAAGTTTTAACAGTTTTAATTTTATGTATACACCACAGTGTTTTGGCTACTATACTTGCCTCTTTTGTTCAGTTGGGAATTGAGTAAACTAATAGAGTAAAAAAATGAGTACAAAGTGGGCTTTGACTAGAACTCTAACAAAGTGTGATCACTGAATTACCAAGATAATTAACCCATACCCCACATATACTCCATTTCCCATGACACATATTATATTGCATTGTTTTTGCCTATTTGCCTTCCTACTTCCTAAACTGTTGAATTAGTTTGCTTTTGTTGCATTAAAAAAAAGGAGAATCACCACAAAGCAAATTAAAAGATACTGATTACTTCTTCCAATTCTGTGGGCTGCCTAGTTCATCTGGCCTGGCCTGCTTTGGCTAATCTCTGAGGTCTTTTGGCTACTTGACTGGTACTGTTTGTAGCTACTCAGCTGGTGCCCTACTGCTGTTTGTCTGAAGTTGTTTTGGCTACTCAGCTGGTGCTAGGGAGCCTCAGCTAGGACTGCCTGTCTGTGCTCCACATGGTCTTTGATTTTCCAGTGGCTGGTGCAGGCTTGTTTGCATGGTAACAATGTTCCAAGAAAGCAAGAATGATCATTGCAAGGCCTCTTATAAGCTGGGTTTAGAACTTGTACTTCTACCTCTTCCTATTGGTCAGAGTATGTCCGTAGGTCTGCCAAGACTCAAAGCACAGAGAAATAGATGTTTCCTCTTGTTGAGTGGCATATAAAAAAAAGTGTGGCCATTGATTTCAATCTGCCACAACCGTAAGCTCTGTGAGTACAGGAACTGCATCACTCTTTTGCACTTTGGTGTTGTTGGCATAGTAGGCATAAATATTTTTAGGTGAATGACTAAATTAATGAAGGAAGGAAAACATTCAGGTAGTATTTCAATATACTGTAGTTTTAAATTATATATATTATATACATTTGACATAGTTTAATATATAAGTATATACACATATAGTTTTCATATATAAGTATATTATATATTATATAAAATATTTATATGTTATATATAAAGTATATATATAAAATATATAGTTTTAATATGTAAGTATATGTATATAATTATATATAATATTATAAGTATATATACTTTTATCATACCATCAGTGAGTATAGACATGGTTCAGGGAGAATCTCTTTATTCTCCTTCTATCTTTTGAGATAGACCAAAGAAAATTTTTTTTTAAAAAAAGAACTATCACTTGAGTTAACATTGTTTGGTATTTTTATCTTCATAGGTGATTGCCTTGTGAATAACTCATTTTGTGTATTGTCAGAATCCTATTCTGCTTTTCAGGCTGTGCTATGGGTAGACTAGCTCTAACCAGAACACTTGGGAGACCTGAAGCAAAGATACTATATTAAAATAAGTAATGTTATATGCCAAAGAGGAAAACCACTTCTGCCTCCTAAACAACTGAAAGAACCAGAGACTGTGGGGTCAGATTAGCTAGCATTACTATATGAACCTGAGCAAATGACTTACTCTCTTTCAGCTTCAGTGTCTTATCTAGGACATTGGTTCTCAGGATTGGTGTGAGAATTAAGAGAAATATGTGAAGTTCTAGCTACAGTTCTTTACCCATGAGGTAGTCAGTAAAGTTTACTTCTTTCTCCATGTGAACCAAAGCACTGTCATGATGTGATGATGTTCATTAGGGTTTCTCATGCTCAGCGTTATTGATATTTAGGGTTGCATAATGCTTTATTGTGAGGGGCCATTCTGTGCAGTATAGGATGTGTAGCAGCATCTGTAGCCTCTATACACTAGATGCCAGTAGGACCACCTATCCAGCTGTGACAGGCAAAAATGTCTTCAAACGTTGCCAAATGACCCCTGGGGGCAAAATGCAAACAGTTTATCTAGCAGTGACACATAGCCAGCCACCTTAGAAAGGGAATTGTCAGCGTACCCATAAGTGTAGAATGGGAAACAAAATACTTGAGTCTTCTCAGAATGTCTAAACCTTTTGCTGTCTATATTCCTCTTTTTATAATTTACCACAAACATATATTGCTTATTATGCCATCTAATAAAATGGCTAACATTTGCTGTGTATTATACTCGGTGTTAATAAGCTTTGTATGAACTCACTAGCTGAATGTTGTATATGTATCTGCCATACCTGTTGGATTGACATTCCACTGTAAACAGGTACCTTATCTTTACCAGCTCCAAGCACAATGTATTTGGTATATCAGGTAGCTATTCTACATGTTAATTGATCACATTGCACCCAAATGAAACATGGATGTGGAAGTGGAAGGAGGAGCTTTAAAACATGGAAAATTAGTTTATACAAATCTAAATGTTGTAGTGCACCAAATTGATTCCTTTTTAAAAACTTTCAGAAATCAGCTTTTAAAAAAAAAAAGTAACTAAGCCATGATCAACTTTTCTTTCATCACCACTAAGCCAATATCAGAAAGTTGTCAATCAACAGCTCTTTTAAAGTTGAAATTTTTCTATTGTATTTCTTATGAAGATTTCAGTAGTGCTTAGAAGTTTTTGGCTCATTTATCATGTTTTATTCACTGTATGTCATTAATTGTTAAAGATGTCAGAGTCAAACCTTAAATTCAGGAGAGATTTAAATTTTTCCTTTTTCCTATTTAAATATATGTTTCTAATTACATAATTCAGTTAGAAAATTACAATATAGAAACATATAACTTAGTAAAAGTTTCCAGTTACTGTATACAGATTATATTGTATACTGTATTATTTTTAACAGTTGCATATTTAACTTATAAATGTGGATAATTATAATTAAACAATCTGTTATCAAAGGACATACAGATTATTTCCAGTTCCTTGCTGCAGTGAATATCCTTGTACTTATTTTTTTACACACTTGCTCAGATAATTTTTAAGTACAAATTCCTGAGGTAGAATTGCAGAATCAAAAGATACTCTCATTTGAGTGTTTCACATTTTATGCAAAGTATTTTGTTTCCTCCAGAAAATTCCTCTGTGGAAGAGGCTTCCTCACATTCTTTATCAGTTTATTAGCCAGCAGAGAAATGATGAAAAGCCACCCCTTTTCTTGTAGTTTCATCCTCATTGCTATCCAAGATGAGGTATTAAAATCACACCTAAGTGGTGTCTGTTGTGGCTGAATATAATCTTGAAAGTAGAGACACTTCTCTCTGATTCCCAACTGTACTCTCTGGATGGCACCTAAAATTTTATTTTTTCAAACTGAAAATCATTTTAATGAGTTCGAAAAGGTTTTATTTTTTAAAATGAAATCCTATAGAAAGAATACATTTTCTTACAGTGGGTCATGGTCAAAAGTGTGAATATCTCTGATCCTAGAAAGTTTCCCCAGTTACAAGGACAGGCGTGCCCCCAACTCCATCCTTAATGGCTCAATTCTGTGGCTTTCAAGTTAATCCACTCAGTCCTACAGCCTTCACCAAGAAGCTCATGTGCTACACTTTGGTGTTAGTGGGGGCATTGTCACACAGGTTCAGAAAATAACCCATTAGGCATTTTATAGAACTCATCACATGTTCAGAACTAAGCTAGTTGTAACATTATGTTTTTCATGTGAAAAAACACAAGCAATTCACTGGCTATTTTATTTGTTGCTAGCTAGCTATACTTTCTATTTCTTTTTCCATGGTGTGAAAATCTTCCTAGAAACCTCACTACTGGGAAAAGAGATGCAGAGATTAGTCCCATCTTCTCCCCTGGAAATTTACTATCGCCCTTTTGGCTTCAAGGTCCTTCCTCAAAAGCAAAGAATTGAACAAGGGAAAGTGAGGGGAAGGGCTGGGGGAACAGGGAGGTAGAAGGGGTTTTCCCTGGTCTTTTCTAATCCTTTAGTTCCAGACGCTTAGTTGGTATTTCAACATTTTAGAAATAAAACCTGCTTTTATAATTAATGCAAATATTACTTAGTGATTCATCCTTTCCAAATGATTCTTGGTTTCTTTTGACATTTCATTTTTAAATTGTGAATTAACATTGACATCACCATAGCGTTACTGTTACCTCAGCTCTTTACAGTGAACTGTATTGCAAAGGCTATAAAAGTTCAAATTTTAACTATCACCCACGTGAGCCTTGGACTGCTGTTAGGCTTTTGAAACTGTGATCCTTTGGCAAGAATTGGTGTATAAATCATGGGGAGGATATTGAAGGGGAAGATCATGTTTAATTTGGCAGTTGGGTGCCTGCAATTGACAGATTTTCATTAAGGTTTTAGCTATAGTAGTGATCATGCATCAGTTCTAATAAAGTAGGTTTCGTTTGAATTTTAAAAATTAGAGTGAGGACTGCTTTATGTTAACTGTTTACATTCAGAAGTCTGGAAAACCATCCACAGGTTTAAATGTATATAATCAGTATAATTAACACATCAACAGCCTCACCTCTGTTTTTGAGGACCATAGGCTAATATTATTTATGAAGGTTCAGGAGATCAGTCTAGATCGACAGAAAGCTTAAGGGCAAAGATGGTTTTAATATTTTTCTTGGAAGTTTGAGCTTCTGTGGTATTCTAAGGATAGGGATTTTGACATTGATTGTTCTAGCTGGTATTCAGTACTGTATTTAAGTGTAATGTTTTTACTAGTATTCTTCTTATAACTGAAAACTATGCTAATGATTCTTTACTATAGATATATACTCATAAATACGTGTAAAAATCCAAGTTTACCAAAAAATATTAAGACTTAGGGGATATGTTCTTTGAATAGGCATTTATTTGCTAATTAACATATTCTAATCTCAACAAGGTTATATTCTTTTCAAAAATCCATTCCATCAAAATCTGTCATTTTTACAGATGAAGAAACAAAGGCCACAGTGAGTTTAGTTAATATCCAAGATCACACAGCCAGCATGATAGAACTCTTAAATTTCAAGCGACTTACCCTCTTTACTCTATCAGGTCAAATTTCCCTTTTTTAACTGCTTGTCTTAATTGAGATTTGTTTAATTGTGGCTGTCTGTATATCTTCAATCAATACTTTCTTGTTTTAGACAAATGTTTCCCTGCAAATCTGCATGAACTTCATGTTCTGAAGGACTCAGAGCTGCCCTTTCCTTTTTGTTAAAGTTGTACACTGCTCTGCATCCCCCTAGAATGCTCATCAGCTTTCTCACTCTTCCTCACTCACACAGTGCTCCAGCAGGAGAGGATTTCTTTGAAAATCAGATTCTTTTTTGGAGGGCTTTGTGCTTATTGGAGTGTTATGTGATATATTCATTACGGTGAGGGCTAAACTCTTTGAACAAAGAGACCTGACAGTGCATTTGGGTTAAAGAACAAAGTTTATTTCTTTCTCTCATCACCACCAGCATGAGCAGCCTGGATGGTCAGAGCAGATCTGTCTCATGGCATTGTTCAGGGATCCTCATTCCTTCCCTCTCATTTATCTGCCATCCCCTAGGCTATTAATCATCATGTTTTTGGTAGAAGCCAGGTCTTCTCCATGTCTGAGTTTTTATGGAGGAAGCATGTCAAGGGCCTTAAGCCCAGACCTGGAAGTGGTATGCAAGAGTTCTGACATTGCACTGGTGAGCATTTGGTCAGATGGCCATCTCTAACTCCAACGAAGTGTAGGGTATACACTAGGTAAGCAGTCACATTTCCAGCTACAATACTAATTCTATGGAAAAGGAGACAACATATTTTGATGGGTAGCTGACATTCTCATCTGCAGTCCTAAGTACTCATGACTGCTAGATAGACTTTATGAAAAAAAAAAAGAAAAATAACCCCAGGAATTAATATTTACCCTCAGCCTTGTGTTTCTTTAATTTTCTCATTTTTCATGTCACATATCTAAAATTTGATCTAAATAAATTTAAATAAAATTAACCTTTATTTGAATAATAATAAGGACATTTCTCAAGGAAGTAAATCTCAAATGATATGTGATTTTAGATACTATCTTTATCTGACCATGTGGTTCCTTGCTTCTATCAGGGAGGGCCTCTGGGTAATAGAAGATTGCTAGGGCCTGCAGTATATTAATGTTTAGCTGGAGTTGATTAAATCTGAGACCTATAGCCTTGATAATAAGGACTTTTATTTTTGTATTTTTATTGCACTTTTAATATTACAGAGTTTCTGTACCAGCTTGACAACAGCAGAAACATGGCTTGCTTCTGTGGAACACGCTAGAGCAGCAGTCCCCAACCTTTTTGGCATCAGGGACCAGTTTCGTGGAAGACAGCGTTTCCACAGACTGGGGGCTGGGGGTGATTTTGTGATGATTCAAGCACATTACATATATTGTGCACTTTATTTCTATTATTATTAACATTGTAATATGTAATTAAATAATTATACAACTCACCATAATGTAGAATCAGTAGGAGACCTGAGCTGCTTTTCCCACAACTAGACAGTCCCATCTGGGAGTGACGGGAGACAGTGACCCATCTGGAGACAGTGACAGTGATCATCAGGCGTTAGATTCTCATAAGGAGCGGGCAATCTAGATCCCTTGCATGCACAGTTCACAATAGGGTTTATGCTCCTATGAGAATCTAATGCCACTGCTGATCTGACAGGACACGGAGCTCAGGCAGTAATGCAAGCGATGGGGAGCAGCTGTATATACAGATGAAGCTTGGCTGGCTTGCCTACTGCTCACCTCTTTTTGTGCTGCGTTATCCATAGCCCAGGGTTTGGGGACGCCTGCACTAGAGGACAGAGCCTGGTACACTATAGCAGTCCTCCCCTTGTGTTATGCAGAGTACTGATCAGTCCCTTTTGAGCTTCTCAACCTTGTATAAAACTTTGAGACAGTTCTGGGACCATCACAAGGTTTATGAAGGGTTAGAAAACAATACACTTAAGGAACTAAGACTGTAAATCGTTGAAGTTCAGAGGGCGATAAAAAGAAATGGCTTCTAAGAATCCCAGTATGTATGATTTTTTATACAAAGCATAAAGATGATTTGTACCAAACTCAGGACACTGTGGCGAGCTTAACACGAGGGTATTGAATCATACGTAAGTGGTAATTCCTAGATTATGCAATCTCCTTGCTGTTAGATTTAGATACCAAAGAGGAACTACATCATGTCCTCCTCCTATGGTCTTCAAAAAAGGATTATATTTGGTCTTACTGGTATAATACAGTTTATTCCTGCATGAATTCCATGGTGATAGAATTTTTAAAGTTCATTCTAGTGTTACAGTTTTGTTTTGTTTTGTTTTAATACACAGCTTCAGAATGGCAGAAGATGATCCATATTTGGGAAGGCCTGAACAAGTAAGTGTCATAATCTCACTGATAACTTTATTTAAATATATTCATATTTCAAAAATATGCAAAGGCAACATTAGTAAGTTAGCATTAGGAAAATTCTAAAATTAGTAAATTTTTTTTTAATTTCAGTTTCTCTGTCCTTTCATGTGAAGTTGGAGAGGATATGTCATGTGAAATGAGTAACTTACACCCGCTTTCACACATATTGTTGCACAAAAATTGTATATGCTACAGGATAGCTATTGTATTAGCTTTCTAGAGCTACCATAACAGATCACCACAAACCTGATGGCTTAAAACAACAAAATACATTATTTCACAGTTCTGGGGGCTAGAAGTATGAAATCAAGGTGTTGGCAGGGTTGGTTCCTTCTGGAGGCTCTCAGGAAGAATCTGTTCCATGCCTCTCCCCTAGCTTCTGGTTGGTTGCTGGGAATCCTTGGCTTGTAGCTTTATCGCTCCAATCTCTTCCTCCATTGTCACGTGCGCTTCTTCCCGGCGTGTCTCTACTGTGTCTCTAAACCTAAATCTCCTCTTTTTTTCTTCCAAAGGCATCATTGGATTTAGGGTACACCCTTATCCAATATGACTTCATCTTAATTTGTTTATATCTGCGAAGACCCTATTTCCAAATAAAGTCACATTCACAGGTACCGGGGATTAGGAGTTAAAGGTGTCTTTTTGGGAGGGAACACAGTTTAACCCACTACAGCCCCTTGACATATTTATTTAATGTGTACACATGGATGTAGAGAGTGGAATGACAGACCATGGAGATTCAGAAAGGTGAGGGATGGGAGGGCAGTGGGATGGGGGTGGATGATAAGAAGTTACTTAATGGGTACAATGTATGTTATTTGAGTGTTGGATACCCTAAAAACCCTGTTTTGACTACTATACAATCTATGCATGTAACAAAATTGCACTTGTACCCCATCAATTTATACCAAAAAAAAATTTTATTTAAAACTCATCTAGTAAGGAGACAGATTGTTGTAGTGAAAAGATCTTTGAACTCAGAATTTGAAGATCTTTATATAAGTACTGACTACTACAGATCAGCTCCTCAGACTTGAAGAATCACTTAGTCCCCGTAATCCTCACTTTTCTCATTTGTAAAATAGAAATGCTAGCACCACACTAACAGGGATGAGTCAAAAATATTCAATGAATGTGCTTTGTAAGCATAAAACTGTTCCTATCATTATATTAGTAGTTATGAAAGGATAGCAGTGTCCTTTTTTCTTTTTCTCCTATATTTTATTTTGAAAAATGTTGGAAAAAATAAATAGAAATGTTGGAATAATCTAACAAATCTACATTGGTTCTTAAAACCGACATTTTCGCTTTTCTCTTTGCTCTCTTTTTCGTGTGTGTGTGTGTGTGTATATATGTATATATGTATATGTATATACATAATCATTTGGAAGCAATTTTCAGACTCTGGAGCAATTATAATGGCAATATTAAATTATTTATGTAATGATTCCAAGAAGTATTTAAAACATGGAGATTTGTTCATTCATCAGCTATTTATTGAGGTATTACTACGTGCCAGAACATTGGCTTAGTGGGGAAAAAATAAGTGATATATACACTCTAATTTCAGGAACCTACTATTTTAATAGGAAGAACAGAGACATTGTTTTCATATGGTGATATATGCTGTAGTAGTAGTCTGCGCAGAGCGGGATAGAAATGTTAATAAGCAGCATCACTAGGTGCTACCTTGGAGGAAGAGCAGAGTTACGGAGGACTTTCCGAAGGAAGTCTTCGTAAGCTGTGTTTTGAAAGATGTAGTTTGCTAGACTAGAAAAGGTGAAGGAACACTAGGTGCCAGGATAGCCTGGTCACATTTAAATTTTAGTGGAAATCATTTAAAATAGTGGATTTCTGAAATTACACGTGCAAAGAATCAGCCAGAAAAATAAAAACAGAAGTGGAATATGTTTTAAAGGCTCTGGTATCATTTCTATAAATAAAATGGACATATATAGCATTTATCACTTCGGGTGATATTCTGATTGATTTAGAAAGAATGACTGCATTGCTTTTCACATTAAGATGCTCCTTTCTAATTTTATTTTTAAAATGGTGATTTAGGATAAATCTAGGAACATTTTCTTTTATTGCAGCAAAGACATTTGGCTAATTGTATTATCAAAACCGTTTGTTTTACCTTTCGCTTTTATTGTGCTTTCTCTAACAATTAAGGGCGAACTAACCAGCATGAGGATTGTGTCTGCTTGATTTTAAACCATCCTTTCCTGTCTGTACACAGGAAATCTTATCAACAAGAGATGATTCTTTATGCCACAGAAGAGTAAAATCTGCTGAAAACATTCATTTTGAAAGTTTTTCTTATGTGGGCATCTTTGCGATCATCAGTAACAGGGGTGGGGCATATTCTGACATTTCCATTTTTGAGGCAAGCGGTCTTGAAGTTTTTTTCTTTCTTGGCTTGAGCTTGGTGGTTTATATTTCCTAAAGTTTGCATGTCCTCAGTGTTTTAGTGGAGTCTGGAATTTGCTCTCCACCCTGACCTAATAAACAATGCAAGCTGCAGCACAACACAACTTCTCTCTTAGTCTGAAGTGAAGAGTATATCTCTCTCCTAAGGTGAGCCCTTTTGCCCACTCGCCAGTCATTTAGCCACCACAGGAAAGAGTTTTCCTGCTAGGTTATCACGTTTGCTCTGAGACTGTTAAAATCCTGTATGAAATGAGGCCCATTTTTGCAGAACATGGTTTTTCATTCCTGTATTTCCTTTTCAGCAAACAATGAATAGCATCAGTGAGCTTTTAATCTTATAAGCATTGAAGTGAAGCGCATTCTTTGTTCCTCAGTTGAAAATTTGCATCCCTCAAATGGATCTGAAGTACTGTTTATTTAAACGAGATTTTTCTTACTCTTAATTTAACTAGGCATACGAAGATCTTCAGTACCCCAGAACTTTCAATAATTTACTACTAAGGGCAGGAGACAAACTGTAATACTGGCTACTAAAAGAAACGAAAAGCTAGTTCAGCACACTTACTAGTCTCTCATAAAAAGTAAAATATGGCTGGTTTCCATGCTGTCCACAGACATTTCAAACATATAACTTCTTTAGGCTAAAATAAATAGCAAGCTCAGAAATACAGTTTTAAAGTCCTAAATGAGCCAGCGGTTACAATGTTTTTTGATAAGTAATGAATAGTAATTTATTAAGATAAAATGTACTTTCTTCAAAATATTCTGCATGCCCACTCTGTTGCTGCCCTAACACATTACCACATACTTGGGGCTTAAAACAACACAAATTTATACTTCTGAGTCAGGAGCTCAGAAATCTAGAATCAAGGTGTTGGCAGGGCTGCTTTCCTTCTTGCAGCTCTCATCTCTTTGCCTTTTGAGCTTCTAGTGGCTGCCTGCTTTCCCTGTGCACCCTCTCATCACTCCAGCCTCTTGCTTCCTTTGTCATACTTCCTACTATTCAGTGTGATTTCCTGAACCCCTCTCATCAGGCCCACCTGGACAATTCAAGACACTCTCTTCATCTTATTATCATTACCTTAATGACATACGTAAATTTCCTTTTGTCATATAAGGTAGCACTCACAGTTTCTGAGGATTAGGATGCAGACATGTTTAGGGGGTCGTTATTCAGCTTAACACACCCACTAGATTCCAGGTATTTTGTGTTATGCTAGGAAACTGAAGGTAAAAGAAATGAGTGAGCTCAGTGCTTAGTTGTCTACTCCTTGTACTGTCAGTTATATTTTCAGTTATTCTGTAAATAGTCCCAGAGGTGCTCTCTAGCATTCTTTCAGGCCTTGACATTGGATAGCTAGATGAGGGGTATATTTACCACCATAGAGGAAATACTGATTTCTAGGATTATATTATTTTGTTTATACTTCTAAGAGAGTACAAGCTTCAAATCATTCATTCAACAACTATTTAAGTATCTGTTCTGTGATAAGCATGTACTTGGCCCTGAAGATATACCAGTAAGCAAGCTAGACCAGGTCCCTGCCTCTGGGGACTTTATAGCCAAGTTATGCTTCTCAAATCCCTTTGTTACGTAAACGTTGTCCAACCCTATGTAAAGTTTTGTACACATGAGAACTACCTAGGTCTCATGAAGATCTTTTAAAACCCTGATTTAAAATATTTTCAGATTTTTGTTTTTGGCTTTAGTTTCATTCCTATTATTACATTTTAGGTGTCCCAACTTCAAATTTTTCATATAATATAGGAAAAATAATGATTGAAACATTTAAATGTTCTTCTTTACAGATGTTTCATTTGGATCCTTCTTTGACTCATACAATATTTAATCCAGAAGTATTTCAACCACAGATGGCACTGCCAACAGGTAAGAAAACTCATCCCTGTTACCCTGTTGTTCTGCTTTCAGTCTTAGTAAAATGCAGGATTTGTTAATAGTCTGTCCTAGAAACTCAGTTGTGTACCTAGAAAGGAAATGGTGATTTGTTTTAAAAACCAATCTTTTAACATACTTTCTTGAAATATATTTGCACAAAAATATTTCATCTCAATTACCCCTTGTATGGTTTACTGCATTTCATATCTGCTAGGACTACTCAGAAGGAATTTCTTTAGTCAACATAAGGATTTTCTTTATTATCTCTGTATTCCTTTTAAGTCCTTTCTCCCAGATTCACACGAGGCAGTCTCCACTCTTCATTTCTGTTTCAAACATTTAAGAGGGCCTGTTGTGTACTACCAGTGTGCCAGTCACTGGGGAATCAAAGTGTACAGAAATCATAAAAATCATCTCATTAGAAAAATCATCTTTATAAAAGCTTATAACTTTGCACTCTGACAAGTTGGATAAAACTCATAATCCTTCCTTCTACCATGACTGTATTAATTGTGCCGATTGGCAACTGTTTAATTTCGTAAGAGTAATAAAAAAAAAACTCTCTTTCTTAAAAAAAGTGATTTATTTGTATGTAAGCTTGGTGTGATGGCTCTTTTTATGTTCTGTTTCTCTCCTCACTTCACCCGTCACCAGTGGGACTTAACAGATGTTCAAAAGCAGTGTGAGTGAATTATGGAAGTTATGTGTAAAACAGAGTTTGGTAATCGCTGAAGGAGGCATCAGCTCTTTTATTTACCAGGGACTTGCTTGTCTTCATTGGGGGACTTTATCCCATTTGTATTATTCTCATTTAAAATTATCATGGTTACTACAGTACTTACTTTTCTTTTGTTTTAGATCAGAAAACTTTTTCTGCATTTATATCTTTAGTATTTCTAGGAGTTCATGGGAGGGAAAAAAGTAGATCTACTATACTTTCACCTTCACTAGTAAAGGTGTATTTCAGAGGTTTTTCTGTCTTTACCCCTACAAAACATTATTTTTAGGCTGCCATGTCTGAGATCTTGTGAAGTGCTGTCCAATTTGAGCTCTAGGTCAGCTTCCTGTGAACAAGTAAATGTGTTGGTAGTGTGTGTGTTTCTTGGGAACTTTTTAATTCTGGAGTTCAAAGTATTTTTCTTAGTATTAATGTATTACTGAAAATATAAGAACTTGGTTCTGTCCACAGGAAATACACACATTTTCACTTAATGTCTTGTGAATACAAAACAGTATCCTGAGGCAGACGTTTTCTTAATTTTATTCCTTCGGATTTATGGGCATGAAAATAAGATTATCAAGATAACCATCTCAGTAAATATTCTGTGGTCACAGCTTTATGTTGTAGAAATTATTTTGCCATAATATTAGAAAAACTATTCAAATTACACCTAAAAATCTAATTTGTTAGTTGTTGTTACACCATCATTTTTACCTGTATGTTTTTCCCTCTTCATTGCAGTGTCATAGTACAATTTTTATAGTCCAAGATATATAGGATGTTGTATTCAAATTTTTAAAGAGGTAGAGAGGTTGATTATCTAAACCAATATTAACTTGTAACTCTAAAATGGATTATTTTAGTCTTCTAGATTTTTTGAAATCTAAAACCTTTAGTAGATCTAGTACTTGTTGAAGACTATGGGATGCGACATAACTCTTAGGTCTAAAGTTAAATTTCTCTGCACAGTGGAATGTCCTTTTCATGGCACAGAAATGTGGCCAAAAGAATGTTGGCCTTAAAACAACAAATACATGCATATCAAATCTAATTTTCTAGTTGATTTAACTTTAATGTGTTGCCTGAAAGAGGAAAAATGGCTCTATTTTACATGAATTTTCACATATTTAAAGGAAATTAAATCCTACAGGAAAAATAATAGCAAATTTGCAGTTGTTTTTAGCAGAGTTAATAAAAAGTGAGAGACTTGAAGTTTAATGTAAACATGCTTCCAACTCCTCTGTATTTTTCATGACATCCAAATATTGCTCTGTTAGAGGACTGTCTTGATATGTTCTTTCACCATTTTAACAGGGAATGTTTTTATAAGTGTTACATTGTCATACAGGCTGTATCTTAGTGTGAAAATATTTCTATTTCTAATCAATTTTATTTCCATATCCAAAATTAAATTCTAGCCATTTGGTGGGGGAATTTTTAAATTATGATTATGTTTCTAAAAGTAATTTAAAATGTCCAGGGGTGAATTTCATACAGACAAAAGATGGTAATTTAATACATTGACCAGTGACTCCCCCTTTTTTTTCTTGTGTATGCTTCATTTCAGATGCATTCATTTTTCAACTCGCTTCCTTGTAAATTTCTTGAATAATAACAGGAAGTAATTATACCCTTGTTTTCTCCAGTTCTCTAGCCTTATCCTGATTTATCATAATATTGAAAAGATAAAAATAAATTCTCTGGCCGGGTGAGGTGGCTCACGCCTGTAATCCCAGCACTTTGGGAGGCCAAGGCAGGTAGATCACGAGCTCAGGAGTTCAAGACCAGCCTGGCCAAGATGGTGAAACCCCGTCTCTACTAAAAAAATACAAAAATTAGCTGGGCATGGTGGTAGGCGCCTGTAATTCCAGCTCCTCTGGAGGCTGAGGCAGAGAATTGCTTGAACCCAGGAAGCAGAGATTGTGGTGAGCCGAGATTGTGCCATGGCACTCCAGCCTGGGTGACAGAGTGAGACTCTGTCTCAAAAAAAAATAAAAAAAATTTTGAGAAAATTCTCTTTTGTGTTATAGTTTATTTTTAATTTCAACCTGAAGGTTTATCTCCTTACAAATTTATTTAAAATAAGAGGTCTTGAGCTTCTTTCTGAGAGAAAATGAAGATTAAAATGGACATACAAGCATTCTCCTAAAATATTTTTAGCACCAAACATCTTAATTTACATTCAAATAAATGAGAACCACCATATGCCTTTATTTATTGCAAAGCTATGGATTATTGTACTATTGACATAAAAATCAGCTGGGAAGCTTAAGGACTTTTTCATATTGAACAGTTTGTACTTATGTTGTCAGAGATTCTGATTTTCCTTTGAATTTTCAAGTCAGATACCATTAGGGTATGGATTAAGCCTCTAGTTTTCTTTGCGTTTTTACAATAACTAATTTGCATGTACCTATCTTCAATTAAATTATTTTCAGTATTTTATAAAATGCCTGAGATGTTTTAGAACACAGTTTATATGATAGCACAATATTCAAAATTGCTTATAAACATCAAAAGTTATGGATTAATATGAAAATTTTACCATGTCTGATAGACCAGATTACATTGGGAGTGTCGGGGAGGAAAGGGGAAACAAACTAACCAGTTAAGGAATGAAGGCAGTACTTTCCCTTCAAGTAAAGACGGGAACAGAAAACCTAGTGTAAGGAAAAAGAGATAGCCTGAGATCATTATCTGTCTATCAGACGTATACATACAGGTTGCTAGATCAGTATCTTTTAATTTCACATTAAGCACACTCTCTTTGAGGAAGGAAAGTCAGTGTCTAATGATGTGAAGGCCAAAGAAAATGTCATAGTGCCCAGAAGTGGTTGCTGCTTTTAATTGGTATTTGTCATTTTAAAATGCTTTGTTAGGAGACAAGATTATGAAGGCTGTTGACATCAATTCTTGCCGGCCATATGCCTTTTATTGGGTTAGGAAATGTGCCATCACCTTTCAACAAACATTTACTTATTGTGGTTCGCTAAACTCGTAAAACTATTGTTAAAATAAGGGTTAATTTAATATTTCAGACAAGGAAGAGAAATTATATCCTTGTGGAATTTTAACCAAAAATTGATTTGAAATTTCTACATAAAAACATAATTTCAGTTTTTTACTTGCTTTACGTTTTATACCAAATTTGAGAAGCCTCACAGTTTCTTTTGGTTTCTGTTTGTTGTTTTTGTTTTTAGCAGATGGCCCATACCTTCAAATATTAGAGCAACCTAAACAGGTAAGATTAAAGGGGTGGGACTTTAAATGTTAGATTCCAGTGTCTAATATTGAGATCATAAGCACTGAAGAATAGTAAATGAGTTCTATGAAGGAAGTAGTTTATCTGAAAGATCAACAACCTGACAAATTATGTAACAGCTTTATTCATTCACTTTACATTTCTCTTACTCATTGTTCACACTGTCCTGAGCCTCAGTATGTAGTTCTGTAAAACTGCAGTTAATTACAGTATTAGAATTACAGTTAATTACAGTATTCTGCTGTCTCTACCAGCTTAACTTACCAGCCACTCCCAGGAAAGGCAGAGGTGATTTCCATTCATTTTCATTTATAAGGAAATACGTATGCATACAGTTCACATGCACTGAGCGATATCCATCTATTATCCTTGCACATGTAGTACCTCTTAGCCTTCCTCCTTCCTTTGGTAGCCCCAGCCTTTTCTGTGCTGCCTTTGGAACATGTAACCTAACATACTGAAAGTACCAGTGGGAAGTAAAATGTTAGAATGAACTATTGAATTCTCTTCCCTCTGGTGTCAGCCTCTTTGGAGTCAGGAGAGGAACATTTTTTCAGGTGCTTCCCCTTACCACTAGAGTCTGTAGAGAATAGCTCAGAACTGAAATGGCCTCCTCACTGTATCCAACTCTGTGGATATTTATAGGAAATTGGATGGGACCAATGCTGTGAAAGAGAAAGAAAGGCAATCTTTAATGTCTGCCTATAGGAGGTTTCAGTTATTAGGGAATGGAAATAATGGTGTAGTTCCCCACAGAATGAGGACAGTCAGTAAATCTTTGGATGGATAAACTAATCACATTTGTGTGTGACTGAGGATATGGATACCTGTCCTCTTGCAGCTGTATTACCCAATACATTTTCTAAGTATTCTTTTCATTAGCTCAGGTGAGTGAAACACTTTTGCATTTTGTAACATTTAACACATGCTAACTAGGTCACAAGCTTAAATAAAGCATCCACTGCGTTGTGGTTTCCAGAATCGTGACATTATATATGTGTTATATTTGGTCAGCATTTGATATAAATGTCTTAATGATTGCTGAACAGGCTATCCTTATAAGGTTGAAATTAGATGAAAGTTTTTGCTGTGGGGGCAAGAATGCCACATGAAACTTTGGGGCATGGTTCTAGTTCTTGCAGGTGTCACATCCTGACTCCTCAGGTTGCCAGTAACACTCCATTGCTCTACCTCCATGTTCAACTCTTTTAAGCAGTTATTTCTCAGAGAAGGTCATCAATTCCCAGTGAAATTTTATCCCTTAAAGTTCTGTGGGCTCTGGCATCCTGGAAAATTTCCCAGCTTTTAAGATCTAGGTAGTCTATGAAACAGAAATCAACTGAAATTTGTCTGCATATGCCAAAGTATTTTTTCCAATATCATTTTCATAAGCATAGCACTACAATAAGAATTTTTAAATGTAATTCCTTATTATGGATCCAACAGTTATAAGGAAAAATTGGCATTTATGATTTACCTGAAGGGTTAATGTAGTTCCAAAATTCAAAATTTAATTCATATAAAAGCTTATGTGAGTAAAACAATGTGTTTACCAAAGTGATGCTATTTTGATATCTGAATTCAGTGAAAGTAAGAAGGTTGTATTCAAGTCAGACTTTCTGACTGAATGGATGTAGCCTTGCCTTTGAGGTTGATGACTCATTTTAAGCAAATGGAGTTACTGAGATGAGTGAATGTGGATTAAAGGCAAAATTTTGATCTCAGAAATTTAGAATCAGAAATGCATCCAGACAATGCATTTGACGACATCTTCCTGAAAACAGTTGTAAATTTTCATCCTCAGATTAAAAACTTCTGAGGATTTAGATACTCGTATGTAACCATGAAAAATATCTATTAAGTATTGTCTATTTGACACCACTCCCAATAAGATATAAACACATACGTGTCTATATTTTTCCAACTGTCCCAAAGGAATTTTGTGATTAAAGATAATGAATTGTGTGTGTGTGGTTTTGGGGTTTTTTTTGTTTTTTTTTTTTAAGTTAGAAAAAGATTCTTTTTTCTTTGGGACCTCTTAGCCACAGATTTTCCCCAGCTCTGACGGAGATGAGTCATAGCATAGACTACTAATTTTTAGAACATCCAGTTCTGTTGCATATTAATCAGTGTTAATTAACTAATACTGTTCAAAAACTCAAGTTGTGTTTAAATTAGCAGTCAAGTAAATCTCTATTCTTATGGTTAGCTAATTCTGCAGGCTATTATACATGTGTTGTTTTTTTCATGGTTTTAGAAATTTCATTTAATTATTTAAAAAACCAACAGTGTTTGCTTACAAAAGGCATAGGGCTGAAATTGTAAATTATTTTTAAATATGAATTGTGTGAGAATCAAAACAAAGGAATTACCTCTGAAACTTCATCTCCAAAGGCTTCCCTTGTGTTTAGATCTGGAATCTCCCAAGGAATTGTTTTAGGTCTCACTGTGATGAGTTGATCATAAACTTTAGACATTTGTGTGCATTAAGGAAATTTCCCAGACCGGGGAATTTACTTTAGGCCTTACTTATCTGGTAAATGTGTTTGAGGACTGATCTTTGGAAATCAGGAAGTTTTTGGATAATATAGGAACAGTTCCAGATGCTTCCCAGAGATTTAAATCAGTTCAAGGCACCTGGACTGCTCAGAGACTGCAAGACCCTACTTGGCATAATGAAATGTAGTATAGTCTAAGTAGTGCATACGTTTTACATTTGTTCATGAGCTCAAAGCTGTCAAAATCTGCATGTTTGCTGGGGTTCCACAATTTAATGAGTAAGGGAGTGAACCCCCACCAGCAGCTAGTGGGTGTGATGAGCTGATGGGCAGATGATCTAGTGCTGTATATGCAGAGTTGGTCCCACAATAGAAACAAAAGGTGAGAATGTTCCTTAAAAAATCTTAACGTATTTTCTTTTCACCAAAAAGTGAATCTGTAAAAAGAAAATCATCTGCTTAAGCGACTATGTGGTTATAAACTACTAACACTACCACAAATTGATTGACATCATTATAAAGTTGAATCAGGAAATACAGCGAAACCTCCCTTAATATGATGATGAGGTCATAATTATCCTTGTTTTATTCTTTGTATACAAATATGAATAAGTTAACTTTATAAATCATAAAAAGTTAGAACTGGAGTAGACCTTAAAGATGGTCTGGTATAATCTTCCCTTTTGTACAAATGAAAAAATATGACACTTCTTAGGTGTTTATCAGCCCACAGTAGTTTATATAGTGAAGGCTTCCAGCTAACTTCATTAATTAACTATATCTATAAAATTTCTGGGTTAGATAGTATTTAAGGGAACTACCTAGTTTTGGAATCATTCTGGTAGGTTAATATTCAATCTTGAGCTTGACCATATTAATAATCATAAAAACAAAAATCTTATCCTCTGAAATGCTGAGAGAAGCTTAACAGATGCAGGGTCTAGCACAGGGTGTGTTCTACAACGCTGAAACAGTATATCTAAATAAACATGTCTGTAGTCCCTGCTGAACCAGCTGTAATCAGAGTAGATAAAGGAATGTCTTTAAGTAAGAGTCAAGGAAGCATAACTTTTATTAATATGGTACAGTTCAGAGCTTGGCAGCAGCAATTTAAGACAAGGAAGCTCTGACTAGAACAAGCCGTAACATGTTAAGTCTAAAGCCTAAACTCTTCAGCAGATTACTCTCCACACATGCATAGCATGAGAGGTTCCATGGGCTTAGGTACCTGGCTTTTTAGCCATATCTTAGTGTACAAATATCAATTAATACCATTTTTCGTAGTAAGATTACGGGAAAAGTGATTCTTGTTTACGGAGCCCTCTTTCACAGTTTCATGTTTTTCTTCTCTCATTTAGTAGACATAAGATTTAAAAATTTGTATGTACCTTTGTTGCCGTAATTTTTAATAAGTATTTCTCAAACTTAATTGGCTTAACGTTCACCTTTGCAGAGAGGATTTCGTTTCCGTTATGTATGTGAAGGCCCATCCCATGGTGGACTACCTGGTGCCTCTAGTGAAAAGAACAAGAAGTCTTACCCTCAGGTCAAAGTAAGTTTGTGGTAGCTCTCCTTCTATTTGAATTCTGGAAATTTTGATTTCCTACGATTTCCAAGGAATTGCTTTAAATGAGTACGGGTTGCCTTCGCTCCTAAGCTGAAGTGTTCACATGATTATTAAAATTTTTAAATAGAAATTTGTCTCCTAGCAATAGAAGTGACAGATACTAAAACTTTGTTAACATTTCAATTTAGTAGAAATGTCTTCAGCATTAGCTAACAAACTTACTATTTCTTGATCATCTTAAATATTTTTAAAAATTGGATACTTCCTGAAACTTTAGTAAGTCTTTGAAAGAAATGGTTGATTTTGACTCTTTGGAGATTTAGTGAAAAACCAAACAAGTGACTGAGTGTATGGATTATATAGTATATTATTTAAGATTATGAATTTGGATCCAGACTTTGTTATTAGCTGTGTAGCTTTGAATAGGTTTAACCAATACTTCTAAACTTCAGTCTCTTAATGTATAAAATACAAAAATATTAATAGTATATACTTCATAAGGTCCTTTAGAGATTAAATGAGAAAATGTGTACATGTTCCATAGAGAGCCTGAAAGTACCCTAGGGCCTTGGCCTGAGCAGATGTGTGGCCCTCTTGGAATGAACTGCTACGTGACATGCTGGTGGTGTATTTGGTCATACCTTTTACCATGTTCAGGCTGTTTGTTTATTTGAGAATATTTTTCTTTAAGTTAATATGAGACTTTTAATTTCATAATATGCTATGTTTCATAGACTGACTGATGATAAACATAGACTGGTAATCATTTTGCAGATAAACGCAGTCAACAATTGTAATTTAGTTTTTTATAAAAGTTATTATTTAGTCAGTAATTCAAGGCTTGGACAAAATAGTTCTCACTATGTGTGTGTGCCCCTCAGGGTGTAACATACTTTTGGACTCAGTCTTTTTATTGGTTTGTTTTTGTAAGTAGATGAAGCTCAGTAGAGCAGGCCCTCAGCAAAGTTGTGATGTAAAGAAATCTGGCCGGGCTCGTTGACTCATGTCTGTAATCCCAGCACTTTGGGAGGCCGAGGCTAGCAGATCACAAGGTCAGGAGTTCGAGACCAGCCTGGCCAATATGGTGAAACCCCATCTCTACTAAAAATACAAAAATTAGCTGGGTGTGGTGGTGTACACCTGTAGTCCCAGCTAGTCAGGAGGCTGAGGCACAAGAATCGCTTGAACCTGGGAAGCGGAGGTTGCAGTGAGCCGAGACTGTGCCACTGGACTCCATCCTGGACAACAGAGCGAGACTCTGTCTCAAAAAAAAAAAAAAAAAAAAAGAAAGAAATCAGTCTTTGGTTTTGCCAGCCTTGCATTTTGTTTCTTCCTTTTCCTCTTATCCATCTTCTAGGCCCAGGCCTGTTAAATTTCTTATCCTTATTCCCAAACAAAAGACAAAATGTTGTGACGTCGTTCTTTACCTTTCAAGTGAAACTCACCCATTATTTAGTATGGGTACTACTAGTCATAGTTGCATTTTAAGTCTCTTAGCTCCAATTGTGGAATGAAAGATGTTTTTTCTATTAAAGGTAATTAGGCGGGTAAATATGATGGCTTAAGTCCACAGAAGCAGACCACGGTCTTATGGCCTCACATCCTTTAGAACCTTGATGAGGAATGAGGAGCAGCAATAAAGAACTAATTTGCACTTATTAAACACCAAAGACTTGCCAAGTGGTTTGTATAACATTATCTCTTTTAATCTCTTAGAAATCTCAGTAGGTAAAAAGTGCAATGCCTGTGAACCCAAACAGACTCAGAGAATGGAATTATAATAACTGGCCTTTCTCACAAGACTAGTGGCTCTATATCCTGCAGCAGGCTATTGCTCACCGAACCTCTCAGATATAATGTGTGCATTTGGGGTACTGGGGGCAGGGAGATAAGGGACAAATTATGGGCAGACAATGGTGTAAAAAGGCATGGTGAATGATAACTCTTGAAAACAAGGGAGAGAGAGGCTCACTGGTCAATGGGTACTCAGGTATTGGGGAAGCCAGGCCCAGCACTTACCTTTTTAACACATGTGTCTGTGTGTCACATGTATAAATATTGTGCCTTTATGTATGTGTATATTTGTGAGAAGGGGATTGAAAGACACATGTTATCAGCATTGACACTGACTATAATGACTGAAGAATTAACTTTAAGCGAAAAACTGGGAGTTTTTTCTGACTGGCTTGGCACAAAAAATATAAATTATGGTATTTTGTTTACTTCTATTGCTCTAGTATTTTGTGACTAAGTAACAATTCTTGATACTAACAAACACATGGCATTAACTTTCTTATAAATTTATTGGCTAAGAAAAAACTTTATACATCCATTTATTCCCAGTCTTCATACATCTTTCTCATGTAGAGGTTTCATCTACTCAAAAACATATTGCTGCCTCAGTCACAAAATAATTTACAAATGAAACAACTTAGTGGGCATTAGATGTTCTTGTAGAATGAAAGTTTCTATATCAAGGAGTTTAGTACTTACTGGGAAATATAGATATGTAAACGACTAATAATAAAGCAGGTTCAACTACAGTCACATTATTTCACCAAATCATTTATTTTTTATTCACTAATTCAGTATCCATTTATAAGCATTTAATCAACTTGTAAGAGGAGGAGGAACTTAGAGGTTAGAGAATATGACTATACAAGCTGTCATTGTTCCCTTAGCTTGTCATTGTTCACTGAAAATTGAAATGGTTCTGCTGTTCCTAACAGTTATAGGAAGTAATTTTATTTATCCAAGAAATTCTTAATTGGAAGGATGGGTAGGAGAGAAAGAAAGAGACAACGGCCAGGTATTTTTTTTTTCCAGAGCTCTTCTCCAAATATCCCTTTTAATAGTTATTTCTGCTCAGGATGACCTTTAAGTTTACAAAGGAATTTTAAATCCCCTTTCCCTCTAATGTTTAAGCAGAGGAAAAAATTGTTCTCCATGCATCTTTCTAATCAGGAAGACCTTTAAAATTGTGCATGTCTTTTCTGTGGTACTTTACTAAGCACCTGCTCGGCGAGAGACTGTAAGGGAAACAGTGGGATAGATACATCTAAAGTTTCTCAAACTTGGCATTATTGACATTTGGGGCTTGAAAATTCTGTGTTGTGGGAGGCTGTCTGACACGTTATAAAATATTTAGCAGCCTCCCTGACCTTGACTCACTAGATGCTAATAGGATTCCTATAATTGTGACATCCAAAAAGTCTCCACATTGACAAATGTCCCCTGGGGGGCAAAATCACCCCTCTTTGAGAACCACTGATGTGGATGCAACAAAGAATCAACCTTAACCTTACCCATTTGCATACTTTTCTACTATAAAGTTGTCTCGCATAGATTACGTAGAATTGTCCAAGTGTATTATTTTATAAACGTGCCTTTCTTGGTTATTAGTAGATATTTCTTATTTTCAAGATGGTGATCATGGTGTCTGTATAATTTCTGTTAGAATATCAGAGTTAGTGTACCTGGATACTAAGGAGAAAGATAGAAAAGATAAAATATGTATCTTCAACATTTTGTATTCTGTGATGACCCTAAAAGCTAATGTGGGAGTTCTATTGACTGTTATAAACTATTACAGAAGAAAAAGTGAAAGTGGAGAGTTAGGTCCACTGTGTGTGAACAATGGGAGGGTCTATGGAATGATGCTTTCAGGTAGGCAGAGGCCTCGTGGAGGGTGGCCCCACACTCACCCCCAGAATCCAGAAGCCATTCCCACAGGAACTTCAGAGGGAGAGCATTTACATTTACAGGAAAGAAATGATACTTCTGAGCCTACATTTGCCACATATTCATTAAGTGCATTTGTTCAGGCATTACAGTAAAATGCCATGGGCTGTGCTTTTCCTCAGCTACAGCCTCTCTCCTTCCAACCTCACACCCTGTCTTCCTGTCATGCCTTTGTGAGAGCGCCACCACTCTGCGGTGCCTGGAGAGGAACCTGGAAACGCTGATAGTTCAGTGCATACTCGGTCATATGGAGACAGCAGGAAAGAGTCAGGGGCCAACTTGAAAGATTTGGGGCCTGGCTGTGGTTTGCAGGCTGTAGACACCAAACTATACTTTATAGAACATGTGAAAATATAGCCTGTATGGGTTACTCTCTTACTGATTGTCTAGATTTGATGCCTTACATTAAATCATTTTAAAACCAACTCTAGAAGTCTACTCAAATCCTGCATTTTCTACTGGAATAGTGTCCCATGCATAAAACCCTGTTTCGCATAGGTGTAGGCTAGCTTACAGACCCTCTTACCATGTTGAGATTATTTCTAGAACTCAGGCTACTGAACCATCTGGTGCTCTGCCTGTGTCTTTCACATAGCTAAGAAGAAAATTTCCATTTAGCTTTCTGATATCTTGCTGTGCAAGTCTTCATGCTCTTTTTTTAAAAAAAATTTTAATTATAAATTCTTTCAAGCATATAGAAAGTTTAAAAATTGACATAACAGACACTATGTACTACAACACAAATTTAATAGGTATTAGCATCTTACCTTATTTGCTTTTGATAGCTCTCTCTCTCTCTCTCTGTCCTCTCTCTCTCTCAAATAAAATAGTTACAGCTAAAACCCCACTTATCCATCACTTTGTCCTCCTTCCTTCTCTTAGGTAAGCTGCTACTCTGAACTTTCACTCCCCAAGATGTTTTTATATTTTTACTACATAAGAATGCATCTATAAATACTGGCATTTTCAAGAAAGTTAATTTTTACTAACTTCAACCCAAATTTGCCATTGTATAGGATGGCTCCTTTTCAGGGCAAACATAGGTTCAAACTGGACGCCATTGAAGATTAACTGGTACTCACTTTGATCCTATTGATTCCTCTTTGCTGTCTAGATAAAAATGTATTTGTCACAATGTAGTTTGTACTAACTCTTATAGCAAAAAATAATATTCAGAGAAAAATCTAGGGGAAGTAAGTATGCAGACTAACTCTTATATCTTGTCCTTTCATAAGAAAAATTTCCCATCATTAAACATTTAATAATCTATTATACTGCCTATAAAATTTCCCTTTAAAGTTTTTTCCATTCTAATTTCATCACGGAGCTCCTAATAGGAGAGGCTGGCAGAAAAGCACAGGAACCTTCCTCTAGGCCAAGCTTGTCCCTGCCTGCTTTTGACTCAGCAAGGAGTGCCAGGGAAGGCTCACTTCCCTATTTTTCCCGAAAGCCACGCGTGAAGTTTTAAAAATCAAACTGTGTTCCCTTTCACAGAGGTGGGTGACAAGAGAAGCAGCCCCATGGGACTTCAGAAACTCTCACCAATCCTCCTCTAGAGTGACCAGAAAGTACCCCTTCCTATCCTAACTAATGTGACACGTCCTTCTGTGTGGTCCACTCTATGCAAAACCAGAAATTGACAAGAATGACTTTGATTGTAAAGTACAAATAGCTTACCAGTTAGTATTCTTAGTTTCTCTTTAGTTATAAATATCAAATGCAAGGGACTTGAAACCCAGCTGATAGAAGTGTAACTATTTTTAATCAAACATTTTCTGAAAGCTGGTTCTCACATATGTTGTCTTTCCTGAGTGTTTTATGTTGAGTGGAAGACGTGTTGAAATGTTTAGGTCAACAACAGCTTTTTTGTTGTCCCCTTCCACTACTGATTTAAAAAAAAAAAAAAAAGGCTCCACTCTTCGTGCCTTTCCTTAAAAATCCTAAATGTTAAGTTTCTGTCGAGGTCGAATAGAGACTACCCGATCTGCTGTGGCATTTGAGGATATCACATATCCTTGCATAATCTCCCTTTCCTTTGTATAGACTTGTCTGATTCACGTGGTTTGGATCTATTTGGAGTACTAATTTAAAATAATTTAACCTGACTCAATTACTTAAAACAACAGGGGAGAAAATCACCAATAATCAGCTATGTGTGCGTATAGAACCTAGTTCATATCATTTATTAGGATTTCCATTGAACCCCTAAGCTGTTCACTGCGCAAGTATTTAATTAGGGAAAATAACCATACCCCTATGTACATTATACTGTGTGTTTTGTAAACCATGAGAAAAGCTGCTTATTGAACAGAAGGGCTTTGTAACCTGGGGTCTATGGATCCCTGTTGGTGGTTTCAGACGCTTTTTAGATTCCTAAATTTATATGCAGACTTACACATGTATGTATGTGCATTTTTTCTTGGGAGATGAGTATAACTTTTTATCATATTTTCAAAGGGAAAGATTTAACATGGTTAAGAATCATGCTATAGCTTGTATCACTTTAGCTTTTTGATAGCAGCTATCTTTTTAAATGATCTATGTAATATTTTTTAAGATTTTTTCTTTTTTTATTCTTGCATTTTTAATCAATTTTAAATGAAGTGAAATGCTTTATGTTGCTCAACACATAGCCCAGAAAGCCTCCCTTCAGTTTTCCAGTAGGTGGAAAAAAGATGAAACTGAATTGATGGCCAAAAGAGTTGAATGGGCTTCACTGCTTTTTCTTTCTTGCTCTTCCATGCATTTGCAGATTAAGCATGAAGCTCACCATTAGTGATTGAAGCCAAAAGAGAGAAGGCAATTCATTGAACAAATATTGATTGAGCACTGTGTGTCAGGTACTGCTCTAGACAAGCAGACAAAACTCCCTCCCATATGTAACCACAATTGAGACTTATAGGTAATTTTTGTTGCAAGTAGTTCAGAAGTTTTGTATTTTGTCCTAAAACAAAATATTACTTTGTAAAATATTTTTTTAAATAGCCCTCTAAATCCGCTGTATATATTCAAAGTCACTATTATAAAGTGGAGAAAGCTACTCATTAGAGAAAACCTATCACACAGATAATAGCTGGGAAGCTTAACCCTTAGAAATTATTAGGAGAGATATACACTCCTTGAATTTAAGAACTGTCTGAATTTTAAATTTTGTTTTGTCAGTTCTGGCTTGGTGACCTTCCTCTATTGGCCATTCCCATTTTTCTGCCCTCCACTCTTCCTTGACACATGATTATTTCTGGGACCACTGTTCAATCCGAAACAAATCTCTGGTGGCTTCTTTTAAACCCAGTGGTCTCAGTCTGAAGGTATAGTGGGGCAACTCTCGGCATTCCATTCTGGAGTCTTGACCTCATAAAGTCACATATTGGCAATTCGCCTTGATAAGGTCAAGTGAACACACAGAAGCACTAAGATCCCCACATGTGTTCCACTGCCTCCTCCACAGACAAGTTGTTTTTCAACCCATCTGCAGGTCCAGAGGTGAAGCTGGAGGCTACCCTGCAGTCTCAGTCTTTTCTCCCCACCCTCCAGATGGATTCCAAATAAGAAGCCTCCAGACTACCTTCACCTCCCTGGGGTCTCATGGACATGGGCTGGAAAGTGCTTGCAGACTTTCACAGACAATGCTTTTTGCCTTTAGGTCCCCTTCTACCCAACAGAATGATTATAATAATGGCTTGATGTGCTTACTTACATCATCTCATTTAATCATCACAGTAATCCACTGATGCAGGTTCTGTGATCCGCATTTTATAAATGAGGAAATTGAAGCCTAGAGAAATTAAGAAGCTTAACTTGGGTCTCACAGGCTTTTAGAGATGGAGCCCAAGATTTCAGTTCATGCCATATGGTTTAAGGGCCTGCACTCTTAACCATTGTGGAATACCATTCATTATCATAATGTTAAGGATCTGTTTCTACTTTGCAGGAATCTTTTAAATCTATGGTTCACAATCATGGGTGGGCTTCAGAATCGTCCAAAAATGTTTCAACCACAGAGACGCCTGGGAACCACTGCACAATTGCTAAATCACAGTGCATCATCTAGCCAATCTTGGATTCTACAATAATTCTATGACAGTTTCTAAGAATACATGCCATTATATAATGGCAACATATTACAACAGATAATTGAATAGATATTCAATGTATACCGTGGAATAGAATATTATGCCACTGTGTTTTAAAAAGATAATTAAGAGGATACGGCACAACGTGGAAAACTGCTTATAACATAATATTAAGGATAAACCTCAGCTGGGCATAGTGGCTCACGCCTATAATCCCAACACTTTTGGGAGGCCAAGGCAGGAGGATTGCTTGAGCCCAGGATTTTGAGGCCAGCATGGGCAACATAGTGAGACCCTGTCTCTATAAAAAAAATTTTTTAAAGAAAAAAAACAGGATTTCAAATTATTGCTAATATTTGTAGTGATTACAAATATTAGCTTCTTTTTATAAAGCCTGGGTGGAAGCATATAGATGTATCTTTAGCTTTATTTATTCATCCATGACTTAAAGAAGATTGGTTAACACCTGACTCCACCTTGAGTAGCAGAACATTGGACTGAAGGAAAAAAAAAAATGTGAAGCTGTCTTACTTAGCTACAGTTTCCAGCATGTTTTCTCAGGAGCTCTATGGGAGACAGTGCAGTGTGGCTCTCAAACCTTACTACCCATAAAAATCTGCTTCAAAACCTACTTAAAATATCGATTTTATTCCATTTCCAAAGCCTGGTAGAGTAGGTAATTCTCCCACTACAATACACTTAGTAACACTAGAAAAAAAATATAACATTTTCTTTAATGCATAGCTGAGTTTATTAGAAAGTATGAAAACTACTGGGGCGCCGTAAGACAAAAGAAAACTTTGGGAAAACACAATAGGATATGGGTGGACTTTGGGGCCACAGCTGCCCTGGAAATATTTGCTGACCTAGATAATCAAGAAGCTTGGTTTTTAACAGCTTCCTAGAGACAAAAGATAAGGCCTTGGGCCTTTCCAATCTGAGGAATTGAAACTGCAATCACCCACTTAATTCAGGACTCTCTCAGGGCTATAGTTTCTGTTGATGGGTGATCCTCAGGCAGAGAGGTGATGAGGAAGTTGCCTGTCTCAGCCTAGGGGGAATCAGAAGATAAAATGCCTCTCTTGAGAATCAATAACTACAAGCCCAATTCTTACAGATTCAGAGTTAAGTGTATGCTCCCTGAATAGAGTAGGAAACCCCAAGTCTAGAAATGAATATGAAGTTGTTCCACATTGGGGATACCCTCAGAGCCTTGCAGAAAAGCATAAAAATGTATGTGGCTCAAAGAATCATGAGCTCCTGATCAAAAATTAGAAAATATGTATGCAAATAAGCCACTCTGTTTAAGAACTGGCAGAACAATGAAAAGCAGAATTAAATCCTCAGAATCTTCAGATAATTGAATTACCAATTGTTTGATATATAAATACAAAATAAGTTTGGAATAGAAAACAGACCAGGCAGAATGAAAATAAAACCAAGTCGAATTTTTAAAATTAAATGTGCGACACTGAAAATGATTCAACATAGTTAACATGGATAATTTGAAAGAAAGGATGAGCTGGCAGGTACAAAAGAAGGAGTAAGAGGTGTCTAGTTGAAGTCCTAGAAAGAGGTATTACAACTGCAGATTTCTGGCTCTACATTTACAGTTTCTAGGTCTGGGGTGAGGTTTAGGTGGTTGTGGACCACACTTTTAGGTTTTAAAGCATTGGCTCTGAAGTCATTTGGTTCAGGGCTGGGCATGATGTTGGTTCCTAGTTTTGCGACTTGCAGTGTTACTTAACTTGGCTAAGCATCAGCTTCCTTATCTATGAAACTGAAAAAATAATACCTATGTCATAGGATATATGTGTAAATCAAGTTATTCAGTACATGCCACACAGTAAGCACTTAAAAATGACAGTTGCTTCTATTTTTATATAACCAAATACACTACTACAAATATTGAGTGGCAGCTTTGCTGGTTCATTTATGGATTCATGGAGCTACACAAAACCTTCACCAGTCTATTAATTTATTTTTAGTACAGTCTCTCTAATCAGTATTGCTTCCACTGTATATTGACCCCATATCCTTTCTTCTGTCTGGGGTTAAGATAGGAGACTGAGATCAGCTGTGTCAAAAGCTTTCTTTTAGATGTAACACATGATTTCTTATGAAAATCTCATAGGTAGGATACCAGAAAGGAATTTATTAAATTCTTGTTAGGCTCCTTAGTTGTATTAGTTTTGTAGGGCAGTGTTTTAATTTAGGATACTTATGATAGAGAGCACCCCTTCCATAATCAGGAGAAACACAAGATGGAAATAAAGATTTTATTACTTAGTGGTCCTGGGGAGCACACAGCACTCCAGGGAAGGCCACACACCAAGATCAGGGAGCATGTGGAGAAAGAGAGAGAAAGGAACTCACGGGCCATTGCCTTTACTGGGTCCAGGACATTATCCAAACAGGTTTCCCACAGGGAGTTTTAATAGGTGGGTTTCAAGCAAGCAGGTATGAGTTCCAGGAGGTCACAGTGTGATGAAGAAGAAGTCACTGTGGCATATCTGCACAGTCCATGCGAGGTGTGAGCATCAGTGAAGACCAGTCAGGTAGGCTATATGTAGCTGGCCCATGGGGAGGCGATCACCAGGTGGCAATTGTATAATGCAGATATCTAGATTGGCCACATAGAGGAACCGGGAGGAGGTGTAGTACTGGAAACTGCGTCGACGGTCACTGAGCCCTGCTTTAGGTATGAGAAAGTCCAGCTTATATTCAGAATGGATGCAAAGGCAGCATAAAATTAAAAGCATTCACTGCCAGCTGCCATAACAAGTTACCACAAACTAGGTGGTTTAAAGCAACCGAAATTTATTCTTTCACAGTTCTGGATGCTAGAAGTCCAATATCATGGTCTTCGCAGGGCCGTGCCCCCTTTGAAGGCTCTAGGCAATAATCCTTCCTTGCCTGTTTCTAGCTTCTTGTGGTTGCTGACAATTCATGGCAGTTTGTGACTTGCAGCTGCATCATTCCAATTTCTGTCTCCATCTTCACATGAATACTGTCTTCTCTCTGCGTCCCTGTGTCCAAATCTCCCTCTTCTTTCTCTTAGAGACCTGTCATTGTGTTTACGGCATCCATAACCCTATGTGACCTCATCTTAACTAATCATAATTGCAACGACCCCATTTCCAGATAATACAATATTCTGAGGCTCTGGGTAGATGTGAATTCTGGGGGTACACCATTCAGCCCACTACAAACATATTGTGGCATTGAGGTTATAAGCCAGTAGCCCTACGAGTATAGGATGATGCCCATTTCAGCCTGATAATACACTCCGAAAGAGATCACATGGTAACATTGTTGCCTCAGTTAATCATAGAAATACTCAATTAGTATAGAAATAACAAGAAAAATGCTTTGTTATTCTCATGTGTCATTTATCGAGTTCTTACTATGTATCTGTTATTGTTATCCTTATACACTTCTGCACAAAAGATGGTTTTATCCCAAGTTTTAGCTTAGAAACTGAGGCTTAATGAGTAACTTGACCAAGAATGGCTTCTCTTTCTCCATTTCCTTCCTCTCATGGTGTTGTTTTATATACATAAAATAATATATATTATTCTATTAATATAGATTAATATATGTATTTATATATGTACATTTTATATATGTATAAAACTTATGTTGTAAGTTTTATATACATATAATATATATTCTGTTTATATATTGAATTTATATATATATAAAACTTAACACTATTAAGTCTTAACACTATTAAGTTTCATGGTGTTGAGTTATATAGTTCTATTAATTATATATATATGGGGGGAGGGGTGTTTCTCCAGCCTAGACTTCCACTTTGAAATGTAGTCTCCAGGCTCAGCCACTTGTTTGACATTGCCACTTGGATGTCTGGTAGACTTAACATATTCACAACTGAATTTCAAATCTTCCCCACCAATCTGCTCTGCCTCATAGCTTCCCCTTTCCGGAATGTGGTTGCTCCATCCTTCCAGTTGTACAGGCCCCAAATCTTGGAGTTTTCCTTGACTCCTCTCTTCTTCTCAAATCCCACATGTAATCCATCAGGTAGTCTTATTGGCTGTGCCTTCACACTTTTTTCAGAAACTAATTATTCTTCAGCACCTCCAATGCTGCCACCCTGGTATAAGCTACCATCCTCAGCATCTTTCTTCCAGTGGATTTTAGCATCCATGAATGATTATTTCCTAAATCAATTATCAATAATTGTTATAAATTTGTGATTTTTCTATTTCTATCCTTCCTGTCACTTTTCCTGGTTTTTTTAAAAGAGCTTTCTTCATTCTTCTTTAAAAAAAATTAAAATTAGCATCAGTATGAACTCGTGGATTCTTTTGTTATTCATTGTACTATAAGCCATTCCTGTCATTATTCATTTTGATTCTTAAATTGTCCTATTCTTGGCCAGTGGGAGTCTTTCATGCTAGCTCCTATGTCTTTTTGATATGTCCCTATCTTTTTTTTCCTAACACTTTCCTTATTTCTGAAATTGTAAGCTATTCTAGGTTCACCCTATACCTTCACTACCCCAGTC
This sequence comes from Homo sapiens, assembly GCF_000001405.40. Lineage (NCBI taxonomy): Eukaryota > Metazoa > Chordata > Mammalia > Primates > Hominidae > Homo > Homo sapiens. The sequence continues at coordinate 102,550,320 of NC_000004.12, forward strand.
CAGGCATCGTCTGTCTCTCTAAGAAGTCCTAGTTCCTTTTAGCAGGAGAAGTTTTTCTAGACTCTTTCATTAGGCAGAGCTACAAAATTGATTATTTTAAAAATCTCGAGTTCATACACTAATTCATAATTCTAATTCCAATCCAACACTGCAGGCTTCTTCCCTCCCTCCCCTCATCCCATACTTGTATTTGGATTTGAGATATGAAATGTGTATCTCATATCCCATATTTCTTCAGTAACTGAAAACCCTCATCATCAATGATAGCAGCATGCTTACTCATTTTGCTCAGTCCAATAATTCACACACATTTGTAGAAAAATAGAATAGTTTTAGAATGGCTATACCAATATCTGCAAGCTTACTATATTCGGTTCAAAATTTCTTTGTAGTTCTTTTGACCAAATGTATTCAACAGAGAGCATTCAGTCAGAGTAATGTGTACAAAAGTTACTTGGATTAGATTTTTTCCTTCTGTGTATTTATGTTTCCATTGAGCTATAGAGTTAAGCTATTTTTTTATTTCTATTCCATTTTAGGGGTTTTCCCATCCCTGTTGATTTAGTAATTTTATTTTTTGAATATCAACATTTGTCAGTTTCACATCTTTCATTTATATGAGATTAACTAGACCCTTTAGAAATCATTATAAAGTCAGGTTGTTCTATTAATTTTTAAAATAGGTGTATAAAAACCAAAGGGATCAATCAGAGCCTTGATTTAAAGTACGTTCTGAATTATTTCAGACACCCGAATCCATCTAAACCCAGAACATTTCATTTGTAGATTTCAAAGACTTCTTGGCCTTCCTACCTTCCTTACATTTATGTAGCATGTGTTTATCCAAGGCACACCACCTGCCAGGCACAGTGCTGGGCTCTGTGTTGACACACATGAATGTGATCATCTTTCTGTAGCCCCCAGGTTACATGGCACCACAGCCAAGATACAGACATGTGTGAGAGAGTAATCAGGGTATTACTCAGGATTTGCTGGAGGAATCCCTCTTCAAAGGATATTCTAAATTGGTGTGTGTGTGTGTGTGTGTGCGCGCGCGCATGTGTGTGTGTGTGTGTGTTGAGGTGGACTGGGAGAAAATATACCCTCCTTGAGATCACCTCCTGGCTAGATAGTCTCTCCCTTCTCTGTTTGTGATAGAATGCAAGTGGAATTTGACAGGTGTACTTCTCAAACTAGAAACTAGAGAGCTGCTATCTCAGTCACCGTAAGAAGAACGAATCACACCAAACCTACATCATTGTCTTCTATGACAGGATTTCTACAAGGGTGAGATAGTGAGATGCTGGAGATCCCTGTTTTGGTAGTTCAGGGATTCACAGCATCTCCCATGCTGGTGATGTCAACCTGAAGAGATATTTCTAGTGATAGGTTCCAGGGATCTTTCACCAAACACTTTAATATATTTTATCATTGTCCTGAATACAGCCCTATAAGGTTCTTACTAAATTTGCAGGTGACATGAAGTGATAGACAACAAACAATTTGAATTCAAATTAATTTTGAAAGCTGAGACAATGGACCCAATTCTTCAGCAATTATATTTAAAAGATATAAATACATGCAGAAAACAAATTACAAGTACAGAGTGGAAGAGAGATGATTTAGCAGCAACGCATGCAAAGAGATCTAGGAGTTTTAGTTAATAACAGACTCAACATGAACCAGCAATGCAATGTGACTACGAAACAAGTAATTCCTCATTAGGCTGCATTAATGGAAACACGATACATAAGACCAAGGAAGTGGTGGTCTCATTTGCACTCTGTGATGAAAGGCCACACCAGGAATACAGTGTAGTACTGCTGGGCACCACATTTGTAGAGAAATAGAAACCAACTTGAGTGTCTTCAGAGCAGAATGGTGAGAGAACTCAAACTTCATTCAAATGAGGAGTAGTTACTGAGCCTGAGAAATTTATAGCCTGGAGGATTTGGTTGTCTTCAAATATATGAATGGCTGTGATGGGGAAAAAAGGATTAAATGTGTCCTGTTGTCACAAGAGGATGAAATAAGGAGCGGTGAATGGAAGCCCCAGGCGATAGAGGTTTCAGTTGCTGCTGACAGTCAGGGCTGTCTGAGGATGGAATGTATTGCCTCAGGACAAAGTGAGTTCATTGTCACTGAATTGGTTCAAAAATGACCAGGAAGACTACAGGGCAGGGAAGCTAACTTGTATTACAATAAGTAATTTTTTTCTTTTTTATTTGTATGCCCTTAGAAAGATGTTTACTTAACTTGATAAATCTGTAACAAGGGATAATCAAGATTTGGTTATAGGACAATTACAATTTTCTGACAGATCCCCCAAAATAATAGAAATTAATAGCTTACACACTACTTTATCCAAGCTGTAGAATGTATAACTTACTTCATATACTTTGTGTTTAGTCAGTTTATACAGGCTGAACAACATAAAGTTAAGACATAAAAGGGTTTTTTTTGCAGGTTTAAAGTACTACCATTTTTCCAAATTACTGGCTGATCCTAGAACTTTGAGAAACTTTGGTGTTTCCCCCCTTCCTACTTTTGTTTACATCATAGTACGTAGATGGTACAATATTTTGGTTAACCTCAGTCTGACACTTAGATTGTGTTCTCTTTTGCCCTATTAATGTCTAGAGTGTAAAAAGACCAGTAAAGTAGCACCAAGAAATCAAAGAAAATTTCCCAGTTCTACTCACTTGTAATTCTCTTAATTTAGTAGGGGCTTTCCACAGGAAATCACAATAGAATAGTTGAAATGCTCTTTATCTTATGTACTTTCCTTCTGAAGAAAGGGACAGTTAATTGGCTTTGTTCCCAACATGGTCCAAATTTTTATACAGGGCAGCTGTATTTACTGTAGTACAAAGGAGATTCTACACCGAATGATGTCTCTAAGTATTTTCAATAATTAAGAACCTAATTGCTTCTCTAGCCAGTGGGTTTCAGTGAAAGTGATAAAATAGATTTTCTAAGCAAGAAAAATACATAATGAGGGTGGTTGTATACCTTTAAGAAAAAAGAAATCAGTGATATTCAATCCCAAGTAAATTTGGATATCACAGAGTCAGAGATATTCTTAATTATTTTAAATTAAATTTGAGTCAAAAACAATGTGTTTAAAGACTTTAAAATCATTTTAAAAGAATGTTAGAAATTTACATTAATAATTTCTATTTTCAATGAATAAATGAGAAACCTAGAATTTTTGTTTTGGACACACTTTGATCATATCTAATGTGTTCTACTTCCTCTAATTATTTTTATGTTATTAGGATTTTTAAAAAATCTCTTAGATTAAAATTTCTCAGTGTATCTTTGTTTGCGTGTCTTTTTTTCTCTCTCCACTTATGTAATTGAAGCATTTCTGACATATCCTCAGAACACACAGATTCTTATCAGGACTTAACTACCCAGGGCAGGGCCCTCCTTGGATTTACTGAAAATAAACACTTTGGGTACTCAGTCTCAGTTTTAATGACAAAAGTTGAAATCTTTGCCTAACATGAAGGTTTTTCTTTGTCTCTAAATTTTGATTTTCCATGCTATCAGAGGTCCCATTGCAACAGGTAATTTGAGTGTTGATTGTATGTTTTCTCAGTTTGTAATTGTGGTGAAATGTATTTAAAATGTTCACAATTTTAAAGTTAAGTTTACCTATAAGGTTCTTTCCAACTCAGAAATTCTGTGATGGTAAACTTTTTTTTTGTAGTTTGAAAATGTGATCTTTGGATGTTGTCTTCTGTGTCCTATGCATATGACTAGGAATCATAGAATTTTAGAGCTGGAAAATGAGTGAGACATTATCTAGTGATTCTGCAAATGAAGAATTAAAAGGCCCAAAGAGGTTAGGTGACTCACGCAGTATCATAGCAGTACCTGGTGACTAGAACTCTGGCCACCTACTGCAGCACTAAAAATTAACCCAAATGTTTTTATCTGAAAATTTGCAGACTTCAGGCTAGGCCTGTAAATAAATAAATAAGAAGTTAAAACATATTTGAGAAAGGTAAGCTTAATATGCCACATTTGGGAAAAGATGTGCCTGACACAAATGTATTTGGTGTAATAGAGAACATTCTTCCATTATACCGAAATGAAAATTTTGAACATTCTCAAAATTCTTGAATTTTGAGACATTTATGTTAAGCACAGTTTATTCAGACTCTCTATAAACTGTGCTGTCATCCCTGTTGTTTTCTCCAAGCGGAATCATACTTAAATTACAACTTTAGGGAGTTTAATGTTTCCTATTTTTGCACTCCTGGGATATTTTTCAGTGACTCAGAAGCATAAACTGACACTGTGAAGTTAAGGCTGTGTTCCAGTGGGAATGACAGCATGTCTCTAGGACGCTGATGGAGAAAGCCCTCCTCATGCAGCTGTCTTGCGGAGTCTCCCTGCTGGTGGTGAATGTGAGATCACACAGGGCCAGCAGCCAGGGCAGTACATCTCTGAGTCTCGCTTCTGGTTTTACCTAGAGCCAACCCTTGGTGATTGTTTGCCTCCTTGGCCAAGCCCCCACACAATAGGAAAACTGTGTCTCAAGGTCGAATTCTATTAATACCTGAGAGGTGAATTTATAAACATTTAAGATGTTTTAGCATCTCTGCAGCCAGTGTCTCTGTAAATGAAAATTGCTTCTCGAAGTAGAAAAGCATAAGGGAGTACAAGGGCTTCAAAAAATAATCCTTTTAGGAATAAGAATATTGCCAGGGTTAGGTGTTCCTAACTGGTTTCAAGCAGAGGAGTTAGTAAAATTCCAAAAGTTAATCAGCTTCATGTACTCAACTTTTGCTAGGACTTTGCAGAAACTCCTCAGGGATCCCTCAGAGTTAGATTAGGGAGATGAACCCTGCCAAAGGACAGTAACCATTCAACAGCTGGATAGCCTGTTGGGCCCCACTGTCCTCAGCCTTTCCTAATGTTGCCTGGGAACACCACTTTTCTGCTCCCTCCTTTTTCAGTGTAGCCTGGAGACAATTATTTATTTATTCACTAGCTCTTTTAACAAATATTGATTAAGTAGGTACTGGTTCTGTTCTAGGGGTTGGAAAAACAGAGAAAATTAAATAGTGCCTTTGTCCTCAGGAAACAATCCATTTAATAGAGAGACGAAGATATGCCCTTAAATACCTGAATCACCAGCATAACCAGCACCTGCGGCTGCCATGTGGGAATTGTTGAACAAGATAATTTTTGAATGAAAGAGTAAATGACCTAATTGCTCTAATGTAAAGATAAATTTCTAAGAGTCGGCTAGTTGGGATGATTATAGAAGGATTCAAGGGAGAGATGTATGAAAGCATAGATCTAACGAGAGAAAACAGCACAGCAGAAAAAGCAGCAAAGGCTCAAAAGTAGAAATCTCTGAGATCGAATGGAGAATAGTAAATAATTTGCTGGAATGAAGAGCACGTGGAAGGCAAGGGTGGTAAGAAGGCTGGAGATAGTAGATAAGGCCAAATCATGCAAGGATTTAAACTGTATGTTTTTAGAAAATGGGTAAGCTATAGAAATTTTATATAGGAATGAGAAATTATCAGCAGCATTGTGCTTTAGGACTACAAATCTGGTAGCAATCTGCTAACTGATATTGGAAGGGAAAGGCCCAGAGACACTAGTTGGAAGAATTGCAGTGATTCTTCATGAGCTAAACTAAGAGTTCAAGCTAAGATAGATAAACTAAGGAATGAGAATGGAAGAAAGGGACAAACTGAGATTTTTGGGGTGGTACTCAGCTGAAGTTTGGCAACTGGTTAAACATAAAAGACAAGAGACAGAGAGGAATCCAAGATGAAAAGACGATTTTGCTGCACTTTTTTAGAAGGCAGCATTTGTATTTCCATTTCCAGGAGGTGGAGTAGCTTTGAGAAGAAAGGTGATTAGTTCAGTTTTGGGCACATTGAGCTGTAACGGTATTATGGACAGGAAGATACCCTACAAACAGCTGGAAATTTTGCACATGCTTAAAAAGAAGATGAGAACATGAGATTTCAATTTAGCCATCATCTGCATGGAGTAGACAATTCAATCCAGGAGACTTGATAAGAATGTCAAGGGAGTGATCACGATAAAGGTGAGAAATGGACTGAGCATCGATCTCTGCTGAAACATCTCTTTGAGCAGGAAGAAGAGTGCCTTAGCAAAAGCAGCCAGTGAAATGGGGAGTTGGGGGAGACTTTCAAGGAGGGAATGGTAACATATCCCATTCCCAAAGAGGTCAAGTAGGGTTGAGGAATAATAAATGGCTAGTGGGTTTGGAAACATGGAATCTGTCATGACCTTTACACACTTTTTCATTTGATGGATCGGGGGATTACTTACATTTGCAAAGGGCCTCAGATTAAGTGGTAATGGTTCAGCATTAGTAATTAGAGATTTTCTTATGTACTTTGTAGGGAGAAATAGAATGGCATTCAAACAGGTTTAAGTTCCTCTTAAGAACCTTTCTCATTGGATTGTAGAGAAGAGCAAATGAAAGAATCGTTCAGTATTTCTTGGTATCATGCCCAGCCCATAGGTTTCAATTAATGTTAACCTTTACAGTTGTCATCATCATTATCCAGAAGGGGCTTTTTTTTAGAATAAGGAAGAAAAGCAGTGCTCATCTGTAGACAAGGGAAAAAATCCTTTGGAAGAGAGAAAGAGAAGGGTAATTCAAGAAGATCAGGAATAAACATTAAGGGTAAAAACAGAATGGTTAGCCCTGGAAAAGGGAACAAACATGTTTCTCTGAATTAGGAGAGGATATGTGAAGTAACAGGGATGTTTTGAGCCTCAGTGACAGTAAGGAGAAGAGAGAGTGAAGGAACTTGCACGCAGTGACTTCTACCTTCTCATTAAAGTCAAGAGAGAATCTCAACTGCAGATATCTGCTTAAGGTAGGAAGAGAGAAATAAGAATTGCTGTCATTTATTTTGTGGTTTTGATATAGCAAAAACTGTACTAGACACTTTACCTCCTTTAATCCTCAGAAAACTTAGAGATTATATATTTGTATTCACATTCTACAAATGAGAAAGCAAGTAAAAAAGTTAAGTAACTCTCCCAGAGTCCCCCAGATGGTCATGGGAGCCCAGATTCAGAGCCAGCTATGTCTTACTCCAAAGCCTGTGCTCTTTATTGAAACATACTCCACTAGTTTGAGATCTTGGAGGTGTACCCCTGCACTACTATCAGGACTACCCCTGATAAAGTCCTGTGGGGTAGTTGTTCCTATCCATCACCACAGTGAATATCAAAGAAGGGCCCTCTCATTTGAGGAATAACAGACAGTGAAATTGAGATGGACCAGAAATGCAAATCCTGGATCCCTGAGGGAAACAACAAAATGAAGCATAGAGGAAATATCTGAGTCTGGTGCCAAGACTCATCAGTACAAGAGAGAATGCCTAATGGGCAATAGCAGTTAGGGTGGGAAAAGAGAAGTACAAGGGGGTGTCTTGGAATTTGAGGGAAGAACTGCTGCCTTAGTTTTCGAAGGATGATTATTCGAGAGTTGCCCTCCCTTCACTTTCTCACAGCTGGCAGAATTCCTACCTCTTAGTGGTTAGATTCCTTTTTACCAGATACTGTAGGGCCAGTGCAGCAACCAGAGCCCCCAGCCAGAAACCCTGCCTCCAATTTAGACCAGTGTTCTGCTCTGGTGTGTAATAATCATATTCTAATTTAAATAGCCTATTGAGATGCTACATTGATATCTAGCCTTTTTTTTTTTTTTTTTTACTTTTAAGTTTTATGTGCAGGATGTGCAGGTTTGTTACATAGGTAGACGTGTCATGGGGGTTTGTTGTACTAATTATTTCATCACTCAGGTATTAAGCCTAATATCTGTTAGTTCTTTTTCCTGGTCCTGTCTGTCCTCCCACCCTCCACCCTTTGATAGGCCCCAGTGTGTGTTGTTTCCCTCTATGTGGCAATGTGTTCTCATCATTTAGCTCCCACTTATAAGTGAGAATATGCAGTATCTGTAATAATGGGTTTTCTGTTCTCGTGTTAGTTTGCTAAGGATAATGACCTCCAGCTCCATCCATGTCCCTGCAAAGGACATGATCTTGTTCTTTTTCATTTCTGCATAGTATTCAATTGGCCATTTTTTAAAAGACAAAATAACAAAAAAAAGAGTACAGTTATCTCCACTCCTCACCCACTACCTGCCACCTAACCCAACCCTTTATATTTTAGTAATTGCCTTCCATAAATAACATTTTATCCTGTCTTAATTATGCATTCATTAGTGTATTAATTATTGAATGCCCACAATATGACAAGCATTATTTCAAGCACTGAGGATACAGCAGAGAATAAATCAATATCCTCACTGTTTTTATTCCATTTTTTTAAGAGACAGGGTCTCACCCTGTTGCCCAGGCTGGAGTGCAGTGGTGCGATCATAGCCCAATGCCACCTTGAACTTCTGGGCTCAAAGGACACTCCTACCTCAGTCTCCCAAGTAGCCGGAACTACAGGTGCACACTACCACACCCAGCTTCCCCACTCTGAGCCTCCATCCTAATGGAGAAGAGAGGCAGTAATCAAAATACATGAAATGTGTAGTTATTAGATGGTTATTAATGTATAGAGAAAAATTAAGCAGAGAAAGGAGCAAGGGATTAGGGGGTCAAAGTTTTGGTAGGGGTAGAGTGGTCAGTGAAGGCCACCTTGAGAGATGGCAATTATGTAAAGCCTGAAAGCAGGTAAGAAATATACAGGTATACAGATGTCCCTGGAAAGAGTGTTCTAGGCAGAAGAAATAGAAAGTGCCAAAGCTAAGATTGCTCACCTGGCAAGTTCAAGAACAGTGAGAAACTGATGTGGCTGCATAGGAGTAAGAAGAAAAAGGACGGAGAGGACATGAGATGGTCAGATAGCCTAGGGCCTTGTAAGCCATTATAACGATTTTGTCTTTTAATATAGAGAAATATTAAAGGTTTTTGTTTTAACTTTTTAACATAGAAAAATGTAATCATATACAAACACAGAATAGTATAATGAGCCCCCTTGCACTAATCACTCAGCTTTAACAGCTTTCACTTTGGGAGGATTTTGAGTGAAGGAGTGATAAGACATGGCATGGCATGACATGGCTTGAACAGGATCACTCAGGAAAATAAGCCATGGGGAGACAGGACAAGCAGAGGAAACACAGGAGCAAAAGCTTAGGAGACAGATGATGGTGGCTGGAAACCAAGGGAGTAGCAGTGAAGGTGGTGAGAAGTGATCAGATAGAGGATATTTTTTTGAAGATTTGAATTAATATTATATATATTATACTTTAAAGAAGAATTTGAAAATGCATGTAGTGTAGTAAAGATGGTAAGAAATACAGAAAAGAGGCCAGGCACAGTGGCTCATGCCAGTAATCCTAGCACTTTAGGAGGCTTAGGTGGGAAGCTCCCTTGAGGCCATGAGTTCAAGGCCAGCCCGGGCAACATAGTGAGACTCTGTCTATATGGAAAAAAAAATTAACCAGGTGTGGTGGCATGCACCTGTAGTCCTAGCTACCTAGGAGGCTGAGGCAGGAAGATTGCCTGAGCCAGGAGGTTGAGTCTTCAGTGAGCCATGATCATACCACTGTACTCCAGCCTGAATGGCAGAGCAAGACCCTGTCCCTTTAAAAAAAAAAAAAAAGAAAGAAAGAAAAAGAAATATAAGAAATGGCACTAGAATATCAGTATTATATACATTATTTTCTGTTTAAAAATCCACACAACTGGCAAAAAAAAGTGACATACATGAACATTTATAAGACAGTGCATTTATAAATTACAAACTCTCTGCTCCTCCCATATTATTTTGCAGTGATGAATGATTAGGCCATCCAAACGTAAAGATTTATTTGTAATTTGCTAATGATGGAATGACACCTGTTGAGGTACAAGTTCCCAGCAATTCTTGGAATTAGCAATAGTGTGTTACTTCTTTCTCGAAAGAAGCATGATTTGTAAGCAGCTATATCTGATGTAGTAAAACTGAAAGTTAAAATAAAAAAGGAAACCGTGGGTCAAAGTATGAGGGAAAAGATAAAACTTTCAGAGCAAAGTTATACATAGAGATTTTATTCATCGTCTCTGTGTAATTCACGAGAACTTCTTAGCTTATTTATTATGTCAAATGGCAGTTTGCTCTTCTAATCCCAGCCTGATATCATGAGCCATATATGCTGTTGGTCATTCAAAAAGGGCACTAAACAAGGTGAAAGAATGTCAGTGAATCAATGCAACTCCATGAGTACTACCAGGAAAAGAAAAACAAAAAAACATGCCATTAATAGTGGGTCAAAGAGGATTTTTTTCATGCCATCCCCTACCTTACTGAGAATACCACATTTATATTCAGAAGACTCATAATGAATTCCAGAGTCCTCTGTGTCTTGGCTGTATGACTTTGGGTTATGTCACTTTGTTAATCTGTTTGAACTTCTGTTTTCTTATCTACAAAATAGGGGTAATAGAGTCAACTCTGCCTCCCTCACAGGGACTTTCGGAGGCCCAAGGGTCTTTACAAATAATAGAGAAGGAAAGAAACTGGCACTTTAATAGTACCTACCATGTACCAGGGACTGCGTAGTCCCCACGGCAGCCCTCTGAAGTCATGTGATTGGCCCATTGTGTAGATGTAGAGCTTAAGACTCAGAGAGGTTATTTAATCTGTGTAAGGCCACAGAGCTAGGAGGGGGAAAAGCTGGGATTGGATCACTGACTAGATCAACTTGAAATCTCCTGCCTGACAGAGAAAGAAGAGACTAACTTTACTAAGCATCTTTTTATGCCAGAAACTGTGTTGGACATAATTCTGTACTATCTTATTTGGTAAAGGTCATTCTGTCCTTCCTGGTTGCCCTGGTTGCTCAACAAGTAATAAACAATAAAGCCTGACTGTTTTTCATCCCTGAGAGAAGAAATATTATTAAAATAGCGTTATTCTCTTTCTTTCTTTCCTTTTTTTTTTTTTTTTTGTGTGTGTGTGTGTGCCTGATAATCTGACTTGCAACCTCACAGAAAAGAATGAATGCATGGTTTCATGTCTGTGGCATGACTCTGTGAAGGAGCCTTGCAAGGGGACAGATACACCTCTACCACTTCTTATAGCCATTCCTGAGACCTCTCTTCTCACAACACATACCAGCAAAGCCAAACAAACAAGGTGTTTAGGAATAACTGTCATCTATCAACACTCTCTAGGCAAAGTAGAACTATGAAACACTGAGGAGACTGCACACACACAGAAGAAAAAATGATCATGTCACATGGTAGCACAGAGCAATGGGAAATGTGAATAGTTTGTTGAGGTGGACAGACCCAAGCTCAAGGATTGCCTGATCGCTCCATTTATAGGAACCATGGCAACCTACCTTATCTTACTGAGCCTCAGTTCCTCCAGCTGTGAAATGGGGTACAACCTCTGACCCCACAGGGCTGTTGTGGGGATTATCTGAGTTAGCATGTTCCATAAAACACAGTAAGTTAGAAAGTATAGCTGTATAGGCTCTGGGAGTTTAACAAGCAAGAGAAATTTGACAGTAATCATTTAGTTACTGAACCCTGTCTTCATATTGCGCTAGGTTGCATATGGTTTTCCTGCCTGTCCCTTCCAATCACATTTCAGAAAAAGGAGGCAGTAGTGGAGCCTTGTGGGCTAAAGTGGTGAGGAGGGTGTCATGGAAGATTCAGGTTCAGGTCTTCCTCTTGAAGAATGGGTGCTTCTCAATAGGGAAGTGGAGGAACAACCTGGGAGTTGTCAGCTTGAAGAAAATCCTGAGACGTGATAATGGGTAGGTCCAAGGAGGTCCTGAGTAGGACTCTGAGCACAGAGCCTTTCTTTGCATGTGCTGTTTTTCCTGCCAGCAAGACCCTCTAAACCCTTTGGCCTCACCCACCCCCTTGCCTGGTTATACTCCTAGCCTTCTTTCAGATCTCCACCCTCAGTACTCCCTCAGGAAGCTTTCCCTGACCTCCTGACCCAGTCAAGTGCTTCTTATATATCTCCTTTGTAAGCTCTTCTCAGTTACACTTTTACATTTATTTGTGAGATTATTTGATTAGTGTCAGTCCCACTCTTTAATTCTCCACAAGAACAGAGATTGTGTCTGTTCTGCATTCACCATGCATCGCTTCATCCCCTAGTTTACTGCAGTGTGTGGAACATAGGACGGGCTTTAAATACTCGCTGAATAAATAGAGAAATGTTGGTTATTAGTGAGGTATTACCTAGGTGGGAGAGAGGATTTATATTTGGGATTGCTAATCCCATTAAGTGCCAAGCACTGCATTAACTCATTTAATCCTAAAAAAAAGTCCTATGAAATCAAGTGTATTATTCCTTTTAACTTTAAAGACAGAGAAACTGAAATCCAGAGATGTTAACCATCTTTCCCCGTTGACACAGCTAAGTGGTAACAGTCGGTCTTGAGCCGGGCAGCCTGGCTTCAGACTTCCTAGACTTTACCACATTGTTCTGCTGCTTAGTGCAGTAGAGGACAAAGTGAGGTGCACACGTGAAGTCAGGACAGATTTCCGTTTGAAAATTGTGTATTTTCCCCTCCTCTTCTTCATTACCATTGTCATCATCATCATCATCAATCACTTCACAAGCAAAGCTAAGCAGAAAAGAACTACTTCATGTATCACCTCTTACATTCATGTTAACTCTACATTCTGCCAAAGTGATTTGGCTGAATTTACCCAAAGAGCAAAGTGGACATTTCAAATCCTGATTCCTAGAAAATTATAGACTACATCCTGTAACCACCTTTGAAGAACCAGCATGTACTTTACCCCAACGTGACAAAATTGTTTTAAATAAAAAGAGGTAATTTGACTAAGATTGGTATGATCTGAGACCCATGGTTTCTACATCTTATTCAAAAAGCAGATCCAGCATGTGGTCATCAGTAGGTATTGAGTCATAAAGCTCCTGGAAGAAAATCTTAAGTTTCATCAAGAATGCCAAGAAGTCCTGGGTGTCTCCAAGAATGATAGCTGTTACTATAATAACATAATTACTACTGGAAAATTAGCAAAGCCCAATAAAATATGGCATGCAAAAAAATATTTACCCTGGAAATAGAAGTGACCTAAATCAGTCGTTTATTCCAGCCACCTGCTTTTAGATAGTACTTAAAAAAAAAACTTTCAGGATGGTCATATTGTTTAAAGTTCTCTAGGTGGAAGAGTACTTTACAGTAATAAATTAATAAATAAGACAAGTTAATGCTTTTAAACTACTATTATTTGTTGAGCATTGTTGTAAAGGCTTTACATGCATTAATGTATTTAGTCCTCACAACAACCCTTTGAGATACTATTATCATCATCTCCCTTTTACAGATGGGGAAACTGAGCAGTGCCCAAAGTCACACAACCAGGAAATGGGGAACTATCTTCAAGCCCAGCTGGTTTGCGCCTAAAGTCCATGCTCTTACAGTGTCCCTGGGTAGCTGAGTACTCAGTTTTGTCACCTTTGTCTCCTTGACTTTAACTGAAAGCTTAACTCTTTTTTTTTTTTTTTTTTTTAAACGGAGTCTTGCTCTGTCACCCAGGCTGGAGGGGCAGTGTCTTGATCTTGGCTCACTGCAACCTCCACCTCCTGGGTTCAAGTGATTCTCCTGCCGCCTGCCGAATAGCTGGGATTACAGGTGCACACCACCATGCCCGGCTAATATTTTGTATTTTTAGTAAAGACAGGGCTTCACCATGTTGGCCAGGCTGGTCTCAAACTCCTGACCTCAGGTGATCTACCCGTCTCGGCCTCCCAAAGTGCTGGGATTACAGGCATGAGCCACCACGCCCGGCCCGAAAGCTTAACTCTTAATAAGAGCCTGCAATGTTCAGACGCTTTGAAAAAAACCTAACAGACACAGTTGCTCTCTATAAACTTAATTTTCAAAGGAACCACTATTCAAAGAAGTAAAAGGGAGACTGAATAAAAAGAACTAAGTTCTCCGTAGAGCAAATGAATTTCTGAATCGATTGCAAACAGTTCTCCGTCATCATGACATCCTATGAAGTATGGTCTCCCCCATGTTAGAGTGCCAGTGTCTTCATGTACCATATAACTTGCAAATAGTATCACTGTCTTCTCACACTTCAGCTTTCTTCTTTCATCAGTATTTTGGAAAGTCCACAAAACCCAGGGGGCTCCCTGTCTGTTGCCCTGTGGTCTCTGTGAAAACCAGATGATGCGATGCTGACTTGGACTCTTTCAAATGGATCCAACAGCACATGAGTCACTGGCAGCATGTTCAGCTCCTTTACCTCAGGAATTACCCAGTTCCTCATTCTTGCCACCCTTCAGCCATGAAGTAGTAATATGAAAAATACATGAGTACTTTTTGAGGATACCTCGGACCTCTTTCCTTCAGTACCAGAGACTAATTGCCTCATAATGGTAACATTGAAGAGCCCAGTTATCTGACGTGATTGGGCTTTAATTATGGATTCCTTCTGGTGTCCTATTAAATTGGAAAGCCTAGCTGATTTCACCCAAATGAAGCATTACCTCATGCCTTGCTCTCTTGCATTCCTGTGCTGGTGTCACTTAAAAGTGTAATTACATGGTTTATTTCGTGTTCTTTCACTCTTGATTTATTGCTGAAGAAGCCCCTGTGGGATATATCATCATAACAAAGACTGATTTCAGATGTCAACACCAAGAAACACAACTGGCATCAGCAATCTATAGAGAGTATCTAGGGACAGCAGTCAGCTTTGGAGAAAACCCAGAACTTCTCATACCCCATCCCACATTTAAGGGCAAAGACTTTCTCCTTGTTAAAGGGAAAGCACTGAGTTCATAATTAGCTTTATACCCAGAGTTTTTTTTTTTTTAAATGTTATACCTGTTTAAGAAATTTTTTGTGCTTTGAGGTGGTCAAGATCAAATTTAATTAGCAACCCTCTTCGTGATTGGCTTGCTCTGGGGACCCTGCTCTTTGAGAAGGAGGTTAGAAGGTTTAGAAGCAAACCTTTGCAGCAGTTCTAGCCAAGTGCATGCATACAGGCCTTGAGGTGGAGCTGCACAGTTGACTGTAGGGGAGTCTGTCCTTTGTTGACGAGTGAAACTTCTCTCCCTGCAAACCCTCTGGGGAATAATGCCAACTCTGATCAGCTTTTCGACTCTTGGATGAAATATTGGGTTGGGAAAAAGTCCCTACTAAGAAAATTGTACCAAAACCCTGCTTCAATAAAATATGAATCCATTTAATGAAGTTTATAGTAGAAGTAGGCTAGTCGAAAAGGATTCTGTCTCTTTCCAAGTATTATTGGCAGGTTTAGGGTCTTCCTCAAGTTTATATCATTAGGACTTCCATCAAAGAGTTATCTTTAGGTGTGATTCCCATCCTCCCTCCCTCTCTCCCTCCCTCCCTCCGTCCCATCGTTCCTTCCTCCCTTTCCTCCTTCCTTTTCTACCTTTCTTTTTCTCTCTGTCTCTCTTTCTTTCAAGCTGTGGGCTGCTTGTACAGATTTATGCATTTTGAATTACTGCGTAGTTGAGAGATTTGGGGCTTAGGTTATTCAGTTCTTCAAAAAGTACAGTATGAGCTAAGGAGATAGGGTGACCAACTAATCTAGGTTTTGGCTCCAAAAACCCTGTGTCCCAGAAAACCCCTCAGTCCTAGGCAAACCAGGATAGTAGTTCATCTTGTGAGGAGATTATAGTGCATTTCCAAGTATTTAGCTGAATTTATCACAGGGCTCTGACTTGATAGGATTTAAGAGGGTTAAAATAAGGTCTTTTCTGTTATGTTAGTGTGACTTTAGTCTTGGCACTTTCTCAAGGAAGGAATCCAGTCTACTACAGGGGCTAGGTGACTAAGAAGAAGAAAGAGGATATCTAAGTGTTTTTTGCTAAAAATGTCATTATCTCCATGCTATTTCCTTTTTATTGCTATTGTCATCATTTTAAAGACATACCAATAAGAAATAAATTACTTTAAATAGAAAACTCTAATTTTATCAAGCAACAGCAAACAGGGGTGAAATCTAAGGATTTGTACTTAAGGAGTACACTTTTTTGAATTGAAGAAACTTACTATGACCTGAGCATATGTAACTCAATTATCAGAAGTCAGAGAGGGCTACTGAAGGCTCAGGTTTTCTAAGAGATGACTGGAGGCCAAGTCCTCAGGCTTGAGTGTTTATAGCCAAACTTCAGAACCAGGTCCCTGGCAAGATTCTCCTGTCTAATCACATGGCACAGAGTTAGGATGGACTGTTTCTGCTTACCTGCCTTCTTCCTTTGATTTCCATCAACCACCAGTTTCTTTCTCATCAATCATTTACCCAGCTTTTGTGACCAAGAATTTTGATGAGGATGCAGAGGAAGGCATGTTCTTGGTTAATAGGAAAGGAGGCTTCATGACAACACAGCATCCTCTAAGATGTGTTGCTCCAACTTTCACAATACATATTGTGTTTTAAGTGGCCTGCTTCTTGGAGTGTATCTTCCCACTACACAAAACAACCACCATTAACATTTTCATTTACTTCCACCCTGTCATTTGTTCATCACATACTTTTAAAAACAGGGCTGTAATCATGTATATACATATATGAATAACTTTATATTGTACTTTTTATACTTACTGGCTTATCATAAACATGTTTCCATGTTGCTGGAGAGTCAGATATGCTAACTTTTGGAATGTGCTTCTTATATAGATCTGCAACTATGTGGGACCAGCAAAGGTTATTGTTCAGTTGGTCACAAATGGAAAAAATATCCACCTGCATGCCCACAGCCTGGTGGGAAAACACTGTGAGGATGGGATCTGCACTGTAACTGCTGGACCCAAGGACATGGTGGTCGGGTAAGTAGGGGTATATGATGCTGTGGAAGGTAGGAACAGATAGAATATGGGATGCAGGAACTTAGAATGAACAGGCCCCTTTCATTAGGGACCTTTCTGAGACCCTCAGATGACCTCAAAAAACTGTGTAAACTTGTGCTTTCATTTGGACTCCAGGAAGTAAGGTGACCACATGTCTGGATTTGCTTGAGACAGCCCGGTTTGCCCCTGACCTAATTGTTTATAGCACCCTCTTCTACTCTTAAAGGTGGCCCAATTTGGATGATCACTTATATGTGGTCACTTGACCTACAAGGTATTTGTGCCACTATTAATTTTTTTTCTCCTAGAAATAAAAATAAGGACAAATTTAAAGAAACATAACTATAGCAGAAATCATCACTTTATGTATATTTTTACATTCTTGATGATTTCTTCAGTGGATTTATGGTGTGAATATGTAGGGCTTTAAGTGAATGCATAAATATCATTTCAGCTCTCTGCTGCTTAGAAAGTAATGCACAGATAAGAAGCCAAGGAATGCAAATTTATTTTGGCATTCATTAGGCTTGAAATGTAAATAAAAAATGACGTATTCATTTAAGGGTTGATCAAATAAAACAAGCAATTTTTAATGAATGAAGTTTTATAGAAGTAATTTCAATCCAAAAGAATTAAGCTTTTAAATAAGACATATTTATTGTGCTAAAAAACTTGTATTTTCATCTTCCTAATACACTAAAATGGCACACAGAATAATAGTGTAGCACACAATACAAACTGATATGTGCAATCAATAATTCTAAAAATTGTTGTTTTAAGTCTTTCTTTGGAAGTCCTTAAATGCAAAAGAAGAAATTTTTAATTTTGTTTAATTTTTAAAAACATTTTTCAGGGTTTTCTAATCCTGGTTTAAATAGTTTATGCTGAAATCCCAGTTAATCTGGCTTATTCACTCAAAAGAAAGGAATTGTTTAAATCAACTATAATTAAGCTGATGGTTGCATTTCAGGCTTTGAATTCCGATCAAGTTTCAAATTGGTTATTATTTTGGAGGTTGTGCTTTCATGTTCCTAGGTATTTCTTTGTTTGACTGTGAAAATATTTAAGTGTGAAAAACCTAGAGAGAGAGCTTTCTTTTAAGTCACTAAAATCGGATTCTTTTGATGTTAGAAAAAAAAAAGACTCTAGATTGAAGGAAGAAGCTTAAATTGATTTGAAAAATTAAAGTGTGCTTTATATGAACTTGTTTCAACATCCTCTTGAAAGACTGGCGTGTCTCCTGTTGTATGTCACAGTTTGTTCATCATGTGTTGTGGAATACCCTTCCAATTCCTGATTGACCTAGGAGAGCTTTGAAATGCAGGCTAATTATCACAGTTTTAGACTGATTGATCACTTAGTGTTTCTGCAGATTTATTCCAGTAGGGTTCTGTCAGTTTGAAGTGTTTATTTTCTTTGGTCTTGTTTAATCCCTATTATAATCATATCCTTTAGAGGAAATTTTAGATGAAGTTTTCTACTAGTATTTATTATTATAAAACCTCCAGTATGGTGTCTATAATTTGGTGTTTCTGTGGTTTGCTTTAGTAATCTTTCAGGATTTTAGAAAGAACTAATGGTTATTTAAATTTGAGACCTTAAAGCGGGAATAGAAGTAAATTGTTTCTAAGGAAAGTGAGGGATTCTTTCACTCTTGTAGTGCAGTGGGTTGTGGGCTCAGTAGTTGGGAGAACTCATCAGTCATTCACTCATTCAACAAACATTTTGAGCATCTCAGCTCCTGAATTTGATCATTATGATGTCTGGTTGTAGAGCAGTGAGATTTTCTAACCCTATATAATTTCAGTGAGAAATTTAATCAAGATGCCACTTGAGAGTTACAATAGACTCAGTAGTCTTAACGTTTTTAGTGTTTCCTATGAAAAGTCAGTACTCACTTTCTAATTTGATTTTTAGCTGAGAAATTTTTGCTTACAATGTTTCCCAAAATACACTATTTCTTTCATAATTCATTTGTTTCTATCTCTCTCTATATATACATTTTTAAGATTTTCAATGTCAAAACTTATTGCATTTATGTAGAAAGAACATCGTGCTAGCATTCTGGAAACCAGTATTTTATTCCCAGTACTGTTGCTCTCAACAGAGGACTGGGGGCAAGTTACATGACTTCTTGGGGACCTTAATGTCTTCCCTCATAAAATGAGAGAGTTTCACTACAGAATCTTATCTTCAGGCTGTTTACATCTCCAGAATTCTGGACTGAACTAACATTACGTAATATTATGAAATAACATGAGCAAACTTGCCACACACATATTTATGGTATGACATTGATTATTAGTATTTAGTTCTGACTTGTAGATAAGAGTATCACATAGAGAAACTTAGGAAGATAGCCAAAATTATGTCTTAGACTTGTCAATACTAGAAATGAAGCTAAGATAACTTGTTTTCAATAATACAGATTAGGCAAAGAGTATAGATTCACAAGCAAGACACTAATCCAACATACCAAAAAAGATATCCAAAAAATGGCAATGAGAAGACAAATAACTTTTAAATTGTCAAAACCAAAAGAATTACTTTCTTTGGAGTGTTTATCTTCATCTTTCCCTCAGTATGAATTCTTAATAAACTTAGTTTCTACTTTCAAAAGGATTTTATCTATGTTATAAATATTCATGTTTTAAATAGCCAAGTCTTGATTCTGGTTTGATTGCTGTAATGTAGGGGATTTGTCATTTTAATATTTTTTAAGTTAGCTTTAATTTTGTCTTTTTTAAAATTCATTTATATAATTAGCCTTTACTGCCTTTCTTGGTAAAAAATAATAATAATAATCTTAGTTTGGTGTTTTATTTTAAACCCTGAATATCAACAATTTGTTTCAACATATTTTAGTTCGTTGACATTTTTATTCCATGGAAAATATCTGTGTTCCTTGACTTTGCTTTAGGCCAGTTCACTTACCAGTAATCACCACACTCTCTCTGCTTTCTGGCAGTTTAGAGACATGGAATTTTTTTCCAATTAATACATATAGCATATACCAACTGGTAAGCACTAGGAGTAGATATATAAATATCAAAATACAGAGGAGAAACAAGGCCTTCTTCAGTGTCTGTTGTTCCCCTTTTTGTCCATGAGTTCTCATCATTTAGCTCCCACTTACAAGTGAGAACATGCAGTATTTGTTTTTCTGTTCCTGCATTAGTTTGCTAAGGACAGTGGCCTCTAGCTCCATCCATGTTCCTGCAAAACATATGATCTTATTCTTTTTTATGGCTGCATAGTATTCCATGGTATATATGTACCACATTTTCTTTATTTATTTATGTTATTGATAGGGAATTTAGGTTGATTCCATGTCTTTGCTATTGTGGATACTGCCGCAGTGAACATTAACATGCATGTGTCTTTATGGTAGAATGATTTATATTCCTTTGATTGTGTACCCAACAGTGGGATTGCTGGGTCAAATGGTAGTTCTATTTTTAGCTCTTTGAAAAATCACCACACTGCTACAAAATCAATGTGCAAAAATCACAAGCATTCCTATACACCAATAACAGACAAACAGAGAGCAAAATCATGAGTGAACTCCCATTCACAATTGCTTCAAAGAGAATAAAATACCTAGGAATCCAACTTACAGGGGATGTGAAGGACCTCTTCAAGGAGAACTACAAACCCCTGCTTAATGAAATAAAAGAGGACACAAACTAATGGAAGAACATTCCATGCTCATGGATAGGAAGAATCAATATCGTGAAAATGGCCATACTGCCCAAGGTAATTTATAGATTCAATGCCATCCCCATCAAGCTACCAATGACTTTCTTCACAGAATTGGAAAAAACTACTTTCAAGTTCATATGGAACCAAAAAAGAGCCTGCATTGCCAAGACAATCCTAAGCCAAAAGAACAAAGCTGGAGGCGTCACACTACCTGACTTCAAACTATACTACAAGGCTACAGTAACCAAAACAGCATGGTACTGGTACCAAAACAGAGATATAGACCAATGGAACAGAACAGAGCCCTCAGAAATAATACCGTACATCTACAACTATCTGATCTTTGACAAACCTGACAAAAACAAGAAATGGGGAAAGGATTCCTATTTAATAAATGGTGCTGGGAAAACTGGCTAGCCATATGTAGAAAGCTGAAACTGGATCCCTTCCTTACACCTTATACAAAAATTAATTCAAGATGGATTAAAGACTTAAATGTTATATCTAAAACCATAAAAACCCTAGAAGAAGACCTAGGCAATACCATTCAGCACATGGGCATGGGCAAAGACTTCATGACTAAAACACCAAAAGCAATGGCAACCAAAGCCAAAATTGACAAATGGGATCTAATTAAACTAAAGAGCTTCTCCGCAGCAAAAGAAACTACCATCAGAGTGAACAGGCAACCTACAGAATGGGAGAAAATTTTTACAATGTATCCATCTGACAAAGGGCTAATATCCAGAATCTATAAAGAACTTAAATAAATTTACAAGAAAAAATCAAACAACCCCATCAAAAAGTGGGCAAAGGATATGAACAGACACTTCTCAAAAGAAGACATTTATGCAGCCAAAAGACACATGAAAAAATGCTCTCATTATCACTGGCCATCAGAGAAATGCCAATCAAAACCACAATGAGATACCATCTCACACCAGTTAGAATGGCAATCATTAAAAAGTCGAAACAACAGGTGCTGGAGAGGTTGTGGAGAAATAGGAACACTTTTACACTGTTGGTGGGACTGTAAACTAGTTCAGCCATTGTGGAAGACAGTGTGGCGATTCCTCAAGGATCTAGAACTAGAAATGCCATTTGACCCAGCCATCCCATTACTGGGTATATACCCAAAGGTTTATAAATCATGCTGCTATAAAGACACATGCACACTTATGTTTATTGCAGCATTATTCACAATAGCAAAGACTTGGAACCAACCCAAATGTCCATCAGTGATAAACTGGATTAAGAAAATGTGGCATATATACATCATGGAATACTATGCAGCCATAAGAAAGGATGAGCTCATGTCCTTTGTAGGGACGTGGGTGAAGCTGGAAACCATCATTCTGAGCAAACTATCGCAAGGACAGAAAACCAAACACTGCATGTTCTCACTCATAGGTGGAAATTGAACAATGAGAACACTTGGACACAGGGTGGGGAATATCACACCCCTGGGCCTGTGGTGGGGTGGGGGGAGGGATAGCATTAGGAGATATACCTAATGTAAATGCTGAGTTACTGGGTGCAGCACACCAACATGGCACGTGTATACATATGTAACAAACCTGCACATTGTGCACATGTACCCTAGAACTTAAAGTATAATAAAAAATAAGCAAGTTTACAAGGGCAAAAATAAAACAAAAAAGAAAAAGCACCACACTGCTTCCACAGTGGCTGAACTAATTTGCACTCCCACCAGCAGTATATAAGTGTACCCTCTTCTCCACAGCCGTGCCAGCATCTGTTATCTTTTGACTTTTTAATAAAAGCCATTCTGACAGGTGTGAGATCATATCTCATTGTGTTTTAATTTGCGTTTCTCTAGTGAGCTTTTTCCATATGTTTGTTGGTGGCATGTGTGTCTTCTCTTGAAAAGTATCTAAAACAGTCACTTATCTTTTAAAGAAACTTTTTAAATCAGAAAAAAGGTGTTTATATTTAACCACGTATTTATCATTTGCAGTGCTGTTCATTCTGTTTCTTAGGTCAAAATTTCTATCTGGTATCATTTTCTTCTGCCTCAGGCACTTCCTTTTATTATACTGCTGATCTGATGCTGATTAATTCTTTCAGTAGGTGTATGTTTTCATAGCTTTTTATTTTATCTTTGTTTTTCAAAGATATTTTGAAGAGTATAGAATTTTAGGTAGACAGGCCGGGCGCAGTGGCTCACGCCTGAAATCCCAGCACTTTGGAAGGCCGAGGCGGGCAGGTCACCTGAGGTCAGGAGTTCAAGACCAACCTGACCAACATGGAGAAACCCCGTCTCTACTAAAAATACAAAATTAGCCAGGCATGGTGGTGCATGCCTGTAATCCCAGCTACTCGAGAGGCCGAGGCAGGAGAATCACTTGAACCTGGGAGGCAGAGGTTGCGGTGAGCCGAGATCGCACAATTGCACTCCGGCCTGCGCAACAAGAAAGAAACTCCGTCTCAAAAAAAAAGAATTATAGGTTGACAGTATTATTCTTTCACATCCTTAAACTATGTTGTTCCACTGTCTTCTGATTTGCCTTGTTTCCAAGAAGTCACCTGTCAATCTAATCTTTGTTCCTCTGTATATAATTTTTTTTTCTCTCTAGCAGCTTTTCAGATTTTCTCTTCCTCACTCGTTTTAAGCAATTTGATTATATGGATATTAGCATAGTTTCCTTCATGTTGCTTGTGCTTGGGGTTCATCGAGATCCTTAGATCTCTGGGTTTATATATTTAGTACGTTTTAAAACTTTTTGGCCATTATTTTTTCAAATATATTTTCTGTCCACTCCTCTTCATCTTCTTCTGGAACCCCAGTTGCACATATATTTGGCTATGTGAAATTTCCTACAGCTCACTGATGACCTGTTTTTTAAAAAATCTTTTTTTTCTCTTTCATTTTGGAAAGTTTTATTACTGTGTCTGCACGTTCACCAATATTTTTGTCTGTAGTGTCTAATATGTTCTTAATTCCATCTAGTGTATTTTTTCCTCTTAGACATTGTAATTTGCAATTTCTATAGATTTGTTTGGGGTCTTTTTTTTTCATATCTGCCATGTTACTCCTTAACATACCAATGCTTTCTTCTTTTTCTGATCATATGGAATATATAATAGCTATTCAATGTACTTGTGTACAAATTCTGTCTTCTGGATCTATTTTTGTTTAGTTTTTGTCCTAATTATGAATTATATTTTTCTATTTCTTTCCATGCCTGTTAGTTTTTTATTGGATGACAGGTATTTTGAATTTTGTATCGTTAAGTCTTGGATTCCTTTTTTTTTTTTTTTTTTTGATGTGCTTTTAAATACGTTTGAGGATTGGGATGAAGTTAAATTTGGGAACAGTTTGATTTTTTTGATTCTTTCTAAACTTACTTTTAAGCTTTATCAGAGAGACCAGAGAAACCTTTACTCTAGGGTTAATTTGACATCATTGCTAAGGCAGTACCTTTCTGAATTTTCAACCTGATGCTCCATGTATTACAAGATTTCTTGAACTATTCCAGCCCCATATGTGTTACAGTAATTTTTCTGCCTCCACCTCTGTGGTGGTTCTTTTCCCAGCTTTGACATATTTCCTCACACACAGCACTCAGCTGAAGACTCCAGTGATCTCTGAGTGTATCTCTGTTTGCGGTTTCTTCCTTTCCGGTACTCTGCTTGTGAGTTTTAGCCTCCTTGGCTTCCTCCAATATTTAACTGTGTCTCCTCAACCTCAGAGATTGCCAGGCTCTGTTGGGGTTCCTCCTTCCTGTGCTGCAGCCTGGGACTCTTTAGGCATTAAGCCAGAGTAATTACAGGGTTCACCTTATTTATTTCCCTTTTCTTAAAGATTACTGTTCTGTGCTGCCTGTTTTCTAGTGTCTAAAAACCATTTCTTCATGTATTTTAGATATTTAAGGTTCAAACCAGTCTGTTTTACTCTATCGTTACCTGAAGCAGAAGACTGACTTCTGTACTGTTTCATTTGTTAACCAGAGTAAATCCTTCATTATTCACATAATAAATTAATAAGGATGATGTTTTTCTCACAGGGACTAGATTAGGCAATATACATGAAAAGCATATTATTGACAGTAAAGTGTAAGATGCTACACAGATGTTTATCATTGCTATTACAAAGGAGATAACCCCGTTTTCCTGCAGTTAGGGAAGTTCTATATGGGAGTAAGGCTGAAAGGGCCAAAAGATATAGGTATTGTTTCTGAAAAACTGCCTATGCTTCTATGCATATAAGTATGTCATGTTGCATATTTTTCTGTGCTGTATTAATTCATGCATTCCTTTATCAACAGATACTTATTAAACACTCATATGTCAGGCATTGTTCTAGGGACTAGAGATCTCTGCCTTCAAGGAGCTTATTTTCTAGTGGTATATTTTCTGTTCTGTGTCTTAGCTATCCACTTTTTTCATCTGCCTGGACACGTGACTTATTCTGTCTCTGGGCCTCTGGTATGAGTGCTCATTTCATTCTGCCTTATAACTCCTATTTTCTTCCCTACTTTATCTGACCTTCCTACCTTAGCTTGTTCATTCTTTCCTTCAATCCAGTTGTCATGAAATCTCTTTCTTTCCTCTACTAATTTTTTTTTTCTTTCTTTCTTTCTGAGTAAAAGCCAGAGATCTGGCCCCCTGCTTACCTCTCTGAATTCTTCACTTACTTCTGACAACTTGCTCATTTCACTCCAGCTACATTGACCTCCTTGCCTTTGTTGTGTTTTGAAAACACCGGCGTGGTCCTACCGCAGGAATTTTGTACTTACTGTTCCTTTTGCCACATTCATCATTCATATGTTCATGTCTTCCCCATCGCTTCCTTCAAGTTTTTGCTCAGTTGTCATCTTTTTACTGAGTGTCCTTCCTGACCTCTCCCTACTTTAAAATGTTATGCTTTTTTCTACTACCTCTCCTGTTCCTCATTCCTACCTTATTTTTCTGGATAACACTTATTGCCTTCTAAATTGTATCGTATAATTTACTTCTTTGTTTCTTCTCCGTTGTCACACTAGCATATAAATTCAGTGAAGGTAGAGATTCTTTTACTGCTGACAAAAGCATCTAGGACATTTCCTGGCACTGATAAGGATCTGCATAAATATTTGTTGAGTGAATGAATCTCCTTGGTAAAGTCCTTTTTTGTTTGCCTGTTATATTTATTGAATAGACTTCTTTGTTTCATGTACTTTAATTTCAAAAGTGAATGGCTGGAACATTTTATATATTTTCTTATAAATCATTTTCATTGCTTTTTAAGCTTATCACATATTTTGTTTTATAAATATGTAGCCTTCGTGAGATAAAAGATTCTCCATCCCTGTTTACGTGTATACTTAGATGACAACTCTAATGGTCATAAATAATTCCAACCTTATAGATAACTCAGGAGAAGATGAGATTATAAGTAGACTTTAAATCCCATTCAGAAACCCAAGGACAATTCAAAAGGAAAATAATCATTCCAAATATAATATTCTTCTTATTCTTAAGAAGTTGTTAGTATTTTGAATTTTGAATTTTTAATACAGCTCCCATAGAAAATACTTTAAAATGAACCCGGTAAGACTTCCTCATTAAGACATATAGACACATATGCTCCCACTCCCGTAATCAAATTTGGAAGTCAAATAAGCTCTGAAAACCAAAACATTCTTCCAAGTTTATTGCAGACTCATTTGGTAGTAAAAACCAATCTGACCTGATGTGTAGCTGTTTATAGTCTTTATTTTTCCATTTGGTGAGTCCAATTATATATTTCGCTGAGGAAATACTAACGTGTTTGACTACATTGTGTGCCCCAGACCTGCTTAGAGTATTATGTAATATGCAGTATAGGCCATATATTGCCTTTTTAACATCAAAAATACCCTAAATTCTGAAATGCATGTAGCCCCAAGAGATTTGTATAAAGCATTGAGGGCCTGTGTATTTTTTTTTAATTTACAAGTGAAGCCAGATTCCCTAGACATTAAGTGCCTAACTTTTGGTTGTTGTTGCTGCTGCTGTTACTGTTTTTTCTCCAGCTTCGCAAACCTGGGTATACTTCATGTGACAAAGAAAAAAGTATTTGAAACACTGGAAGCACGAATGACAGAGGCGTGTATAAGGGGCTATAATCCTGGACTCTTGGTGCACCCTGACCTTGCCTATTTGCAAGCAGAAGGTGGAGGGGACCGGCAGCTGGGAGGTAAGCATCATTTTCCTGGCCTTGATCCTCCAAGGGGTCCAGGCTTTGGTTTTCATCTGTATGAATTATATGTTCATCTGCATCCCTTCCAGTCTCTACCCCACACTGCTGTCACCTTTTCCTTGCTCAGAAACCTTTGATGGCATCCTGCTACTTCTAGGATAAAAACTATAGCTCCATAGCCTGTCATACAAAGCCCTGCTTCTCTGGCCCCAGCAACTTTCAGCCTCATCTCCAGCCCACCTTGCATCCTCCTCTTGCCATCTCTGCTCTCTGAATAACTGAGGCATATTTATACCTTTGTATGTGTCTTCCTTTACCAAAAACACCCCACCGTTTCCATTTCACCCTCTCGAAAACCAATGCAGAAATCAAGACTTTGTCTAAAGAACACCTCTGTTTTACCTTCCCCAACTCACCTTATTATAAGGCATTTTTCTTTCTTTGGGCTCTGCAGACACATTATAAACTATTATCTTTATCATAAAAATTGTATGATTTTCCATTTTCTTGCCTTTTCTCAAATTTTTTTTTCAACCCCATTCCCTGTCCCACCACATGCCCCATTTCTACTTTTGTATTTTGTCCTTTACTCTGGCCGTCCAGTCGTCATCTGATACTCATGTGATTCAAAACCGATTATCAGTTTTCCACTAAATATACTCCATCTTCTGATACCCAGACTCAAAACCTTCCCATCCTCACTGACTCCCCCTCCTCGCCTGTGCTGCGAGGCTGTGGTCCAGCCATTCCGTGCTCTCTGGCATTCCACACTACATTCCATTTTCATTGTTCCACTTATAGTAGTCTTCTCCCTGGTCTCTGTCCCTCCCCACTTCTAATCAAGTTTACATCTTGTAGCCAGATAGATATTACTGAAGTTCTGTATCTTGTTGCTGCTCCGTGTCTCCGTTTTGCCTACAAAATCCAAATTCTGTAAGTTGGCTTTTTGGATCTCCCAAGAGCTGGCCTCAGGCTGCATTTCCAATCTATTTCCCGTTTTGCCCCTTCAGGTCAAAGTCTACTACTTGGTAGGAGCACCATGATTTCTCACTTTCCTGCCTTGGCACATTCTTTCTATTTTTGCTCTCTCCTCTTCCTGGAATGCCTTTATCCACTCTCTTATATGAATGTGTTCAAATTCTGCCACCTTTTCAATATTCAGAGCAAATACCTCTTCTGCTCCAAAGCCCTCTGAACTCTCTCCTTCTTTGAAATCCCACATCACTTCATTTGTAGCTCTCTTGTAGTACTTGTCTCTTGAATCACTACCTTTTATGATATTATAGCTTAATTATGACTATATCCATCAGCGTGAAAACTCCAGCAGGAGGGAAGGAAACAGATGTCCCTGAGTCATTCAGTTCCTTCAGAAGTTGTTTTTGAGTACCTACTATGTGCCAGGCTGTCTGCTTGGCACTGTGGAATGAGCTCACTCCCTGTGCCCAAGCAGCTCTTGGAATAATTTGCACACTTCTCAATACAGCTGGTGCCTAGTAGGGTTATTCAATTCCATTCCATCACATCCTGTGTGCCTTTAACTCTTACTGTAGAGAGGAAAGGGAAAGGTGGGGGAAGGACAGGAGAGGAGGGAGGCGATCTGATACACGGAAGAGAGTTTTTACTGTAATCCGGAGAAAATGCAGGTCTTCTTTGATGCCTTTCATATTGGATGACATAAATGAGACTGTTTTTAACACTTTATTAGCAATATGAAGAGTTTCAAAAGAGGAAAAATGGGTTTTTATTGTAAGTTTACATTATTTGGGCTTTATAAAAGCATGGTCTTTTAAATGTTCACACTTCCCTGGGCATGAATGGACTGTGCTGTATGGCCCTAGATCGGGAAAAAGAGCTAATCCGCCAAGCAGCTCTGCAGCAGACCAAGGAGATGGACCTCAGCGTGGTGCGGCTCATGTTTACAGCTTTTCTTCCGGATAGCACTGGCAGCTTCACAAGGCGCCTGGAACCCGTGGTATCAGACGCCATCTATGACAGTAGTGAGTACTTCACTTCCAACAGGGGGCACACCAAGAATAGACTTCCAGCCCTGCCCTGCCATTTACTTGCTAGCTGAGTCCTGGGGAAGGTAACTTAATCACTTTAAGCCTCAGCTTTATCATCTGTAAAATGTGAATAGGAAAATCTAGCTTGAAAGGTTGATGTCCAGGTTAAATGAGGTATTTTAAGAGGGGCTCAATACATGTAATTCTTTTTCCTTTGATGTACATTTTTTAGTCTTTTACATGAAATGTCACATCTCATCTTATTTATGAATGTCTTGCTATAAAGATATATGGTTGATACTTTTAGAAGGGAGAATAATCCCAATTTTCTTTGGTGGTGGGGGGACTCTGGAAAGGAGTTTATAAAAGACAACTATTATTCTTACCCATTTTCTTTCCCATATGTTACTAGCTTTATCAAGAGAGAAACTTGAAGTTAAATGAATGAGTAGCATAGACAGCATGTGACTTCAAAATCCTATTTCAAGCCGGGTTTGGCGTCATGCCCTGTAGTCTCACCTACTTGGGAGGCTGAGGTGGGAGGATATGGAGTTTCAGCCCAGCATGAGCAACATAATGAGACCCCATCTCAAAAAAAAAAATATATATATATATATATGTATATATATATTAATTTATAGTTCCTAGGACTTTTTAAGAGTTTTACAGTAATCTTCAGCATTTACCATGCAACTTTCTTGTTTGATTATGCATAGGATTGATTAGACAGGTATTTTCAAAAAGCCTGCAAGCATAGTACTCAGACTCATTGAAAGTTTATAGAATTTGGCCTGTGTGGAAAACTCTGTGCTCCAAGTACAACAACTAACTGAATTCTCTAATTTAAACAACTTTGAAGGGAAGTGAAAGGTTATAAAATGATACAGACTCATACCGCAGAATCACCTTAAAATGCAGCTGTTGGAGAAAAAAAAAAAGGAAGCTTTATGCTATTACCACAAGAAAGTTTTGCCTCTTCACCACACAGAATCCTAATTTAGTTTGGGAAAAAGAAACATAACATCCCCATTTTCCTTACCTGTAAAATAAAAGGTAGTAAGTAGTTTAAGAAAACTGTACTTTTCCTAAAGTTTTTAGGACTCTTGTAAATAGAATAATAGCAGAATCATGGAAACAAATTTGGAATTGAAGTCTTGACCTCATTGAAAGCCCAGAAATCAATTAGCTTGGTACTTCCCAATACATCAGAAAAGCTCTTTCTCTTTTTGTGTCAGTCTCTCTGTGTTAGAGGGAGAAACAAATACCTGTTCCTTTCTACCTCATTTGTTTTGGTGATCATAAATGACCCATGCCCAAGAAGTGTTCCGAGAATTTCAGAAGCCATTCTTGTTTTATTTACTTTGTTAGTGAAAGCATGTATTTAAGCTTTGTTTTGGTCATGTGTGCTAAGGGGAGGGTCCTACCTAAAGGACTGGCTTGTTGAGCTGAGGATTAATCATGTTATTTGTTGTTTTTCCCCTGTGAACAGAAGCCCCCAATGCATCCAACTTGAAAATTGTAAGAATGGACAGGACAGCTGGATGTGTGACTGGAGGGGAGGAAATTTATCTTCTTTGTGACAAAGTTCAGAAAGGTAAATACATTCTGTGATCTCTGATCTCAAGAGGTGTGATCTTGACACACTACAGTTCTGAGTGTGTCTGTGAGTCACATTTCAGCAGTGGACAAGAAACATCCCTCTGCTGCCACAGAAAGTCTTAAAAAGCATTTACGTTTTACCTCTTCCAAATGTAAATTGTCTGTGTTATTTTTTCCTAAGTCAACTAAATCACTTTTAGATTTCCCATGGAAGTAAAAAGAAATAAGAAAACCGTGATAATTATAATCAGTGACTTTCAGTATCTTTATACATTAAAATTAATATCTGTACTTTGTTAAACAAAAATAAATAATAGCCCATTCTTGACACACATACAAACACACACACAGAATAATGTTTTACATAGTATTAAATTGTTTTTATTTCTTTTGCAATGCTTTGATATAACACTGAGAGAACTTCTCTGAACACTTCCACAGATGTGATGTTTAAGAAAAGGAAAGAAAACAGGGAATACAGGGAAATTCTCAGAGCACATTTCTCTCACAATTTTCCCTTTGAGGAAAGGTTCTTGGCGTTTATCTTTCATTAGATATATTACAACATTGATAGATTAGTAAAAGCTGAGGAAAATGTGTTATTTTCTCAAACTGCATTCTTTTTTTAAATAAAATGATAGTTGGAAAGTGTAGTATAATATCTATTTACTACAGGGTGAGCATTTTCAAAGTAAGCAGATACCTAACTGAAAATATAAATAAGTAAAATAAATCAATAAAAGACATGTGGCTTTTAAAAAAATTATCATATGAGATTAAATTCTCTGAGGTATATAGTCAGAAAAAAATGGGATCAGATTTTAAAGTAAACACATATATACTTTATCCAAAAAAATTTACAGGCCAGGCATGGTAACTCATGCCTGTAATCCCAGCACTTTGGGAGGCTGAGGTGGGAGGATTGCTTGAACCCAGGAGTTTGAGGCTGTAGTGAGCTATTATCATGCTGCTGTACTCCAGCCTAGATGACAGAGCGAGACCCTGTCTCAAAAAAAAGAAGTTTACACTTTCTCTGCCTACACTAGTGTCAGCCTTCTTCCAATCCACTCTGTCCAAGTAATACTCATTTCCAGATTCCTGGGTGTACATACTGTGAGTAAACACAATCTGAGTACCTTTATTTGTAAATGAGATCCTTAGTCATTATCATTACATTGGAATGGCTTAGTAAGAAATGTCTTGTACTTGGCTTAAAGAATCTCAATAACTAGGTCCAGTGTAGTCCTACCTGAAGGCAAAGGAGATTGTAAGATGTTTTATCCATTCCTAGTATTTCTAAAATTCTACTTACATAGAGATAAAAACTTTGAACAAAGTCAATAGTGTGGCCCTTTCTATGAAACGGAAAGTGAAGCCAGGAAGATGCCAACCTAAGTTACATTGTCACATTTCTGTAGAAGTGAATAGAGTATTTATAAACATGCTGAACATGGAGTATTTATAAACACACTCCATGACTAGAGTGTGCAATTTAAGCATTGCATTTTAATTAGAAGGGACCTGATTATTATAGTATTTTGACCAATTACTCAATATGAACTAAGAGACTATTATAGTGAGACAGTTTAATAGTGTGTTAAGAGCCTGGACTCTGAAATTATACTGTCTATGTTAAAATCCTGGTTCCTCCAAGTACTAGCTGTTCAGCCTTGGATAAGTACTTAACCTCTTTGGACCCCAGTTTCTCTTTTGCAAAGTGAGGATAATAATAGTACCCATCTACATCACAAGGTTGTGGTGAGGATGAAATCAGTTAATATGTGTATATATGAAGCACTTAGAATAGCATCTGCCATACATTAATAGTAAAACTTATATAAGTTAATTATTTTTATGTACATCTATATATTGAATTGCACTGCCTCGTTGGATTCTAATATTCTTCCACCATCGTTCGTGTTTCTCAGGATTGGCTTAAGGATGGAGAAGCAGTAAGGTCAAAGATTAAAAGAAAATTCAAGTTAACTAGGTAAATCTAGTATTCTGTCATTGTGAATGAAAGTTGGGGCGCATTACTGTGGTAAATAATGAAAAAAGTCAGTGATTTGTGAAGATTTTAAAAGACTGAACCTTTTGATCTTGTTTTTTAAAAGTGTAAATAGATAGTAGGTAGAATATTAAACCAGTTTTATTTTTCAGCATGTTTATAAATACTATTTACACTATGTGAAATTACACACTTCAATGTGATTGTTTGCAGATGACATCCAGATTCGATTTTATGAAGAGGAAGAAAATGGTGGAGTCTGGGAAGGATTTGGAGATTTTTCCCCCACAGATGTTCATAGACAAGTAAGTGATTTATTATTATTATTAATCCTTATTATTTTTAGAGATGGGATCTCACTCTGACACCCAGGCTGCAGTGCAGTGGTACAATCACAGCTCACTGTATCCCCCAACTGTTGGGCTTGAGGGATCCTCCTGTCTCAACCTACCAAATATCTGGGACTACAGGCATGCTACCATGCCCAGCTAGTTTCTTCAGTTTTATTTTTTTTGTAGAGATGATGTCTTGCCATCTTGCTCAGGCTCGTCTTGAACTCCTGGACTTAAGCGATTATCCCACATTGGCCTCCCAAAATGCTGGGATTATAGGCATGATCCATATTACTATCATCATTTTATACTTTCTGCCTTATTGAAATTTAGTACTTAGCTTCCATCTATAAAAAAGAAAAATCATAAATATTTAACTTCCATAAAACAGTACTATTTTTAAGACTCATGCAGGTCATCCAAAAAAGTTACCTACTGTAGAGTTATGGGCAAGGTTCTGTTAGATCGTTTGCTCTGAGATGTTGGCAAGATATTTAATTGCTGCCTAATCCCCTAACCCATAAGACAGTGCCCCACAGGTCCTTTAATGAAAATGTTTTTAAGTGTTCTACCAAAGTAATTATGATGAGACCTATTTTATGATAGCACCTAATTATGATAACACCTTAAAAGGGTGTTCTAGGAGTCATCTTCTAATTGAAGCTGATGTCATCCTGTTAAATGAAGATTTCCCAATGGCAACTGATTAAATGATCAGTTTAATCATTTAATAACATGATAATGCTGAGCCCCCACCTTAATTATTATTCTCCTATTTACAAGTAATTGAAGAGTATTCTCCTATTTACAAGTAATTATCTGGATTGGAAACAATCCAGATATTCATCAGTAAGTGGCCAGTTAAATTATGGTCTGTCCTTTTGATGAAATATCATGTAGTTATTCAAAAGAATGAGTACTCTGCGAACTAATATAGAAAGATCTCAGTTATACAGTGTTAAAATATTTTAAAAGATGGGTGTAGAACAAAGTGTGTGTAGAAATGATTCTATGTTCATGCATAAAGAAATTCTGGAAGGATACCTAAGAAATTAATAACAGTATTTACCACTGGCTGGTACACTGTAGGAACTGCATGGATGGGGAACAAGAATGTCAAAGAGAATACCACTGTATGCTTTTTTATATTTTATAAGATCTTTATCCCTGTGAATATATTACATAGTCAAAAAATCAAACTGAAAAATGCTTAAATCCCTAACATACCACCAAGAACTAATGTGTTATGATGCCAATGTAAGCAATGTTTAGTTTCTTCTCTTCATCACTGGCCTGTAGCCATCTCTCTCTTTCCATACCCAGTCTTTCTGATGTTGCTCTAAATAATCTTGGAGGCTTTTAAGGCTGCTTTGGAAGAGAAGAAAGTATATGCAGTGAATTTTATAAGCATGATATTTACAACTAGAAGACATTTGAAATAGACAAATGAAATAATAAAGCTTCGTAGTACATTAGCATAGCATTGTATTTTGATTTTACAGTAGCAATTTCATAAAAATGTATCGGTATAGAATTCTGAGTTTGGAACTTTCTCCAGGACACGGTGTTTTTTAGTACACTGTGTCTAAACATTGGGTATAAAGAAAAGCATAAGGAATGTGTTTAATGAGTAGCATTACTGCAAAAAAAAAAAAAATGTAGTCCTACACCAACATGTGGTTCTTCGTATCCTGCAGTTTGCCATTGTCTTCAAAACTCCAAAGTATAAAGATATTAATATTACAAAACCAGCCTCTGTGTTTGTCCAGCTTCGGAGGAAATCTGACTTGGAAACTAGTGAACCAAAACCTTTCCTCTACTATCCTGAAATCAAAGGTAAGTCAGTTGTTTAAAATCTTATGCTCATATTTTATTTTATTTTATTTTTGGTTTTTGTTTTGTTTTGTTTTGTTTTGAGACAGAGTCTGACTCTGTTGCCCAGGCTGGAGTGCAATGGTGCAATCATAGCTCACTGCAACTTCGAACTCCTGGCCTCAAACAGTTCTCCTGCCCCAGCATCTCAAATAGCTGGGACTACAGGTGTGCGCCACCATGCCGGGCTAATTTTTTTTTTTTTTTACTTTTAATAGAAATGAGGACTTCCTACATTGTCCAGGCTGGCCTTAAACTCCTGGCCTTAAGCAGTCCTCCGGCCTTGGCCTCCCAAAGTGCTGGGATTACAGGCTTGAGCTGCCATGTCTTGCCATTGTGCTTGTTCTGAGAAGAGGACAAGCTAATTAGAAAAGATCAGTTAGTCACCTCCTTTGAACAGCTTTCTAGTAACAGGTCCCTGGATCCATGGTGCTTATTTTTAGAAGAGACAGTAGTATATTATTTTGAGGTCATGGAATTAGTCTAGCTTTTTAAAATAATGTTATTTCCACCAAGCTTATATGAGATTTAGACATTGAGAATTTGTCTTTGAATTTGAGAATCTAACATTTATTGACTAACTCAGAGTTCAAGCAGCTGAGATGAAAAAATCAGGCTTGCTGTTTAGGAGAATCAGCCAGTTAGTCAACCAGCCTCAGGCGGTGGAACAGAAAACTTGGCCAACATGCACTGTGAAACTATGAAAATGAGTAAGGCATCATTCTTTCTCTCACAAAAGATGCTTTAAGAAAGGGCACTCATAGGTTTCTTAAATAGTTATAATGTAAATTATGATTTTAATAAGTACCGAAAGTGAAGCATCCATAAAAATATAAGAGAATGTTGAAGAGAGAGCCCTTGGTCCCTTTATTCTAAAGCAGCCTCCAAAAAGAAGGCTTCGTCAAGGAGATATCATTTGGCCCTCAGCATTTGGGGTATATTTCAGCAGTTGGGTGTTAAACAGAGAAGGAGAGGGTTCTCTAGGTTTAAGTTACTTGAGGAGCTTAAAGAGAGAGGTAAACACAGCGTTTATGCAGAGGGAAAAAAGTGTTCTGAGCGCTCGGATGGACATGAAGGCCAATGTGGGTAAGGAAGGCCAGGGCCAGGCTAAAGAGGGCTGTGAATGGCAGCTTAAGAATTTTGCATTAATTCTGGAGAGGGATAGCCGGGCCTGCCTAGGTTTGGAATGATGGCTCTGACTTCTTTATGTCACCACTGAGGGTACCATTTAGGAGGCAGATGATGAGTCAGAAGAGTAATGCAAGAATCCAAGTGAGAAACAGTGCAGTTAGTAAAGGTCCTAGTGCCAGGAATGAAAGGAGATGGTGGACTTAAGAGAGAGTGCAGTGATACTGTGATACAGTGATACTGTCAAGAGGGCCTAGAGGTCGGAGGTGTAGGAGAGACGGGGAGTCATAGATGGGTCTAAGACTCCCTGACCAGGAAGCTTGTGATGTGGTTGACTTGATGAAAGGAACAAGGGAGCAAAAGTAGATTTGGGTGGGAAAAGAAGGAGCTCAGAGTAAAACATGTTATATTTTAGGTCCCTGTGGGAAAATCAAGTGTAAGTTCTTAGTAGGCAGATCAAAAGGCAGAACTGGAACTCAAGAGAGGACAGGGTGAGAAATTTAGCATTAGAATCATCTCAAAACGAGATATAACAGGCACCAACTGAGTCATCATTCAAAGGTATTTCTTAACCTAGAGTCCACTGACCCCCAAAGAGTCTGTGGATAGAAATGTACTTTGATATCATCAGCTTCTTTTATAATCCTGTTTTGTATTTTACATACTGAAAACCATGATTCTGAGAAGAGATCCATAGAGTTCACCAGACTGCAGAAGGGGCTGTGGCACAAACAAAATTAGAAACCCCTCAGTTGGAGGGAAGTGAGACTGGGAAGGGAGGTCAGTAAAATGATTGCCACGGGGCACCCAGATCCTTGCTGAGGTTGGAAACCGCAAAGGTGCAGCAGCAACAAGCCACATGGGTGGGTGTTGTCTCCTGTGAGAGCAAGATGTGATAGGTAATCTTTGAAGAGGGCTTTCCTTTCCTAGAATTCGTGCTGCCACAGGAGTGTTTAGAAAACGGTTCTACAAGTTCTTGTTTCTTTTCTGAGGTTGTGGCCTCTCCATTGTTTGGTCAGATTTGTAGTGCACTCTATATCCTGGTGGTTTGAAAACATTGTCAGCACAATAACTTTTCTTTCTTCACATGAGATTTCATACAAAATCCCAGTGTATGGACATGGTAGGCTTTGATTAAAATAGGGGTGAAGGGCCCTGCCAGCTCGGCCTTCCGAGAGGCTGTCCCACCTCTCCTTACTTCCCTATCAGGAGCTGCTGGAGGTCTTTTGAATGCTTCTGCCTACACAAAATGATGTGAAAATCACTGCTTTAATTTAAACACCCTTCTTTAAAAGTAGACACAGAAGAAAAATATGGATAATTTTTTTAGACTTTCTGAGGAAAAAAATAGATTTCTTCTCCAGAAATATGTCTTCAAATAATGCCAGTTTTTGCTAACACAGAGAATCATGAAGAAAGAAAACCCAGGTTACCTGTATGTGTATGAACCTAGAAACATTCAAAGCTCAGCTTGGTATCTAGGCTGCCTGTCTCCCTTTCCCAGTGGTATCTATGCCTCAGAAAAGTATGTTATAGTGGGGGTATATTCAGGTGATTACTTTAATGCCTCGTTATCATAGTAGGAACTATCCAATGCAGGGATTAGAGAATGGGGTCACCTGAAAGTTCAAAATTGCACCTGTATGCTTCATGCACCTACCTTCCAGGCTGTCATTGATGAAAAGCTTCATACAATACAAAGTTTAAGAACTGTCTGGAGAAATACTTACCCATTGAGCTCTGAAGGAAAGAATGGACAACATATATATATATGAGGACAACAAATTACTTGATTCTATAGAAACCTTCTGGATTATAAAAACTCAAGATAATAGGACCAAGGAGAAATAATCTGACCAGGCAATATAACTGGTCAGAAAAGTAGTAGGCCATTTAGCATTAGAGTAAGTAGATAGAAATGGATCCAAACTGTACAACCCAGGGAAACATTGCATACATTTCTCA
This sequence comes from Homo sapiens, assembly GCF_000001405.40. Lineage (NCBI taxonomy): Eukaryota > Metazoa > Chordata > Mammalia > Primates > Hominidae > Homo > Homo sapiens. The sequence continues at coordinate 102,587,950 of NC_000004.12, forward strand.
GAAGTCATTGAACACACTTTTCCTTACCCCCAGTCTCTGTAGTCATTCCCTATCTCATTGCCTAATTTTATGTTCTTCATTATTTTTATCAATATGTAAACCTGTCTTATCTATTTATTTATGGGTCTATTGTCTTCCTACCACCCCGAGTACAAAGAATCTTCTTTAGGTCATAGACTATCTAGAACAGTATAAGTTGCATAGAAAATGCTCATTAAATATCTGTGGACTGACTTATTGATTGACCAGCCAAGCTGCCATCCATCCTCATCTATAAGGCTAGTAATATGTTGGGTATCATCAGGTAAGACATTATACATAAATATAAAGCATCATACAGAACCAGCCCGGAGCTTTGCATCCTCTATGGTCATCAACATTGTACTTCACAAAAAATTATTGGAGATGGTTGGGTCCAGGGGAGACGATCGAAATAATCAAGAGAAGGATGATTGGCAGAGGAGGAAGATAGTTGAGGAACTGCTGTACAAAAGCAAAAAAAAATAAAAAAAAAATAAAAGAGACCATAATGATTTTTCAGTCTGAAAGATGGAGATTAGGGATAAATAATCTTTAAATTATGAAAGGTATGGCCAAGATAAATGCAGTCACCTTTACTGGTAAACTAAAACCTGAAAAGTGAGAATGAGGTACTTTTAAGGCACATGCACAGAAATAGGTAGCAAACACTAGGAGATTATCCATATTTGTGAATTGAACTATTATCTAAAGTCATCAACTGTTATGTAAAGTCATTGATTATTAAAGTCACTGGTTATTATTATACAAAGCTATTTTGGAGTGTTTTCAAAAGAATGACAGCCTAACATAATGAAAACATCACTGCACTTTGAGACTGATCTTGACTCCATTGTGACCTCAGATAAGTCACCTAACCCCTCCTAGCTTCAGTTTCCTCTCCTGCAAAAGGAGAACTTGTAGTAAGTGGCTGCTTTGGTTCCTTCTAAAATAGGTTGATGTTTCATAGTACATCCCATGGTGCCATTGTCAAAAGCAGACCGCAAGGATAAATGATCCCTTGAATATGGAGTGTGAAAGTCTCCATATTCAATTCTGTGGAGATTCAAACAGCAGGTTCTTTTATAAAGCTTATGTGGAATGTTCTGTATCAGTTTCTTGTCATTGGAATCTTACTAGCTGTGTTATAATTAATATTTTGCCCTTAAAATTCCCATTTTACAGTGAAATACAGCCAATAAATATCTCTCTGCTTTAAAAGGTAAAATGAATACATAGAAAATACTAACTAGTCTCTTTGCTGGAATCCATGTCAATAGATAACATTTATTTCTGAAGATAAATAAGTTGCCTGCTTCCCTCTTGTGTTTCATATGTCTGCAGTGAACAGTAATGAGTATAGCTGTAAATTAGTTAAGATAGAACCGATGGGGAAATTATAAATCTGAATCTAAAACATATTTGATAAGTAAGTCAAAGTTTCTCCACTTAAAGGTCATCCCCTTCTAGTGGAAGCATATTTTTCTCAAAATTTGGCAACCTTGGTTTTTTTTTTTTCCTGGGAAGTCTGGAGATGCTCAGCTTTTAAACAACTATTAAAGTGTACTTTGTTACCCTGCTTTCCCCTGCTTCATCTTTCAACTGCAGTTAGATGATCATGAGATAATCAGTAAACAGAGACCTTCTATCTAGCCCTAAGATGACTGAAACAACCACAGAATTAGAAATAATCGAAGTTCTTTCTGAACATAAGCATGACAAAACTGACATTGAAGAATCAGAAATAGAATAATTGTTAAGGGTTCAGCACTAATCAAAAAAAAGAATACCTCATTGACTGTATTTAATTTGAAAAAACGAAATAAAACCTCCTTAACTGCTCCAGCCCAAAAAAAGAGAAGAAAGGTATATGATAGAAAAAGAAGAGAAAGAAAAGGAAACAGAAAGGAGAAACAAGAACACAGTAACACCACATAGGCAGTAACGGAACTCAAAAGGGCATTGGGGCTGGTGAGAAGCACAGATAGCGAGAAACAGAAAGATGAAAACAAAACAAAAAGAAAAGCAATCAGAAGTCTCAGAGGGCATCACTGTATTGTAGTCAAATAGTGGTCTTAGACTTTTAGCCCCAGTATCTCATCAGTCACCAGAGGTTACAGATCCCTTGGTTACTGTTTTTCTGGCATCCACCCCATTTTTATTATCCTGGTGACCACTAAGGAATGGGCCTCCATCACTTATGTCCGCATTGTCTCTGCCTCTCACTTTAACTCTTTAGTATGTCCCACACACACGTAAAAGATGAACTTCCTAAAATACCATCCCCTACACATTATTTCCCTGTTCAAAAACATTCAGCAGCTTTCTTGCCTGTAAGTTCATTCTCCGGGTGCTCCGCAGTGTTGTCCCAAACAGTTCCATTTCTCAGGAATTCCTTATACAGTCATAGCTTGTTTCTTTATATTTTGCAAATACTGTGATTTTTACAAATTGAAGGTTTGTGGCAATAGTGTCAAGAAAGTCTATTGGTGCCATTTTTCCCACAGCATGTACTCACTTTATGTCTCTGTGTCACATTTTGGTAATTCTCTCAATACTCGAAACTTTTCCATGATTATTATATCCATTATGGTGATCTGTGAACAGTGATCTTTGATGTTTTGGGGGTACCACAAGAAGTGTCCATGTAAGATGACAAACTTAATCGATAAATGTTCTGTGTGTTCTGACTGCTCTACTGACTGGCAATTCCTCCATCTCTCTCCCTCTCCTCAGGCTTCCCTATTCCCTATCACACAACCATATGGAAATTAGGCCAATTAATAACCTTACAGTGGCCTCCAAGTGTTCAAGTGAAAGGAAAAGTCACACCTCTCACTTGAAATCAAAAGCCAAAAATGATTAAGCTTAGTGAGGAAGGCATGTCAAAAGCTGAGATAAGCCCAAAGCTAGGCCTCTTGTGCCAGTTAGCCAAGGTTTTAGTGGTCTGAGTAGAAGATTAAACCAGCCACAACATTCCCTTTTACCAAAGCCTAATCCAGAGAAAGGCCTTAACTCTCTTCAATTCTATGATGGCTTAGAGAGGTGAGGAGGCTGCAGAAAAAAAGTTGGAAGCTAGCAGAGGTTGGTTCATGAGGTTTAAAAAAGAAGCCATCTCGATAACGTAAAAGTGCAAGGTGAAGCAACAAATGCTAACAGAGAAGCTGCAGCAAGTTATCCAGGAGATCTAGTTCAGAAAATTGATGAAGGTGGCCACACCAAACAGATTTTCAGTGTACAAGAAACAACCTTCCATTGGAAGAAGATGCCATCTAGGACTTTCATAACTAGAGAGAAGATGTAGAAATGCCTGGCTTCAAAGCTTTTAAAAACAGGCTGACTCTCAGGAGGTTGAGGTGGGAGGATCACTTGAACACAGAAGGTCGAGGCTGCAGTGAGCTATAATTGCACCACTGCACTCCAGCCTGGGCAACAGAGTGAGACCCTGGCTCAAAAAAAAAAAAAAAAAAGGCAGACTTTCTCATTAGGAGTTAATGCAGCTGGTGACTTTAAATTGAAGCCAGTGCTCATTTATCATTCTGAAAATCCTAGAGCTCTTAAGAATTATGCCAAATCTTCTCTGCCTTTGCTCTGTAAATGGAACAAGAAAACCTGGATGACAGCACATCTGTCTACAGCATGGTTTACTGAATATTTTTAAACCCACTGTTGAGACCTACTGCTCTGAGAAAAAAGAAAAAAAAAGGATTCCTTTCAAAATGGTAGTGCTCATTGACAATACACCTAGTCACCCAAGAGCTCTGAAGGAGATCTTTTCATGGCTACTAACAGCCATTCTGCAGCCCATGGATCAAAAAGTAATTTTGACTTTCAGTCTTATTGTTTAAGAAATACATTCTGTAAGGCTGTAGCTGCCGTAGATAGTGATTACTCTGATGAATCTGGGCAAAGTAAATTGAAAACCCTGTGGAAAGGATTTACCATTAACCACATTTGTGATTCATGGAAGGAGGTCAAAATATCTACATTAATAAGAATTTGGAAGAAATTGATTCCAGCCCTCGTGGGTGACATTGAGGGGTTCAAGGCTTCAGTGAAGGAAGTAACAGCAGATGTGGTGGAAATAGCAAGAGAATGAGAGTGAGAAGTAGAGCCTGAAGATGAGACTGAACTGCTGCTCATGATTTAACTTTCATGGTTGAGGAATTGCTTCTTATGGATGAGCAAAGAAAGTAGTTTCTTGAGATAGAATCTACTCCTGGAGAAGATGCTGTGAACATTCTTGAAATGACAATAATTTAGAATATTCCATAAACTTAGTAAAGCAGCAGCAGTGTTTGAGAGAATTGACCCTAGTGTGGAAAGAAGTTAAAACTGTGGATAAAATGTTATCAAAACAGCATTGTATACTATAGAGAAATCTTTTGTGAAAGGAAGAGTGAATTGACAAATTTCATTTTTGTCTTATTTTTAAAAATTGCCACAACCACCCAGCCTTCAGTAGCCACCACCCTTATCAGTCAGCAGCCATCAACATTGAGGCAAGACCTTCCACCAGTACAAAGATTACAACCTGCTGTAGGCTTAGGTGATCATTAGCCTGTTTTAGCAATAAAGTGTTTTTAATTAAGATATGTACATTGCTTTTTAAGACATTCTGTTGCACACTTAATAGCCTATAGTATAGTGTAAACATAATTTTTTTGTGTACTGGGAAACCAAAAACATCATGTGACTTGGTTTGTTGCAGTAATGTGGAATTGAACCTTTCAATATCTCAGAGGCATGCCTGTACTAAACTTTCACTTCAGCCAAACTTATCTACTCCTGTTCTCAAAAGCACCCTGTGTACATCTTCTTTTTCCTCTTCTTATATAAAACTGATTCTGAGAAGCCTTTCCTGAATTTCCCATCCCTCAGTGAACTCCTAAAAGGTTTTCCCCAAACTCCTAGAACACTGATCTGCACCATGAATTTAATGTATGTCCTGTTATAGTGCTGTCTCACTAAGTCTTTCCCCCACTATCTTAAAATTATGTTGGAGGGTTCTTGGCAGCAAAGACATTATGTCATGCTTTTTTTTATTTCCAGCATTTAGCTCATTGTAGATGCATAATAAATGTTAACTTTTTAACATGAGTTATTTTGTGTGACCAAGCAAAAGGGTCAATAATTTTTTAATTCAGCATCTTCAGGATCTTTTTGATGGATAATCAAATATTTCACTAGTTTTAACAACACTGGGGACTTAAGAAACTGTTGTAGAGTGGATTTGGGTGTGTACTGCTCTGTGGTCTCTCTGGAGCTAACTTTCAGCCTTCATACCCATTGGAATAAATATAACGCTTCTTGAAATTTACCATCTCTTCCTCTTTGAGTGCTTTCTATTTCCCTTTAAGATGTTTAAAAATACCATTAGAATCAGTGGTCTTTCTGTGGCTAGTGGTGGGACCAAATCAATCTTTTCTCCTCTGGTTTCTCTTCCTTTAAATACAGATAAAGAAGAAGTGCAGAGGAAACGTCAGAAGCTCATGCCCAATTTTTCGGATAGTTTCGGCGGTGGTAGTGGTGCTGGAGCTGGAGGCGGAGGCATGTTTGGTAGTGGCGGTGGAGGAGGGGGCACTGGAAGTACAGGTCCAGGTACAAAAATACTTATTCTTCCTAAAACTTTTTCATATTGGAGAGGGTAGAATTTTCTTTTCTTTGGTTTCTGAGCATGTCTGTGAGTTGAGTGGCTATGATATTATTGAGTATATTAATTAAAATTTCCTGACAAATGTAAATTTATTTTTCAAAGAAATCCATGTTCATTTTACAATATGTAGGTAATCTCAAAAGTCATTAAGAAGAAAAAAAAGTACCCCAAAGCCAGTTATTTAATGAATACCTTCCTAAAGATTTTGGTATATTTCTCTTTTACATTTTTTGACATAGTTGTCTTGTTTTTGTTTGGAAACATTGAAAAGATTGTATATTATCATACTACAATATAGCTATATATTAAACATCTCTATATACTACATTGTAGAAACTTTGAAAATACATAAAATCTGCCATCAAAGGTTAACTACTACTATTTTTATGTATATGTTATAGTATATATTTGTAAATTTTACCCTGAATACAGCTGTGATCATCATTATGCATTTTATTTTAATCCATTTATTTGCAATACTATTTTACTATCATTTGCACCATGACTGTGTGTATAGAGTCATAGGTGCAACGTTTACCTGAGATGTTAACATAAACATTTCCTCCAGTAATATGAACTTTAAGCATAAATTTTAAGCATCATTTTAATGACTCATTTCCTCAAGTGAACAAACCATAGTATAACTTACTTACATGTAGTTTCCTGTTTTCTATATAAAATGCTATACTGAACCTCTGTCCACCTAACTTTTCACTTATTCCAGATTACTTTTGTAAATTAGAGTCTTTGTAGTAAAATTACTACGTCAGAGGGCATGACATCTAATGCCATCTGTTTTCCCAAAGAGTTGTACCAGTTTATGCTTCCACCAAAAATGCCTAAGAATGAACAGTGGTGGCCATTTTTCCATTGAGGAGTCAGTATGTTTTTCTGTGCTTTGTTTGATTAAGTTTTTTTCCTCAAGGGGTTATTTTAATGTCTTCTACATAGGCAAGTCTGAGTTTGGTTGGTGACCCTCACTATTAGCCTCTCCCCTTCACATAGGAGTGAAGGCTTTCTCCATTACAACCCCTCCCCAAATCTGGGGTGCTGTCAGAGTTGCCAACATGTAAACTTTACCAAAGTGGAATTCTGATAGTCCCATGACCCCCACCATGTGTCTTAGTCCCAACAGAAAAACCATGTGTGGGCACAATACTGTCCTGTCACACCAAAGGCTGTGCTCACCTGAGAGACAGACACTAAGTTGTGCTGAGTCTTTGTAAAATATCTTCATGATGTTTCATTTGTTTTACTTGCCGTTTCAGGGTATAGCTTCCCACACTATGGATTTCCTACTTATGGTGGGATTACTTTCCATCCTGGAACTACTAAATCTAATGCTGGGATGAAGCATGGTAAGTAATGCTTTGTTCTTAATACCAAGAAAGGAAAAAAATAATTAATGCTAAAAAGGGTTTTTAAAATCATTACTTATCACAACAGTATTATCATCTTGACAAATAATTGATGAATGCAAATAAACTAAGAAGATACTTTTCCCAAAAGATATTATTTCCTGTGGCTAGTATAAACTCTATTACTTTTATATATTTTATATATTTACTTTGTAAGTGGCATGAACAGAGGAAAGAAAAGAGCATTGAAAAGAGACAACAGAGACCTGACTATTCAAATATTTTAAACATCATCAAACTTAATGTATTCTGTCTCTTTTTTTCTCAAATAGTACACTTCTGAAATCATTTTGAGTTTTATAGGATCGGTCTTTTCCCATCAAGTCATCCCCTGAGAAGCTGCAGTTAAACCACATGTTGATAGTTTATATTACAGGTCCATTCTAGTGTACCCATGGAAGAAATAATACTATAAAGAAGTCTTCCCATTTATTGAATACCTATTTTTGTGCCAAGTGCTTTTACATGTTTTAACTGTTATCTTCATGACTGCTCTATATGGAAAATAGTAACTCCATTTTGCACACAAAAGGCATCAAAGTTCAGAAATGTTCGTACTCACTGAAGGCACACAGAAGTTAGTGGCAGAACAAGAATTTGAAGCAGGTCTCCTGCAGAAAAGCTAGATGCTCTCATAGTATCTGTCAGATAACATAGTTGAACCTGAAAGAGGGTGATCAGGAATGGTACACTGGATAACTCCCACACTAAAGAATGTGAGTCGACAACACGTCTTTATGATTTGCTTTGTTCATTAGCATTAGGAAAAAACTGCTCTGTTTTCAAGAACTTTAAAAATTCAGCTTTCCTGCAATTCATAGAAGAGCTTTATTTCATTTTTCTCCTTTACAAATAAGCAAAATGAGATTTAAGATTTTAGAAGTATACTAAAAATGATTTTTAGAAATGAGTTTAGAATATCTCCAAAACATGGTATTTATGATATGACCATTTTTAAAAGAATTTTAAATTATTATTTTTCTTTTCCTTTTGCAGCAAACTTGTCTCTTACCTTTATCTGACCTACATTGGAATAGCGAATTATCACTAAATACATTTTACTGAGAAAAATCTGATGTTTTTGCATTTATCTTAGGAACCATGGACACTGAATCTAAAAAGGACCCTGAAGGTTGTGACAAAAGTGATGACAAAAACACTGTAAACCTCTTTGGGAAAGTTATTGAAACCACAGAGCAAGATCAGGAGCCCAGCGAGGCCACCGTTGGGAATGGTGAGGTCACTCTAACGTATGCAACAGGAACAAAAGAAGAGAGTGCTGGAGTTCAGGGTAAGTGAGCACACAAATTACGTTCTGTTGGTTGGCTGGGGAGGGGTCAGTCCTAGGTGCAGAAAGATATCTGCTAATCTAAAGATGATATATCAATATCTAGTTTAGTGTACTCTTCAAAGTTCTGTATGCCTTTGGAAAAGCATATGTCAGATCATTTTATTCACACTGGGATTTCCATTTTTGCTCTGTTATCTTTGAATGTAAAGGACAGAAATTTATATGTACATTCTCCAGTCATAATCATGCAGTTTTAGGGTATTGTGAGAGATAATCAACTTCTTTTCTGGCACAGATAAATAGAGAAGTATTTCCACAAGCTTAATAGTCACCCTGTCTAGATTCTGGCTTAACCGTCATACTGAAATAGAACTTTGCCTTAAAATAGGAACTTTTCTTTTTATCTTGTGCCCTCTTTGAAGAAGTAGGATTAGGAGAAAATGTACTTTTGCGTTTACTGTGAACCAATACTTATTAGCATATGTGTCATGATTCTAGGTCATCCTAGATCGTACTAAGAAGACGTCTATAAAAGCAAAGGTAGTAAATATTTAGAGTTGGTGGCCACATGTGGTGTCTATCACATATGCTTTTTTTTTACACCCCTTTAAAAATGTATAAGCCATGATTAGCTAGGGAGCTATATGAAAAGCAGGCCATAAACAGGTTTTGGCCCAAAGGTCACAAATGCCATTCCCTGACCTTAATGGAACAAACTTTACAAAAACGTGAGTGGCTCATTGAACGTCTCTGTTTATGGCAGAGATGTGTGTTTTTTCACACATTGCCTAACAAGCTAATTGTTAGAGATTCCAATGAAGGATTATTTCACCAAGATATTGGTGATTTAAAATCATGGTAAAATCTAACATTGTTTGGAGATTGTTTTCCTTAAAATAACAGATAATGGTCGTTCCCTTAAAATAATACATTTCTAAACTTTTTTCCTCTAACAAATCATACACAGATTCTTTAAGATCAATCTCTAACTATATTTGTCAGTGACCCAGTGTCCAATTCTGCTTTTTCTAGTCCACACAATCCAAAAGCATTGAAAGAACATTTTCAACTAAAATGATATGTCAAGGTGTCAGAACACTGATGCTGGTCAGTTTGTCCTTAAGCATGCCATACCCATAAAACAAAAGTAGGAACACTCAACTATGATTGTGGTCATTGCCTTACAGATAACCTCTTTCTAGAGAAGGCTATGCAGCTTGCAAAGAGGCATGCCAATGCCCTTTTCGACTACGCGGTGACAGGAGACGTGAAGATGCTGCTGGCCGTCCAGCGCCATCTCACTGCTGTGCAGGATGAGAATGGGGACAGGTAAGTCAGAACTTTTGCATGATAGGTTGTCCTGGGTGGGGAAGAAGAAGAGCATCGTATAATGCATACTGACTAGAGATAAAAATAATTGTTCAAATATATTGAGTCCTCTAACTGGAATGATGAAGAAAAATAATGTGTGAATAAGGTTAAGTAGCACAATTTGCTGCTCCATCCTGCTGCTGTCATCTGTTGGAATCTGTAGTAGCTGGAGGACTCATCTAAGAGTGAATCTCTCTGGGCAAGAAAACTAAGATGTGTGTAGGTAATGGTACTTTTTGAAAAGCCTTGCTTTGTTTATTGAAGTAATATTTGGAGAATTGTTAAGAGTCCTACCAAATCCCTGAAGCATTGTTATCCCAGCTGCATATTTATGACAGTGTACTCAAGAAAAAGCCCAATAAAGGCAGCAACAACAACAGAAAGATTAAGAGGGACTGGTCATTATTTCCCAGTTACTGGTTTCTTCTCTGCTCCCTCTTCTGATGGTCATCAGTCTATGACTGTTTCAGACTTTTGTGACTGCTCCAGCCCATATGTGGGAGTGGAACATTCCAAACACCATGCCTTCCATTCTTGCTATTACTGAGATTGTATTTGCAAAGCCACCTGGCTTCTTTCTAAAACAGTTCTCTTAGTCCTTTCATTGAGACTTCTAAAATGATCTCAAAAGCCTATAAAAATAACAAGAGACAGCAGCCTTCACATTCAAGTCAAGTGCCTTATCTAAAACCTTCCTAAAATAGCATCAACATAGAGAAATCCTTTTCTGTGGAAGAGCTCTTGAGTGCTGTGTTTTAGACTTCAGTTTAAAAATTAAACCAAGCACTTTAGGAAAGTAACAACCTCAGGGTTTCAAGCAGAGACACCTTTGTTCTCATTCCTTGCAACGTAACCAAGGATGTGGTATAACCACTGGCCTTGTTATACAGTATGAGAGGAACCAGTACAACCTTCTTGGTATAAAGCCATGAACAGCAGAATTCTTTTTCAGGGTTAAATAATCCAGTTAGCATTCAGTAGCATACAACCACAAGAAAAAGCAGTTAACCAAGACAGTACAGCAGTGTTTCAAGTGGCATTTCCAGGGACCTGTTAAATTGATAAGTCTAAGAAGATGAGCACATACAGGTTAGAAAGGAAGTGCTGATATCTGAAGGGAGGATTGTTGGAAGGGATACAAGGCGAGGCACATGCAAGTTCCCTCCTAAGACCCAAGCACACTCACACAAGCCGGCTCTCAGAGAGGCCACAGATTTGGGACTTGGAGAGACCAGAGGATCCTCATAAGAGCATAGGTATAGGGCAGCTTTTGGCCATCACAGCCCAAGTCTCTTGTTTTAATTCAGCTCGTCATATTTGGCTAATAGTTTAAATCCTGTGGCCATTAGTCATCATAGAAAATATAATAAAGAAAAATATATAAAACTTCTGCTATTGGGGAAATTCCCATAAGGGTGTGAGGATTTGAGGGGGAGGGGGAATGTACTTCTGCTATGAAATGCTGAGCGGCACATGGAAATTTTCGAGCAGTTTTAGAAGTATGACCTTTTTCTTGGTGTATGTGCATCATGTCTATGTCAGAGTTTAGGCCCTTTTCAGAAGTCTTCTTCCAGTATCACATTTCAAGAAGCAATAGTGAAACCCTGAGATCATCCGTTTTAAAATATTTCTCAAGTAGCAAAATCACAATTTAGTTTTTTAGGCTCTTCTGTGCCGGAGTTAATCCCAAGTACGATATACTTGCTATTGCTAAGGAAGAGGCTTGAGTAAAGTGGCACCTGATAGCTTATTTTAGAGAAGATCCAGCCTGTACCTCGTGTCCCAGATGTAGTGCTGCTGCGAGATGCTTTAGTGTGCTCTGCACCTCAATCTGTCCATGCTCTGGAGTGGTCATCTTCTTAGACATTCATCTGAATGTCTTTAGAACAGTGCACATGTATCCCCTATGCAGGATTGCTTAAGGGATTAAGAGATGGCTTTGGAGTAAGACAGGCCTGGGCTTGAATCCCAGCTTCACCACGTATTGGCCTTGACTGAGTTATATGACGCCTGCAAGTCTCAGTTTCATTAGCTGAAAAGTGAAGATAATATTACCTAACTCATAGGATTATTGTTATAGTAAAAAGACAATATATATCAAATGCTTAGCATAGTCTGGTAAATCAAAGCTCCCAACAAATAGTAGCCACTGGTAAAATGATTGTTATTGTTATTGTTTTGAATTTTAATAGTATGTTTTTTAATAATTAAAAGAATTACGCTCCTGTGAGTGACTTTGACACCACCAGTATGTTCAGCCTCATTAGCGTAAGCTCTTAAGTTCCTTCTATCATTCTTATTTTTGTGCCTCTACTGCATGCTAGGGTTGTAAGGCTGACTCAGACAGAACCTGCCCCAGAGATGACAGGACAGAGAACGAGAAAAATGTGTAGAAAACTGCAGTTGCATAACCAAGCAGTAAATTTGAGAGGGACAACTTGCTCCACCTAGGAGGTTAGGAAAGTATTCTCTGAGGATGTCAGGTTTGAACTGGAATATAAAGGATGGAGTAGGCATTGTTCAGGCAGAAGAAAGGAGCAAAAACATTCCAGGCAGAGGGAATATTTGCTGGAATGTTTGCAGGAGTGGTGGGAAATACAATCACTTTGTTTCTTCACAAGTTTACTGCAAGAATTTTCTTCCAGTAGTTAAAAGCTTCACTCCATTCTCCACTCTTGGGATCTGGAAAGATCTTTAAAAAACCACCACACTGTATTTTGGAGGAGGGCAGCAGGGCTAAGTGAGGTAACTAAGTTTTTCTGAACAATTCCTAGTGCCAGGCATTCATTTTACATAGAATCTGTGTGTCAGGAAAAGTCAGGGGGAAAGGTAGAGAAGAAAACCGCCCAAAGCCATGGTATAGAGGCAGGATTGGGATTTAAGCTTAGGTCTTTCTGGGCTGGAAGCCTCAGTGTGTTTATACATCAAGGGGTCAAGACCTGAATGCTCCCAGAGGCCAGGAAGGTACCACAAATAACGTAGCAGCCTTGGGTAGGCAGTTGGGAGGGACCAGTCCTCTGGAGACAGCATCCCACCTCAGATTCAATGCATTTTATAGATTCAAAACATTTTAGGGCCAAATAAAACTAGGTATGAGAGCAGATTCCATTCTTGAGTCTAATCACATCTTGGGAATCTTTTCTTTTTCATTAACATTTTAGTTAATTATTGCCACTGTGTTTTCATTCCAGTGTCTTACACTTAGCAATCATCCACCTTCATTCTCAACTTGTGAGGGATCTACTAGAAGTCACATCTGGTTTGATTTCTGATGACATTATCAACATGAGAAATGATCTGTACCAGGTAAGCAGAAATCTCAAGAAAACAACTGAAGAAAAATCTGTAGTTTACTTTTTCTTCTGTTATGTTTGGGTGCATGTTATTTTTAGTAATGTTAACAGTAGCAAAAACAAAAACAAACCTTTGTAGGTAATATCTAAAATCCCATTAGTTGAGAATGTTACTTTATGATGTAGGATCCTTTGATCTGTGGGTATAACAGCCATCAAGCCACAATGAAATTCAGCATCCCGCTGGGGGAAGGCAAACTTTAAACTTTAGAAATCAAACAGTTTTTTCATTTAAGAGGGAGAAACTAAAGTAAAAATGTCACATCTGTCAAGAAAAATAAAGTTAAAAAAAGTTTGAAAAGCCAGTAATTTATAATAATTTTGAAGTCTACTGAAACATACCTTGACAACATCCAGATTAAATGTATATCAAATGAAGCATTCTGAAATCACCACACAGAAAGGTTAAAAGTTTGCTTGAGGAGGAAAAGGTGTCTTTCAAAAGCAGAAAGACAGCTCCAAGTGAGGAAAAGTGGGAACACCAGAGTTTTGCCCAAATCAGGTTTTCTTAGGAATTAATTAGGTGGGCTGAAAATACAAGTTGAGGAACTGTTTTTTCCAGAGGTCTTCCAACACTGCAAAGGGAGAGTTAGCTGGAGACACAGCGAGGCCCTTTGATGGGCATATGCAGAATTCAGGGAGAGGCAAGGAGCCTGGGAGCCACTTCGGCAGAAGCAGAGCTTGGACGTTGGTGATGGGAGCCCAGTGACCCCAGCCAGCCTTTCTGGCTGAGCGACTGCACTGGCATGAAACCAAGATGGGGTTCGGCTCCTGAGGTTTCCTCCTTCCTGCCCCTGATTGCTTTTCCCACCTCACTGTCTTTCCCCTACTCCCACCAGTCTGCTGTATGGGGCTCCTGCCCTTGCCCACTTCTTACCTTTCCATTTGTCTCCTTCCCTTCATCGACCCGAAGCATCTTCCTCATCCTCCTTGGAGAGATGGTTTGCTGGTTCACGTGTATCTCTCACTCCAAAACTATGGCCAAAATCCTGTGTAATTATTTACTTAGTAAAGATATTTGTTCCTGCTCTCTCAGTTTTTATAGCAGTGATGTGAATCATTTCTATTTCCTCACTTTAAAGGAAAATGCTTTTATTATTTTAAAGAAAATTAATTAAAACTTCATTTTCTTTAAAGGAAATTAAAATATCTATTTTCTTATTTTTATTTCCATTCTTTAAAATGTGCTTTAGGCTGGGTGCGGTGGCTCACACCTATAATCCCAGCACTTTGGGAGGCCGAGGCAGGCGGATCATGAGATCAGGAGATCGAGATCATCCTGGCTAACATGGTGAAACCCCGTCTCTACTAGAAATACAAAAAAAAAAAAAAAATTAGCCAGGCATGGTGGCAGGCGCCTGTAGTCCCAGCTACTCGGGAGGCTGAGGCAGGAGAATGGTGTGAACCTGGAGGCTGAGCTTGCAATGAGGCGAGATCGCGCCACTGCACTCCAGCCTGGGTGACAGAGTGACGCTCTGTCTCAAAAAAAAAAAAAAAAGTGTGCTTTAAAGTGCATTTAAAGCAAAACTACTAAAACGTTTACATGTGGCTCTTAATAGTTTTTACCTGTGACTAGGTAAAAATTAATAGGTTTCCTGATAGGGGAAAATGACCATTTTTCATTCAATATAAGTCACCATTAGGCTTCTTCACTGGCTCTTGTGCTTCTTGTCAAAGGAAAAGTAAAGTTAGTGACTCTTCACTGCCTGTTAATATAAAATAACTAGTATGAAGTGTGATTGTAGATTTACATTTAAAGGATGTCTTCTTGAAACTTTCATACCGTTTTGGGGTCATTGGTATCCGTAAGGTCATTTTGCCTGTAAAGCTTGATTCTCGCAGACTTTTGGCTGATTGTTCCTTGTAGTCATCACAAATCTATGAATAAAACCAGGAATGGGACATTGTAGCTTGTCAGTCCTCTTTTCAAACCCTGCTTAACAGTCATATTCAAGGAATTACTTATTTTATGTTTATAAATAGGATCTGCAAAGGACACAGCACAACAGGATTAGTAGCTGTGATTTTTTTTTGGAGACAGAGTCTCACTCTGTCACCCAGACTGGAATGCAGTGGCGCGATCTCGGCTCACTGCAACCTCCACCTCCCAGGTTCAAGCGATTCTTCTGCCTCAGCCTCCTGAGTAGCTGGGATTACAGGCGTGCACCACCACACCCAGCTAATTTTTGTATTTTTAGTAGAGATGGGGTTTCACCATGTTGGTCTGGCTGGTCTTGAACTCCTGATCTCGTAATCTGCCAGCCTCGGCCTCCCAAAGTGCTGGGATTACAGGCATGAGCCACTGCGTCTGGCCAGTAGCTATGATTTTTTTTTTATATCCTAAACTCTTTACTGTATCATTTGGTTACATATGTTGAGACTCTCCAGTGTGTTAGAGACAAAAACCCTGAAACCGCCACCATTGATACTTCTATCCCTTCTGATTTGGGGACTCTCAGAAGACTATACGTCCATTTTTCCCCTACCTTACCACCAGTCTGATTAATGGGCAGTGATTCTGGCTTCCCTAGTATGCCTTCTAGGTGTCAAACACACACCCAATGGCAACTTTGATTTGAGAATTAGAAACTGCTAAGATTTGAACTCTTGATTATCTGTTGTAAAGGTTCTCTAGTAACTATTCTTAATGGAAAATGATACAGTTCTCTAAATAATTTGGATTATTTGACAGTTAAGCATTCTTCCCAAATACCTTTCACTAATCTAAGTACATTTCTGTGACCATCTGTCATGATCAAATTCCTCTCCCCACCCACCCTCTAGAAACACACTCAAAATAGTCCAAGTGCACCGAGTTAGGATTTTTTATGAAAATATTCTCTTTAAGCCTTTTTCTCCTTTCATTCTCCTTCCCCCAACATAGACAACCACTCTATCGTGTTTGGTATGGATTGTTTTATTTGTGTATGTTCCCATAAAACATTATTGGAGGGTTTTATGTATTTTTATGTTTTTAATTATTATACATATCATGTATATTCATAGTTTTAAAAATGGTACAGAAGAATCTACATTGGAAAGTCAAAGTTGCCCACCCTGACAATGCCCAGGTCTGCTAGCACAAATGTCACTATTGTGTTTATAGGTAGTTTTTCAAGTACTGGATACAAATGTACGTATACTTGAAATACATAGATATTTTCATATACTCTCACATACAATCCACATTATATTAAATGTACTTCTCTTGCCTTGCATTAACCTTTAAAATTTTTTTAATTTAATTTAATTATAGATTCAAAGGAGGTTACAAAAACGTACTAGGAAGTCCTAGTATTTACTGCAAGGAAACCAGAGGTCTCTTCACCCAGTTTCCCCCAATGGTAACATCCTGCATAACCTCAGAACAGTGTCAAAACCTGGAAATAGACGTTGATACAATCCACAGATCTTAATCAGATTTCACCAGTTTTACACACACTTGTGTGTATCTGTATAGTTCTTTGTGCATATATTTTTTAAATGCCTAAGTGGCATTGTGCTACATGTTACTGTATTTCTGCCTTCACTGCTTATCCACACAGTTCTACATATAGCTAGTTTGTTGTTTCAGCTCCTGAAGAGAATCTAGTATGGGTCTTTCACCTATAACATCCTTGTTTCCTAGTAGTAGACATTTAACCAACTTCTAACTTCCTACCTCAGTAGATAATACTGCAGTGACTGTCCTCACTTATGTCCTCTTGTGGATTTGTGTCAGAATTTCACCCAGATACATCTGCAAGAGTTGGGTTGCTGGGACATTTGTATATTTGGCTTTCCAGAATGTCTGTGTAAGTCCCCATGCCCACAGCCATAGCATGAAGGTATAATTGTTTAAGATATAATCCTTGGATTTAAGAACTAGAAGGTTTATATCATGGAAAACCATTGATTGGACTGTGGAAGAAAATATTAAAAAAAAAAAACCTCTCCGACTCATAAGATATTTTTTAATTAAATTCAAGCTACAGATAATTTATAATTCCTGAATGGTATACTATCTTATAATTTCAGATCCTTTTTTCACAATCTCATTCTCTTTCCTTTTCCCATCTCCCCAAGTAGCATTTCAGAAAACACAGATTAGTAAACACAGTTTCCATTGACTTATTTTTGAGAAGAAGGCTCTTGGCAACAATATCTAAAGTTTTGAGGACATCACTTCATTTCAGGCCAGGTTGATAGTCCTAGAAAATGAAAGAAATAAGGGCAAGTAATAATTTGGCAAAAAAAAAGGGTCTTGTATAGTAAATAATCACTGTAGTTGAGATTTAGACTACCCTCCCATCATTCATCCTGCCAGTTATCATGTGCTGTGGTCACCTACACAGCTAGGAGGTTGGTGGCTCACCTGCTGCTGTAGCCAGTAACTGCTCAATGAAAAGGGAATTTTAGGCAAATTGTCACAAGACTGGCTGGATGTCATAGTTAGGCTCCTGTGAAATAAACTGATTTGTATAAAGATACATTGCTGTTCTCTGTCAGTGAACTCAGTTATTTGAAAGATACGTTTGTGATTGTATTTGTCTTACTCATTTTTGAAAACACACAGTTTGCAAAACATCTTATTTGCATTCACCGAAGTAATACCTTGTGGGCAGGATAGTCAAATGGACTATTTAAGTACCTATTAGGTATCAGCAGCTCACCTTTTTTATTCAGCTGAGCCCCCTTGGTGAGATACTTGTATTATCCTGGTTATGTTATTTAGAATCTTATAATACCTTTTATGAAATGGGTGTAGGAAAGCTATATTGACTGGTCTCAGGAGCCAGTCCATGGGACAGTATTTTTTAATTTAGTAAATTTAGTTTCCATGTCAGCATAGAATCATGGCACTTTTGTTAATTGGTTTCTATTGAGTACTTTATTTAAATTTCTTCAGTGAAAACATAGCCTTAATTTGATTTGTTAATATAAAATTATCAGCTGGAGGTAACTCCTACCAGATATTTAAGAAAACTAAATTTACTACTAGGTGTGCTCAAAATCAACAATCAGTGGGTTGTAGTGAGAAACAAGAAGCTATTAAGACTTGTAAATATGAAAATAACCCACCACAGAAAAAATTGTAAGTATATGAAGTGATGGATTTGTAACTTAGCCTGATTTAATCATTTTATGTTGTAAACTTAGATTAAAACATCACATTGTACCTCATAAATATATACAATTACTATTTGTCAATTAAATTTAAGATAAATAAGAATTTTAAAACATGAATTATTGAATGGCTAAGTGTTAGTACAGTATATGTACTTCATTAGCATATAGTATGGAACAGGATAACTTGGGTGCCAAGGTCAGAAGTTAATCTGGGAATGAGAAATATTCCTGCAGTATGGCCCCACCTATTGCAGTAACAGCTACCAAGCTGTGAGTTGTAAGTAAGTATTCACTGCTGACCAGTGAATCTCCTGCCCTTTCACTTTCCAGACGCCCTTGCACTTGGCAGTGATCACTAAGCAGGAAGATGTGGTGGAGGATTTGCTGAGGGCTGGGGCCGACCTGAGCCTTCTGGACCGCTTGGGTAACTCTGTTTTGCACCTAGCTGCCAAAGAAGGACATGATAAAGTTCTCAGTATCTTACTCAAGCACAAAAAGGCAGCACTACTTCTTGACCACCCCAACGGGGACGGTAAGAGACAATCACACATCATTGGTGTAACTTTCTCCACCTTCTAAATATCTACTAGGTATTTGATAAACGTGTGTTATTTGATTTGCACCCAAAAGTGCTTTCCTTAGTCACCTGGAGTTCATCATCTCTTTTGGGCATTT
Organism: Homo sapiens; assembly: GCF_000001405.40. Taxonomy (NCBI): domain Eukaryota; kingdom Metazoa; phylum Chordata; class Mammalia; order Primates; family Hominidae; genus Homo; species Homo sapiens. The sequence goes on from NC_000004.12 coordinate 102,606,841, forward strand.
CTGTTGCTCACCAAAGCTAATTTTTTTAAAGATGATTTGGAATAGTTAGTAGGAGGAGAAAGCAGAGGCCTGAGTAAAGATTCATCTTGAAGTACACAAAGCGTCGTTTATTCAGAGAATGTTTATTTATGTTCATGTCTCCTGAGAACATAATAGGAGACTGTGGGTCTTCAAAGCAGAACAATAGACTTATAGTATCTTTACTGTCCCTCCCCATGATTCAGTTTTTGCCATTTCCTTCAGCTTCACAAGGGCCATCTTGTGAGTTAGCCATCCCATCCTGTGACTGTCCCTTTGCTTGGACTCTAGGTCTGAATGCCATTCATCTAGCCATGATGAGCAATAGCCTGCCATGTTTGCTGCTGCTGGTGGCCGCTGGGGCTGACGTCAATGCTCAGGAGCAGAAGTCCGGGCGCACAGCACTGCACCTGGCTGTGGAGCACGACAACATCTCATTGGCAGGCTGCCTGCTCCTGGAGGTGAAGGGCACACTTATTTGCTTTTGCATTAAATTTCTGAGGGAGATTTAAGGAAATCTTTTCAAAGAAGGAAGTCAGTAGCTGCTGTTCTCCCTTACAATCAGCTCTATTTGTTTAACATTTATGGAGGGCTTCAGAGTACCACCTTTAGACATTCCCCCAACCCCCTTGCTTGGCATCTCTAACTGGGGATTTCTTCAATGACAGAGCCAGCCCAAAGTAGCAATTGGGCTAGTAATAGGACCCAAGGAGCCATGCACACTGGGAGGTGGGGACAAAAGGGCAAAAGAACCTTCCACTAACGCTTTCTTGTGTGGGCTGGATTGTAGGGTGATGCCCATGTGGACAGTACTACCTACGATGGAACCACACCCCTGCATATAGCAGCTGGGAGAGGGTCCACCAGGCTGGCAGCTCTTCTCAAAGCAGCAGGTAAGATGGTGATCTGGCGGTCATTAATGAAAAATGTTACCAGGAATGCAAACCCAACTTCAATAGAGCAGTCATGTTGCCTTCTTTAAGCCACAGACCTACTGCTGAAAAACAAGGGTAAATAAAAATTATATGGCAAATCACATTTTATCTGCCATAAGGCACTGTTTGGACTAGTAATCTTGGGCTTTACCCTGATAGTCATTTTAGTTTTTACTTTCTGATTCATCTGTTTGTTTGGGGTTTGATTGTTTAGATTGACTCCCATGACAAAGGGTCTTTTCAAAGTAGAGTTTGATTCCTTATAGAATTCTGAGTGGTATTAGTCTCAGATCATATCAGAAGGCCCCAGAAGAAAAAGATTATTGGTATAAGAAATCATTTAAAGACTTCATTTTGAAAGAAATATCTCTTAGAAATTGAAGTGTAGGAAAAAGAAAATGGGCCATGTATTAAGACCCATTATGTGGAAGGCACTAAAAATGGCTAGCACTTATTGACCTTTCTGTGTACCAGGCACTGTGATATGCACTTTATGTGCACAGTCTCATTTAATGCCCAATCACCCCTTGTGACAAATACCATTATTCCCCATCTTAGAGTCAAGGAAACAGACTAGAGAGACTACCAGATCCCACTTCAGGGTTCCAGTAAGTGACAGAGCTATGAATCACACTTCGGCAGTGTGAACTTCAAGACTTTATTCTCTGTACTATGTTTCTCTCTCCTATTTTGCTCATAGGTTTGCAGATGTTATTCCATTTAATTCTCTAGTCCTGTGAAGTATAGAAAATTATCCATGCTGATCTTTGAATCTCCAGTGCCTTGCATATTTAGAACCTCAAAATATGTGTAATGAAATTGGCATCTGAAGCCTGCCCTGACATATCTGATATACTTTAGAGGCTTTTTTTTTTTTTAACTTAAAAGGTAAATGCTTCATAAATTCAAGAAAACAAAGCAAAAGACATAGGAACTTTTTCTTTGGGACACCATATTTTTCTTTTCTCTTTTGTTAAATAGAACTTTTTCTTGAACAAGAAACTCTGATTGCAGTGGGTATTAATAGTTTTAGAAGACACTGATTAATTAAATGCCTTCCAACAAGAAGCTATAACCAGCCAGACGTGATGGCTCACACCTGTAAACTCAGCACTTTGAGAGGCTGAGGTGGGAGGGTCACTTGCACTAGGAGTGTGAGACCAACCAGGTTAACATTGTAAGACCTCATCTCCATTAAAAAATTTAAAAAGTAGCCAGGCATGGTGGCATGCGCCTATAGTCGCAGCTAGTTTGGAGGCCGAGGTAGAAGTATCACTTGAGCCTGTGAGTTCAAGGGTGCAGTGAGCTACAGTTTCACCACTGCACTCCAGCCTGAGCTATAGAATAAGAATAAGACCCTGTCTCAAAAAAAAAAAAGAAAAAGAAAGAAACTATAACCCTTTTAAAAATGCTTTATATTGAATTCTCAGAATCCCATGAAAGGAAAAGCAAGTAACAGTTTCTCTGATATATAAATGAAGAAACTCAGATGAAAAACCAAGTCCTAATCTTAATGTCGTGGAAAAGGTCAGTTAAGTCCGAGTGTGGTGGCTCACACCTGTAATCCCAGCACTTTGGGAGGCCAGGGTGGGTGGATCACCTGAGACTGGCAGTTCGAGACTCACCTGGCCAACATGACGAAACCCCATCTCTACTAAAAATACAAAACTTAGCTGGGCGTGGTGGCATGCATCTGTAATCCCAGCTACTCAGAAGGCTAAGGAAGGAGAATAACTTGAGCCCTGGAGGCTGAGGTTGCAGTGAGCTGAGACTGCGCCATTGCACTCCAGCCTGGGCAACAGAGCAAGACTCCATCTCAAAAAAAAAAAAAAAAAAAAAAAGCGTCAGTTAAGAGATAGCTCATCCCTCCACACTTTGGTCCTGTAAATTGTTCATCTTAATTTCTCCATGGATTACATTTATTGCCTCATAGATCAGGCCAGAACTGGGAGAATAAAATCAAGAAACAGCATGAAGATCCTTCTTTGTTTCCCATTAAGTACTCCTCTATTATTGATATTGACCCATCTGATGTTCTCCCAGCAAGATAAAAACAAGTTCCTCCCTCAAAAATGGCATCATTAGACATCAAGCTAAACACTCATAAAAATCATCTAAGCCTCTGAGAAGTAACTCTAGCTCTAGTCTTTGAGTTACTTTGATGTTTTGTTTATTTGTTTGTTGTTTTTGTTTTTGCTGGATGCTAAAGAGCAGACTACATTTCCCAAAATATTTCAATAATTATACATCCTAGTAGGTTTGTTTATTTAAAGATCAGAACCCTGGCATTGCTGTACCCAGCAATGAAACTGGCCATGCTGTCACTAGACATCAAGCATCTTTGCTCTTTTGAGTGTCCAAGAAAAGGGGCTGAGAAATACACATTGTCATGCATAAATTTGAACAGTTAGGACCCTAATCCTGAGGGTGCACCCTAGTGGCTGTAATCATGCTGTCCATCAGCCCTAAGATTAAAGATGCACTATTCAGTTGAGAAATATCCTGTAGAGTTAAATGTGAAAGAGTATTTGAAGTCTTTTTTTCTTCAATAGTATCTTTGGCTATTTCAGGTGTCATAAGACACTTTAACAATCAAAGTAAATTACAATTTTAAAATAATTTCTCTGGATATTCCAGTAGAAATGTTTTATGATTTAAAAATTATCCAGGAGATTGCCTCAAGCTGCTACATTGCTTTGCCTTTGGGAATCTGACCTTTGCAGGCAGTTGGAAGTTGACAAGATCTGGGTTTACCTAATGCTGTGTAATCTAACTTCGCAGGAGCAGATCCCCTGGTGGAGAACTTTGAGCCTCTCTATGACCTGGATGACTCTTGGGAAAATGCAGGAGAGGATGAAGGAGTTGTGCCTGGAACCACGCCTCTAGATATGGCCACCAGCTGGCAGGTGAGTGCCGCTCCATCTGTCTGATGGCTGCCCCTGAGGGAGTCAGAGGTTCAGGAATGTAAGAACAGATGGTCTTCCTGGTGCTTTATTCCCCAAAGAACATGCCTTTTATTTTTAAGAAAGTCTGTTTGTCAGAGACCATTTTTATCTTGAAAAACCCTATCCATGAAAGATCTAGGTCAGCTGAGTTCTGAGTACGAAAGTGTATGCCTAATCAGATCAGAGTTGAGATGTGAGAAAAGGTTAGAAGAAAAACACAAAATTCACATAAAAGTTACCCATTCCAAATTCACACCATAATTGTGACCATCTCAATTTCTGAAGCTAGGATAAATGTTACTGTTTGCTTAGGACTTAGGTAAGTGATTTCAGGATGTAAAAATAAACTAAGAATTCTTCTTAGAATTTCAATAAATATAAACAGAGTAAATAGATTTAAAGCCTTCCTCAAAACTCCACAGGGCTGAGATCTGAAGGTATAAAGCAGTTACTAGGTCATTTGGCCCCAGGAAGAAAAGCCAGAGGGAGGAGGTGGGCAGCATGCAAGATCTCCAACATGACAAGATCAGTTCTTCTAGAGACGAGAGCTGCTCCACTTCTAAAACTGCTCATGTGCCTCCCACAGCCTGTATGTGTCCAGCTCACTGACGTTAGCATGGTTCTCCCTTTATGTTAGCACCTCATTTCCCCAGAAGGCCTTGCCACAGAACACAAAAAGATGATGCACTCAGTGACCCCACGCTCTCCTTACCCAGGTCAGCCAGCAACAGAGTGACTGCAGAGAACACCACAAATGCCTCGGCAGCTACAGAATAATTTTTCTTTTAGCCTAAGACAATTCTGGACCCTCAGTTAAAATGTCAGTATTGCCAGAGGGTTAACACCAAGCCTTGTGAACATCTAGACATCTCAATTTGAGCAAGTTTATACAATTCATTCTCATAAGCTTGTTCCTATGGAAGAAGGGAGACAGCTTCACAGCTCTGAGTAAGCTCTTCACTAGCCTTAGGTCTCTGAGCAGGAGATGATTGACATGGTGGCCTGGACTGCCTGTTCCTTCCAAAAGGCTATAGCTCTGACTCTCTGCAGTTTGGTTGGGTATTCTGACCCAGCTCAGAGTTTGTGCAAAGCACTATTTCCCAGTACCAGAGCCCCTACAGCTGTTCTTCCCCCAAAGGGTACCATATTCTTGGAGGGTGGTCCTGATTCCTCTTGCCATTCCTCCATCATTAGGGTACCAGGCCCTCCTAAGGAGGACATGCTGAGTTGTTTATTATAAAGAAACAGACTGCCCTAGTGGTCCCTTCGATGTATAACGATTTCTGGTGTTTTTCTTTCCAACAGGTATTTGACATATTAAATGGGAAACCATATGAGCCAGAGTTTACATCTGATGATTTACTAGCACAAGGTGGGTTGTGATAAAACCAGATTCTCTTAACCATTATTATCTCCACACTGTCATTTAAAGGGAGGAACCAGCATTATCCAGGGTCTACTGTTAAAAGTTCTTATTTCAGAACCAAAAGATGCTGGAGGTAGATAAGGAGAATATCCAGTTTTAATCTACTGTAAATGTATACTGCCTTCTACTCAGCTGGGCTTTGACCTTCAAGTAGAGTAGCTTGGTTGGTTCCACTGGGAGTTGGACAGCAAGCCAGGCAGCAATGATCAGTCCCTCCAGAGTGTCTATGGCATGTTAGAACAAGTGTGTTCCTTCTTCATTTCCTTCAGGAGACATGAAACAGCTGGCTGAAGATGTGAAGCTGCAGCTGTATAAGTTACTAGAAATTCCTGATCCAGACAAAAACTGGGCTACTCTGGCGCAGAAATTAGGTCTGGGGATACTTAATAATGCCTTCCGGCTGAGTCCTGCTCCTTCCAAAACACTTATGGACAACTATGAGGTAACACCTTACCTTACAGATTTAGCAATTTTCATTTGACTTTACTCTGTTAACATCTCTGGCCAGGGCATAATCTCCTTCCCTTTTCCTTAACTCTGAAGAAGAAAACCAGTCATTGCCCAAGGCCTGGGAGGGTGACCCAGGCCAAGTTGGCAGCCCATCTTCCTGAGAATGCTGTTTTCAGATACCTTCAGATTTTCCCCGTTTTCAAATACCTGGAGACTTCCTGTGAAAATGCTACGTAGAGGGTCAGGATTTTCACAGAACTTTAACGGCCCTGAGCAAACAATCGACTGTAATCAACGTGTAGCTTCCTGTCCCCAAGAACACACCTTACCCCATGGCAGGGCATTGAGTCATGTTCTGTGAGGTGACTCCTAGTGGAGCCATTACCCGGGGATTTTTTTTTTTCATTTCTAAAAATAAAATGTAGAAAAGCATGGGGTGAAGTTTTCTGTTGAAAATTTCATGGTTAGCTTTTGTTTCTGCATGGATTTCAGAGCTTCAGCTTACAGAGGGAGACTGTGTAGACGTCACTGTAGGCAGAGTTTCACTGCCTCAGCGCTTCTCTCGCTGTCTCTCTCTCTGCTTACTACAAACCACTTCTCTGTGATTTCCTGAGTGGTCTTTGAGCCGAAACAGGAAACTTGATTCGAAGACTGTATTTTCTTAGTCGCTCTTCTCTGCCCTTTCCATTTCCTCCTGGCTCCTGAGTGGAGGAGGCAGCATGGAAGAGGGAAGGGTGGGCTGTCAGTGCTTACAGCCTGCACTGGGACTCGAACACAAGAACATGCTCCTCCTTCCTTTCTTTCTCACAGGTCTCTGGGGGTACAGTCAGAGAGCTGGTGGAGGCCCTGAGACAAATGGGCTACACCGAAGCAATTGAAGTGATCCAGGCAGCCTCCAGCCCAGTGAAGACCACCTCTCAGGCCCACTCGCTGCCTCTCTCGCCTGCCTCCACAAGGCAGCAAATAGGTAAAAAAAAAGACAAAAGACAGTGGAGATATTTTCCAGCTCCCCCAGGCTGGTGTCTTCAGCTCTTTTTGGATATGGTGTGGCAGTTTTCTTTCTCGTTTTCTGGATACACTTCCCTGTGTGTCTCTCTACCCCCTGGGCTCACCCTCTGCCTCTCTTGATAGTACCATTCAGATGAGGGGGTCGTACCCTTGGAAAATCACATTGACACATGAACTACTTAGTAAACACTAAATAATACAATAAATACTAAAAACAACATGATGTGGGTGATTAAATTTAACACATGAGAGAAATAATATTTACCTTAAAGAGAGAACCATCTCCTTCTTCCTTTGCCTCCTCTCTCAAGCTTATGACACTGACCTTGTCCCCCACCATATATGGGACTACGTGTCATGCCACCAAAAGTCTCGCAACCATATGAAATGGACTCTCAACCCAGCCCAGTAATCCTATATTTCCTACAATTTTATTCTCCCACTCTGTAAATGATGATTCCATGCTTTCTATTTCTAAACCCCCAACACTCCTTCCCTCCCCTTACTCATGCAACACCCTTGCTTCACACTCTGTTGAAAACAGAAGAAACCAGAACCCTCTCACCTTTGCACCAAGTGCCAGCCCACCTGTGCCTGTGCCCACATTGGCAGCCTTCCATCCGGACTTGGTGGGTTAAATTTCTTTGCCCAGCTGAGGAGCCACCTCTCCCCTGAGTCTAACCCCCTCACCTTTACTAGGTTGTTGTTCCTGTTAATTCTTACCTCTCTCTCCTGTACTAGCCGTTCCTCCTCCCCACTCTCCGACTAGGTCACCTAGCAAGCATTTCATGATTTCCTCATCTTTAAAAACAAAACACACCGAAACAATCACCCTCTTGATCCCACATCCCATTTAGCTACAGTCCAATTGCTCTATTCCCATACATAGCAGAGCTCCTTCAAAGAATTTTTTAGAGTTATTCTTTCCAGCTTGCCACCTTCCACCCTCTGCTTGGCCTCCTGCAGTTGGGATCGCATCCCCACCGCTCCACCAGGCCTGCTGTCCTCACAGTGACCGGTCACCTCCACATTGCCAGATCTGGTCACCTCCTTTTCACCTTGACCACTTGCAGAGTGTGTCATGGTTGACGCCTACCTTCAACTTCAGACCGTCTCCATTCCTGGCTCCTCCACAGCACACTCCCCTGGCTGGCTCTTCTACACTCACCTTTTAAAGTCACAGCCCTCCAGGGTCAGTCCTAAACCCTCCCTGCTTGGTACCTCACCCAAGCCCAATACTGGCTACATCTGTCAGAAGCGCTGCCATCTTCCAGGAGATTAAGACAAAACCCAAGAATTCCTCAGGAGTCCTTTCTGCCACTAATCACTTCGTATGCGACGCATCGAGTGTCATCCTGTCTGCAACCACCGCCCCAGGCCAGCCTGCCGTCATTTCCTGCCCAAATTCTTGCACGGCTCCTACTCAGTCCCCTTGTTTCCTTCCTGTCCACCTCCCTTCAGTCCATTCTCTGCCCAACAGACGGTATGATTCTTCTAAAAAATCAGTGACATTGTATTAATTCTGGGTTATGCCCTTCAGTTCATTCAGTCATTCATTCAGCAAATCCTGATCCAGCATACACTGTGTGCCTAGCAGTGTTCGAGGTTTTAAAGATAAAACTGTGTCCCTGCTTTACTCGTTTGCTTTCTTAAACATTGCTGTGGAAGCTCTTCCTCCACACTGCGCCTCCATTCCCAAGTGTTTTCTCTGCTCCCCTGGCTCACTAGTCTGACCAACCTTTTGACTGTTTCTTCCCATTCCCTGGAAAGCTCTTAATTGGCTGGCTCTTTCTTGCCACTCAGTTTCAGCACCCATCTCACCCTGCCAGGGGGCCTTCCCAGGGGAGCAAGGGCAGACGTCATTGTCCGCACTTGAGAAAGGAATAATGTATCCGCCGGAAAACAACCCAGATCTCCTGAGTCACAGCCCAGTGCTCCTTCTGCACAGATATTAAAAAAGAAAAAAAGCAAATACTTAACATTTTTTTAAAAAGTAAATACCTAAGCATTAAGCCCTTAATTTGTAGTTATTTTTAGGATATCGCATAGTTTGTAACCCATAATAGACACCAAATAAAGATTGGTTGATTAAACAAATCAGTCAATACCAAAATGATAGTCGTGCCACTGGCATTAAAGTCTTAATATTCTAATATTGGAATTTGGTACATAAGAAGATAGCATTTTGATTAGTGTATGTTAGACTTCTGTTTCCTTCCTCACTGTATAGGAAATAATTTGTCTTGGTCATATCCCTAAGGACACTTATAAACAAAGGGAATTCAACCTGATTTTCCAGTATAGACTCATTTTCACCAAAATCATTTTACTTTTATTGCTACCAAAAATGTTTTCAAGGCAATGTATGCTGTAATAGCATATGAGGCCCAGAGAGAGATCTCATTTTTAGTTCTTGCTTCTGTCACCAATTTATTTTGCTGAGGTTCAGCAGTTTCCCCAGCTATGAAATAGATAATACAGTGGTTGGAAAACTACACTTGATTTCTAAGGGAAAAAAAGGTCCACTGTGAGTCAAGAGAATTCAGAAAGGATTCTCATAAACACAAGACTAGATTGCAGGAAGATGTGAAAGCATTTGGCTAATTCTGACATTTGGCTAATAACATCCTCACAGTATGTCCCAAGTATCTTCTGCCCTTCCCACCACGGTGAGCAGTCATGACAGTGAGGGTGGCATAGGTGGGATGTGTGGCTGGCAGAAGCCAGTGGGCAAGAGTTGTCCACAGAATAGTCCATGAGCTTTTTAGAGCCCGGCCATTCCCCCAGTGAATTTGTGCTTTCTCCCCTCAGACGAGCTCCGAGACAGTGACAGTGTCTGCGACAGCGGCGTGGAGACATCCTTCCGCAAACTCAGCTTTACCGAGTCTCTGACCAGTGGTGCCTCACTGCTAACTCTCAACAAAATGCCCCATGATTATGGGCAGGAAGGACCTCTAGAAGGCAAAATTTAGCCTGCTGACAATTTCCCACACCGTGTAAACCAAAGCCCTAAAATTCCACTGCGTTGTCCACAAGACAGAAGCTGAAGTGCATCCAAAGGTGCTCAGAGAGCCGGCCCGCCTGAATCATTCTCGATTTAACTCGAGACCTTTTCAACTTGGCTTCCTTTCTTGGTTCATAAATGAATTTTAGTTTGGTTCACTTACAGATAGTATCTAGCAATCACAACACTGGCTGAGCGGATGCATCTGGGGATGAGGTTGCTTACTAAGCTTTGCCAGCTGCTGCTGGATCACAGCTGCTTTCTGTTGTCATTGCTGTTGTCCCTCTGCTACGTTCCTATTGTCATTAAAGGTATCACGGTCGCCACCTGGCATTCCTTCTGACCACAGCATCATTTTGCATTCAAATTAAGGGTTAAGAAAAGAGATATTTTAAAATGAGAGTCACTTGATGTGCCATTTTAAAAAAAAAGGCATATTGCTTTTTCTAATGTGGTTATTTCTCTGATTTGCAAAAAAAAAAAAAAAAAAAATACTTGTCAATATTTAAACATGGTTACAATCATTGCTGAAAATGGTATTTTCCCCCTTTTCTGCATTTTGCTATTGTAAATATGTTTTTTAGATCAAATACTTTAAAGGAAAAAATGTTGGATTTATAAATGCTATTTTTTATTTTACTTTTATAATAAAAGGAAAAGCAAATTGATGACCTCACCTTGTTTGATCTGTGCAAATACTTTTCTAAGATGCTTCCTTATAATCATGGGATCATTCCGTATAGCCTGGTTATCACATTCACATTGCCTATTAGAGTCAATTTTTTAATCTAGAAATGAACAAATAATTATCAAAAGGAAAGTGTTTTAACCTAAGATGAAAGCTTTGGATTTGCCTAATCCTTACCCAGCTCATCTTATTTAGATTGTGCCACCTCACTTTCCTCCATCTCATGCAATGCTACACCTCTTCAATGTCTTCTCCACACCTCTGTGATAAAGTATTAAGATTTCCATATACCAGAGGGCCCTGGACTAGGAGCCTTCCAGCATGAAGCTTTGCTGAACAACAGGTGCTGGAGAGGATGTGGAGAAACAGGAACACTTTTACACTGTTGGTGGGACTGTAAACTAGTTCAACCATTGTGGAAGTCAGTGTGGCGATTCCTCAGGGATCTAGAACTGGAAATACCATTTGACCCAGCCATCCCATTACTGGGTATATACCCAAAGGACTATAAATCATGCTGCTATAAAGACACATGCACACGTATGTTTATTGCGGCATTATTCACAATAGCAAAGACTTGGAACCAACCCAAATGTCCAACAATGATAGACTGGATTAAGAAAATGTGGCACATATACACCATGGAATGCTATGCAGCCATAAAAAATGATGAGTTCATGTCCTTTGTAGGGACATGGATGAAATTGGAAATCATTCTCAGTAAACTATCGCAAGAACAAAAAACCAAACACCGCATATTCTCACTCATAGGTGGGAATTGAACAATGAGCTCACATGGACACAGGAAGGGGAATATCACACTCTGGGGACTGTTGTGGGGTGGGGGGGGAGGGGGGAGGGATAGCATCGGGAGATATACCTAATGCTAGATGACGAGTTGGTGGGTGCAGCGCACCAGCATAGCACATGTATACGTATGTAACTAACCTGCACAATGTGCACATGTACCCTAAAACTTAAAGTATAATAAAAAAAAAAGTTGGGAATATGGAAGAGGAAAAAAAATCAGTTTTTGAGCGAGGTACTATTGTCGACATTGTGATGCACAACCAGGATTCCCCTTTGACAAAGGACTATTCTGCTGGTGGTGCACTCTAGCTGTCAGCTTTCTCATGGAATGCTGCCGGGAGCTGTGTCTTCCTAGGCCACATCCATTTCCACAATGGCACCCATGCAACATTGATCAATGTGGACATATGAATAAGCCTGTCCAACCAGGGACAACACTGAAGGGCTGTTGAAGCTTCAGGGTTCCCATTAGAGAGGCTGAGGCTGCATTGCACTCAACTTCTCCCTCTGCCCATCCTGCTTACTCTCTCACCCTTCCATAGCTGTTGAGCTTGAAGGCACTCCAGAAAAACATTTAACATAAATTTCCAACTCAGAGTCAGTCTCCCCGAGAACCTTGCCTGCACAAGGTGCTTGGAACCATGCAGAACAATTTTGCGCAACACATTGAGCCATTAATCTTGAAAAACAACCCAACTTATAAAGAAGGAAATTGAGGCTTAAAGTAGACCATAGCTAAGCTGCTTCTGAGTTTACACCCAGCTCTGTCTAGCTCCAGAGCTCATGATGGGATATTATCCTGATGAGAAGGCAGATAAAAATCATTTGAGTCCAGAAGTAGGCTCCAAAATATATAGGAATTTAGTATATGATACAGTAAAATTTCAAATCAATGAGAAAAAGATGATTACTCAATGTATTAGTCTGATAAATGCTGATAAAGACATACCCGAGACTGGGTAATTTATAAAGAAAAAGAGGTTCAATAGACTCACAATTCGACGTGTTTGGGGAGGTCTCACAATCACGGCGGAAGGTGAAAGACACATCTTACATGGCATCAGGCAAAAAGAAAATGAGAGACAAGCGAAAGGGGTTTCCCCTTACAAAACCATCAGATCTCATGAGACTTACTACTACGAGAACAGTATGGAGGAAACTGCCCTCATGATTCAATTATCTCCCACCAGGTCCCTCCCACAACACGTGGGAATTGTGGAAGCTATAATTCAAGATGAGATTTGAGTGGGGACACAGCCAAACCATATCACTCAATCAACAGAGGTCCCAACCGGCTAATCACTTAAAAACAATCCATCTGAACACCTGCCTCCCTCCTTTCATCAAAATAATTTCCAAATATATCAAAAATTAAGCCATAAAAATATTAGAAGTACTAGACGTCATTGATTGATAAATAATCTTGATATAGGGAAGGCTTTTCTAAGCAAAACTTTTCACTGGTATAAAAGCAGTTTAGGTTCTTCATTTTACAGCACCTCCCAAATAAATAGAATCTCAAGGAGAATCCTACTTATGTTTTCTATTACATTGCCATTTCTCCACCCCTACCCAGCCCCTACCCAGCCCCACTGTAAAGTGAAAAAATACAGCTCTGATTTTCCTCAATTCTTAATTTTCCAACAAGCAGCCCATGCCTCCACACCTCTGCGGGTTCCTTTCTGTGGCAGATCATTGTTTTCCAGCTGGCCACTACAAAGCCTCCTGACCTACAACATGAGGCTGACACTCCTCCCACTGAGGGGAGGGGCCTGGGTTCCTTCTCTGAGAATCTAAGCAAAAGTGACAAGGACGGAGGAGATGCTAAGTGACTTCCAAGGTTAAGTCATAAAATGGAATACAACTTCTACCCCCATCGTGCTGTGCCCTCTGTCTTAGAAGCTGGTCATTGTGTTCTGAGGGAGCCAAGTGGCCACATGGAGGAACCAAGTGCAGGTGTTCAGTCCACAGACTTACTGAGGCCCTGGCTGATGCCAGCATCAACCAAGAGATGTGTAAGGGAGTGAAGCTTTCAGAAGATTCCAGCCCTCAGCCATTGAGTCACCCCATCTAGCCCTCAAACTGCCTCAGCTGATGCCACCATCAACCAAGAGATGTGTAAGGGAGTGAAGCTTTCAGAAGATTCCAGCCCTCAGCCATTGAGTCACCCCATCTAGCCCTCAAACTGCCTCAGCTGATGCCACCATCAACCAAGAGATGTGTAAGGGAGTGAAGCTTTCAGAAGATTCCAGCCCTCAGCCATTGAGTCACCCCATCTAGCCCTCAAACTGCCTCAGCTGATGCTGCCCAGAATAGAGACAAGCTGTTCTGCAGAGCCCTGCCCACATTGCAGATTCGTGAGCAAATTAAATAATGGTTGAGGTTTTAAGCCTTAAGTGTGGAGTGGATTGTCACCATGCTCCAGGCTTCCAACTTGACAGCTCACCTACCAGAAGTTCACTTGAAGTGAAGCTGACTTGAGGAGGAGGAACAACTAAGCAACTCATGCCAAGATAGAAAAATCACATTCCCCTTCTTTCATAAGAAGCCCCATTTCTCTTCTGTCCCAAAAACTTACTCTTCCTCCCAGATCTCAGTGCTGGCCTGAACCTCTGTGTGGTGCTGCAACAGCAAGGCCACCAGTGCTGTCTGGGTCTCTGTGAAAGTATCTTTCATATTGTACCAGCAGATGGAGATAAACCAAAAGGAATGCAGGAGATCAGGTGGAAAGCTATAATGGGCCTGAAATAAACCTTCCCAGAAAGCTTGTGTCACAGCAGGAGGCCATTTAAAAATAGCTTCCTCAGAACTTCAGTCATTTTTGAGGTTTCTATACTCTGCAGGCATAACCCAGACTTTTTCAGGATCAGCGGTCTTTCTTTTCAGCAGAACGAAGCCCTGCTGCTGCTCATTTACCTATCTGCGTCTTCTGAAGTAGCTGAATGTGGCACAGACGTTCCTGGTCACCACTATGGAATGCAGCTGCACAAACTGGACTTTGTACATTTTAACAGGAAAAAAGGAGGAGGGGAAAGATCCAGCCAGCATGGAGCATTTATTACATGCCAGCCCTTTTGGATTAATAATTTCTAATGATAATTCTCAAGACACCCCTATTAGGTATATATTTAACCCCAGTTTATAAAAAGGAAATGAATGATCTGAAGTTATTAAATAACTCGCCCCAGATTCAAATGCCGGCCCATCTGATTCCAAAGACTATTCTTTAGTGAGGTTTGCAGTCCTTTGACAAAAACATGCTTTATTTAAAAGAGAAAGAAAAATGCATACAGTCCTGTACAAAGATGATGGAGTCGTCACGTACCCAACCAAAATGCAAAATGAACCCAAAGTATAACTAAGAGGACATATTGCTTGGAGACTTGATTTTCCCCCTAATAAAAGGCAAGGATGCCTTAAATATGAATTATTCATTGACTGGAAGTTATTGCATTTCTTTCAGCCTCCTATTTTGTGCTTTTGGGGGAAATTCTGTTTCTGACTTGTGCTTCCCCAGGGAATGGACATGGGAGGCACAGGAGTCAAAAGAGGATGAAACTAAAATTCTGTTTATTTTCTTGAAGATCACAGAACTTGGGGTTGGTTAAGATCTTAAAGATCACCTTCCTAAACTATCCAAGTTTTTCTGAATGCCTACAAAGTGAGAGTGTCTCTTCTCCATTGGCCTCACTGTGGCTGGCTGCTTCATGTAAATACCAATCCTAGAGACTACAAGTTCCTGTCCATTGGTTTTCCAGGTTTGTCATTTGGTTTTGGAATTGGGGGAGACACTGAGGAGAGGCTTGAAATTAAATGGATCTCCTTCAATTACCATGGATTTCATTATGTCCACAATAGCCTTTTTCTGTTACCCTGGACAAATGAATAGTTCCACAAGTTGTTCAAGCTTCTTAAGATGAAAGGGAGGAAGGGGCTGAGATAGCATCATCTTACTTCTGTCAACTAGCTTTTCCACGTTGATACCTCTTTCCAAAGTGATTATTTCATTGAACTATCACAAGAGTCTTCAAAGAATAAAGATATGTGTTCAATCAAGATTTCTTGGGCATCTGTTGCTTGCCAGGCACTACAATGGGTGGTCATGGGGAAACTGAGACACATGAGAGGCATGACTGCAGGATCACTTGACTCCAGTAACAACACTGCAGCAGGGTCAGGGGTGAGTAGTGTCTCTCTTCCACTTAGCCACACATGGATCCAGGCTGACAGTCATTCTTCCTCCAACGCTTGGCTCCTAAGGTCTTGCTAGGGGCGATAGCCCCAGTCAGCCAGGAGAAAAATGTTGAGAGAAGTATGTGAGGGAGTTTTGAATGTGTCACCTCCTCTCATGTTGTGCTGGAGAAAAACTTCAGTCCCTTGGTCACACTAAGAGCAGTGAAGATAGAAGGGTGGTCTACTTCTGTTCCCAGTATTAAGAGAGCTGTTGATTTTGGAACAGGTCACAGCCTTTGGCACAGGTAATAATCCCTTCACTGAGGGAGGCTGAGCCATAAGGTTCTTTCTAGTTGCAACTTGTATGCAGATATTCACTCTGAAAGTCACCTGCAATCATGGTAAATGGCCATCACTAAAGGCAAGATCATTTCGTAGGATTAAGCATGAAGATTGCATTGTAAGCACAAAGTCACAGTTTTTCTTAAGGAAATCCTCAGAGATGATCAAGGATATGAGGGCAGGTAGGCTGGGGAAGAGGTATAGCAGCTATATCTTGTTGCCCTCGCACTGATTCACAGAGATCTCTGCTCTCCAACCTCTATGCTCCGTAGTTCCTTAAACGCTGCACAAGAAGTCCTGGGCTTGTAGACACCACAGTTAGCGTTCAAGAGGCCCTGGCCCTTTAAGATCCTACCCAAAAGAAAGGGACAAGCAAGTTTATCTTAGTTGTGTTCTGCAGAAAGCTGGAAAGACCTTGGCTCCCATTTTCTCAGATAAATTGGAAAGGAGCAGAAATTGGTTCTTGTGGAAATAATATTCTCTTCAGGCCAGAAGGATAGCAGATGAAACAAATTCTTGAAAACTTTTCTCCCAGGATTCCTTCTTGGGATCCAGGAAGCAGAGCTGGTGATGAAGATAGTGAGATGGAACCCTGAGGACTATGTTGGGGACACATCAGATCAGGGAAGGCTGTAAGTCGATGCCCAGTAGCAGACAACCAGGTTACTAGGTCTGTTCCCTGGCGAAAAGAGATCGATATTTTCTTCATTTCAAAACTGTTTCGCAGTTCCCTTTTTCCTTTTCCTAAAGCAATAATGCACAACTTATTTTTTGGCTTTAAAAAATTGAATGAAAAACTTCATGTCGTGGGTTTTTTTTTTTTTTACATTTCCAGCATCCCTTTTTATCACCTTATTCAAATGCAAATGTTCAAAAGTCTTTTGAAATAATTTTTTTCTGTAATTTTGAAAAAAATTCGCAAAATAAAAAACTTTAAATGTAAATGTTTTCATTTAGAAAATATTTTCAAGTACTGACTGTCATAGCAGCCTGAGAGGTGAACAGGGAGGGGTTTGAATTCCTGCCATTGTCCACAGGACAGAGTTGCTGATGTGCTGGAAGGCCCCTGGTCTAATGTAAAGAGCAAAGGCTGGGCCGGGACTCAGTCTTCAATCCCCATACTGTGCTCCTTGGCTTCACGCTGCAGCAGTGCGTCACGGAACACACAACTGTTTCAAAGGGGTGGGTCATGCCCAGGAAAGGGAAGAAGCTTGCCAACAGGGGGCTCTGAAGTATTATCCAAGGGTGGCCAAACAGCAGGAAGCCAGCATTCCCTCAACAAATGAACTCAGCTCCAGCACACATGATGCTTGGCACCGGTCCCCAAGAACAGGCCCAGGAAGAGGCCTTGAGTCCATGCTGACTTTCTTCCTCCTACCCACTCCTTCCAGCCCCACTCCTTTTGCTTTGGGGCCCTCAGAAGCTTTTTTTCTCCACCACTTGCTTCTTTCTGCCACTTCTTTGTGTCCCTTCACCTTCCCTCAACAATTCAAGCCAGGACCCCCAAAAAGCTATCCATGGGCCACCCACATTAATGCAGAATCCTGCCTCCCAGCTGAAGCAAAGCCTGGCCTAGGGAGGCCAAAGGGATCAGAAATGACATCCCCGTAAAGACCCATCGTAATCCCACAGACAGGTCCTGCTACAGGAGCAGGGCTGCCAAAAAGCAACATTCTTGTTCTCTTCCTTTAGGTCCTGAAGCTCCTGCCCCTCCACCACTGCTGCCAGCGACCACAGTAGCAGGGGGAATTTTACCTCCCCAGTATATGGAGACCATATATGCTCAGGAAGTGCATATATGCTCACAGATGAGCAAACCTCTCAGGCCTGATTGATGCAAGCAGTCCTTAGCATTCTTCTCCATCCCAGTTTTGATCTGGGAAGGTCAAAGCCACCATTTGGCCCCGCCTTCCTTTACTGCCTAGCCAAATGCACATCTTGAATGATGAGCAACATATGCACACAGCGTGTGGGCCAAGGACGATTTTGGTCCCTCCACCAGCAGAATGTAATTCCTTTCCCCAAATCACGCCCATAGCTCACAGTTTTGGCCCTTTCCTGATTGTTTTGTTACTAAGCCTTTAAATAGCTCATCTGACTTCTCCTCTGTCAATCATCTATTCAGGAGGCTTGGTACCAAGTTTTCATAGATCCATAGTAAGTAAATTTGAATTAAAAAGCATTTATATGCCACACTTTTGCCAAGGTAGCAACAGTGGATGGAAATGAAATACACATGCTTCTCCACTTACAATGGGGTTATGTCCTGATAAACCCATTATAAGTCAAAAGTGCACTTAATACCTTGATAAACCCATCATAAAGTCAAAAAGTCATAAAATCGTAAGTCAAACCATTGTTAAGTCTGGGACCTGTCTGTAACCAAAAGACAGGCAGAAAGTAGACAAATTTGCTCTGTGGATCTGAACCTTGTGATCCAGCTATGCTGGTGCTCAGCCTTTATTAGCCCTGGATCCATGGAAGAAACCAGAGCTCAGCAAACAGAGACGCCCTTTGGGTTCCTTCTTTCTCCTTCCACCCTTCCTCCTCACCTCCCTCCTTCCTCTTTCTCCCTTTCTCTCTCCCTGTGTCTATCTCTTCTCTCTCCTTTCCTTTCTCTCCTTTTCTCATTGTCTTCCTTTCTCTCCCTTCTACTTTTCTCTCTCCCCTCCGCTTTCTCTTTCTCTCTTTTCTCTCTCTCTTCCTTTCTCTTTCTCTCTCACCATTTCTTTCCTTTTCTCTCTCATTCTTCTTCTCTCCCTTCCTTTTTCCTTTCTCTTTCTCTCCTAGTCTCTTTCTCTCAACTCTTCTCTTTCTCTTTCTTTTTCTCTTTCTCTTTTTCTCTTTCTCCCACCTCTTTCCCCCTTCATCCCTCCCTTCTTTTCTTTCTCTTTATTTCCTTCTTTAAGGTACTTTCACATTCATGCATTCCTCTGGGGCACTGGCATCCAACTCCCTGAAGCCCAGAAGGTGAGGGGTTTGGGGAGCAGCCCTGCAAGTGTTTCCTTAGGCTCCCCTCGCCTCGCTGAAGGCAGCAAATGCCCTGTACTCTGGGGAAGCCTCCAGGAAGCCAGCACCCTGGCCCAGGGCAGTCCCTTCTGCACACCACTAGCCTCATTTCCTGAGCACAAGAGGCCTCTGCTGGAAGAAGCAGAACTTTGCACAATCATCCAACAGCTGGCTTGCCTATTGCTACTCAATTTTATTTTATTTTATTTTATTTTATTTTATTTTATTTTATTTTATTTTATTTTATTGCTTCTGTAAAATTGGAAAAACCTTACCAAAAAAAAGGAATTAGAAATTTCTTCAGCTTTCTGCCTGGATTTTTCTCCTTCAACTCAGTTCATGAAGCCTGTTGATTATTTTCCCTCAGTACAGAAGGCTTAAGTTGCTCTTTCCTTTTAGCAAGCGGAATCAAAGATTCTTAGGCCTGAACACTTCAGCCACCACCAGCCTTATCCTTTGAGGGATGATATTGATAAACCAACATTTATTGCATTTACTACATTTATATCTTTATTTTATTTAATCCTCACAGGAACACTGTGAGATAGTTATTACCATTAATCTCAACTTCAAGATAAGGAAACTGAGGCTTAGAGGTTAAGTGATTGGTCCAAGGCCAGTACCGGGAGGTTCAGTATCAGAGCATGAGCCCATAGCCCTTGCACCACATGCAGTCTTCACACTTACACACGCACGTGCATGCACACACAATTTGGATCTTTGACAAGGCAAAATTTCATTCATGTTTGTAAGTTGACTAGTTAAAAATCTTTTCATTCCAATACCAAAAATATGGGTAGGGAAGCATGCCAGTCACCCACTTTGGCTTGAGAGCTCATTGTAAAAGAGCAGGGGCCCTTCCTTCACCCACTTTGGCAATTTTTTTTTTTTTTTTGAGATGGAGTCTCGCTCTGTCGCCCAGGCTGGAGTGCAGTGGCGCCATCTCGGCTCATTGCAAGCTCCGCCTCCCGGGTTCACGCCATTCTCCTGCCTCAGCCTCCCGAGTAGCTGGGACTACAGGAGCCCGCCACCACGCACGGCTAATTTTTTGTATTTTTAGTAGAGACGAGGTTTCACCCTGTTAGCCAGGATGGTCTCGATCTCCTGACCTGATGATCCACCCGCCTCGGCCTCCCAAAGTGCAGGGATTACAGGCGTGAGTCACCGCTCCCAGCCCACTTCAGCAAATTATGTCCCCAACAGCCTTCCTCACTAGAGGCACCACTGCCACTGCAGCATCCCAGCACAAGGAAGTAGGTGACGCATCTCCCAACAGGACACCCAGGTGCCCACACTGCCCTCTCCAAGGCCCAGATATGTTTGACCTCAAAGACCCATGTCTTTATCCACGAGGATGCTTTTAATGATAAAATGAGAATGCCTGACTATAAGTGGGCTAAACAAATAAGGGCTTTAAAAAATACCATTACAAGATCAGCGATAGATACATCGATATTTTACATGGAATCTTTCCCTTTTTAAATGTTAGCATGTAATTCAACTTTTTAAAACACAGTCTAGACCATGACCTGCTGGTCAAATATGACCTAAATCTTCAGGATGACAAGGCAGGGTGCGGGGGGATCCAGGTCCTACCTGCTCCTCTCCCAGGCTCACTGCTGCCCCCGACACCTCCAGCTCTCCTGTCTGATGCTGTTCACAGCCACCACCCAATGCCTGCACACGTTCAGTTCTGCCCACCTCCCTAGATTTCTTCTGATGGCTTCACACAGAGGCAATGATGATTGTAATAGCTCACATTTGGTGGATAGTTATCATGTGCTATCAATAATCTGTGCATTATCTCCTTTATACCTCACAATTAACCTATGAAGCAGATACTGTTGTTATTGTTCCCATGTTTAAAGAAACTAAGGCACAGAAAGACTCAGTAGCCTGTATCCAATGAAGAACAGCCTGCTACTGGTGGATCTGGGACTGAAACACAAGTAAGTCCGATTTCAACGCCCACACCTTTAACTGCTGTATCAATTAGGATGCTTTGGGTTGTAAAATCAGAACACCTGACTACAAGATTAAACAATTAAGCCTTTATTTTTTACCACATTATAATAAGACCACAGTTAGATGGTTGCAGGGTTAATTTAGCAGCTAAACATCTCTGACACCCCCTGTCAAATATGTTTCTTTAAGATCACCAAAAAAAGGCTGCAGCAGCTCCAAGTGTCAGGCCCTCAAATAGCTTCTCAATTTTACCCAACAGCAGAGGGTTTTGCCTCAGGTCTATCCCTTATCAGGCAGGGAAACCTTCCCCCAGAAACCCCACATTAGACATCAACTTATGATTCATTCTTGAAATGTGTCATGGGCCTAACCCTACATCAATCACTGGCAATGGAGACTAGGATTAGAATAACAAATTATGATTCAGTCTCTGAGGCTGGACATGGCCACCTCTATTAGCAGAGAGGAGGAAGATCTGGCTGTGAGGTGGCCAGCCAACACTGTCTGCTCCAACTACTGGCAGTGGTCCAATAAATTTTACAAAACCAACAAAAAGTAACAGGAACAGAATCAGAACAAGGGGGTTGTTCCCACCTAAATTATGAGGCAGGGATGAGTGCTAGTTCTCAAACAGAAATTTTCGTGAGCCAGAATGTCTCATTTCCTGAGAGTTGTAGGTAACTTAGGTGTTACTATAATCATGTGTACTTGATCACTGCATAGCATGATGTGGCACACAGGGGAGCTCAATAAATCTTGTTTAAAGACAGAGACCAACCTAAGGGGTTAAGCAAACTTTTCTTTCATGGCAGGATTCAGTAACCCGTGTCTACAGAAATAAGGAGAGATATTTATAAGGAGAGATATTTATAAAACACGAAACAGTGATGCATTGGTCTTATCTTTGCTAAGTTCATTCACTGTTTGGCCCCACACAAGGACTTAAAGATGTCTTGGCAGGTTAGTTCACCCCCAGCTTGTAGATCACAGGCTCAGAGCCCCAACTACATAACCAGCTGATTTTGTGCTTTTCTTTCCTTATGTATTAATTACAATGAAGGTCTTTAAAGACTCATTTCTCAACTGAAATTTTTTCACTTATTTTTTACCATATACTTTCCAAAAAGCTTCCCTGAAGTATTGAACAAGATGGTGCCTTATCTAACATTGCTCCCCTGTCGCCATCACATTAACCTTAAGGACTTATCGCCAGCTGGAATTGCCTCGTTCGCTGGTTTAATGATCCATGAGAACTAGGACTTGTCTGCCTTTTTCATTGCCATACCCCCAGTGACAAGGACAATACCTGCCCAGAGTGGTCTGCAGTACATGCTTGATAAATGAATGAATAAATCCTTAAGTTAAACAGTGTCTAGGGGCAGAATATAAACATGTCTTAAGACAACACCGGTTTTGCCAGTGATTTTAAGGTTTTGTATGCTACTCTGGTTCATGCCTCTGATAAATCAATTAGAAAACAAGAATTCTCCCATTCACTTGAAAATATTACTGTCTTTTCTGCATAACCCTTTTAATTGCATGTGCTTATTGAATTAATAAGATTGCATTCAGTCAAGGCAGACTCTGGGGATGTTTTCAAATGCTTTGAATTTCCCACACAGACAATGCCTACCTGCTTTTCTCCCTAAATCTTACCAAGCTGGGGAATAAGTTTCATATCTGAGAGCCAGAGGTAGCCCAAGAGAATATTCTTTCTATCTCAGGTCTTTGTCACTTTAGGAATGTTAGGGAAACATATCTTTATTTCTCCTGCACTCCAGTTCACCTTCATTCCAACAGAGAACAAAATCTTTCTATTTATTTTCCAAGTGACTTCTCATGGTGTGAAAATGTCTCACAATGAAAAGTGAAGTAAGGAAAAAAAGAGAATAAGAAGAGTTATCGTGAATGTGAATGAGAAAATTATGATTTTTATTGTTCTCTCTGTTCTGAAATGGGAAGATATAATCCTGGGAACTGACCTCTCTTCATCCCACTCTCTCTGGAATGTGCTTTGCAAGAGCATATGACAGTAAGACCTGGTTCTGGTCTTTTTATCCTATTGTTCACACAACTAAGGATATGGTTTAGATATATGTCCCCATCCAAATGTCATGTTGAAACGTAATCTCCAATGTTGAAAGCGGGGCCTGGTGGAAGGTGTCCGGATCATAGGCACGGATCCCCTTGGTGATAAATGAGCTCTTGCTCTGAGTTCACAGGCGATCTGGTGGTTTAAAAGTGTGCGGCACCTCCCACCCACTCTCTCTCGCTTGCTCCTGCTTTCGCCATATGACATGCTTGTCGCTGCTTCGCCTTCTGCCCTGACTGTAAACTTTCTAAGGCTTCATCAGAAGCCAAGCAGATGCCCGGTGCGATGCTTCCTGTACAACCTGCAGAACTGTGAGCCAATTAAACCGCTTTTCCTTATAAATTACCCAGTCTCAGGTACAGCAATGCAAGAATGGACAAATACAACCACTAACAGAAAAACCCTATCAGAAACTCAAAGTCAAGAGTAAGTGCATCAGACTGTATTCCTGCATGGCAAGATAAATCTATGAAAACAGTAAAAATGACTAACTGTGCTGCCACACAAGAACTGCGGAAGAATGTTTTGGCTACTATTATTCCTTAATAGGAATAATATGTATACGGCACATTTCTTTTCTTTTAGAAGTTGTTGTCAGCATATATTTATGTCCTTTAATTTATTCTTCCCTTACAAATTATTCTTTTCTGGTATTATTTTCAGAAAGAATTTGCTGAAGAACTTACTTACCATTTGCCTCTCTTCACTTCATTTTTACTATTGCTTTCTGTACTAACTGGATGATAATGAATGTGATGTTAAAAGTACAATCACCATTTACTTAGCATTTTAATTTGTTCCAGACCCTATTTGTTAAGTCCTCACACCTACCTTTGAAGGTGAGGGATCATTAGCTCCATTTTACAGAGGTGGAAACCACAGTTCAAAAGGTTGAATTGTTGCCCAAGGACACACAGTCAGAAGCTTCAGTACCTGGATTTGAATCTAGAGACTGCGGCTGGAAGCCTCACCCTCTCCAGGACACCGAGCTCAGGCCCAGGATGATGCTTCCATTACAGAGCGTCACTATGTGCCAATCTGGGGCCCAGCCCTTGAGCTAAATTATTTTATTTATTCTTCAAAACAAACTTACAAGGTGGGTGTTACCACTCCCATTTAGCCACAAGAAAACTGAGCACAGGAAGTTAAGTAACTTGATTAAGGTTACAGAACTAGTAAGGGCAAACTACAAAGTAAACTCTGGCTCATCAGCTTGAAAGCCCCTTCTCAGGGCCCCTGGCAGAACATGCACAGGTGTCAAGAAGAGCAGTCCTCCCTGCCTCGCAGCAATGCTTTGCTAAAACAGGATTTACAATAGTCATAAGAACATGACATAATATTTACCAAGTAAGACTCTACGGAGTCCCAGCCCTAAGTCCCCTTATCCCCTTGATAAGGCTTTGTGTGTGTGTGTGTGTGTGTGTGTGTGTGTGTGTGTGTGTGTGTGTACATATAAAATGAGGATACTCTTAGATACTGAAGAAGACTGGATTGTCTGTAGTTACTTTTAGAGTCACTGAACATAATGCTTCTCATTTTTAAAACCAAAACCACTAATAATATCTTAATTTTAAAGCCAAACACTCTTTGCTGGTCCATTCTATAACCAATTACATGACTGTTTCCAGAGAAAACCTTTCACATGTCTTAGTTTAGATTCTTCAAACTCTCCCAGTTTACCAAGCAGAATAATAACGAGAACTAAATGGAAATTAGGGTCCAGCACAGTATTGGGCAAAATTGAATATTTATAGAACGGTTAAATAAGCCACAGATGAAATATCAAGTTGTCAATGTAATTTATATAACTTTTATTTTTATATAATTTCACATGTACAGAAAAATACCCATATACCTTTACCCAAATAGCTACCACCAAGAAATCTCTGTTGTAACATTTCAATCGCCATTCCCTCTGAAATAATAACAAAGCACTTTATTTGAGTATTCCGTATTCCCCAAAGCTAGCTGTGAAAGACCTACATCACCTCAAAACCTTCCATTTGGTTCCATAGATCCTGCCATGTCACATTCTTGTAACCAGCTGCAGGGCCATCTTGTTATAACTGGTTCATGTCCTGCTAAAGCTGAGAGGTGAAGGGCTAAAAACACAGTCCTGGCACAGATTCCAGGACACCCCGGCACAGGCTTGTTTGAGGACATTGCCTGGGTAAACAGCCTCCCCTGAAAGTGTTCAGTGTACAACTCTTCACAGAGCAATCGCTCAAATGCGTGGCAGCACGCAGACATGTCTCTCGGCTTCTCTCCTTGTCTCTGTTGCCTTCCTCTCCAGTCGGTGCTTTAGAAATGCTTTATTCCCATTGTCCACTGAAAATACAACCTAGATTCCTTCAGTAAATATCTGTTAAGGAGGTCACATGAAAAGATTGCTCCAACTCATTCTTGCTGGTGGGCTCCCAAGGGTAAAATAATATAGTTCGTGTCTTCTCAGTCATGAGGAAACCATTGTCACTAAATCTCCCTGGGATGCTTCCTACATCCAACCAAACAAAGGGAGCGACAGCTGAGGTCTCCAGGTCAAAAACAAATATGTCACCTTGCTGAGAGATGATGGCCTGAAAAAGAAAAAAAAAAATGAATGAAGTGAAGGATGAGGGAAGAGTTATATAGTCTGTATACAGTTCCTGTAAACATTTATGTGGGCTTAACAAGGAGTCCACTTCCCACAACTTTGGTTCTACAACTGCTAAAGTGCAGTTTCAAACACAAAACAATACATGGAAAATGACTACAGGCTATGGAACGTTACCAAATTATAATCACAAATCAAGGAAATACATCGTCTCCAATCATTAAGGAGAATATTTCACAAGAAGCTCAAAGCTTTACATCTTTTACAGTTTTTCTCAGAGTATCATCAAGAGAGCAACATTTTTACATACAGCCTGGGTGGTTTTAATGACTTTCTAAGGATATATCTGGACCTAGCTACAGAGCCCAACTGTGGAGCTTACATTCAAGTCTCCTGAAAAGATCCAGCAATCTAGAAAGTCCACTGCCAGAAATTTACAAAAGCTCTACCATTAGAGCTTATCTCTTTTACTGCATAGTTAAGTAAAGTCACATTATTAGCATTTTTTTTACATGTGTGAATTCCACAAAATAGCAGCAAAAAGAGACAGTGCAATTTAAATCGTGTTGGCTCCATTCCTCTTAAGTAGCCGAATAGCATATGCCCAGAGTGAGGATGCGCTGCTCCCCAGAGTGGGAGGGTTTGCAAACCTCTCTTTGTGTGAGCACGGAGCTGAGTGCAACCTGGTTTCTTAATCTGTGCATTTGTCATGCAACATCTCAGTCTTACATTATATGTTATGTGTGACATAAAGAATTTCAAAGGGCCATTTTCACTATATATAATTTAGCCTTACATATTTGTGTAATATGTTATCATTCAGGGTTCTGAGTTATACACAAGGAAACCTATATTGATAGAAGCAGAAAAGAAGCTTAATAAAGCGTATCAGGTTGCTCTTCAGGATCAGAGACTCAGGCTTGAATTTGGATGGCAAATTCCCAGATCGCACCGCCCAGCTGTTCCAGTGAAGGTCCTAAAGCAGCCACAGGAACAAGGTTCATGCGGCTCATGCCAGCCTGCCCAGGAAGCTGCCAGGGTAGCATCAGCTTCTGCTGCTCCAAGACCAAGGCCGAAAGAGATGCTGGTGTCATGCTTATGCTGGTTATCTTCGTTGGATTGGAAATCTCCTCTCTGTATGTCTGACTGCAGAGCCTGGGATTCAAGCTTGCACCCTGGCTTCAGGGAGACAGGGAGAACAAGTTTCTGGCATCTCCCTTGAGAAAAGAAGCCAAATACCTAGTCTATATTAGCCCCGAATTAAACATTAACTAACAGTATTATTACTATCATTTTATCTCTTTAAGAAGGACAAGTCTCACTGAAATCAAAATGAGATAGAACAAAGAAAGAGCCCTGCTTTTCTCCCACCCCAATTACCCACCTCAAGGTAATGAAGGCCTAACTCAGGAAAGAAAAAAATTTGGTTTTCAAAATCATAAGTTTAGAGACTGAAAATTCATCCAGTACATAGTGGTTTTTTTTTTCTTTTTTGGAAAAAAATATATGTAAGACTGTCATTTTCTTCTGTTCTCTATTAGTTGTTACAGATAACTTGGATTTTATTATGTGACTATAGAAAGAAGGTATGTTTTCAGTTGTTAGGCTCTTTCAAATAAAACACAAGAATTAGGTGTTTTTATATGATTATTTCTAAATTAAATGTAGAAAATCCCTTTCTATGAAGTAAAAGTGTAAAACAAATTTAAAATTTTCTAAAAACAGAGAATGTAACTTTCTAGAAAGATATTTCCTGAGTGTCCAGAAGATAAGATAATAAAATTAAAAACATATATGTGTACATATATTTCCAACTGCTATGTGTAGGGGAGAAGGAAGGAAAGGTTTTCAACCTACTAGACAAATTCCAAATTCTCCAGCTGCACAATTTTTATAACAACACATCCTGATCATCCCATTTTTATATCTTGGCAATTATAAAAAGATTTGGTGATTGAGCTACTTTGAAGCAATAAATCAAAGAGACTAGAGTGAATATTAATAGACTCTACTTAAAATTAGACTGCGTCAGCTGGGCTCCAATGCTTCCCAGCTACAGGACCTCGAGCTCATCACTTAACCTCCTAAACTGGCTTCCAAACTTACAAAATGCAGATGATAATGCCTGGAGCTGTGGTGAAAGTCAGAGACTATGAGGTGAAGCACCTAGAACACAGCCTGGAACCTAGTGGGCATGCAGGCAGTGGTGATGACTCGAGCTTCCTCTCCCATCACTGCACCTGCCCACTAAGGAGGGGTGATGGGACAAACGAGTAGTGGTCACCAGCAACTCTGACAAATCCTGGATTCGAAATAGAAATCATTTGGTGTTTGCTTTTAGTGGGAAGAGGCCAATCTTCCCCCAGGCCTCAGGTAAACTCAGCACCAAGGGGGACACATGCAAATCTCAGGATGCAAGGAGCTGGCCCAAGAGCAGGAGAACCCCACAAGGCCACAGTCCCCTGCCCTCCGCCATGACCTGTGCTTACAGTGATCTGCGCCTTGCAGAGCCCCACGGCCTCCTTCGGTGAGGACAAGAAGTGGTAGTTGGTCGGGCTCAGGAGTTCATGGTCAGCTGAAAGGTAAAAGGAAACCACACAGCTTTCCCGTGTGCAATTCCCACATCTCCTCAGCAATTCAGACACTGGCTCCTCATAAAGGCAGACAGCCTCTCCTCCTTTCATCACAAAACGTTCAGTCACACGAGAGCACACGGGCTCCAGGGAGCTCCATGTATGGACTCTCACCTGGGGAGAAATAAAACAGAATAAAAACAGGCATTCTTGGTTGCTATGTTTTTAAGGAACAATAGTAGTAATAATTGCTGAAAGTCAGGTTAGCAGAAATGGTTAAGAGACTATGAAACCTGAGTTTTAATCCCAGTCCTGCAAAATACTAGCTATGTGACTAAGTAACTTCTCAGTCTTCATTTCTTCATATGTAGAATGAAAATAACAGCAGTAATGTCACAGGCTGTTGTGAGAATTTAAAAAATAATCCACGGAAGGCACAGTACCTGGTGCGTTGTAATTTTTCTGTAAATGTGACCTATTTTCAGTGTTATTAGTGTCCTCCAAACTATAGCCACCTAAGACTTTGAGTTTCTAGCCTTTCTTTTTACTTAAATTTGTTTTTTAAAACAAATTTGCTTTCCACATGCGCATTCTGAATAGTTTTACTGATTTTCACTATAACATGCCATTTTTAACCATTTCTTTTTATAAAGTTTGGACTATTTCCAGCCTCTCACAATTATAAATAACCTTGCATTTAAGGGGCACATTATAGCATATGTGATTTGCTTTCATCTAGTTATTTTATTTCCTACTCATAGAAATCCTGTAAGAAGAGAGACTGGTATCATTTTACTGAGAAGAAATTGAATCAACAAGATGTGAAGGGTTTTGCTTATGGTCACATGATTAATGGCAGGGTTGTAGCCTGAATATATGTATTCTAACTCTAAATTAATTTCTCTTTTATTTTCCCAAAAGAATGTAACCAAACAACTAAAGAAATCATCTAAAAGTCTCCTTCGATCTTAGAAAACAATCCAAGTAACTTACACTGAGTGTCATCGAATAATCCGAGTGAAGATCTGACACACCATAGATATAGAACGTGTTTTCATTCTCAAAGCCTACTGGCAACAGTGGAGCAAAGAAATTCTGAGCAAAGTAATGAAGCATTTTCCACTTTCCTCCGTACTCTGAAAATAATCAAGAGTGTCAGGAGACGGCAAGGTCAAGTAGTCAGAGAGGCACTGTCCAATGGCCCAGCTGTTTGTGGCTCATCGGGGTTCTAAGGGAGTGAGCATGTGAGGGAGAGTCAACAGTGGAGGGCACCCATGTTTGTGAAGCGCTCTGAGCACTCTGGACATTATGTCATGTCACCCTCACAACATCTGGGCAGGCACTAACGAACCAGGGCAGGCATTAACGAACCATGCTGTTAGGCAATTTCATCATTGTGTGATCATAGAGTGTACTTAAACAAACCAAGATGGTATAGCCTACTACACACCTAGACTATATGGTATAGCCTGTTGCTCCAGGCTACTAACCTGTACAGCATATTGCTGTGCTGAATACTGTAGGTAATTCTAATCATAGAAATGGGACAGTGAAAATACAGTATTATAATCTCATGGGACCACCATCATATATGAACTGTGTTGTTGACTGAAATGTTATACGGTGCATGACTGTATATAATAACTTATAGATTCTAGGTAGCTATTGATTGCTTTAATATATAACCATTTCGGGTGATAAGAGATAACAAATACCTCCCCTACTGCACGCACTAGAAGCAGTGGATTTATTGAGCCAATCAACATGGGGCTGTGAGGCCCCCAGAGCAGAAGCAGATATAGAAAACTTGTCACAGCTTCTCCCGGATAACCTTTTTGTCTAATAAGTACAAGGAGCTGGTGATCCTCCTCAGGCAGGCAGGATCCTGCCAGGGTTTAGAAAACAGCCAAGCTCTGGTACTTGGGTTTTCCTACTGTAATATTATTATATATACATATATAATTTTTCTTCTACAGTTAGATATGGTTTGGCTGTGCCCCTACCCAAATCTCATCTTGAATTGTAGCTCCCACAATTCCCATGTGTTGTAGGAGGGACCTGGTAGGAGGTAACTGAACCATGGGGGCAGGTCTTTCCTATGCTGTTCTTGTGATAGTGAATAAGTCTCACGAGATCTGATCGTTTTATAAAGAAGGAGTTTCCTGCACAAGTCCTCTCTTACCCACTGCCATGTAAGAAGTCCCTTTGCTCTTCCTTCGTCTTCTGCCATGATTGTGAGGTCTTCCCAGCCATGTGGAACTGTGAGTCCATTAAACCTCTTTTTCTTTACAAATTACCAGTCTCAGGTATGTCTTCATCAGCAGCATGAGAACAGACTAATACAGGTTCCTAGCTCACAACTACCATAGCCCTTGTTACAGACTCTTGTTATAATGTTGAGAAGCTTTAGGACTCAAAAGCAGGCCTCAGAAAACAGAATCTATCTCTCTGATCTCCTTCCCTCCTTTCACCAGCCCAAGGCAGGTCTCTAATCCGATTGTGGGTCATAAGACACTCATTCAGAAGGTGTCCTGCCTCATACCCTGGAGGAGGAAATGCTTCACAGAGAGGCCAAGAAGCTGAATGGACAGGCCTTGCTGTGTTTCCCCACTCAGTCTAATGGTATTAGATCATACCCGCTTTGTCCAATCACATTTCTACATGGTTATCAATCATGGCTGTCCAATGAAGTCTCCCTATAACGCCCAAGAGGACAGAGTTCAAAGAACTTCCACATAGCTGACCATGTGAAGGCTGACAGAAAGAGGAACAAGTATTCATCTACATGCCTGGAGGGTGGCACACCCCAGCCTCACAGGGATAAAGTTCCTGCACTCAGGACCCTTCCAGACTTCACCCCATATATCTCTTCATACGGCTGTTTATTTGTGTCTTTTAAAACATCCTCTGTAATACAGCAGTTAGAATGTTTCCTTGAGTTCTGTGAGCCATTCCAGCAAATTAAACCCAAAGAAGGGGTCATGGGAACCCCAGCTTGAAGCTGGTCAGTCAGAAGTTCTAGAGGCCCAGACTTGCGACTGCTGTCTAAAGAGGGAAGGCAGCTTTGTGGAACTGAGTTCTCAACCTATGGAATCTGATGCAATCTGCAGGTAGATAGTGTCAGACTTAAATTGGAGGGCACTCGCATGGTGTCCACTGCAGAAGTGATTGCTTGCTTGGTGTGTGGGGGAAGTTTCCCATATATTTGGTCACAGAAGTCTTCTGTGTGGATTGTTGTTGTGGAGTGAGGGAATTAACAAAGCACTTTTAGGCCAGGTGCGGTGGCTCATGCCTGTAATCCCAACACTTTGGGAAGCTGAGGAGGGTAGACTGCTTCAGACCAGGTGTTCAAGACCAGCCTGGGCAACATGGCAAAACCCTGTCTCCAGAAAAAAAATACAAAAATGAGCCAGGCATGGTGGTATGCAGCTATAGACCCAGGTACTCAGGAAGTTGAGGTGGGAGGAAGGCTTGAGCCTGTGGGGTGGAGGCTACAGTGAGCCATGATTGCACCACTGCACTCCAGCCTGGGCAAAAGCAGAGTGAGACCATCTCAACAAAAAAACAAAACAAAACAAAAAACCACTTAGAGTTTGAGTGTCTTGTTTCCCACAGACCTACTCTTCCTGAGGAACTCAGGAATAATCTGCATGGGATCACTTAAAGGAATATTTACAAAAATTGGGCTCTCCCATTTCTTGAATCGAACTCAGTTTCAGTCCACAACCTCATCCACAGACAGAAAGCAGGATCAGTATCCAAGAGTCTCTGAACAGTTATCTCTTTGCCTACCTTTCCAGCATCCCAGAAGGATTTTCCCCCCAATTCTACCCCTGATTCTCATTCAATGCTCTCTTATCTGGTTGGTGCTGATAAAGAGTTTGGTCAGAGAAATTTGATTAGAAATCCAATTCTCTGTAAGAGTCATCCATCTGGCACTAATGAAAACATGTTTGGAATGAATTTCTTTTGATCTGCATTCACAGCCAGTTTAAGAGCCTCACCCCTGCACTCTAGCCTGGGTGTCAGAACAAGACTCTGTCTCAAAAAAAACAAAAAGAACCTCACCCAACCTTTCTACTTTGTGGCCTTGCCTCGTTTTTGACCCCAAACTATTCTTTACATTATTAACTGAACTTTGTTTCAAGTCATCTCTAGTGAAGGGCAAAGACTATTATTCCTTAATTTTTTTTAATGTACCAGAATAGATGGGATAATTCGAACTGCAGGTTCCATGCCAGTCATCTCACCTGTTGCTAGTTGAACTGTTTCAACTGGTCACCTTTCCCATTCGGGATTCTGCCTCTACTAGCTTTTCCCCAAGAGCTAAACAGGGCATAATAAAGATGGCCTTAAGAGACATCTTCATTATGTCCTTAAAGGACATCTTTATTTGTCCTTAAAGGTGAATCAGAGAAAGGGAAACTTTAACACATAAGCGGGCCAAACTTCTACCTGATTGAATTCTCCAACACAGAAGAAGGGATGCTTAAGTTCATGCTTCTTTAGCCCTGGAATGCCCTCTTAAATAAATTCAAAATTCTATGCGTAATAACAAGACACATGGCTGAGACTTTTGTATAGGAATCTATCCCATGCTTAGCCTGCTGTTGCAACTTTGCACAGCACAGAACCCATAATTAGGTTGACCCTAAGGCTCATGGAAAGGCTACTAAGGTGAGTTGGGTGGCTGTAGTTCCTAGGCAGGCTTTTTAAAGAATGACTCTTTTGGTCATAGTTCTGCCTGGGCTAATCTGACCCCTCCAGCACTGTGCTTTCTCAGTCCCTCTCCCCACAGTGTTGCTTTCTCTCACTCGCACAAAGAACGCTGAAATGCTTACCAAGAGAAGCCCAGGAAGGAGCTTGCCAGATGTCATTCAACTGCCAATAAAGTGCCCCCATCGTGTGCCCTTGCTGATCCACTATCTCGCTGCGACTACGGCGGTAGAATTCAGTTTCTGTTTTGACACACTGGGCCTGCATCACCTGATTCAGGAAAACATTCATACACAGGTGTTATTGTTTGATGTAGACTGCCTAGATCTGAGAAAAATACAGGGTTTAGTTTTGTTTTGGGTTTTTTCTTTTTGGAGCAATTTGGATAAAATTAGGGAATTTAATTAGTATTAGGAATACATTATACTAGATCTGTAACTAGCCCCTTAGCATGAGAGAAGCTGTTGTCTGTAACAGTGGGTTTGTCTGGTAGACTTGGTGTTTCATTATGGTGACAATGGAAATAGGATGGTGTAAAAGGTTCTCTGCTAATGATAGTGTAGGCCGTAAAGAAAAACAAAGACTACTATTCCAGAGCAAATGCTATATATAGTCCAAAACTAGATTATTTTCACTGAAAAATTTTGCTAATACCTTCATAGCTATTTTTAAGAAAAACTTTTACTAGAAAAAATTCTATAAGAAAAATAACATTGTTATTATGAGTCTGATATTATCCAATCCCTAATTATTTTTTCTAGTCAAACAATTGTTTTGATGTCATGATTTTTGGTAATGTAAGATTTCTCATGAATGCAATTCCTTCGTTGTAGCAGAACAGATGGCAAATTGCAGCAATGAGACAAATGAATTTAGTTCTTGTTTAAGAGACACTAAAGAACTTCACACAGGACCCTTGATTACCGACACCATCATGGAAAAATCAGTCTCTTTTATCGCTGCCGTTACCGACACATATGAATCACATGCTCTTAGCCTGGAGTTGTGCTGAGGAGGGGCTCATGAATGGACCACTGAGGAGAACCCAGAGATGGTCAGAGCAGCGAGGATTTCAGAGAACAAGAAGGCCTTAGAATAGGGCTGGGGTTTTCACAGAGGAATAAAAAGAATGGTGCATATGGCCACCAAAAGACTAAGTCGAGACGCTTTCCCATAAAAGCAAAAAAGCTCAGATAAAGGTAGAACCTTTAAATAGAGGAAGGCTGACCAGTAAGGAAGTCATAGATGAGGTTATGACTTACATGAGTCACAGCCATCAAATTCCAGAACGGAAGCCAGAAGAAATTGTGGTCAGTCAATAAATATTTAATAAGAACCTGCAGGATATGTTACATACTGAGAATGGTGGGCACCCCTGCCAGAAAAAAATGATACAGCCCACCATATGGAGCTTATCAGCTTGTGTAGAAGACAGTCCTTCATCAAAGAATCACAGAAAGATACGTAATCATTAAACAGTACCAATGCTAAGTAGAAGAGGTATGCAATGTTACAAGCTCATATGGTGGGGCAATTGGGCAGAGCTGTAGAGTGAGGATTGGCCTAAAAGAAGAGGAATGGGAAAAAGAGAGAGGGCAGAACCTTCCAGAGAGGACAATACACCATTGGAGGAGGATGCCAGGTCAGCTAAGAACTGAAGGAAGGCCAAGAAGGCCTGAGCACAGGAAGCCGGGAGCAATGGAAGAGAAGCTGGTGAGAATTGCAGGGGCCAGACCCTGGAAGGCCACATGTTGAAGGTGTTGGTGTGCATCCTAAAGGCAAATGGAGGTCACAAAAGGCTTTTGAACTAAAGGGTGATGTGAGCAGATTTACATTTCCAAAAGATGACTGAGACTACTGAAGGAGGAAGGGCTTGCAAGGGGGCTAGAGTGGATTTAGGTAGACCATTTAGGCAAGAGATGGTTTTAGCTATGAGCAGACAAAGCAATGTCTTCTCATTCAGGAACCAGACCACTAGGACCACAGCAACAGTAGCTGGAAAAAATGTTCTAAAGCAAGAATCTCACAAAGCAAGCAGCATTGGTGCCACCTCAAAATGACCATGGCCCCTATAAACATTTGAGTTTTCAGTCTCTAAACTATATCAATTTTCAGCATTATCTGCAAGATATATTTATTTCTATATATCCATTCTAACATTAATCTCCTCACTATAAGTTATTTTTTCCTGGTTTAATAGGTAAAACTTATTAGTTCCTTAGAATTTTCAAAATTTGAAAAAATTTTAAATGCAAGTAGGATTCCTAACCCTCACTAGCAATGAAAAGAAAAGAGCACAAAGTGGCTCTATCTAGTAGCCTCTCTTACAGGAAATTAGCATGAAAGAGCATAACCAAGACTCTTTTGTGCTCCAGGCTCTGGCACAGTGCAGTACACTCCACACACAGATGGTACCATGCTAATAACATGGACCTGAATCTATCCAAACCAGTGGGTACCAGTCAAGGCTAATGAATGACACCTTTGTTCATAAAAATGCAGAAGGCTATTGCCCACTAAACTTCTTAAAGGGGTGTTGTACAATCCTAGTTCCCTGGAAAATCTCTAGAACTTCCCCTTCCCCTTTAAAAACTGTACCTATATTTACACATCCATGCATCCTTTCCTAAAAAGGGCAATCTTTACACATAAGAGGGATAAATGCTTAGTCATTTTCTAGGTTATCCAGTCCACTGTTAGCAGACAAATGAATTTTAGTTTTAAAAATATGCCTATTTGGCTGGGCGCGATAGCTCATGCCTGTAATCCCAGCACTTTGGGAGGCTGGGGTGGGTGAATCACGAGGTCAGGAGATGGAGATCATCCTGGCTAACACGGTGAAACCCCGTCTCTACTAAAAATACAAAAAATTAACCGGACGTGGTGGCACATGCCTGTAGTCCCAGCTACTCGGGAAGCTGAGGCAGGAGAATGGCTTGAACTTGGGAGGCAGAGGTTGCAGTGAGCCGAGATCAAGCCACTGCACTCCAGCCTGGACAACAGAGCGAGACTCTGTCTAAAAAAGAAGAAAAGAAAAAAATGCCTATTCTCAGCAGCTTGCTTGATTACACTTATGAAATGAGTCTCCTATGAGAGACAGATGGTATGGTGAGAAGAAATTGGATCAAGATACGAAGACCTAAGTTCCAGTTCCAGCACTGCCACTGGTGGTTGCTAGCTGTCTTCCAAAACCAATATCCCTTTCCTCCAGAGTGATGGAGTTGTAGCTGGACTACATTTTCCAGAAACACACCCCAACCCCTGGGACTTTGAGTAGCCATGTGACTAAGTTCCCTCAATATCTATATACTTTATTTACTAAAATTATCCCGACACTAAGAATCTTCCAACAAAGCTGTTTTAAAACCAAGATATAATTCACATACCATAAAATTCATCATTTTAGAGGTTATAATTCATTGGTTTTTAGCACAGTCATAAGGTTGCACAACTCTTTCCACTATCTAATTCCAGAATATTTTCATCACCCCAAAAAGAAACACCATACTGGGAAGCAGTCACTCCCCATCCTCCCCTCTCCCCGGCTTCTGGAAACCACTTAATCTACTTCCTCTGTTCTGGGATTTGCCTATTCCGGACATTTCACATAAATGGAATGATAAAATATGTGGCTTCTGTGACTGGCTTCCTTTTTATTTCTGAATAATATTTTATTGTATGGAGATGCTACATTTTGCTTGTCTATTCGTCAGCTGAAAAATTAGGTTATTTCCCCTTTTTGGCTACTATGAACAATGCTGCTATGAATCTGTGAACAGGTTTTTGCATGAACATATGCTTTCAATTTTCTTGAGTATATATACCTAAGAGTAAAATTGCTGGGTCATATGGCAAACTCTATGTCTAACTTTTTAAGGAATTAACAAACTGTTTACCGCAGCAGCTGAACTGTTTTACATTCCCACCAGCAACATATGAGGGTTCCAATTTCTCCACATCCTTGCCAATACTCATTATTTTCCTTTTTTAAAAATTTGTAGATATTGTAGTGGATATAACTGGTATCTCACTGTGGTTTTGATTTGCATTTCTCTAATAACTAATGAT
Source organism: Homo sapiens (assembly GCF_000001405.40). Lineage (NCBI taxonomy): Eukaryota > Metazoa > Chordata > Mammalia > Primates > Hominidae > Homo > Homo sapiens. The sequence continues at coordinate 102,643,656 of NC_000004.12, forward strand.
GTTGAGCATCTTTCTATGTGTTTACTGGTCATTTTCTTTAAAGAAGTGTTTATTCAAAGCCTTTACCAATTTTTCAATTGGGTTGTCTTTTTCACTATTGAGTTCTAAGAGTTCTTTATATATTCTGGATGCTGGATCCCTATCAGACATATGGTTTGTAAATTTTTTCTTTCATTCTGGGGATTATCTTTTCATTTTCTCGATAGCGTCTTTTGCCATACAAAAGGTATTTTTGTTTTCTGTTTTTGATGACATACAATTTGCCTATTTTTTCTTTGGTTAATTTCTTTGATGGCAAATTTAAGAAACTGTTGCCTAACCAAAAGCCATAAAATTTATACCTATGTTTCCTTCTAAGAGTTTTATAGTTTTAGCTATTACATATAGATCTTTGATCCATTTTGAGTTAATTTTTGTATATGGTATGAGGTAGTGGTCTGAATTTATTCTTTTGCATGTGGATATCCAATTGTTCCAGCACCACTTGTTGAAAACATGATTCTTCCTCCCATTTTATTCTTTTTACCATTTGGAATGTAAATTAGTACAGCCATTATGCAAAACAGTATGGAGGCTTCCCAAACTATTAAAAATAGAACTACTATATGATCCAGCAGTCCCACTACTGTGTATCTATCCAAAGGAAATGAAATCAGTATGTTGAAGAGATATCCACACTCCCATGTTCATTACAGCATTATTTACAATAGCCAAGATATGAAATCAACAGATGAGTACATAAAGAAAATGTGATACATATACACAATAGAATACGATCCAGCCTTAAAAATAAAGGAAATCCTGTCAGTTGTGACAACCTGGAAGAAACTGGAGGACATCATGTTAAGTGAAATAAGTCATGCACAGACAAACAAATACTACATGATCTCACGTATACATGGAATTGAAAAAAGTTAAACTCATAGAAGCACAGAGTAGAATGGTGGGCTGGATGGGGGAAAGAGGAAGTACCAAGGAGATGCTGGTCAATGAATACAAAATTTCAATTAGGAGAAATAAGTTCAAGAGATCTATTGTAAAACATGGTAACTATAATTAATAATGTATTGTATATTTGAAAATTGCTAACAGGGTAGATTTTAAGTGTTCTCACTACAAAAAAGATAAGTACGTGAAGCAATGCATATGTTTAACAGCTTGAATTAGCCATTCCATAATGTACACATATACCAAAACATCATGTTGTACACCACAAATATATATTTTTAATTTATCAATTAAAATAAAGAAATATTAATTTTTTTAAAAAAAGAAAATCAGTTGACCATAAATGTATATTTGTTCCTGGATTCTCAATTTTATTGAATCAATCTATTATATATACCTTGTCTTTTGTCATTACCACACTGTCCTGATTACTACAGCTTTGAAGTAAGTTTTAAAATCTTTTTTTCAACAGTATAAGATTTGTCAAATGCTTTTTCTTCATTTATTGAGATGATCATGTGTATTTTTTCTTTCTTTACTAATATGGTTTATTATACTGATTAACTTTCATATATCGAATCAATCTTGCATTCCTGGGATATTTCCCACATAGTTATGCTATATAATCCTTTGTATATGCTGCTGGATTTGGATTGATACCATTTTATTGAGGATTTTTTTCTGTCTACATTCACAAATGATATGAGTCTGTAGGTTGCTTTTCATGAGATATGTTTGTCTGGTTTTGGTATCACAGTAATGTTGGCTTCACAGAATGAGTTAAGTGTTTCCTCCTCTTATTACTAATTTTTTAGGGAGTTAATGAGGGGTTTCTTTTAATTCTTCTTTAAACATTCTTAGAATTCACTAGTGAAGCCATCTGGTCCTGGATTTTTCTTTTTACGGGAAGGTTTTTTTGTTTGTTTTTGTTTTTTAACTAACTCAATCTCCTTAGTTGTTATAGGGCTATTAAGATTTTCTATTTCTTCTTAATTCAGTTTTCATGGGTTGTTTCTCTAGGAATTCATCCATTTCATCTAAATTAACTGACTTGTTGCCATATAATTGTGTATATATTCTCTTATCACCTTATTTATTTTGGTAAGGTGAGTAGTAATATTTCCTCTTTCATTCCTGACTTAGTAATTCAAGTGTCCTCTCTTTTTTCTGGGCCAGTCTAACTAAAGGTTTGTCAATTTTGTTGATCTATTCAAAGAACTAACTTTTGGCTTCACTGGTTTTCTCCAGTGTTCTAATGAGGTCTTTATTTAATGTGCCAAATTTCTGATGCCCACTTTACTTAATTGCTGAAAATTACTGTTAACAATTTAACCAAACACCATTATTGCAACTGTGAAGGGATAGAATATTACAGTTTAAAAAGCAGAAACCCTACTCCATTCATTGCCCTGAGTCCTTAGGCAAAATATTTAACTTTTCTGAGACTCTGTTTCCTCATGTATGAAATGGAAAGAGTGATATGGGTGTCTGGAGATAATGTGAGAATTAAATGATAAGATTTACAAAGCAGTTCATGACCCAGGACCAGGCAGGCATTTAGTAGATACCCAAAGAATGCTACATATTGGCTTGATTATTAAATTACATGATGCCTATACAAACTCCTAATATATAATACACAATGTTAATGGTCACTCTTTCATTCCCCTCCTTTGCCCACCCTACTCTCATCTTAAAAGCTCAGTATGACCTGGATCTTCCATCGTGTCTCAGTGCTACTTACCAAACAAATAACCATTCCAGGGCAGCAGGTATCATCAAAACCTGGGCCTACAGCATCACCTACCTTTTGTCCTAGTTCTTATGATCAAGTTACTTACAGCACAGGAAGATAAAATGGGCCTCTAAAGAAAATGAGTTTCTCAAGAACATCCCCAAGCCATCATTAGATATTCAATAGACACATGAAGAATAAACAAAAGCACTAGAAAAGGCTGTAAGCTAAGGGCTTGGTAATTAATGTCCTTGGCCTGGCCTGCTCTCTTAGTGGCCAATAAGAGGCCGTGCTGGTAGAGTAAGACACTCAAAAGTTAGTTTAGATATGTTCATTTAGATAGTTGGTCCTCAAACTAGAGAGTGAGATCTGTGTAACATAGCTAAAGAGGGTGTGCTCATGTATATGGGCTATTGGGAATACAATATAACAGGGCAAGAGGGAGAGTAAAAGGTAAGGCAAGATTATCCTGGAATACTAGGAGAATTAAAGAGGCAGGAGCCCATAGGGATATCTTTTTGGCTATAAGACAAAGAGAAGATAGGGAAGGATCCAAACGTGAAGAAATTTACTGGACAGTTTTCTCAGCGAAGACTTTGCTAACAGTTGCAAATATTCCTTAATTAATAAATCTTCTAAAAAGTGGCACATAGGCAAGCACTCTGTTCTTCAGAACAGTATGACAGACTATGAGAAAAAGAACAGGGGTTGGAGTAGGAACATAGAAAGTGGAACAGAGAAGGGTTTTATTTCTAATACACAGATTAAAGAGGACTGTTCTAAAATCAAAGTAACAAGGAAAAACCCTAAAACCCTAACATTTCCTGTCTGTATTTCAGTCAAGAAAATCTGACACTGAAAACAAAATAAAATAATCATAATCCTGATTTCTTTCATCACAGATAGCATCTAGTATGTTGGAAAGTGCCAAGGTAGACACTAACAAGCCACACGAGGACAAGTCCAATTCTGAGCCAAAGCCTGAGAGGACACTAGTGCTAAATTCTCAGACAAAACCATCACCAACAAAAACTGGCAACAAATAACTCCACTTGCATGCCCAGTTCCTAACTATGGACCTTGAATGCTGATAAGTTCAGAAAAGAAAAATTATTTCTATCAGTTCTTGGAATATAATTTTGAGGAAAAGAATAAAGTTAGAGTAATAAACAGCTGGAAGGAGGAAATCCAGCATAAAAAACAATAGCAGAAAAGTCTCTTATACACACACACACACAAATAATAATCAGCCTATTTTATATGTCAGAACACTTTAACAGAGTATTATCTGTGGAAAACTTGAAAGATAAAGTGCAACACTTTTCAAGGGACAGATACCAACATTGCCTTTAACCTTGTGTTCTGGTAAGTTCATGAATTACATATAACCCTGGCAAAACTTTCCTAACCTATAAGATTATGATTGAAACATTAAAATTCTCCTAATCATTTCATCACCTTCTAAAAAAGATTATTCTTTCAGCTTACAGTTTTCTGCTTTAGTTTCTATCATGGGGTTTGTGTTTTCATACAGGAGAAAACTGATGAAGGTGTGAGCATGAGTTTGGATTAAAATTCATACATTTTTAGATACTAAGATAGGAAAATTTAACTGTGATTATGTTTTTAAAAATTTCCTGTCTACTTCAGATCAACTTTATTATTGGGATTAGGCTTTTACCTCCTCTCTAAGAACTTTAAACAAGTATGGCAAAACTAGCAGGTAAATAAACAGCGACTTTAATGGAGTCTTAAGTGTGGTCACAGGTTCATGAACTAAAATAGGCAAATGAAAAAAGTAAAATGAAACCATTATCCAAAATTCAGTTTGGCAGTTTCTTAAAAAAAATACATAAATTTGTTATATAACTCAGAAATTCCATTTCTACCCTTTGAAAAGGAAATCTATGTCCATACGAAGATTTGTATATGAGTATTCCTAACAGCATTATTCATAATAGCCAAAAATTGGAATACGATATAACAAATGTCCAGCAACAGATGAACCTGACGAATGGATAAGCAAAATGTGTATAACCATAAAACTGAATAGTATTTGGCAAGAAAAAGGACATGAACTATACATGCTATAACATGGATGATCTTCAAAAACTTTATGCTAGGTGAAAGAAGCCAGATGCAAAAGATCACATATTGTATAATTCCATTTATATAAAATGTTGAGAAAAGTAAAATCTATAGAGACAGAAAATAGATTTATGTTGTCTTGCAGCTGGAGGTGGGAAAGGGGAGTGACTGTAAATGGGTACAAGGGATCTTTTTAGAATGACAGAAATATTCTAAAATTGGATCATAGTGATGGTTGCACCACTCTATAAATATCACTTAACTGTACCCTTAAGATGTGTGAATTTTATGATATGTCCATCAAAACTTGATAGAACTGTTTTTAAAATCCAGCAAGGTGCATGCCATAACATTCACAAATCTTTTGATACATGCACACATCCATGTGACTACCACTCAGATCAAGATAGAAAACAGAAAGTTCTCTTGTACCCCTTCCTAATCATTGCTCACACCCTCCTCCACAAGTGTAGTTAATACTACTTTGCTCTCTATCATCTTGATTGTTTTTTTTTCTAATATGTACTTTTTTCTATAATATACTTAAATTTCAATATAGAAGAAATCAGTACAGTTATGTATCCTTTTATGTCTGGTTTCTTTTACTCAATGTAATACCTGCAAGACTCATCCAAGCTGATGCTGATTATCAGTAGTTTATTCTTTTTTTATTGCTGTGGAGTATTCCACTGTATGAATATACTACAATTTGTTTATAAATTCTCCTGTTAAAAGACATTTAGGTTGTTTCTACTTTGGGGCTATTGTGAATAATGCTGCTATGAACATTATTTGAGATATCCATTGGTGGACATATGAACTCATTTTTCCTAGTGCATAGCTAGGAGCAGAAATGCTGATTCAAAAGGGAAGCAAACATTTAGCTTAGGTAGAAACTGCCATAAAATTTTCCAAAGTGGTTAAACAAATTTAAACTCCTACTAACAATGTCTAAAATTTCCAGCTGTCTCGCTTCCTCACCAGCAGTTGTTATTATCAATCTTTTTAATTTTAGCCATTCTGCTGGGTGTGTAGGGGTATACTGGTATGGCTTTAATTTGCATGTTCTTGATTTACAACAAGATTGGGCACATTTTCAGATATTTATTGACGCTTTGGATATCTTCTTTAGTGAAGCTCCAGTTCAAGATTTTTGTCCATTTTTAAATAGATTGTCTGACTTTTTCTTATTGCTTTATTCTGGATACAAATCTTTTTATCAAATATATGAATTAAAACTATTGGTCCCCAATTTGTGGCTTGCCTTTTCTCTCTCTTAATGGTGTTTTTTATACTTAATGGTGTCCATAATTTCAATGGAGTATAATTTATCAATACTTTCTTTTCTAGTTAGTGCTTTTTATGTTCTATATAAAAACTCTCACCTATCCCAAAATCATGAAGCTATTCCATGTTTTCTCGAAGCTTTATTGTAGTACCTTTCACATTTGAGTCTTCAGTCATTGGTCAAATGAAGTTTCTAAAATTTATTATTATTTTTTAGAGATAGGGTTCTTGACATTTTGCCCAGGCTGGTCTCAAACTCCTAGGCTCAATCAATCCTCCCACCTCAGCCTCCCAAGTAGTTGGGACTACAGGTGTGTGCCACCATGCTCAACAATCAAATTAACTTGTATATGGAGTCAAGTTCATTTCTTTTCCCATAAAGGTATCCACGTGATTCACCACTGTTTATTGATAAAATGATTGTTCTCATACTCAATTGTGGTGGCATCACAGCCATAAATCAGGTGTCCATATTATACAGTGATCTGTTTCTGGACTCTATTGTGTTCCATTGTTCTATTTTATCCTTGGGAAATGGCACTGTCTTAATTACTAAACCTTTAGAGCAATCTTGAAGTAGAGAATATTTTCATACACAATTTATTTCAGAATTTTGTGAGCTGTTTTTGTAAGAGAGGCAAATGCCAAAAATGAACTATTTCATGTCCTATGTGTCATCATATATGTTCTTTGAAGAAAATAAATTCCTTAACCAGTGGAATGAAAACCTGAATATTTTTCACCATATATGGCCTACAAAATCTACATAATCTCTTACATTAATTGCAGGAACCTGTTCAATTCTAGAATGAAAACAACTTACCTGAGTAAGGTAGATGGTATCTTTAAATGTGCGTAATGGATCTGTGCTTTGGGGGAGTTTGAAATGAAGTCCAGCCTGATAAAGCATTTGTTTGTTACCACCTTCGTGATGTTGTCGATGAAGTGAAAACTTGCTATTGAAAGACCAGTCCTCTGTAGACGAGACCTTTCAAATAAAGAATAAGAATTAGAAATCTGAAAGTTGGCAGTAAAACTACTTTTCTATAAGTTCCTGACAAACCTGGAAAGTATCCTAAACACTAGAGAAGACCTTGAGGTTTGTTCTGTGGCTCCAGTTTCATAAATGTTTTACCATCCTACTTGTTGCCAGTGAAGGACTAGCCTTGTGGAAACTGGAATCACAAAACCAGGGTTTGGTACATATATCCTCCCTTCCTCCAACTAAGAAAGTTATATTTTGATGTTTCTCTTAAGACTCTTGTTTTATCAAAACATATTCCTGGTTTTTGAAACATCCACTATATGTATTTTTAAATATCATTTTATCTACTTAGGTAAACATTTTATCTAGTATTCGTTTGTCAAAACTTAATAGAATGCAATCAACACTGTTAAAACTGTCACAATTCTTAAATAGGAATAAAACACCTATTACACTATAATAGGGATACTATGAGAGTAGATGCTTTAGCACTTACACTGTTCACTTGTTTCTCAGTGATTACTAAATGAAACTGATATACATATGTTTAATTTTTATATAGTTGAAGACACAAACCAAATAATGTTACTTCTCTCCCCTAAAAAATCAATTTTTTATGGTTTAAGCCAGGCCCAAATTATAGGATCTTTATTTTATCCCCTAACTTACAGGATCTTTCTTTTGTCGTCAGCTCAAATTAAAAAACAAAGTAAAAAAAACTCACATATGTTGGAGTATACCTTCTACAAAAAAAGAGAAAAAAGCAATAATTCTGGCTTCTAGGCCTATAATTTAATGCACTGTTAGCATTTAAGAAAGAAGACAATTGCTGGCTACATCTGAAAATATCCAGAGTTTTAATTCAAGTTACACAGACTTTGAAAAAACATACTCTGCCCCTCCACCCAAAAACCTGAAAATTAAAAAAGCTTAATCCCTGTTCATAAAGTATGACTTTTCATTCCCAGTAATCAAGCAACACATGGGCCCATTACCTTAAAAGGAAAAGGTTATCCTTCAGGAACTGATTCATACCCAAATATAAGAAATGTACACTAGCCATATTAAATTTGGAAGTTTTTCCTAATTACAGATGTTTTTCCAAAATGCCACCACCAGAATTAAATAATGCTAACTACTCCTATTATGTATTTAAAGGAGAGATTCACATTGACAATCATCTCGCACACTTTTTAGACACACATCCTTTATCAATAGTCTTCCTACGCTTCCTCCTCTTAATTTATTTTATTTATGTTTATTATTTTTAATTGACACAATAAGTGTACACATTTATGGGGTACCATGTTATAATTTGATACATGTATACAATGTATAAGGATCAAATCAGGCTAATAAGCAAATTCATCACCTCAAACATTTATCATTTCTTTGTGTCGGGAACACTCAAAATTATCTCTTCTAGCTATTTGAAAATATACAATAAATTATTATTAACTATAGTTACCCCAAAGTGCTATAGAACACCAGAACTTATTCTTCCCATCTAGCTATACTTTTGTATCAATTAACCAACTCTATTGTCCCTCCCTGGCAACCCTTCCACCCTCTAGTAATCATTATTCCACTCTACTTCTTTGAGCTGAACTTTTTTAGCTTTCACATTGGAGTGTCCTTCCTCCTTTTCAAAGTCTGAAATATACCTTTGGGCCATGCAGCCTTCTTATTTGTAATAATTTGAATCTATCCCATAATCAGTAAACCTGATCTTTAGTTACGTGGGAGGCTTTCTACCTTCTCATAACTATGGTGTGAAAATCTTTCAAATTTCAGCTATAATAATATTACCAGAAAGAACTGGAAATGGCCAGGCAAAGTTCTAATTACTTTAAGAATATTAACTTTTTTTAAAAAAAGAATATTAACTTATTTGGTACTCATAAAAACCCGGCCGGATGCAGTGTTTCACACCTGTAATCCCAGCACTTTGGGAGGCTGAGGTGGGAGGATTGCTTGAGCCCAGGAGTTCAAGACCAGCCTGGACAACGTAGTGAGACCCCATCTCTACAAAAAGAAAAATAAAAAATCAGCCTGGTGTGGTGGCACATGCCTGTAGTCCCAGCTACTTGGGAGGCTAAAGTGGGATGATTGCTTGAGCCCACGAGTTTGAGGCTGCAGTGAGTTGTGATCACGCCACTGCACTCCAGCCTGGGTGACACAGCTAGACCCTCTCTCAAAACAAAAAACAAAACAAGCTCTATGAGTAGGTACTATTATCACCCCATTTTACAGATGTGAAAACCAGGCACAGAAAGGTTAGATAACTTCTTCAGTATCCAAATCTAATGCAGTCTAGCTCCAGTCCCTAGTTCATTAAACCCAGAAGGATCTGAAGAAAATCGAACTGTCATACAAATCATATGGTTAAAATGGTCTATACTAAAGGTAAATAGTTTACATTTCATGGGCTCTCACTGTGTCAGGTAGAGTGCTGAGTGCTTCAATGTATTAGTTAACTTAATCTTTACTCATAAACACACGCGCATATGCAGATCTACATGCACACACACACACACACACACACACACACACACACACACACACACAAGGTATTTACTACCATTAACCCCAATTTACAGATGAGGAAACTGAAATTCAGAAAGATTAAATAATCTGTCCAAGATGATACAGATAATGAATGGCAGCTGTCATATTCAATCCAGTTCTGTTTATTCCAAAGCCCAAACTTTTAATCACCGTGCAATATTGATAATCACATGTTAAAATTATATTTTATGAAAAATCAATGTATCCCAAATTAAAGAGATATGTTTTAATCAAGTTGTTGAATACATGAAAGAGCTTCTAAATAAAAGAGCCAAAGTTTTATTTAGTTTTTCTTTTGGTTTATTTTATTTTCCCAATCACCTATTCAAATTCTCAACTAAGCAGTGTAGCTTAAAAAAAGATGAGTAAATCAAGAGATAACAAATGATTCATAATGAGCAGCACTTATCCTCAACTTTTTCTATTTTAAAATATAGTGTTTATTATCTCTGAACATCATCAGGCATTTCACAAAAATATGGGATAAAAATAATTCCATTATTTGAAGGAGGCCAGTAGAAATTATTATAGATTTAAGGAAAAGGTTTAGCAATTTCTAACACTAATCTTTCTAAAGCGTGGTGAAAAGAAAATCTATCAGCTCTGGAGACAGAGAGTAAGTCTGAACCCAGCTACTTATTGTCGAGAATGGGAAGGAAGGAATGAAGGAAGCAAGAATATTTACTGAATTATTGCTTGTGTGCCAGGTCCTCACTCTTTTATTAGACAATACTCTACCCACTCCACTTTGCCTGAGGCCCAAAAGGAAATCAAAGCACTGCAGGGTGGGAGATCTATCTGTGACCTCTTGCAGTACTTTGATTTCCCCCTGGGTCTCAAAGTGGAGTGGGTAGATTATTGTCGAATTAAAGAATGAGTACGTGGTACACAGCAATTATTCAGTAAATATTCTTGCTTCCTTCATTCCTTCCTTCCCATTCTCAACACTTGTTCCTACCTGCGTCAGGATACTGAACTTCATCCTCCTTCACTCTGAAACAACAGTATTCCCAAAAGATTAGCCCCACAATTTGGGAGCAATTAAAAAACGGGGTATGGAATTTCACAATGTATATATGTTTCAAAACATCACGTAGTACACGATAAGTATATACAATTTTTCGTTAATTAATTTTTTAATTTTAAAAAACCAAAGGTAGAGCTAAGGTTATGACATCATTAAAGTTAAAAGTACAATATAACTTCAATGTGTATAAGCAAATTATAGTTGTGTTCAGGTAGCGAAATTGAAAAAGATTTTGAAATTGTCTTAAAAGACTTTTTTTGGTTACTTTATACAACTGATGCAGGGGGAGCAAAATCACATAATCATTTCAATAGATGAAGAAAAAGCACTTGAAAAATGCAACATTCTTTCATGATATAAGCACTCAGCTAACTAGAAATAAAAGGGACCTTCCTTGACCTTATAAAGGACATCTACTAAAAACCTATTGTCAATATAACACTAAATGGTAAATCATTGAAATGTACTCCCTAAGAAAAAGAACAACTCAAGGATATCTCGTCTTCCCACTCATTTTCTACATTGTATGAAAAGTTCTAGCCAGGGAAATTAAGAAAATGAAATAAAAGGCTTCCAGATTGGAAAGGAAGAAGCAATATTATTAATATCTCTATTTATAGATGACATGATCTTATATATAGAAAATGCTAAAGAATATCCTCCAAAATATTATTAGAGCTAATAAATGAGATCAGCCACTTTGTAGGATTCAAGCGCAATATACAAAAATCATCTGTATTTTTATACGTTAGCAATGAACAACCTAAAAATGAAATTAAGAAAATAATTTATTTACAATAGCGTCAGGAAGAATAAAACACTTAGGAAAAAGTAAACCAAAGAAGCGTAAGACTGGTACACTGAAAACTACAGTGTTGAAAGAAATTAAAGAAGACATCCCATGTTCATGCATCAGAAGATTTAATATTACTAGATGGCAATACTCACAAACTGATCAACAGATTCAACATAATCTCTATCAAAATCCCAGCTAGCTTTTCTGCAGAAATTGGCAAATAGATCCCAAGACTCATTTGGAAATGCAAGCCACCCAGGATAGTAAAAAGAAATCTTGAAAAAAAGAACAAAATTGGTGGACTCACACTTCCTAATGTCAAAACTTACTACAAAGCTATAGTAATCAAGACAGTGCATAGTGACATGAAATATGCCACTGGAACAGAATTGAGAATTCAGAAATAAACCCTAACTTTTATGGTCAATTGATTTTCAGGGCCAAAAGAATTTAATGGGGGAAAGAATAGTGTTTTTAATACATGCTATTGGAACAACTGGCTATACACATGCAGAAGAATGAACCTGAACTCCTACCTTCTACCATACATAAAAAATAACCCAAAATGATCATAGACTTGAATGCAAGAGCTAAAACTATAAAATTCTTAGAAGACAACACAGAAATAAACCTTTGCCATTTGGGGTGAGGCAATGATTTCTCAGATGCAACACCAAAAAGAACAGATTGGTAAGTAAAACTTCATCAAAATTTAAATTTTTTGTGCTGTAAGTGATACCATCAAAGTGAATAAGGTGACAACCCACAGACTGGGAGAAAATATTTGCAAATCATATACCTGATAAAATCTTATAGCCAGAATATATTTTTTTAATTTTCATAATTCAATAAAATAAAGACAAATAATTTTAAAATGATCAGGCCATGCATAGTGGCTCACACCTGTAAGCCCAGCACTTTGGGAGCCCGAGGTAGGAAGATCACTTGAGCTCAGGAGTTCCAGACCAGCCTGGATGATTTGGTGAAACTCCGTCTCTATAAAAAATACAAAAATTAGCTGGGTGTGGTGGCACACACTTGTAGTCCCAGCTTCTTGGGGATGCTGAGGCAGGAGGATTGCTTCAGCCTGAGAGGTCAAATCTGCAGTGAGCCGTGACCACTCCACTGCACACCAGCCTGGGCAACAAAGCAAGACCCTGTCTCTATTTAAAAAACAAAATGGCTAAAGGATTTGAACAGACATTTCTCAAAGGAAGATATACAAATGGCCAGTAAGCACGTGAAAAAAAAATGCTCAACATGATTAGCCATCAAGGATATGCAAATTTCCTGTAAATGTAAATTCCCAGGGAAATGTGAAGAAAAAAAGAAAATAACAAGTGTTGGCAAGGATGTAGAAAAATTGGAACCCTAATCCCTTGCTGGTAGAAATGCAAAATGGTGCAATCACTACAGAAAACAATTTGACATTTCCTTAGAATGTTAAAGATAGAGCTACCATATGACCCAGCAATTCCACTCCTAGATATATATATTCAGTAGAATTGAAAACATGTATTCACACAAAACATGTACACAAATGTTCCCAGCAGCATTATTCATAATAGCCAAACAGAGGAAACAACACAAATGTCCATCAACTGATAAATAGATAAACAAAACGTAGTGTATATCCATGCAACAGAATGTTATTCAGCAATAAAAAAAAGGAACATACTAATACATGGTCAACATGGATGAACCCTGAAAACACAGTCAAAGAATCAGTCTCAAAAGACCACACATTATATTATTCCAATTATATGAAATATGAAGAATAAGGAAACTATAGACACAGAAAGTAGATTCGTAGTGCCTAAAACTGGGGAGGAGGGATAGGGAAAAATAGGGAGTGGTTGCTAATGGGTTCAGGGTTTCTTTTGAGTGATAAAAATGTTCTAAAATTAAATTGTGGTGCTGGCTGCACATCTCTGTGAATATATTGAAGACTATTAAATTGTACACATTAAATGGGTGCATTGTATGGCAAGTGAATTATATCTCAATAAAGCTATTTTAAGAAGAACACACACAATGCTGAAACGGAATCTTTAGGAACAGAGAGAGTGAAAATCCATACAGAAAATAAAACACACCAACATGATGAAAAAGAGGGAGAGAGAGGAGTGGGGTGGGGGGGGGGTGGGCGGTGGTAATGGAATAGGAGGAGAAAGAGGAGAGAAAAGGTAAGATGACAACATTAGACTAAGGTTTATTTATCACATTTACCCTCTTCCTGTAGTGAAATATCCAGCTCTGAATATCTGTAAACGGTAAAACAGTTGCAGGATATGATTTACAAGCAAGAGTTATTGTAGCAAGTAAGAGTTATTTCCGTGTGTGATAATAAGTCAGGCTTAAGCAACCACTGGGTCCCATTCAGTGCTTTCGGTGCTCCTGAAGGAACACAGTAAAAGCAATATAGAAAAGTAATCCCCAAAGGTTTAAAAAAATTATTTTCCTCCATCTTCTTCTCAAACTTTCATTTAAATAAGACGTAGGTTTCATATGATTTTCTGAACCAGTGATCAGAATAAACACATGCCCACAGTCTATCATTCTGAAACATTAGAAAATCAAACGATGACTTACCTTTTCTAATGTACTGAAGGACGGCCAGGACTGATATCCATATTCAGATGCAAATCGAGCTTTTGGGAAAACTTTCCAGTTCCAGCAATCACTGATATAGTCATAAAAATGTACATCACCAAAATAATTGCTATTAGGGTTTTGAGAGACCCAGGCTTCTGCAACAGTTTCAGCCCCATTTGTAGGACTGGACGTAATAAAAGGACGACTCTTGTCTCCCTGAGTTCAGAAATAAAATGAATTCAAGGATAATATATTCATCCTGTAAAGTATGTATCATTTACTTCTTTAAAAATACTAACAAGTCCCTGAAATGCCAAGTAGCTGATAGAAAATTAGTAGGACCACTTACCTTCTTCCCTATTCAACAACCACCAGCACCTCTCTGCTCTTCGCCAATCCTTTATATCTTTTCATAAGTAACACTTAGCTCATCCCTCACAGCAGCTGTTCTTAATCTTTTCAATCATGTTTTGCCTCCACTCTCATCCATCATGGGTGGTGTACAGTCTAGTCCAGAGTTTCTTAACTTTGACACTATTGACATTTTGAGCTGGATACGTTTTTGTTGGGGTTGGCTGGGGTTGGGGGTGTCTTATGCATTGTAGGATATTTAGTAGCATCCCTGGCCTCTACCAAACAGATGTCAGTACCCCTCCCCCAACCTTGAAAAATGTCTGCAGGCACTGCCAAATGTTCCATGGGGGCAAAATCACCATCACTTGAGAACCACAGGTCTAACAGGTAAGAACAGAAGCTACTGAGTCAGATGGACCCAAACGTGACTTTAAATCTCAAATCTGAACCTTATTATTTGTGGACAGGTCTAAGCCTTGGTAGATTTATCTGTAAGATGAGGATAATAATAGTACCTCCTTTAGAGGTATTATAAATAGTAAATAACTCTCATGTGAAAGTAATGGCTAGGTGTCCACCAATTCATGTTCTCGTTTCTGTAATATAGAGCCATCCCTAGGAAGTGGCTTCCTAGCCCATATGGGGCCATGTGCCTCATTCTCATCCTCTGCCCCCATTTGCAGCTGAGGGTGCAAGAGATGGTGCAGCTGGAATAAGGTGTCTATATCTCTGAAAGAGGAGCTGCCAGCAGCCCTTTCATAGTGTCAGTGAGGAAGAAATACACTTTTATTATGTAAACCACTGAAATACTGTGGCTTACCTGTTACAACATCTAGCATGTAAGCACTTAACAGGGTGCCTAGCACACTGTGAGAACTCAAAATATAGTTACTATCATCTCAGTAGATGAGACTACTTCCTATTTCACTGAGAAGATTCATTCATTTAGCAAGTATTCGTCAAGTCTATTGTGTCTGGCATTTTTCCACACTGCAGAGGGAGGGAGAGAGACAGAGAAAGAGAGAGAGAGAGAAAGAGAGAGAATCTATGACTCTGTCAAGTACTTATACAACAAATCTCTTTTGAGTATTTCCTATTGGCCAGGCATGCAGTTCTTTCTATGTGCTGGAGGTTCAGCAGACAGCCATGGTGACCGTCTTGGAAGAGTAGATGGCAATTTAGTGCTGAAACCAGATACTGAACAAGTAATTATAAGTATGATGAATATTTTGAAGGAAAAGCGCAAGGCTCTTTGGGAATGTAAAACATATTACAGAAGGCCAGTAAGCCTTCCCTGAGAGATAGACTTCCAGAAAATAATTTTCTCAACTTTTCACCATTAGGTTTCACTTTTTCGTGGTATATCCATTCATATTTCATTTCTTGTTTCTATTCTGCTATTAAGAAAAAAAAATCCTTAACCCTTTCCTTTGCCAGACTCTGTGTTCTGGTCATCTTTCTAGTTTGCTTTGGTACTATAGCCAACAAACTATCTTCCACTCCATTTTTTTCTTAATCTCCCTCTACTGCCCTTTTCCCTTAGCTTCCTTAGGACTCCCTTTATCCTAATAAAAAGTCCCTTTGATCCCTTGTAGTCCATCAGATTTCTTTACCATCCTCTCATTCCTAAACCCCTGACATTCATTTCCTGATCATTTCACTCCACTGAAATGTTTTTCAAAAATTACCCATGAACTTCTACTTACTAAATAAAGCAGTTCTTTCTGTCCCCACTTATTCCCTCTCAGGTGTGCAATAAATGACCCTATTTACCACCTATTATTTCTGAAGCTCTCTCCACTCCTGGCTGTTTGTTCACAATTCTTCCACATTCCAGTTTCCCCCAACCTTCCTGATTCTTCCTTCTCCAGCTACCCTCTCCATCCCCAGATGGACACTCTACCTCTCTCTCAGGCTTCTCCTTGTTCTACACCCTGTCCCATGGCTTCCCGTCACATGGATGTTCTGATTACTCCTAGCCACACCTGCACACTTGACCTCATGTTCACCACCACACATTGCTGATAACCAGCTCCACATTTCCACCTGTGTTGTCTTGCCAACATCGCAAATCCAACCTTTTAAAGCAGAATTCTTTATTTACTAATTCCAAACTTATCTGACTATGCTCCCTTTCTTGCTGAACGGTACCCAGATTGGAGTCATCTTCAATTTCTCCCTCTCTTACCTCCCACATTCAGTCACTCTGAGTAGTAGCAACTCTACATTCAGATATTTTTTTCCATCACCGAATTTCCAATCCCACACCACTGGACTCCACTACCTATGACCTCCATGACCTTGGGGACTTAATGACTCTAAAATAAATATATCACCTACACTCCAGGTAACTTCTAAAAATTAAGTAAATAAATTATACAAAGCACTTACATAATTAACTTTTTAAAAATTTGTTTTTTAAAATTTAAAAAAAATTGTTAAAAGACAGAATGTTGCCCAGGCTGGAGTGCAGTGGCATGATCATAGCTCACTGCAGCCTCGACCTTCTGGGCTCAAAATAAGCCTCCCGCCTCAGCTTCCCAAGTAGCTAGGACTACAGGCACATGTCACTATGCCCAAAGAATTTTTTAAATTTTTTTGGAGACAGGATCTGGCTACATCACCCAGGCTGGTCTCAAACTCCTGGCCTCAAATGTTCCCCCTGCCTCAGCTCCCAAGTCACTGGGGTTACAGGTGTAAGTCACCACATCCAGCTTTAATTTAATATATTAATATATAATAATATTAATATAATAATTATAATTAATATATTGATGCCTGGCATCTCAGTAACTTGGAGTTCTTAGTTGTTATAACTGGTTTCCTTGTTTAGAACCTCTCACCTCCCTAATCTTTGCTAGTAATCTTCCATAAACATGGACCAGATAAAGTTCCTCCTCTCCCCCAAAATGTCCACTAGCTTCCCACCATCTACCGAATAAGCTCAACTCCATAATATGATTTAAAGTCCCTCTATGACCTGCTTCCAGTCTTCACTACCTTCCATTCTCCCACAGTAATCCAGGAGTCCCTTGCTCTTAGGCACCAGGCACTGCTTGCTGCTCATTATACATACCACCTACTTTCACATCTTTTTACCTTTATTTACATTGTTTTCATGACCTAAAGTACTACTAGACAATGCTTTGCCTCAAAATTCTCCACCTGTAAGGTTTCCCTTGAATGTAACCTTTTACTCGAAAGCCTTTTTAGATTCTTTCAGTTAAAATTAATGGTTCTGCCACATAGTTCCCAGCATTTTGAAGCTACATTTTTTATAGCACTTTTTTTAACTGCCCAAGGTCTGATAATTTTTCCCATGTTTCCCTTTGACAGCAGAGTGTAAGCTCCACAAAGATAAGAGTGTCCCCCACAGCATCGGGAATGAGGCTTTGCTCTTGGCAATAAGTACTCAGTAGATGTTGGGTGAATTTAAAAATATTAAAAAGTATGATGAAACTATAGGTGATACTAAATGTTTAAAAATATTTTTGCTACAATGGCTTTGAAGAACATTGAAGAAGAAGGCCAGTCAATTGGCCTTGATTGATCAAGCTTGACAGATTTCCCTTCATTCCTTGAGATTCTTGAGAAATTTGGCACGCTGAGCCATGCAGTAAAATTACAAACAAGTCTCTACCTAAAAATATCTGGCTTTGACGATGCATTATAATTTCCTTCCACTTATAAATCCTTTATTCTTGAGGTGTGGTTATTTGTTGCAAATCTCACAGATGACATCTTTCTAAGCCATGACCTTAAACCCTTAGTTGGACCAGGAAATACCATAAGGTGATCCAAGAGAATGGCCATAAAAAGAAAGCATGTGCAGCAGGAAACCAATCATTACAGCCAATTTGTAGATGAATCAATTTATGGTACTTTCCCTTTTTATGATGCCTAATACTTTGATGGAAACTAAAAGCAGTAGTGGTTATGTAGCTTTTAATACTATTCATCTTTGAAAAAATTTACAAACATCAGTTATTGCCCATGGCTCGTTTTAAGATAAATAAGTCCCTAAAAAGAAAGGCATATCTCCATTTCAGAGGTAAAAAAGAAATGGCACAAAGAAGCTAATTTTTTAAAGCTTAAGAATGTAGTGTTAAAATTAATGATCAAAATGTGTAAGTATCTGAAGATCTACCTTGTTGAACAAAAGCAATAAGGATGATGATGATGATGATGACGATGGCTAGTTTTAATTAAAAGGTTACTGTGGGCCAGGCGTGGTGGCTCACACCTGTAATCCCAGCACTTTCGGAGGCCGAGGTGGGTGGAGCAGGAGGTCAGGAGATTGAGACCATTCTGGCCAACATGCTGAAACCCTGTCTCTATGAAAAATACAAAAATTAGCTGGGTGTGGTGGTGCATGCCCGTAATCCCAGCTACTCGGGAGGCTGAGGCTACTCGGGAGAATTGCTTGAACCCAGGAGGCAGAGCTTGCAGTGAGCCAAGACCGCACTACTGCACTCCAGCCTGGTGACAGATGAGACAGATGAGACTCCATCTCAAAAAAAAAAAAAAAAAAAAAGTTACTGTGAACCACCATCTTTCAGTAATTCACTACAACGATGACACGCAAAGGGAAAGAGGAAAGGCACCTGATATTCTCTAGGCCTTTTAGAAAATATGGAGTTGTTCCTTTGGCCATATACATGTGAATCTACAAGAAAGGTGATGTAGACATCAGGGAAATGCATCTGGTTCAAAAAGGAATGCCCCACAAACGTTAATGTGGGAAAACCAGAGGAGTCTACTGTGCTACCCAGCATGCTGTTGGCACTGTTGTAAACAAACAAGTGCAAGATTGTTGCCAAGATAATTAATGTGTTGAGCATATTAAGCACTCTAGGAGCCAAGATAGCTCCCCAAAACTCAAGAAGGAAACAAAGGAAAAGAAAAAGAAGGAAGCCAAAGAGAAAGGAGCCTGAGTTCAATGGAAGCACAGCTGGCTCCACCCAGAGAAGTGCACTGTGAGAACCAATGGAACAGAGCCTGAGTTTCTAGAACCTGTTCCCTATGAATGCATGGCATAACAGGTGTTTAAAAAATAAAAGAGCTCTGGACTGTAAAAATATTTCTTTTCATTAAGCAGAAATGTGTTGTCCCCTGCCCCAAAGAAATATTTTAACTTTAAAAAAAAAAAAGTTACTATGCGTCAGACTGAGTCATGTGCCTTCCATCCATTATCTCACTTAGTCCACATAACAGCTCTTAAAAGTTAGCTCCTATTTTTAACCTAATTTTATAGATGGGAAAAGGAGGATTAAGTAACTCACCCAAGGTTACATAGACAGGAAGTGGCCCAGCCAGGATTTCAAAGCCTGCATACTTAACCACTATGCTATAAAATGAAAACCCTCAGAAACTATAAATCCATCAAACATGAAAAACATAATATCAATATTGTGAATAAAAAGATTATAAAATAAGTGTTCTGTAAATATTTTTTAAAATTTGTATCATCACATTTTGTGAATAGAAAAATTCTTCATGACACATGTCTTAGTATATCAGGTAAACTATAAATTTGAACCCATGTTTTTCATGAATTCTCAATGAAGTTTCTTCTATAAATGGAATAGTGCCATAAACTGGGCATGTTTAGGTGCTAATATCACATACTATTTTAAAAAATAGATGCCTTTTCAAATTGCTTCTGGATATACCCAGATATTTAAAACATCTATTTACAGACACAAAAGTGTAAAGACAACCAGATTATTAAATCACATGTTAAACAAAGTTTTTCAAAAGTTAAAACTTTTGAAGGCATTACTGAAAAAAATGCTGCTTTTTCTCACAAAAAGGCCAATTTATATTAACATATGTCTGTATAATATGCCAATTAGACAAACAGTGGTGCAAAGAGAACCACTATAGAGCAAGGGCCATACAGCGGGGTTGGAGACCAGCTCTCTCATCTCTCTTTGTCCCTTAAATCACATACCAGGACATTCATATGTGATATATACCAAAGTCTACTACTTTAACACATACGATTACAGAATTTTAGAAGTGGCATATCAATAATCATCGAATCTAGAGATTCTAAACTTTTTGGGATCCACGGATGGACTCCAAGGAGCATGTGACAACCTAGCATTGTAAGCACTGCATTGGTGTATGTGTGGAGAGCTGCACAGAGAAGTTAATCCTCCAAAAAGTCCACAGCCCATGAATCCTTTCATCTGCTGCTGCACTACAATGGGATACCCTGTATTCAAACGATACTGTTGAAGACAGCCCTAAAAAGGGGCATAAAACATACTATACCAGTATTCAAACTTATCCACTTTAAACATACATTCTTTTTTTTTTTTTTGAGACGGAGTCTCGCCCTGTCGCCCAGGCTGGAGTGCAGTGGCGCGATCTCGGCTCACTGCAAGCTCTACCTTCCGGGTTCACGCCATGCTCCTGCCTCAGCCTCCCGAGTAGCTGGGACTACAGGCGCCCGCCACCGCGCCCAGCTAATTTTTTTTGTATTTTTAGTAGAGACGGGGTTTCACCGTGGTCTCGATCTCCTGACCTTGTGATCCGCCCGCCTCAGCCTCCCAAAGTGCTGGGATTACAGGCGTGAGCCACCACGCCCAGCCCTAAAGATACATTCTTAAATTCTACTGCATTAAAAATCATTACTTACTGCCAGTACGAGCTCTCTGATGTTTTTCACATAGAGTGTCACATAGTCCTTGATGTAGATTGGCCGGTCAGTGAAACTGATATGATACCAATTCATCATCAGCGCCTCCTCATTTTCATTATTGCCACTCCATATGATGATAGAAGGATGAGATTTCAGTCTCTTGATCTGAAAATTAAGAAAACATAAAATGATTTTCAAAGAGTTAACATAAAAAATTCAGAGCTATAATTACTCATAAAATTAAAGCCCTTGCATTTCTGCACATAAATTCTTATGTGCCAAAAACCTAATTTGAAAATGGCTAGTCATGTTAGCTGCAGGAATACATTTTAAGAAATCTCTGAGATTCTTTTTAACTAGATTTTATAAACACTGATACATAGGGTTTCTCTTCTCTGCTATATAAAAACTGAAGATAATATAATCCCTTTTTTAGAAAGAGAAAGAAAAGGGGAATGAATAAACTCTTCACTCTGTGGATTGCCACAAAGAAAACTTTCAGGAAATACAAAAGGCAGGAGACATTATATTTTGGGGATTGGTTCTTAAGAGCAAATTGGACAAATTGGAGTTCTGTGTGAAGAAATAAATGAAGCAAAGCAAACACTACCACTGAAAGAAGGACGGAGGTTCCTATGCAGTCCTCACTGAGATCAGAAAACCAGAAGGGGAACTAGAGAAGGTTTTACAAAGCAAGTGAGTACTAGAGGTATGCTGGCAGTTAAAGACAAATATGGAATACTCTAAAGGAAAACAGATTAGGGCAATCAGGGTTGATGTCTCCTGAAATAACTATCAATGTCGTGTCCTGAGAAATCAACTAACATTAAGTTACTGAATGTACCTAAATATAAAAGGGAAAATTAGAGAATCTACCTGAAAACCGTGCCACACGAGGCCTGCATAAACTGAGCTCATCTGGGCTGGCCCTACATAAAGACAAAAGGATCCACTTGTGTTATGTTTGCACTGGACAGATTCAGACATGTCCCTTCTTCTAATACACTAGGACATGTGCCCCAGTAGAGAGCAATTAAATTCCTCTGAGAATGGCAGAGTGAGTCAATGGTCAAGAAAAATTCTTTTGGAACATGTTTTGGCAATGTTACCTCATTGATATTTATAGGTTCACCTTCGCTGTGATGCATGATTACACTGATTGCCCCCCACTGATGCTCTCAATGTGTTCTCCATTCAAGAAGCTCAGAAACTCACATAGATGAAATAGAGATGCACTGAAGGTATATTAAAGAGATATATTTCATTTTTAAAAAAATTAAGTCTTGTGTTTTTCTCAGCCAGCCATATAAACACTATTTCCTTTTTTTGTCTTTGTACATGCCCAAGAAAGGGACAGCTGCTACCAACTGTGACTGACATATTTATGCCACTGATGAAAATACAAATATAAATCCTGAAGTGGCAAAAAGCTTCAGTAGCACCGTGTTACACACAACCCTCAAGCTGACTTAGAGTTTTATGGTAAGCTTTACTTTAAAATTTTAACAAACTTTGCATGCAATGGCTCTCCTTATCTTTAATAATGCATCAAAGAACTGAAGATACATAAATGTTAGATTTTAATTATTTATACGAAAGAAAACTAAAAATAAAACTGAAATGCTTGCAACCTGTGTAACTACAATTAATATGTTTACAGTTATTCATTCATCCATTCATCTATCCACTTTGTGAATAATCCACAGAGTGGGGACGCAGAGGGGAATGAGTCCTAGGCCTCAGGGAGATGACAATCTTGCAGAGGTGACAAATCCTTGAACAAGTAATTCAAAGTGTGATGTGTGTCTCAAAAGGCAAAAGATTTTTCCCATGCTTAAGGTAAGAGGGGCCAAAGGAGAACAAAGGAGGTGGCTCACAAGGGCAGTGGATGGGGAAGATGTTCCAGGACATAGACAGCAAGATGGAGATGGTGCCTGAACAGGTGCAGACACCAGCTGGCCGGAGTCCCGCATTAAGAGGATCTTACACCTTACCCAGAGGTCAAGAAGCCACCTCAGGGGAAGTGTTGGCTAGGGAAGGAGTTCGATTGTACTTTTTAAACCTTTTATTTTAAAATGAAACACAGTTACAGAAAACAAATTATGACACGGTCAATTATCATAAGGCAATCACCCTTGTAGCCACCACCCAGTGCAGCCAGGCCGGAAGCCATCCACGTGCCTCTTCCTAATCACAGCCCCTTCCTCCTTCCAAAAGTAACCACTATCTAGAGTATCATAGTGTAATAGAAATCGCTTCCTTGCATTTCTGTATGGTTTTTCACAAAATATACATCTGCAGACACTATAATATGAACTCTAGATTTTAACACACTTGATGGATTCAATTCATTGACATCCTTATCTTTATTGAATCTCAAATTGTCCCCCTTTTGGTTGTTCAGAGTCTCTCAAAATCCTTTTGACATAACTTTGATAGCTTCCTTGTTATCTGCATGTTGAGATATTCCAGGATCAGGGTTCTGAGCAGGAATGTGGTATGACTTAAAATGTGTCAGTGGAAGATGACTTTGGCAGCTCTGTTGAGTATGCACATATTGAAAGAGACCAATGCTAGGGAGTCCAATCAGAAAACAAATGCAATGATTGAGGAGAGGGAAAAATAGGATTTGAATTAGAGTAGTAAGCACGGGGGTGAGAAAGTAAATACAAATACTAGTAACATTGATATCAAAAAATTGTCTCAACTTAAAACCAGATGGATGTGGGAGGTGAGAAAGAAGAAAGTATCAATGACTTTCATATTTCCTGCTAAAAAGAAAAATCTTGAAAGAGTGCACTGGGGAAAAGATAATAGATGTACTTTGAAGACACGCTGAGTTAGTGTGACAGCTGCTATTATTTGTTATTTCTTTTGAACTGCATGACTTACACGTATTATCCTATTTAATTTTTGAAACAGTTTCATGAGGAGTGACATCATACTAGAGTTATAGATACAGAAATTGAGGCTCAAGAGGTAAAGTGACCTCCCTAAGGTTGCAGACTCACCATTCAAGAAGAAATATCAAAATATTTGTTCTTTGTATATCAACATTACAAAAAATCTGGCAGACAGTTGGACATGAGAAATTGAAATCAGAGTCAATAATTATCCACATTGTAGCTTTACCTGAGGTTACCGAGAAAATGGATTTGTTTCCTTCTTTAACATGTTGCAGAGCACTATAAAAACTCAATATGTCTCCACAGTCTTGCAAACTCTTTACAAGGTAGGGGTGATCTCCTGGTGCAGTGATCATTTCCAATGGATGCTAATGAATCAGTCCGATGTTTCAGTAGTATTTTACTAGCATATGATACACTCACAAGTTGGTTTCTAAACTGTATTTTGGGAGTACATCATAATTCAGAATTTTCATGTATTGACAAGCATCCCACTCTGATTCTACATGGAAACCCATGCCATGCACTTAATATTTAGGGGAGAGGAAATATAATGCAATCTGTGTTTCAAAGCATGATCATCCCCTAAACAGACCTTGCTGCAAAAATAAGTATATTCAGCACACAGCTCATAAACCTCAGATCTGTGGCTAAAATTATCAGTTGATAATATTATATTAACACCATTGCCATTTGTGAAAAGAAGATATCCAGGATCATTTTATATATTTCCTGTGCCAGACCTGGAGTCGGCCATTTCTCTAAGAAGCTTTTCTCTTAACAGGAAAGATTACTTCAATATAAGAATACTCAACACTACAACGTTGGGCATTATTTCTAGATCTTTTCAGTAGGCAGAGAAAGCATATAATCACTT
This sequence comes from Homo sapiens, assembly GCF_000001405.40. Classification (NCBI taxonomy): domain Eukaryota; kingdom Metazoa; phylum Chordata; class Mammalia; order Primates; family Hominidae; genus Homo; species Homo sapiens. The sequence goes on from NC_000004.12 coordinate 102,668,471, forward strand.
CCTTGCATTTATATATCTGTGAATATAAATATAAATGTCAATATGTGGAATCTAAAATAAATCAAGGAATCAATAATCAATTTAAACTTTCTCCTGAGCAATTCAAACAGTGGTGTTGCTGTTTGCTGAGATGGAGAAAACTTCAGAAGAAGCAAGATTGGGGAGGGGGTGCAATATAAGTTTAGTTTGTACATGTTACATTTCAGATGCCTGTTAAACCTCCAAGCAGAGGCACCAGGTAGGCAGTTGGATATAAGAAAGAGGAATTCAGCAGAGAAATCAGGACTGGGGATAAATCTGGGAGTCATCAGCCAATAGATGATGGTAAAGCCATGACACTGGGTACAATCACCTAGGATGTCAATTACCTGGCTGTGTAATTTTTCATGGGATTTAGTAGAGAACAAAAACCAAAATGAAGCAAGATTTAACAAAAGGCAATACTAAAACATATTATTTGTTTTATTTCTTCTTGGAAGGGTAGTAACATACCTGGTAGGCAACTTCTGCTGTCACTGAATCCAGGAAGCCCTGATCAGTTGGATAAAGGGCACAGGCAAACATAAAATCCTGCCATACCTAGCAAATCAAATAAAAGGGAATGCAACACTTCCATAAGTTTTATTACACAGAAGAAAGTCTTTATTCTGAGCTCTGGGCATTATCTTTCACACAAATGAAAAATCCAGTTAGCCTGATGAGTGTGATCACTGGGGCGCCATTATGCATAATTTGATACCAAGAAATGTATCAAAGACATTAGGACTTCCCAGAACTGCACAAAATCTGAGAAGAGAAAATCCTAGGCAGGTATAGAAGAAAGAGAAGATGGAAGAATTTGAAAAAGAAAAAATGTGTGGAGGGGACACAGAATGAGGCTTCCCTCCAGCCCCTTGTCACTCCTAATTCATTCCAATTTTCACCAGGCATTTGGTATTGAGATGCACCAGACTGTTAAGAATCATACTTCATTTATAAAGGAATTAGCTTTTCATAGACAAAAGGATTACTACATGCACATTTTAGTAATGAAACCATATAAGTCCCTTCCTAAGGAGGCTGTGTGATGCAATGGTTAAGAACACAGCCCCTGCTGGGAGCAGTGGCTCACGCCTGTAATCCCAGCACTTTGGGAGGCTGAGGCGGGGCGTATCACCTGAGGTCAAGAGTTCGAGACCAGCCTGGCCAAAATGGTGAAACCCGGTCTCTACTAGAAATACAAAAATTAGGCCAGGCACGGTGGCTCACGCCTGTAATCCCAGAATTTTGGGAGGCCAAGGTGGGCAGATCACGAGGTCAGGAGATCGAGACCATCCTGGCTAACACGGTGAAACCCCGTCTCTACTAAAAGTACAAAAAATTAGCCGGGCAAGGTGGTGAGCGCCTGTGGTCCCAGCTACTCGGGAGGCTGAGGCAGGAGAATGGCGTGAACCCAGGAGGCAGAGCTTGCAGTGAGCCAAGATTGTGCCACTGCACTCCAGCCTGGGTGACAGAGCAAGACTCCGTCTCAAAAAAAAAAGAAAGAAATATAAAAATTAGCCGGGCGTGGTGACACACATCTGTAATCCCAGCTACTTGGTAGGCTGAGGCAGGAGAATCGCTTGAACCCAGGAGGTGAAGGCTGCAGTGAACCAAGATCGCACCACTGCATTCCAGCCTAGGCAACAGAGCCAGACTCCATATCAAAAAAAAAAAAAAAAAAAAAAAGATCATAGCCCCAAAGCAGCCTGTCTGAGTCGGAATTTCATTCCACCATAAATGAGTTGTTAGAGTTTGGATAAAATATATAACCTCTTCATGTGTCAGTTTCCTTATCTGTAAATGGGGATAGAGAATAGTAACTACATCATTGAATGGGCATGAAGATAAAATATGTAGAGCACTTAGAACAATGCCTGGCACTCAGAGAATATTATAGAATATTGTCATCGTCACAATGACCATCAGCATTATCATTATTAGAATAATTCCTAGTCTTCGGTGGCACTCTTTATATTTTAGAACAACAATAATAGAACTAACAGAATATATTTTCTTTGCTTTATCCTCACAATTGCAAAACACATTAAAAGTACTTAATAACAATATTAGGGCCAGGTACAGTGGCTCACACCTGTAATCTCACCACTTTGGGAGGCAGAGGCAGGTGGATCACCTGAGGTCAGGAGTTCAAGGCCAGCCTGGACAACACGGTGAAACCCCATCTCTACTAAAAATACAAAAATTAGCTGGATGCTAATTTACTAAAAATACAAAATTTAGCACATGCCTGTAATCCCAGCTGCTCCGGAGGTTGAGGCAGGAGAATCGCTTGAACCTGGGGTGGAGGAGGGTGCAGTAAGCTGAGATTGCACCATTGCACTCCAGCCTGGGCAACATTTTTAATTTTTAACAAATTAAAAATAAAAAATTAGAAAAAATTTAGAAAAACAATATGAAACACACCTTTTCTTTACTTAATTTTATTATTTTTCTTCTCTTTAGGTTTCGTCAGATCTCCTTTAAGTGTTTTAAATATTTTGTTTTCTTTTATATGCATACCTAAATATCACAAAGAAAATTATTTTAAAAGTAGGTATATGTATACTGGGATATAAATAATTTACAGGATATCTATCATTTAAAAATAAATAATTATGGTAGTTGATCACCTATGGCTCTTGGTTTACAAGATGCCATTTATTCCTATAGCCCCAAATGGAATATCATTCCTAGCTCTGAGACTGGGGCAATTGCATCATTCAGAACATTGGCAGTCAAACTGAGGATATAGTAACTTATCAATATATAAAATGCTATCAACTTCTCACCATTATTCCTAGTTCATCACAGAGTTCATAGAATTCATCCTGCTCATAAATTCCTCCTCCCCAAACCCGAAGAGTATTCATATTAGCATCCACAACAGACT